>NC_000009.12:124470552-125095552 GCF_000001405.40 Homo sapiens
GCATCCTGGTGCACCTGAGCCCCGCCTGGGCCTACGCTGCCGTGGGCCTCAACTCCATCCAGGTACCTCCAGCCCCAACCTTCTGGGACTAGGCCCTGACATGCACGAAAGCTCAGAGGGGACGACTAGGGTGTCAGGGCCTGGGAGGGTGAGCTCTCCATCATGGGAGACATTCAACAGCAACTGGGACATCCTATCTAAGAAGGGGTTTTGAGGGTGGCAGTGGGAACAGGCAACCTCCAATCAACCAGCGGTTCGTGCAGGAGGCTCACGGGGCCCCTCTGCCAGCTGGGAAGGCTGAGACCCAGAAAGAGGGTGTTAAGGCTCACTGTGCTTGGACACTCAGGGTCCGGCAGAAATTCCAGCCCCTTGGCCAGTGCCAGAGCCACTTAGTTCTTGCCAGAAAGCTGGGGAGGGGACACAGGGCATCAGTCACCTCCCCCTTGGGGTCTGCGGCCTGCTGGGATAGCAGTTTAGAAGAGGGTTTGGTGAGGAGGCCAGTTCATGAGGCCACAGGAAAGGGCCCGGGCTTCCCGGGTCTCTTGGGGCCTGTGTGCTAGAACCACAGGGAGAGGGCCAACTAGGTCCCTCTCGGGGGATTGGCAGGTCTGTGGGGGGCCAGAACATTAACTGAAGTGACAGCCAGGGGGCTGGGTGCTGGGAGTCAGGGAGGCCCTTCCTGGCCCCTCGTTTTCCCTCGACCTCCCTGGACCACCCCCCAGGCACCTCTCCCTGTCACCTGCACCTCCTGCTCCCTGCTTGCCCAGCCCGGGTCCCTCTCAGGGCCAAAAGGTGGGTGGGCAAGGGCCCAGGCTGGACTGTGCCAGGCTCAGGAAGTCAGGTGCGAACTCCACCCAGGGTCCATGTGTCCTCCAAGCTGGGGACCCTCCATCTTTTCCTTGAAGAAGGAGAGCCAAGGTGGTAACAGCCACTCACAGTGCCTGGGTGCTCCCTCTGAGCCCCAGGCCAGGCTCCTATTTGTATCTCCCAATAAGCCTTGTAAGTGGGGAAACTGAGACCTCATGAGGTCACTTGCCCAAGGCCCCCCAGGAGGCAGCAGCAGCGGGGGCACCACTCCAGAGTCTGCGTTCTCAGCCACAGGGCATCCAGCTATGACCACAGATGGGTCCTGGCTGGTCCCTGGGAGCATGCTTGGACCCAGTTACTCATTCATCCATGTGCTCTTCATGGCTCGCCCAGTGTGTGCCAGGCACTGTGCTGGGTGCCAGGCCGCAGCAGCAGAAGAGGCAGCAAAAAGCCCCTGTATTTGTGGAGCTGCCCTTGGTAGAGCAGGCAGACCATGGCCACGATGAAGAAATGAAGTGTTCAGTGAGGGGACGAGGCAGGAAGCCCTCTTCCAAGCCCCACGCCCCCCAGGGCTTCATGGCTGGGTTCAGTCTGGCTGGGCCCCTGGCGAGGCTTCTCCACCTGTCACACGGTGGGGCAGGTGGTGGCATCTTGTTGCCATGGCGATTCCTCCAGCTCTTTGCCAGGTGCCCCTCTCCACATCATAGGGGGTTGGATTCCTGATGCTCTCCATCCTCACCTGTGCCCCTCGGGTGGGCAGAGACACAGCCATGGGGCAATGCCACCGTCAGCCATGGGGCAATGCCACCGTCAGCCATGGGGCAATGCCACCGTCGCACCGTCTCAGATCCCTCCCTTCAGTTCTCATTCTTTCCTCTCTGTCCCAATCTTCATCTCTGAATCTTCTCTGGTTCTGTCTCTCAGGCTCCCCCTCTGTCACTGTCCCCCTCTCCCTGTGCCCTTCTCACCCTCTGGCCATGGATGTTTTTTCTGGCACTGACCCCACCTGGCTCTTCCTGGGCATGTCTTCATGTTTCTCCACTTCTCTCCTCAGTCTCTCTGACACTGGTTTGTTTTTTTGTTTGTTTGTTTGTTTGTTTTTTGTTTGTTTTTTGTTTTTGTTTTGTTTTTGTTTTTGTTTTGTTTTGTTTTGTTTTGTTTTTTGGAGATGGAGTCTCGCTCTGTCGCCCAGGCTGGAGTGCAGTGGCATGATCTTGGCTCACTGTAACCTCTGACTCCCAGGTTCAAGCGATTCTCCTGCCTCAGCCTCCTGAGTAGCTGGGATTACAGGCACCTGCCACCACGCCTGGATAATTTTCTTATTTTTAGTGGAGACGGGGGTCTCACCATGTTGCCCAGGTTGGTCTTGAACTCCTAACCTCAAGTGATCCTCCCGCCTCGGCCTCCCAAAGTGCTGGGATTACAGGCATGAGCCACCGCACCCAGCCCTCTGACACCAGTCTTTTTATCTCTGCCTCTCCATCTCCCTGTGCATGACACTCTCTTGTCTCTGCCTAAAGCAGCCTCAGATTACCCTTGGGACGGTCACCCGGTGAAGGCAAGGAGAGGCTGCCTTAGGCAGGAGCTCAAAAGGCAGGAGTGGGGTCTGGGCCCCGCCGCTGACAGTCACATGACCCTCTTAGGCTCAGAGCCCTGTTCTCTCAGTCAGTCCCTCTCCCCAGGCCCGGCCTTTCCCTTCACCTCTCCTTTGGTCTCTCCCTGTCTCTCTGTGTCCACCAAGGTCTCTCTGTGTTTTCCCCTCACACTCCACCTCCATCCCTGTCCCTCTCTCACTCTCCGTCAGTCTTGGGCATAAGCTAGGTACATCCCACTTTTAGGAGGGTGACCAAGTGACCAGGGAGGAGGCCTGGGACTCAGGGATGAGACTCTGCCCAACCTCATTCACTCTCTAGGAGTAATTTGTGTCCTTCTGGCCACTGTGCCGGGTTGTGTCAAGGGAGAGCAAAGCCTCACTTCTATAACCAGCCGTAGCTCACACTTGCCCTGGTGGACAGAGCCTTGTTGTGAGGCCTGGAGAAGTGGCACCAGGCCTCCGTTTCTACGTCTAACCAAAGGGGATCAGATTCCCACCCTCCTCATGGGATCATCGTGGAGTTCAGCTGACGTAACATTTGCCAAGGCTACGCACAATCCCTGGCACGTGCTAGGAGCCCCACGAGTGTGAGCTCATTTGTTTTGTTCAGTTGTTCAACACGCACTCCCCTAGCACCTCCCCATGCCAGGGCTGGCCTGCACGCTGGGGGACATGGAGATGCCCAGGGCCAAAGAATTCTGTGACATTCTCAGCCTGAGGGAGAGACAGACATCAAAGCCACACAACCACAGTGTGTCATGACTGAGGCCGAGAGACAAGGGGCCTTGGTCAAGGCAGTGTGGGGACAGAGGAACAACTCATCGGAGGCAGAATGGGCCACCTGGAGAGGGTCACTCTCAGCCAAGACCTGACGGCTGTATGGAGAGGCGGAAAAGAATGTTTTAAACCAGGGGAGGGGGCATGGTGGGGTCAAATGGTGGGGAGACATGAGGGGTAAGGCTGGCGAGAAATGGGGCAGGAGGGAGTGTGGGGGGCAGACAGAGTGGGGTCCTCAAAGCTGTTGTAAAGAGCTCAGACTTGGCCAGGTGTGGTGGCTCACGCCTGTAATCCCAGCACTTTGGGAGGCCGAGGCGGGTGGATTACCTAAGGTCAGGAGTTCGAGACCAGCCTGACCAATATGGTGAAACCCTGTCTCTACTAAATACAAAAAATTAGCTGGGTGTGGTGGCACATGCCTGTAGTCCCAGCTACTTGGGAGGCTGAGGAAGGAGAATCGCTTGAACCCAGGAGTTGGAGGTTGCAGTGAGCCGAAATTGTGCCATTGCACTCCAGCCTGGGCAATAAGAGTGAAAACTCTGTCTCAAAAAAAAAAAAAAAAAAAAAAGAGCTCAGATTTTGTCCCAGGGGTAGTTGGGAGCCATGCAGGGCGTCAGGCAGGTGCTGGTGTTCTTGGGTTCGCATTTGGAAAGATGCCTTTGGGTGGTAAGGAGTGGGTAGAAGGAAATGGGATGGAGAAGGCAGTGCAGAGGCTACAGAGAAAGATCAGGCTGGGCCTGGAGACCTGGGAGGCTTTGGGGTCTGTCTTGGAGAATGGGGGTGGTGGTATCATCTCAGTTGGTGCCTGGACACCAGGGGGACCAGTCAGGCTCTTGGACTCCAGCTTTCAGCCCTGGGAGGCTGGAAGGCCCCAAGGAATTCCAGGCCCCCACCTGTGTCCTCCCGCCTGGGCCGCAGCACAGAAGCAGCTGCCTGTGACACTGCCTAGGAGGGATCCCAGGACAGCCTCAGGGCTGGGCCACACTGGAGCTTAGGATCCATTCCTCTGCCCCCCACCCACAGCTCCTGGTCCCTCTCCATCAAATGGGGAGAATGAATCCACCCCCACCACAGACCTGCTGTTAGGGTCAAGTGAGAGACCAAATGTGATGGTGCAGGGAGGGTGGTGAGGCCCTCTTGGTCCCACGGTGTGGGGAGAGAGAGCCAGCTCCTCCCCAGCCACGGTGTGAGTCCCTCACAGGCAGCACCTCCCATCCCCTCAGAACCCAAGTCCCGGCCTCATCTCCCCTTTCCAGATGAAAAGACAGAGGCTCAGGGAGGTGAAGGCCACTCAGCTAGAGGCACAGTGAGAAGGCACTCACAGGGCTGTTGTCCCAGGACCTGACTTGGCCTTGGAGCCTCAGGAAGGTGTGCCCCTCCCAACCCCACCACATAGCATGGCGAGGCGGTGAGGATGGGACAGGCCCAGCGTGGGGCACAGAGGACTGGAGTCAGAGGCTGCCTGGTGAGCAGAAGCTGAAGGCTGGGGTTGCACTGGGCAAAGCCCCTTCTGGTCCCCTGGCCTGCTAAATGCCACAGCTACTCCTCCGCAGGCGGGCACGAGGGCAGGGCCGACTTCGTGCCCATCAGCCTGTCTCTGGGTATCTCTGCAAGTGTCTCTGCCACTGGGAGGCGCCGGGACCCCAGGCAAGGCCAGGCTGTGGGGGATGGGGTAGGAGGCTCCGGGCTGAGGCACTCGCTGGGTCTGTCCTCAGGGGCTGTACATCTTCCTGGTTTATGCTGCCTGCAATGAGGAGGTGAGTCTGGGGGTGCCGGCTGCAGGGAGAGGGGTCCAAGGGGTAGGGAGGGTCCCCAGCCTGACCTCCAAGTATTCCCCCAGGTGCGGAGCGCCCTGCAGAGGATGGCTGAGAAGAAGGTGGCCGAGGTGCTCAGGGCACTGGGGGTGTGGGTGGGGGCGGGAGGCCCCCAGAGCCAGGTCCCAGCCCCCATATCCTCTCCTTTAAGTCCCGTGCCAGCCCTGCCAGCTGGGGGACCAGCCTGAGGCCCCCAGGCCCCTGGGAGGCAGCCCGAGGGAGCCCCATAGCCTTGGCTCCACCCCGGAGACACGTGGCTCTCAGAGGTACTCGCAGCACCCAGGTGGGAGTGCCGCCCAGTGCCTCAGTTTCCCCAGCACTCAGGCAGAGCTGGGAGGACAAAAGCAGATCCTTTTAGCCCATCTGAAAAAAGGAAACCAGGGCCCAGGAAACTCTGCAGCCCTGCGGCTTGAGCAATGTCCTGTCACTCATTCCCCACTGCCAGGAAACCCGGGCTTCTGGGGCCTGGCCCACGCATGGGGCTTCTCCAGGGTGACCTTCCCTGGGGTTCCATGCAGAAGGGTTTGGGGGACTCCTGCAGATGGTGAGTAAATGGGGTCGGGGCTCTGAGGCAGGGCATGGGTTGAATGACTTCGAGGTCAGGCCAGGGGTTCCAATCCTAGCTCCCAGCCACCTCCTGTGTGCCCCTGGGCAAGTTCCCTTCCCTCTCTGGGCCTCATTACTAATCTGTGAGGTAAACCTTGGAGTGGATTCTTAGCGTATTTGATCCTGAGGGCCCCACTCCCAGGATGGGGGAGCAGAGAGAGGGCTTCCTGCCTTCGTCTCTCAAAAATTTGCCTTTTCCTCCCTAGGGACCTATGGCCCTAGAACTCCCTCAGCATTCTCCTCCATTGCAAACCCGGAGAGACAGGTGAGGCTGGGACAGGGTGGGCCGCACAGGGCTCTGCCAGGGGGCTGGCAAAGCCAGCAGGCAAAGTCGGGAAGCCACAGGGCCTGGGTAGGGCCGGGGTGGGGGCTTCCCGGGGATCTGTTTCTCTGTTCTTGGGCTGAAGGGCCCAGGGAGGGGGAGCTGCTGGCGGCAAGCTGGCAGAGGCCCCTATAGCCAAGGGTCCCCAGGGCAAGGGGCAGCAGAAGGAGTGGGGGCCACCCCCGTGACAGCCCCTCTGTCCTCAGGCTGTGGAACTGACAGCGTTCAAAGCTTCAGGTACAGTCCCCACCTCACGGGGTCCCCTCTTTTCTTTTTGGGCCTGGACACCCCCTAAGCCCCCCGTACCAGGATGGAAGTGATTTCAAATTAATACGCCCAACCTCCCGCAATTGCAGAGGCCCTCCCCTCACTCCACAGGTCCCCTGGGAGCACTGGGGGCCTGGCGGGGACCAGGCAGTACCCCTTGGGAGGACTTCATTAGAGAGTAGGTCATGGAACCCTATTCTGAGCGGGCGCTGCCAAGAGCACAACCTGCCTCCCTCTGTCCTCCCCTCTCTCTGCCCAGGGGGGCGCTGCCAAGGAGCACAGCCTGCCTTTCTCTGTCCTCCCCCTCTTTCTGCCCCCTAAGCCCAGCACCCCCCGTCACCCTCTGAAGGCCCCGGCCTGATGCCCTAGGATCCAGAGCCTTCCAAACCCGCTGAGGGAGAAGTGCTTTCCTCCAAGGCTGCGGGTCACCAGCTGGACAGCTGATGGGGGCATGACGGGGGCTGAGCAGTGGCAGGGTGGGTACTGTGGGAGGGTGAGGACACCCCAGCTCCGGCTCAGGGAGAGGACTGAAGCCTGGGGAGCTCAGCCGGGCCCAGGGGAGCCATGCGGACCCTGACCGCTGGCCGCCTCCCTGAGGGAGCACTCCATCTGAAACCCACACGCCTCAGCCTCCGCCAGGTGACTGTTTCCAGCGAAGGCAAGAGCGCTGTTCACCAGGCCCCTCCCAGGGGCAGGTTCAGTGCTCAGCCCAGGCACCCAGTGATTCTGATTCAGAGAGGGGGAGGGGGAGGTGCCTTTCTCCACCCATTGCGCGGATGAGGAAGTTGAGGCACAGAAAGGCGCAGCCGCTAGCCAGAGCCCGCACAGAGCCAGAGCCAGGTCCCCACTGGCGCAGATGGGGGACTGCAGGCACAGCAGTAGCCACGCGGGTGTAAACGTAGAGCCGCGTGAACCCGGGTTGTGGGATCCCAGGCCCCGACCAGCCCCCATCCCCGGCTGGCATCTCGGTCCCGGGGAGTCTCAGCTTCCCTTTCTGCAGAATGGGCTGGAGGCGCCCCCCACAGGCCCGCCCAGGCGCCCCCCGGGGCCAGCGCCCCTCCCCCACCTGCCCCGCCCCCACCCGCGGGCGCCGCGGCTGCAGGAACAAGAGAGCGGCGGCGCCTCTGCGCTCAAGTGACGGCGCCTTTGTCTCCGCTGAATGGGTGCGTTGCTAGGGCCGCTCGTAGCAACAGAGCAGCTTCCACCTGGGCCCCACCCTCCGGACCCCCCACCCGGCCCGGCTCTCCGGACGCCCCCGCTTCCAGCCCCGACCCCACCCCGCGGGCCACTCAGCGGCCCGAGCTGGAAGCGCGGGGCAGCGGAGGCTGCCGGGCTGTGTCCTTCGCGGGGCCGCCACCGCCCCTCCTGAAAGGCCGCGGAGCCCTCAGGGCATGCGGATGTTCCGAGGATGGAGAAGCTGAGACTCACAGCGAGGACGGGCCAGGGTCTCCCCAAGCCTCAGTTCCCAGAGCCCTTCCATCCCCGGGTTCTCCACCAGGATCCTCTGCCAGCCCAGCCCCAAGGGCGCACTTTCCCACCAGGTTTCTAGAGAGTGGCTGGGAAACTCGTCGCCAAACCCTGCCCAGCTCAGCTCTGCTGGGACCCCAGACCCCAGAACGGCGCAGCGGGAGTCCCTGAGCCCCAACAGCGGCCCCAGCTCCCGTGGCCTCAGCCTCTGGCTTTCCCTAAAGGACTGTGGGCCTCAGCCCCCTGTTCCCCTAGCCCACCAGGTCCCCAGGCTCTTTCCCCCAGTCTTTGCCTATCTGTGATCTGCTCCTTCCCCCATGCTCCGAAGTTCCAACGGGCTCTGCCGTGTCTGGTAATAAATAGGACTGTTGGGCTCTCCTGTCCTCTGGGAGTCGTCCTGGCCTGGGCAGAGGGAGGGGACGCCAGGCCCTCTGGGAGGAGGGAGGAAACCAGAGAAGCTGCCACTTGGCTTTGGGACTCCAGGGCCTCAGCCTCATCATCAGGGTAGGCGCAGCCAGCATTTATGAGCGCTTGCTGTATCCCTGGACGGTGCTGAGCCCTTTACCACCTTAGAGTCATGGATCCTCACCGCAGTCCTGAGCCGCCATCACTCCTGCTGTGCAGAGGAGGACACAGGCTCATACCACTCAGGCCTGGGGTCTCCCAGGCCCTGTAGCACAGGGGGCAGGGGTGACGGTTGGTGTGAGTGGGGGCCACCCAGGCAGACAGCTCACAGGTAAGTTGTGAGTCTGGATACCTCCAAGTCACACCATGGAACCAGGACCTGCTGCCACAGTTGTGTGGCTGTGGGCAAGGTCGTTCTGAATCTTGGTCTCTTCTCAGTAGAATGGGTTTCGGAGCAGGGAGGGGAGCAAGGATGTGAGGGCTCTGCACCAGGCCTGGTGCCAGGGTGGACCCCAAGGCTGGCGGCAGGGAAATGAGGGCCCAGACTCTGGGAGTGGGGGCACCCAGGCAGCCAACACTGTCCTGCCGATGCCAGCCTGGCTCACATCTTGCTGGGGCCAGGTGACAGGTGACACAGCATAGCCAGGACCTCCAAGCAGCTCCCGGGAGGTGGGGCAGGGCTGAGTGAGAAGCAGCCGAGACCCAGTGAGGCACGCACAGCTCCCAGAGGCCTCCAGCTTCCACGCTGGACCCTGCCTGGGTTGAGTCCGGGACAAAATCTGTCCAGGGTGCTGGCCCCACCCACACAGGTACAGGGCCCAGGTGCTTCTTGCTGAGGATGGCTGCGTAGCCTCACGATGCCCCATCCGTCTTCTGTCGAATGGGGGACATCATACTCACCCAGCGGGTCATGTGAGGGGTCCGCGCAGTCCTGCACTTGGTTCCTGGCACGGCCCTCAGCAAGCACTCAGAGTGTCAGCTGTGGCCCGAGACAGATGTTCGGGGCTGTGGGGGCCAGAGCCTGTGCCCCAGAGGACGTTCAAGGCCTTGAAGGCGCCAGGCTGGGGAGGCAGTCCAGAGAGAAGACAGCATGGCTCCGTGGGGCCAGCAGAGCCCCTGCCCTGTGCTGGGAACGCTGGGCCAAGTGCGGCACTCTATCCTCAGCGGGGACAGGAGGGGCGGGACGCTGAAGGGGCAGCAAGGAGGCAGGCAGGGCACTTGGTGGCCCCCCGACCACCTACATCTCAGCATCTTCACCTTCAACAGGCTCCTGTCTCCTCAAAAACCCATCATATGGGCTGTGGGGAAGGGGACAAAGGTGGGACCAAGGGGTCCTTTCCCATCCCCCACCTCCCTCCATTCCATATCCCTCTTGTCCCCTATACACACCCTCTCTTTACTCTCCAGCCAGAGTAACTTCTCCTAGATCCCCAGACACGGTGGCTGATACCCCTCCATCCTTCTGCTCACACTGTTCCCTCTGCCTGAACTGTCCCCAGCTCCTATCTAGCTGGTGAACTCCTGGGCATCCTTCAAAACCCAATTTGGATGACACCTCTGCTAAAAAGTATTCCTGTTCCCCAGACCCATCTCTCCCAGGAGCAGGGTCAATCACTTCCTCACCTTGTCTGTCTCAGGCATATATGCAGTATCACATCAGACTACAGTCTGGTTTAAGATAGTCTCCGCCTACAAGACTGGACATTGCCCAGGGCAGGAACTAAGGCATCTGCAGGTGCCAAGAAGAAGAGGGACACCTTTTTCTTTGCATAAAAGCCACTGCCAAACTGTGTGCCTAGGGCTGCATCACCTGAGAGGGAACACGTTTTTCTAATTTGCATGAAGCATCTGGAGGCCGGGGGTGACCCTGGAGAAGAACTAGTCAAGTTAGTCAAAATGGATCAGGACGATGGAGCTTTGTACCATGGCTGTGCCGCTTTTAGCTGTGTGACCTTTGGCAAGCTGCTTGGGCCCTCTGTGCCTCAGTTTCCTCATCTGTAACCTACAGAAGTGGCTTCAAAGAGCAGTCAGTGTGCCCAGATGAGGCGGGAAGCACTAAGCAGGGGGCCTGGAGTGGAGGAAGCCTCAGATGGCGGCGGTGCTCACTGCCGCCACCACGTGGGGCTGGGGAGGAACCTGTGAGGGACGTGGTGGGGCAGACAGGAAAGGGCAGGGCTCTGAGGGGTCTGGTCTCCCAGGTCTGTGGCTCATGGGCCCTTGGCAAGTGCCTTCCCCTCCTAGAGTATAACCCCTGCCTCACAGGGCTGCTGCGGGGACAGTGAGATGAGGGTGGCACACAGTAGGTGCCCCTTAAATGGCTGCTCCTTCTGCCCCAAGATGGGGGCTGAGCTGGCATGGCCAGCATGCAACAGGCAGAGAGGCTACAGCATCCCCCTGGCCTCCCAGTGCCTCAGGGTCCCAGGGATGAGGTGGGTCCCAAACCCCAACAGTGCCTGGTGTCCCCCCACCCGGCCCCGCCACCCACCTGCCTCCTCAGAGTTTTGAAGCAAAGAGGGTCTGCGTGCCACCTCCATCCAAGTCAGAGCGCTGCCCCAACCTAGACCACCCGGAATCCACCCGGGCCGTTCTGCTTTGGCCCCAGAACGTACACAGGCAAAGGTAGCTGGAAACTAATTGCGAAATTTATTCCAGGGCTGTGGGGGCTGGGGTGATCCTTAAGGGCACTTCTCGTTTCAGGGCTGTGGGTCTCCGGCCTTGGCAGGGGCACATGTTTCAGGGGGCGGGGAGGGGAGGTACTGAGACAGGGTGGCGGGAGGCGGGAGGCAGGAGGCAGGGGTGCCCAGTCTCCTCCAACTGGGCAGGCTCAGCACAAGCTGCAACAGTAACATGAAAGCGGGACGGACAGCAGGCACCCCGCCGGGGACAGGAGACAGCCGAGGCCTCTCCCTGGTGCTTCACCCTGCAGAGTGTCCTTCATGACCTAGGACAGGGGGTCAGGGAGCTGAGGGCCAGCTTCATGGGTTTGCAGCAAGGGACCCAACGGGTTGGAGCCACAGAGAGGGGATCAACAGCGCTATCCCTGATCTACAGGCCCGTGCCCCCTCCCAAGTTCACTTGCATTCCCACCCACAGAGACCTGAAGCCCCCAACAGGGCATCCTGCTGTTCACCTAGTGGGTGGAGGGCGGGCAACAGCGCTTCTCTGGATTGGGGCTGGGGCTCAGAAGTAATGACCCAGCACCACCCCAAGGGTACTTAGTAGGCGAGTGTCCGGGGAGAAACCGTCAGCTGTACTTAGTGGCAATCCCCAAGCCCCAGCTTCAGTCCTCAAATCTGTCCCCTTCCCTCCATCACACACACATTTCAAGGAGTGTCTAGAAGCTTAAAAACAAAAAGCGGGGAGAAAAACCTCTTGACTACAACCTTGCAGATAAATACCAGCCTGGGAGGGCCACCTCTGGGTGGGGCTAGGATGTCGATTGTACCAAACGTTCTCCTTGGGTGGGAGAGGGAATCAGTGATGCCTGGAGCAAAGTTTTTTCCCGATGATGTATCAATGCCCCCTCTTGCAGAGGTCAGGTGGGGTAGAAGGGCTAGGGAGAAGGTCTTTTTGTCCTAACCAGTCTCCTAGTGTCCTCTAGGGCCCAATAGCCCCTCTCAATTTAGCAAACTCGGTTATCCTTAGTTTACAAAACAGAGGCTCTCCCTCCTGGTCTCTATGGGGGGAACACTGGAGACCCTCTCTCCTCCCCTAGTTGATACCTGCTCAACTTCTCCCTGTCTGTTTCCAGGAGAGGAGGAAGGGATGACCTCTGATCCAAGGGACGTCGAGGCCCACCAGGGAATCCCGAACCTCCTCCCCGGACCTGCAGGCTTCAGACTCCAGGAGAGAGAGCTGGGAGCAGGGAGGGGGCGGGGCGGGTGGTTAACAGCCACCTCCTTGGGGCACTCCAAGCAGCAGGCAAGTGCCAGTGGCCACTCCACCTCCGCCAGGCCCTGCCCAGCCTCACCCACCTTCCCAAACACACAGTGTCAGAACTCAGGGGCAGCGGCCTCTGGGACGGGGCTGGGGCTCCTCGGTGGGCATCAGAAAATGAACCATGCGGAGCCAGCGGTGTGGCTGCGGCCCCGCCCAGGCCCCGCCCCCAGTCCCGCCCCCAGTCCCGGCCCCGCCCCCGGCCCAGGCTCAAGTCTGCTTGGCTTGCAGCATTTCGATGAGCAGGTTGTTGCGGGGCATCTCGTTGCCCAGGTGCTTGTGGTACAGGTACTCCTTGGCCTGCATGCTCAGGGCCCGCACCTCCACCAGGCACAGCAGCAGCTGCTGGAATTTGTCCCCGCAGTGCGGGTAGTGGCACAGGGTGTAGTCAAGCAGGGCGGCGTTGGCCTTCTCCTGAGCGTCTTTCACCAGGATGTGGTTATTCAGGAACTTCAAATCTGCAAAGGGAGGTTCTCGGTCACCATCGCGTCACCATCCATGCCCATCAGGGCTGGGCCAACACCGTCACCAGCATCACCAATACCACCTTCCCTATGACCATCAAAGACATGGGCATTGCTGCCACCAACCATGCAACATGGTCTCCCCGTTGGCACCGTGTCGCCATCACCATTGCTGTCACCCTGGTTGACAAACACCACCATCGTCACCAATACCCACATGCCTGTGTTTTTCATGAACATGGCCACCGCCACCATCAACCACCCAACCACAGTCACCTGTCACCATCATCACTGCCATCATCATCACCACAGTGGTCACAATGAACAAGAATTATGAAGCCCATCACCAGCCTCCCTCGGGGAGGATCCCTGGGCAGTTATTGAACCTCTCGGTCCCCCATCTGTAAAATGGGCGTGACGACAGTACCAACTTCACAACCTTGTCCTGAGAATTTAGGGAGCCGCTGTGTGGAAAGTGCTCTGAAGAACAGTGTCTGGCACGTGAGAAGCTCGGTGGGTTGGGTTAGCTGGCACCACAATAATGCCATCACAATGGGAGCTGCTCTCACCGCCGTCATGGCCAACCATTGCTGCCATAACCAACACCATCCCCCTGGCACGATCAAAGCCATCTTGTCTCCATCATCACTGATGCCTCATCTCCATGACCGTTGCCATCCGCATCCCCACTCTGCCACCATCACCACTGTCACCCCATCAGCACCACGCCCACAGAGGCGCACTGTGGGTGGGAGTATCCCATCTCATGCTGCAATGCAGGAGGACTGGTGGCCCCATTCTAGAGGACAGCTGGCATGTGCTTTTAGTCTCCCCTATGACCAACAGACAGGCTCCAGTACCCCCAGGAAGGACTCTCATGGGGCCATGGGGGAGCATGCACATTCACTGCAGGAGTGCAGATGCGCTGACATCCTGGCTAACCTATCGCAAGCTGAAAATATCGTAAGTCAGAAGGCATTTACTATGCCTGACCTGCTGCACATCACAGCCTGGCCTACCTTAAATGTGCTCAGACCACATTACCCTACAGTTGGCAAAATCACCTGACGCAAGCCTATTTTACAATAAAGCGTTGAACATCTCATGGGGTTTACTGAACACCATGCTGAAAACGCAAAACAGAAGGGTTACATGGGTACTCCAGGCATGCTTTCTGCGGAATGCATGTTTTTCAACTTCTACACCACCGTAAAGTCAAAAAATCCTAAGCCAAAGCTCATGAGTCAGGGGCCATCTCTGCTCATGGTGGCAAGGAGGGGGCCTGGATGGCCACGTGGTGACCGCACCCCAAGGAGTCGTGTGCAATAGGCAGAAGTCAGGGAGCCCACACAATGCAGGGCAAAGCCTGGGACTGAGCGGAAAACAAAAATCACAGAAGGGAGGTCAGGATGAGATCGATAAGGCTCAGCCATGTACATAAACTAGAAATGCTTGTTGGCCGGGCGTAGTGGTTCACACCTGTCATCCTAGTAGTTTGGGAGGCCAAGGTAGGTGGGTCACTTGAGGTCAGGAGTTCGAGACCAGCCTGGCCAACATGGTGAAACCCCATCTCTACTAAAAATACAAAAAAAATTACCGAGGCATGGTGGCGCGCACCTGTAATCCCAGCTACTTGGGAGGTTGAGGCTGGTGAATCAGGTGAACCCGGGAGGTGGTGGTTGCTGTGAGCCGAGATTGCACCACTGCATTCCAGCCTGGGCAACAGAGCAAGACTCTGTCTCTAAATAAATAAATAAATAAATAAATAAATAAAGCTTGTACACAAAGCAGACGTGCCATGGGAAGACAGGGGCAAACAGGACGACCCGCATTAAACATCAAGGAAGGGCTCCCTTTGGGGAGGGGTGGAGGGGGTTTGGCTCTGCGTGCACCAATGATTGAACAGAGGAGTGCAACTGATGTGTCCGCCACACCCGAGGTGCAGTGAAGAGACAGAAAGTAAAATGTCTTTGGAGTGAGACAGACGTGGATTCGAATCCCAGCCGCTGCTGAGGTGCAATGCTACCTGCCCCGCCCCGACTTGACCAGCCTTCCTCCTCCCTGGAGGGGGAGAGCCAGGGTCAGTTTCTTGTCACCCAAGTTCCTGTCACAGCTTGCAGGCCTCTTTCAGCTCCTGGGCAGCATTTCTAGGAGGTGCCCAGCCTGGGGGCACAGGGTCAGCAGGAACCCACAGAATCTGTCCCCAGGCCTCAAATTCTAGCCTGGCCTTGCCTGGGATGGGGTGACCAGTGGCTCAGAAAATGGTCATCCACCCACTTCTCCTCCACCCCATCACCCCCAGCCCTGCAGCTGCGGGGGCGTCCAGAGGCAGCATGTGCAGCCCTGGCCCCCTAATCCCCCTTAACACCCGCTGCACCAGGAGAGCGCCACGCTCCTGGCAACCCTGATCCCTGGCCGCCCCCAGCGCGCCTGCTGAGGCCTGTGTTGTCCAAAGTCGGATTTAGGGAAACCGGAGCTGGGCCCGGGGGTGGACGGCAGGACCTGGCCTCCATCCTCCCAGCCCAGCCCAGGCTCCTCACCCTCCCTTCTGAAGCGAGCCAGGAGCACTTTCTTCCTCACTTCCCCAGGGTCACCACTAACCCTGAAGGCACCTTTATGCCAATTACATGGAAGTTCCCCGTTGTCCAGAGAGATGCTGCTATATCCATCCCAACGCCTCCTGGCCCAGGTGCTCTTGTGCAGTGAATGACCTGCCCAACTGTATGGAACAGCCCTACTCCCTAGCCTGGGCTGCCCCAGACATATTCAAAGGTCATGGGAAGTCATGTCACCTAGCTGAGCTCCTGCTGGCCCCATCCCTGTCCCATCTGCCTTCGCTCCCCACCATCCTGGGCTGAGCAAGTCTCCTGACATTCTCTTCTGACAATTCATAATGGGGGTCCGGAGGGGGACAGGGACCAGCTCAAGGCCACACATCAGTAAAGGGTCCTGGAGGAAGCAGCTGGAGTGGGGAGGACCGGCCAGGATACCGCAGTAGGGGCAGGGGCGGGAGGGGGCTGGGGAAGACCAGGGCCTCGGCTTTACCGGGATTTACTGTTCTCAGCAGCACTGCGCCAGGGACACCGAAGCGGGGGTGCGGGGGTGGGTGCAGAAGGAGGACAGGTTTCAGGGATGCCCCCACCCCCAGCAGTTCTATGGCTTCCCAGCTCTCAGCAGGTTGGAAACCCCCGACTGCCCCCAGAGGTCAGCCACAGGGCCGGGGGAGGGAAGCACAGTCGCTAACGGAGCCTCAGTGGCTACAGTCCAGAAGCCCAGACCCAGTTTCCCGGGCACCCCCCAGGCACCTTGCACCCAGCTCGGTTCATCTCAGCAGACATCCAGACAGGCAGGGCAGTGCATCCCCAGGGCTCAGGGAACCAGGGCCCCCTCAAGACACACAAGGTGCCAGAGCCTGGATTCAAACCCAAGTCTCTCTGACACCAAAGCCCAAGTCTCCCATGATAGGCAAGCAGGACTGGGGCCCCCTGCCCAGGAGCTGGGTCAAGCTGGGATGCATGTTCCTGTGGGATTGGACATAACTTTATGTCCCATGCCATCCATGAGTTCTGTCCGAGATCCCCCACCCCTGGGGTTCTAGGATTCCCCCAGAGAGGCTACTCTGGACTCTAGACTTGCCTTCCTCCTCATCTGGAGACCTTGTACAAGTCACTCCCCTTCCCCAAGCCTCCCTGAACCCCCAGTCTCTAAAGAGATCATTGTGAAGATTCCAGCGGATAACACATGTGACGGTGCCAGCAACGCACAGAACACCACACCGTTCTTCCAGCAGACACGGGAGCGGGGTCAAACAAACCTGGAGACGCCCCCTTCATGTGTCAGGGGTTCAGATCCCGGCTTTACAACCAGCTGGGTGACCTTGGGCAAGTCACTTCCCCTCTCTGAGCTGCAGTTTCCTGTCATCTGCACAACAGGGGAAAATTCATCTCTGCCTCACAGGGTGGCAAGGAGCTGGCTCTCATCTGCATGCCCAGCTCTGGGCCCTGGGCGCCCGAAGGTTGGAGACCGGCATGTTGGAGAGGAGCCTGCGCCCCCCAAGCCCGCTCAGCTCCCGGCACTCGCGGAGGTGGAGGTCGGAGGGAGCTGGGAGATGGAGCCCCCACCTCGGAGAGCAGCCCGCTAGCTCTGCAGAGCTGGGGGCCCCCAGGTTCTCAGAAAAGCCCCCTTTTCATGGTTTAATTGAATATTTGAATAATCCTTTCATTCCAGCGAGGCATAAAGAATGTTGTCCCAATAGCGGTAACTCAGGCAGGCGCCCCCGCGCACAATGGCCCCTCGAGTGGGGCTGCTATTCAGGCCGCCTTTTGTTGGCGCGGAGCAGTGGGTAAATTGCAAACGCTTAAGGGAATGCTGCTGCCGCCGCCTCAATGGAAGTCAGGAAATCGAATGTTAGGTCAATCCATTAAGCTTCGATTAAGTCCTCGGCAGAACAATGCCAGCCGGGCCCATCTTCATAAATACCGTGATTGCCAGGAGAGAGGCACTAATTTTAATTAAACCTCCTTACCTGCCTCCGCGCCCTCCCGAGACGGCTATTTAGACACCAAATGGCACCCTTATGCGGAGGCAGGCGCGAAGGAGGCGCTGAGTGAGCCGCAGGGCGGTGGGGCAGGTGGGGGAGCACAAGCACTCGTGGCCAGGCTGTCCGGCCCAGGGCGGAGCCGCCCCCGAGGGGGACGCCCTGCGCGCCAGCTGGAGGTCTGCTGGCAAGTGGCGGTCCCTCTCCGGGTCCCAGTTTCCCTGGAGCCCCAGCTCTGGTGGTCTGGGTGGGATCAGGAGAGGAGACCTCTGCTCCAGACCCTGGAGTCTGCTCCAGCCCAGCCCCAGGTCTAGCCTCTGCCAGGGCTCTGGGCTGCCTGCCTGCCATCCTTTTCCCATGCTGCACTTAGAAGGGTCTTGATAAAATGCGAATTTCATCATGTTACTGCCTGCTTAAGGGAAAGTTCAAGGTACCAGGCCCCGGCATTCAAGGCTTTGCACAGCTCAGCTCCTGTCCCCTCGCCAGCCTACTCCCCACCCCGTCCCCACCCCTGCAGCCACACAGAACTTTCAGGATTCCCCAGAACTTTGTGCAAGCTGTTCCTTGAGTCTGGAAAGCTATTAGTGCTGCTTGTTTTTTTTTCACCCAGAATGCTCCTATTCATACTGCTAGGCCCAGCTCAGAGCCCCCACCCCCCGGAAGCCTTCCCGGATAGCCAAGTGGTGCTGGTTTCTCCCCTCTGACCCAACCCTGATCACACTGAACTGATGGGGTTCCTCTCCCAACCTGGAACTGGCCAGCCAAAGGCCTCTGCAGCCCCCTACATCCCTCTCTCACTGCTTGCCATCAGCTGGGGTCCTGGAATCTCCTCCTGTTCCTCCTCTGGCACCCCCAACCTCACCAGGTTCCTGGCCTGCTGGGCTCAGGGCTCACCCACCCACATCAGCCAGACCCATGTTCCTGTGCCCAAGGATAAGGCACTGTGCCAGACACAATGATACAGATGGAGACTGTGAGCTGCTTCATTCATTCACTTCATTCTTTCACTTACGCATATGCACATTAACTTAATAATGGTGATTATGATTAAAACAATTCCGACACACACTTCCCAGGGGTCAGCCAAGCACTGGGACACTTTGGGGAATTCTCTTATTTAATCCTTGTAACAAGTTAGGGATTACTAGGAGGGTCACTCTACAGATGGGGGAAATAGAAGCTCAGAGAGGGGAGTGACTTGCCCAAGGGCACACAGCCAGAAAGAGACCAGAGACCAGATTTAGAATCCACTCCTCATCCCCACCTAGTTCCCTTTCCTAAGCGCTGTGCCACCTTGCTTCTGTCACACACACAGCACGAGTGCGCACGCACGCACCCTTCTCCCCTCAACTCAGCCTGTTCCAGCCCAGCACTGGAGCCTCTCCCACCTCTCAGGCCTCAGCTGCTGCATCTGGAAAAAAAGGCTGATGACCAGCATGACATGAGGGTGGGGCACTTCCAGTTTTGAGCACGCCCACACCTGGACCCAAGAGAAGAGGGCTCAGCTCTGCCATCTTCCTTAAGTCCCAGAGAAGGAGAAGTCCTGGATTCACCCCCGGCAGCCGCCAGAGCTATGCACAGGGCTTTGGTGGGAAGAGGGGCTGGGGGCCAAGACAATGTCCCTGCCCTTCAGGGGACACCCAAGGACAGACAGAGCCCTGGCAAAGGAGCCTGCTGGCTGATAGCCCACCCTCCACCTACCCCTCCTTAAGGCCCTCCCAGTGGCCTTGTGATGGCAGCCAGGTCAAGAACTCTCACCTTACAAACCACCCGGACTCCCGCGGACACACACTCCAATTCTAGGTGCCTCCAAGCACCACCCTTCCCCACAAATTACTCATGTTCCCAGATCTCCCGGTCCATCCCCAGTCACACACAAACTCTTCACACAGGCTAACACTTCAGAAACCACAAGCGTATGAAAGTTCATCGTTTGCACATGCCAGCACGCACGCATGCAGAGACAGACGTTCACGTAATTCCTGCAGGCTCCACGCCCCAACCACACAGACCCCCACCACGCACATCTGTGACTCTATCCTGTGCCAGTCTGCTGAGCCTGGCAGGCTGCGGGGAAGGTGCCGTTGCGGGCAGAGGTAGGAGGGAGCTTCCCCAGCTGCAGCCAACCGAGCCTGGGTCCCTGAGGCTCCTGTAAGGATTTCAGGCCACAGCTCCTAACTGGCTGCCCAAGATCCTACCCGCCCCCCACCCCAATGGCTGTCCCCTGCTGACCCCTGCAGAGCCCCGGCTGGTGTCCTGAGAGGTGGCTTAAGGTGGCCTTGCAGATAAGCCCTCCAGTTACCAGCCTGTTCTGCCAGAATCGGGAGACCCAGCCCACTGCACCCAGCCACATGGCATGGAGGATGTCACCAATCCCACCCAAGCACTGGGCTTCCCACTTTTCGTTAATCCCCTCTGCCTCCACAACACTCCCCACTCCCCACTCCTCCCTCTCTCTGGCAGGCATGCCCCTCGCAGACTGTGACTATAATGCCAGCCACCAAGACAATACCTTAATCCTGCCCCCTCTCCAGGTGATGAAGCACTCACTCATCTCTATCCCATCCCACCTGCATCACTGCAAAATAATTCATTCCCCCAGAAAACTCCTACTCATCCTCCAAAACCCTGCTCAGATGCCCCTCTTCCAGGAAGCCTTCCAGAAAGAGCTCTGCTCCCCACCCAGGGTTCCCTAAGCCACACCCATCTCTCTGTCTCAGCCCTAACCACCCAGGCTGTAGGTCTTTTCACGATTGGCAAGGGACAGCTATGTCCTCAGCATCTCTGGGCATGGGGAGGGCATTTGTGATGGCTTTCCAGGGAGTGAGGGTGCAGACTGGAGTGGCCCAGGCAGGGTTGGGGTCAGGAGGGCAACGGGAAGGAGACCCCCCAAGTGCTTGGGGAGTGAGGTGGGTGGCCGGGCTGGGCTGGGCCAGGCCTGCTCTCTGCCTCTCCTCTGCTTTCTTTTCCTCCTTAGCACTGGTCACAACCTTCCTGGCTATGCCTGCCTAATCGTGTTAGGAACCTACGTCTTACTAATCATATTATGCTCATGATCTGTCTCCCCTAGAGAAGGTCAGTACCACAAGGGCTGGGCTTGGGGGGTTTTTGCTCACAGCGGTATTCCCAGTGCCTTCTCCAGTGCAATTTCTCGGTGCCTGTTTGTAGAGTCAATGAATGGATGCACGTGTGCATGAGCAAAGGGGTCCAGGCCCCCAGGAGGTACAGTCAAAATTGGGGCCCCCTAGATCCAGGGATTAGAGAAAACAGGGACCCCAGGATGGGAGCCTGGAATAAAAATCCTAAAGTCACATGGGCCACCAGAGCGGGAGCAGCCCCCATTTAAGAGCCAGGCCCTGGCCGGGGGCCCTCAGACCTTTGTTCACTGAATGAGTAAGGGAGGGGTCCTTTCTCCCCGAGGCTCCTTCGTGGCCACTCTGGCCACAGCAGGGCTACCTCTCCAGCCTCACCCACCCTCCCACCCACCCGCCTCTGGCTGTCTCCACCTCTCTGTCACTGGAGCTGCACTCACCCAGGCTGAAGAGGATGATGAACTTGAGGCAGACAAACTCCTGCCGGTCCAGCTGCAGCGCAAGCAGCTGCAGCACCAGCTCCTGCGCCCGCAACACCAGGCTGTGCAGCAGCGAGCCCGCCTGGGTGGCCACTGTGGTCAGCTCCACCTGGGGGCAGAGGGCACGGGGCGGGGGACAGTCAGAGGACGTGGGTCCGGGCAGGTGGCTCTCTGATGGGGGATGCAGGGCTGAGGGCATGGATTGGAGGTGCAGGTCAGATGGGCTGGCGTCAGGAGGGCCCAGCCTTGGTGCCGAGCCAGGCACGGGTAACATCTGCACAGCCCCGGGGACGCTGCCGGGCCCACCCTTCCGAGCTCTCCTCAACCCGCCAAGCCCGGAGCTGAGGCACCCACGTTCTGCCCGCGTCCACCCCTCCTTCACACACAAACCCCAGCACCAGGCCCAGCAGCACCAGCAGCTCAGGGGGCCCCTCTACATGCTGGGAGGGGAGGGGTTGGGGAGGGCAGGCCTGTGTGGGGACACACAGACACATCCACATGGCTTCCCAGAGCCCCCATGTTCACACCTACACGCTGGGTCACAGCTCAGCTCAGAGTCACACACACACACACACGAGCACAGTCATGGGGTCGCCCACTCTGTGAAGTGAAGGCACACACGTGTGCACACGGCCACACCCGCCCTTGTACGCTCACACTCACGGCAACACATACACCCATGTATGTGATCACATTTACGGGTTGATGGGAAGACAGTGACACCCACACACTGATGTGTGTGGAGATTTTGCACAATAAAACACAGGCAGGCACACACACACACACACACAAACAGGCATTCCCATGGCCACAGAGACTCAGCCAGCCTGCGGACACCCACACTTCATGCAGACTGCAGGCACCTGCGCTCACAGGGAGCCCCAAAGACACCCCCCTGGGACCAGTGCTGCCCGTCCCGTCCTCCTGCCCCGATGGCCTGTGACACCGAGGAGAGAGCTGGAGATGAGCAGTGGGGGCCTGGGAGGGCTGGAGCTGGGAGCAGAGTCTGTCTTCCCCACCCCACAGCACCCACCGACCCCACGGCCCTTCCTGTGTCCCCACCTGAGAGTGGCACTCCTGCCAGCAGGCTGGACCCTGGCCATCAACCCCCTTCTCTGCCTCCCCCCCTCCCTCTCTTTCCCTACAGCCCATCTCTCCAGGTGAGTCTTCCTCCGTGGCTGTGCCCCCGTGTCCCCACCCTGGCCCCCCACCTCCCATCCTGACCCCTCCGCCTGCCTCCTCAGATACCACCTGGCCATGTCCCTCCTCCTCCTAAAGCTCTCCCCGGACCCCTGCTGCATCTGGACTTTCTACTCCCCAGATCCTCATTCCCTGCTCTAAGGGGGCCCAAATTCCGACTCTGAGCTCTCTGGAGCCCTTTGCCCATTCATTCATTCATTCATTCATTCGAGATTTAGGGCCTGCAAGGTTTGCCTGCTAAGCCAGCACTAGCAACCCCCTAGCCTCCCTCATCTCTCACCTCATGCCACCCCCACACCGGCACCAGCAGGGCCCGGGGGCTCCACACTTCCACCCTCTCTGAGCCTGCGGTAGACGTGGGGACTGCCCCCCTCATCCCTCATTCCCCAGCCAACTCCAGTGTGTTATTTCCAGACCCAGGGCCACCATCACCTCCTCCTCCATGAGCCTCTCCTCACCATGCCCACACCCCCTGAGCTGCTCCCCAAGAGCAGGGCTCCCAGGGGCCGGCGCCTCTCAAGCCTGGGCCAGGGCTGCTCACAGAGGGTTTGGGCCAGTGGGTGTTCCATGAACGTGGGGAAAGGGCTGATAATTAGGGTGCCCAGAGCCAGCCCCGAGAGGCCTGGGTCCTCCTCTCCGGGGCCCTGAATCCTGGAAGTGCACAGCGGGGCCAGGGCGGGGCCCAGGGGCGGGGCCGAGGGACTGGTCACCTCCTGCCCGGTGACCAGCAGGATGCTGCCCTCCTTGCCGTGCTGGACCTGGCGGTAGATGTGGTCGAACACCAGCAGCTCGCTCCAGCAGTTCTGCAGCAGCGTCATCTGGTCGGCCACCTGGAAGGAAGAGGCACGCGGGGGGCCGGGCTCCAGCCAGGGTCCAGGGACCTTCCTCTCACCCCTTCTCCTCCCACTGAGACCCAACTAGGCGTGCAGCCTGGGCAAGCTAACCTCTCTGTGCCCATCTACCCAGATGTCTAGGCTATCAAAGTGCAACAGAGGTCTGGCCAGTTAACAAAGGGATGTTTGGGGGTTGAATGGGCCAGGCTTCAGGCCCCACCTCTGTCTTTTGTATGACTTTACGTAAGTCCTGGTAACCTTTCTGTGCCTCAGTTTTCTCATCTGTAAAGTGGGCAAAGTACTGAGCGGACAGTCCAGTACATGTTAGGTATGCCATACATGTTAGTGACTAATGTCCATGCAGGTGCTCTGCAAAGGACTCCTACAAATGCCTGGCAAGGTTATTATTAATTTTAACCTTGTCCACATTTAAAAGCCTGTGGTCGGTCACACCTCTGGCAGCCCCAACTGCTCAAACAGGAGCCATGAGGGAGAAACCAAGGGCTTCCCCCCCGGGCCTACGCAGAGCTCTCAGGCTCAGGAGGAGGAGGGAGGTCCCACCTGGCCTGAGGTCAGGCCCAGGGCATGAGCAGGGGGGCGGCAATGGCCTGGCACATGAAGCAGAAACGAACAGCAACAAGGGGCTGATTCCGAATGCCCAGGCTGCGGCCAGAGACACTCGGTGCAGGGGCAGGGCCAGCCCCTGTTTGGAGTGTCCTTTGACTCTGCAGGACTCAGAAGCAGAGCCAGGGATCCCCTGGCCCCAATCCCTATTTTTCAGCTGAGGAATCCGCCACCCGGAAAGGGCAAGAGACTCTCCCGGGATCACACAGAGGCAGGGCCAGGCCAGGGCCACGGCTGGCATTCCCGGTCCACAATCTCCACTGTGACAAAACGAGCCCTTCTGGGTATTTGGAAGCACACTGGGCACTGCAGATGGGCCTGGGCAGACACAGCCCCATCCCTCTCAGCCCGTGCCACTCACCAGCTGGCCACCATCGACCCAAAAGACACTTCTGGCGCACCTTCCTGGGCCGTGCCCTATGGCAAATGCAAACCATGACAGCTGACAGTCATTCCACTGCAGCCCTACAGCCCTGCGAGTTTCGTATAGTCGCCACCCACATGATAGAGAGAAGAAACTGAACAGAGAGGCCACACAGCTCTGTCTAGTTCCAGATTTGCGCTCTTAACCACTAGGTGTGGAAGAGGACCTCTCACTCACCCTCCTTGCCATCCAGGAGTTCCTGGTCTCTCACAGGCTCCTTGCCTCCTCTACAGATCCTCTACCTGATCCCTCTCCTTCCTCGAGGCCCTCTCCACCCTCTGGATGCAGAATCTGCAACATCTCATGGCATCAGTTAAATGCCTCTGTCTTCACCAATACCTGTGAGGTCTGGGGAGGCAGAACTGGTGTTCAGCTCTTCTCTGGGCCCCAGAGCAGTGGTCAGAGGGGCTGATGACTGGCAAGGTGCTCCCCAAGACAAGCACAGAGAGCAGAGGGACCACTGCCCACCTGGGGCCAGAGACACAGAGAGGCCACTCCCCACCTGGGGCCAGAGACTCAGAGGGGCCACTCACCACCTGGGGCCAGAGACTCAGAGAGACCACTCCCCACTGGGGGCCAGGGGCTCAGAAGGGCCACTCCCCACCTGGGGCCAGAGGCACACAGAGACCACTCTCTACCTGGGACCAGAGGCTCAGAGGGACTGCTCCCCACCTAGGGGCGGCCCCCAGTCAGAGGGGAACTGGGCCAAGCCTAATGAACAGCTCTGTCTCGTAGGAGATAGAAGCACCCCGCTCTCTGTTCCCCTTCTCTCCTGGGGCGTCCCTGGGGCCTGTGTCCTCAGGCAGACAGAAGGGGAGAAAAGGAGAGGGAGAAGTCAGGAACTGCACACAGACAGACCTCCGGGCCCACGTGGTGGAAAAGAGGGAGGTCTGTGTCCATTCCCTCCATCCACACCTCACCTCTGGGTCCAGAGCTCCCTCCAGCTCCCAGCAAAGCTTTCTTCCCAGAGCCCCTACCATCAGCCGTGTGCCCCCAGGCTCAGCCCTGACTGGGAGGGTCCCGGAGAGACTGAGGCCTGGGCAGGGGCTGACTCGGCCATCTCTCCGTATCTCTCCTTGGAAGTGCCAGCCCCCATGGAGCCGCGGTTTCCAGGAGGGAGCCAAGGCTCAGAGGGCACCTATCACCAGGCACGGCGCCCAGTGTGGCACAGGACACCTCACCCCTGCCCTGCCGACATTCTGCCCACATTACAGATAAGGAAACAGAGGCCTGCCGGAGGCAACACTCGGGCTTCAGGCAGCTGGGCTCTGCCCAGAGGTTCCTACCGGCCAGACTTCTGGGGACCTGAGAACCTCCTGAGACCTGGGAAGGAGGGGCCTGCCCAGGGGTCACACTGGCAGCAAGAAAAACTCAGGCCCACCGTAGACACCCAGGTGGTGGTGCAGGGCCAGGCTTGTCCCCCCGCCCCTCGCAGGCCCACAGGAGCAGACACGCTTGCGCCCAGAACGAAGACACAAGGGGGTGGGGAGGTGGCGGAGGAGCGATAAGGGGTAGAATGAGGAGATAAGGCTTCAGGCCAAAAGCAGATGGGTCACGGTGACCCGGCTGGCCCAGCCCTGGGAGCAGGCTCTGTACCCAGACCTTAGACCCTGGATGGGGCAGCCCTGCCCAGTGAGGCTGATAGGGGTGCCAGGGGCACAGAGCCACAATATGGTCGCTGAGGCTTTGGTGCCCCGTGCCCTGCATTCGAGCCCCCATCCGGCCATGCATCCTCCACCCTAATTTCCTGTTTTGTGAAGCAGGAAATGTAATTTCTCTCTTTTTTGGTTAAAACGTAAGAACACACATTGGGATGTATGGGAATCGGTGGACCTGCTGTTGGTTCTTACGTGGATGCTGCCCGGCCGGGATCCCACCTGCCCCTTGGCCAAGCAGGTCTTGTACTCACTGCTTTCCTTGGGTGGACAGATGGATGCATAAAGACACCAAACTCCAAAACACTCCCCACACAGATGAGAATGCGCACACACACACACACACACACACAACCTCTTTTTATTTAAAAGAAAACCACAGGGCCATAGCTGCCAGCCCCCCTGCATGAGAAAGCAGGTGGCTAAGAGGTTCCTTTAACCAGAGAGGGTTGGTTTTCACTTTCCGAAGTTTCCTCCCTAAGCTAAAGGCTCCTCTACCCTCAGGCCTCCTTGTCGCCCTGGGAACAATGACATTTGCAGCCCCAGCCCTTGGGTCTCCCACCAGCCTGGCCTGTCTGCTGGGCACATCAGCCATCCACCCCTCCCACCGGACCGCCACAAATCTTCCTGGAGCCTTGACGCTCTGCAGGCTGCCTCAGAGACCCGGTATTTATGGGTGCCAAGCTGACCTCCCTCCCAGCAGGGCCCCTCTGGAGCCCCCTGGGGTCCGATTGGTCTGGCTGTGAAGGCCGGTGGGCTGTGTAATTCTCTGGTGGCTGACACACCACGGGCTGGCCACTGCGCTCTGCCGGCAGAGTGGTCAGTGAGGTGTCATTTGTCAGCCCAGGACTGACAGTTACTGCCGCTTAAATGAAACCGTCTATCTGGGCAGTTAAATCTGCTGTCAGTGGGGGCCTCGGAGCTGGATGTTGAGGGTGAACGGATGTCAAAATGGGTCACTGGGCACTCCTGGCCCCCACCGTCCCCCCGGGTCCTCCCTTGCATCCTCCCAGCCTGTCCTTCGCAGTAAGTGACGAGAGGCTGACTGCCTGGGCCCTGGGCACTGCTGCCCACCAAGCAGCAGGTACAGGTGAGTTTCTTCCACCTCACAGGGAAAAAGTTGCTTTATAAGCGCAGGACAAAGTGACCCTCAGACGGTCCCAGAACAATCGTGTGCTCAGAGGAGCTTGGGTCCAATGTGTCTCTCCCTGCTGCCTCCCCGCCAAGGCCTGCATAAGCCTGCAGGCGTCGATTAAACAGTGTAGCTAAGGGGAAGAGAGGAAGGGTGCTGCGACCCCACTTCCGAAACTGCCCGCGCTCAGTTCTTCCCCTGTCCTTACTCACTAACCCTTTACCACAATCCAATGGGGTGGACATTATTTCAACTCCTCCCATTTTCAAGACGAGGAAACTGAGGCCCGGAGGAGTGAAGTCACTTGCCCAAAATCATACAGCATGTAAGTGACAGAGCTGGAACTTGACAACAGGCCTCTCTGATTCTAGTCTTTGATATTCACTTCTGTGCTACTATCGAATCTACCATGCTGGGATTGGTGTGAGATGGAAACATGGAGACGGAGGGACCCCCATACCAGCTGGGAAAGAAGATGGGGGAGGAAGACCCCAAGAGGGCATTTGGAGCTCAGCATCGGACACAACTGGGCCCCTGGCACCCCTGAGAGCTCAGCTGAGACTCCAGGACTCCTCCCGAGCAGCAAGATGTCATCAGCATCAGAGGGCTGAGTGGGCCTCTGCTCAGAGCCCAAGCTCTGTCAGGGGAGCCCCTCCCTGACCCGGAACCTGGAGCCCCAGCCAGCCCCGCAGCCATCCATCACCCACTGCCCAAGGACCCACTCCTGCTCCAGGCTCTGCTCTGGCCCTGCCAACCTCTCCAGCCCTGCTTCACAGGCCCATTGGAACTCCCGGAACACGATGCCTCTTCACATTTCGGGACCTTCGCCTCTGCTGTGCCCACTGCCTGGAATTCCCTGAACCTTCTCTACTTTCTAGAAAGGCACAGAACTGTTCTCCGACTTCCTTAGTTAGAGCTGTTTGCTCTCCCCCCAGGGTCCCCTCTGCCCCTTCCGTGGCTCTCAGAGCCCTGGGCACCTCGCACTGGCATTATCTAAGTGCATGTCTGACTTCTCCTCCAGGCTGGCAGCTTCCTGGGTCCAGATGATTTTAATGTCCCCAGTGTCCAGCCCAAGGGCTGCTCCACTCTCAGAGCCAGAGAGCCCCCTCTTCTGTCTGCTAAGATGTGTCCTGTCTGGAGGTGGGGAAATGAATGATCAGCTAGAAGAGACGCCGGAGTCACCCACACCCCTCCCACTTTTCTGTCTCCTCACCTCTGGACTTTGCAAAGAGACACCAGCCCAGGGTCCACTGGACCAGTGGAAAAGAACTTCCACATGGCTTACGAGAGGCGCTCTAAGGGCTGGGCTGGTACTTATCTGCAAGGCCCCTTTAGAGAAGCTGGTGACCACTGCTCATAATCCCGGGCTCAATTCAAAGACTTTGAGAAGGGGAAGCAGGAAGGTTTGGACCACGGAGAAGCCAGAAGCAGGAAAAAACACTCAGCAAAGCTGGGACAAAAGCCCTTCCCATCCTGCGTGAAAATCCCCGGGAGACTAGGAAGGCAGCCAGAGGAAGTGCCCTGCCCCTCAATCCAGGGTTCTGGAAGGCCGGGAATGCCCTGCTCCTCCTCCCCTCTGCACGGGGGGTGCATGGGAAGTCTGGAGGGAAGCTAGCAACCAACCCAAGATGCTTGGGGTCCTCATCCCCACCAGGGCCTCCAGCCATGAGCAGAAGGCAGGTGGGAGTATTCAAGACCCTGCCTTTTGCCTCATCCATTAGGTCGGACCAGAGAGGCGGGCAGTGTTGAGAAGGGGCTGGGGTGAGAAACCCACCCCATGACAGACACATGGTACATCCCCAGGCCTCAGCCATGACAGGCGCTCCACGGTGGAAGCCGTAGCCACCACCATCAATCCTCGACTCCCAGATGGCCCAGGCCCCAGTCCCGCGATGCCCCTAGGGCTCGGAGCACCCACCCCCACCTACCAGCCAGGGCAGGCAGTGCCCCCAGCCCATCCGGCCTCATGCCCCTGGAGGAAGCCCAGGCCCGAGTGGCGTCAGCATTGACAATGCTGCTCAAGGCTGCAGTGGCCCCAGCAGTGGGGGCAACGGGCCCTGCTGTTTACACCCAGCCCCAGAACAGCCAGGGGGTCAGCCTGGGAAAGCTAAACACCAATAGCCCTGGGTGAAAGAGTGCCTGAACCCAGGCCAGGGAGGGGCAGGCCTTGGTCAGCTGGAGGGGCCTCTAGGGAGGTCTCAGAGAGCCAGGGCACTGGAGGGGCAGTTCTGGGGCCTCAGGCTCTTCAAGCCACTAGGTGGGAAGACTGGGAAGTTCTTTCCTATGTCTAGCCTCAGTTTCTCCTGCTGCTTTCCTGATTACTGTAGCATCAGGTACCTCGACCCAGGGGGAAAGAAGGCCATGCCATAGAGGAAGGCTGCCTCGCCAGGGAAGATCAGTGGCAGACCCTGGAATCCCCCACCCACCTACCTATCTAGCTTCCTGAACACCCACACACATGCACATGACCATCCAGCATACGCAAGATTTGCAGAGGCAGGAGGATCTTTCACCTTAGCTGGGAAGGAGAATGGCCCACAAATGCCCCAAACTCTAAAACACTAAGAGCCCCCATCTGTGTGTGACACTGCCAATCCTTGCCAGCCTCCCTGAATGGGAGGACAGGATGGGCCGGACCCCCTTCCCAACACTAGGCTGAAGCCTGGGGAGGCAAGACAGTCTCCCAAGGACTCAGCTAGTCCTTTGAGGGAGCCCAGGGTCTCAGAGAATGAGGGAAATGAGTACTGAGAGAGCCCCAGAATAGGGAACCCCAGAGGCTGAAGGGGTTGCAGAGACACCAAGAAGCAGAGAGACAACATGCAAGGGAGAGACACAGTAGGAAGAGACAGAGGCAGAGATCAAAGCAGCAGTGGCTCCTTGAGCAGAGGCTCAAGGAGGAGAGAAGGAGAGGGAGGGAGCGGGGACCCAGGAGGCTGTGATAAGTGGAAATGCTCCTTAATGTCCCCAGGGTGGCCTCCGGGTCCCCAGGTACTGCCTGAAGCCAGTGGGAAGGATGGCCCTATCCAAAGGACAGTCGGGCTAAGGCTTGGGCAGCCGGGAGGACCATGATGCAGGGCCAGCCGGGCGGGAGGAGAGACTCACCTCCAGCTCCTTGAAGACCATGCACCTGCGTGCCCAGTCCACGATGGAGATGAAGGTCTGGTCGGCCATTCTGCACAGGAGGCCGAAGGCCGCCGGCTGGTCGGGGCGGCTTTTGGTGGGCTCCTGCAGGCAGCCCAAGATGCGGGCCCGCACCTGGTCCTCATCCGGCTCCAGCTGCAGCAGCTGCAGGATGAGCTCAGGCACGTTGGGCCCTCCAGAGAAGGGCTCTGGGTAGCCGTACGGCAGCCCAGGCTGTGGGGGGCTGGCATAAGGCTCCGGGTACTCAGACTTGATGGCACGGCCAGGAAAGGCAGGGTAGAGGTAGCCAGCCAGTGGCCCGTGGGCACCGGGCACGGCCATGGGCAGTGCTGGGGCCCCAAAGTCGCCCAGTGGCCCAGCAGGTGGACCGGCGGCCAGGCCCTTGGGCTCAGGCCCATGCAGGCTGGGAGGCAGCACGTAGTCCGGTGCGGGAGGGGGCGGCGGGGGCACCCCCATCGGGGGCCCTGTCTCCAGCTTGAAGCCATTGGCCCGAATCTGTGCCTTCTTCTGCTGTTTCAGGGCCCGGTCCCGCTTGTACATCGGCCCAAACTTGTTCCGGCCACCCCTCATACGGTCAGCGCGCACGGCTGTGGGCAGGGGCAGAGGGTCAGACTCACCCTCTCTAAGCCCCCTTCCATGCTGCCCCACCACAGATCCTTTCCAAACAAATCTGACCGCTCTCTCCCCTGCTCAACACCCTTTCATGGCTCCCACTGACCACAGGGGAAGTCAGTCTCCTTTGCCTGGCATTCAAGGCCCTGCTCAGCTTTTCAGGCAATCCCTGCTAAGACCCCTCTCCTTCCACTCCACCGAACTCACCTCCACTCCTCTGTTTGACACATCTCCTTCCTCCTCCACCCTGCCTTTCATTTTCCTTCTGACTCAAACTTTTTTTTTTCTCTTGTGCTTGCTGAACACCCAGCCTCAATGTCACTACTTCCAGGAAGCACTCCTGGATTCATGCAAACGGGCTCTACTGTCCTTGCCCCAGGTGCCCTGTCCTTGCCCACTCTTATCATGCTGAGTGGATCATGCCATGTGCTCCTGCGGGCTAAGTTCTGGGCTCAGGTGTCTAGCATAAGGCCTGGCAGGGAGATGGTGACCGGAAGGGGACCCTGGTCAGCCTTGTTCACCGCTGGCCCCAGGGTCCAGCTGTTTGTTGACTGACTGCCTGACTGTTGAGCTCCTGCTTCAAAATGACTCAAGTATCCTTCACTGGCTGCGAATGTGAAGCCAAGTTTAGAGCTGGCCAAGGCTCTATGCTGGGGGAGGGGACCTCTCTTGCCGACTAGAAGCTCCTCCGCCTGGCGAGGAATGTGTCATCAGCCAGACCCAACAGGTACATCTCTGCAGCTGGAGTGTGCCCCCCGCCCCTGCTCAGACAGGGCCCCACCCTGGGATCTGGGCGAGGGGAAAGAGCAGGAGAGAGGGGGTGGTGGTGCTCAGCAGGGATGATGGCTGGGGGGCTGCCTGGCCAATCTTCCTGCCCCCTGGGGTGGGCAGCGCTGTGCTGCTCGCAGGCTGCACGGGAGTTTCTACTGCCCACAACAGCCAGCTATCTGGCCCCTTGGGACCTGGCACTAGGGGCATGGGCTCTGGGGACAGGACAGGATGTCCCCTCTCCCATCCAGGAGTCCTTTCTCCAGGTGGCAGGGCATGTGGTCCACCACTCTCAGAGCCACCTGGGGCTTTCTACACTGTTCCAAGACCTTAATCAACCACTGCCTGTTCAGCACACAGTCCAGTGACCGGCCACCTCCAGAAGCTCAAATCTTTCCTGCCAAAACTTACCTCCTCCTCTCTGGGCTGAGAGCTGGGGTTGAGGGTAGGGAGGCAAAGAGGGGCCTGGGTTTCTTGGGGGCAATTCAATTGTCCCCCACTGCCCGGCCCCCTCAGGGCCTGGCTAAGAACATGACGGGAAGGAATCTCACTGGCTGAGCCAATAAACCAGAGAGCCCTTTGGATGGACGGACAGACAAGCAGATGGGCAGCTGAATGTGTGGGGGCTGGGCGGTGGTGGTGGGCAGATCCTAATGGAAAGCGTGATGGGCTTGACAGCTAACCTGCGGCAATGAACGCCTAGGCACCTTCAGCTTGCCTGCACCGATCCCCACACTCACTCACTGGAGGAAGGCGCTGCCGTTAAGCCCATTTTTCTTTTCTTTCTTTCTCTTTCTGCCTTTTCTTTTCTTTCTTTTTTATTTTTATGTACTTATTTTTTGAGACAGGGTTTCCCTCTCGCCCAGGCTGGAGTGGAGTGGTGTGATCATAGCTCACTGCAGCCTCGACTTTCCAGGCTCAAGTGATCCCCCCACCTCAGCCTCCTGAGTAGCTAGGACTACAGGCACATGTCACCACGCCCAGCTACTTTTTTATATTTTATAGATACAAGGTTTCTCCATGTTGCCCAGGCTGGTCTTAAACTTCTGGGCTCAAGTGATCCTCTTGCCTCAGCCTCCCAAATGCTGGAATTACAGGCATGAGCCGCTCCATCCGGCCAAGCCCATGTTTCACATGGGAAATCTGCGGTTTAGAGAGGTTAAGGATTTTGCCCAATGTCACCCAGCCTGACTGACAGTGCGGGCACTGGGACTTGGCCTCTGCTGGCTGGGGTTGGGTATTTTGGGGGCATGGGGACCTCCTCACAGAGGGAGGAGCTCTGCCGACCCTGTGCTGGGGCCCTGGCAGGGGCTGGGGAAAGAGTCATCTCCATAGGGTTCACTTTTGGATACTTCTCAGCCCAACCCAGGCTGGCCTTGCCAGCGTCCCTTCCCCGCCCGAGGCCCACCCAGCGCCAGCGCCCGGTTCTCTTGCAGCGACTGGGCCCTAATGTCGCACGAGGGGCCTTCGCGAAGGCCAATGGTACTATCCCCTCAGCCCCTCTCCCACCCCCACCCCCTACCCCCTCAGGCTGTGGGGGGTCAGGGGTCGAGGCCCGCGCGGCGCGCACCTTCCAGGCGCATCCCCACCGTCAGGCATTTCTGGAAGCGGCAGAAGGGACAGCGCTTGCGCTGCGTCTTGTCGATCTTGCAGCTCTGGCTCTCGGTGCACGTGTAGTGCTTGTTGTTCTGCACCGTGCGCTTGAAGAAGCCCTGCGGGAGCTGAGAGTCAGCGAGGCCCCGCAGCGCCCGTCTGCCGCACCCCTGCCGCGCGCTCGCCGCTCACCTTGCAGCTCTCACACGTGAGCAGTCCGTAGTGGTAGCCGGACACCTTGTCCCCGCACACGGGGCACAGCTCGTCCAGGTCCTCGTCGTACGAATAGTCCATGCCCGCGGCGTCCGCCTGCGGAGGGACAGCGGGTCAGGGAGGGCCGGCGGAGACCGGCAGCCTGGGGTCCCCGCGGCCGCCGCCCCAGCCGCTGTCGCCGGCCCGTCGCGTAATCCCCTCTCTGTGCCCAGGCGCTGCCGCCGGCACCCACCGAGCGCCCCGCGCAGCGTCCCGGGGTGGGTCCGGTGCAGTCCCCGCGCCCGGCCTTCCCCTGCCAGGCCCCACGCTCCCGCCCCGTCCGGGGGGCTCCTCCCGCGCGGACCCCGTCGCGCCCGATCTGGGGCCCTCGGGTTCGATGCGCTTCGATTGGGATTCGTTTGTCTGAGAACAAAACCCCGATTCTGAGAAAAAGAGATGGGCTCAGCCGCGGGGAAGACGCCAGGGGACCCAGGAGCGCTGGGGCGCCCGGCCCGGGTGTTCTGGGAACCCGACAGAGACGAAGGAGGCAGAGACAGAGTCCGGGGGAGCCAGAGATGGGAAGAAACTCTGGCGAGAGACAACGACCGACGCCACCGGGCGCAGACACGAGGCCAGTCCGAGAGTGCCAGAGACACAGACACTGAGACGCCCAGCTAGAGAGAACCCGGCGGGGACGAGACACAGGGAGGGATGGAGAGAGACAGGGAGACAGAGAGAGAGAGAGAGAGAGAGAGAGACGAGAGAGAGAGAGAGAGAGAGAAACGAGGGGTGGGGGATTGGATCAGAGACTCGGAGAGACAGCGGAGGCCCGAAGAGAAAACCCAAGAGAGACTGACGCAGAGCCAGAGACACAACGATAGACGACAGACAGAGACGCCGAGACGAGAGGAGCCCCGGAGAGACGAGGCCGGGGAGCTACAGAAACACGGAGAGAAAACCTGGAGGCGGAAGCGCCCAGCCCGAGGGTCGGGGACAGGGGACGCGCGGAAACCTGCCGGGCAGGAGCCCAAGCGCCAAGGCGAGGCCCCGCAGGGTCGGACCCAGACGGGGGCCCGGGCCGCAGGAGGCGGAAAACGACGGCGCCGGGACCGAGAGCCCGAAAACGCAGAGCCGCCGGGACCCCCTCCCCGGGGGAGACAAAGCCGCAGCAGCGACGGCAACGGGAGGCGCAGCCCGAGCCGCCGCTGCCACCGGGACGTCGGGCGGGGAGACCTCGGGCGGGGGTCGGCGGGCTCCGGGAAGCCGAGCCCGAGGCGAGGGAGCGACCTCGGGCGGAGAGGCGAAGTCCGGAGGAGGGAAGCGCGAAGAGCCAGGGCCCGGGACGCGAGAGGGGGCGCGACGGCGGCTGCGGTCGGCCCGGCGCCCACCTGGTCGCTCCTGCGAGCAGCGCCCCGCGTCCCGCCCGCGCGGAGCCCGCACCTCTCGGCCGCGCCGCCGCCGCCGGCGAGGAGCCGCACCCGGGCGCAGCGCCGCCCGCCCGCGATGACGGCCGCTCGGGCCGGGGACGGGGAGGCGGGGGCGCGGGGCTGGCGGCGCGGGGGCCTCGGCTCCCCCCTCCCGCCTCCCCGCCCCCCATCCTGCCTCCCTGTTCCCCCCCGCACCGCCGCCGGGGCCGCTCCGAGGCGCACCTGGGACCCGGGCCCCTCAGCCGCCACCCCGCCCTGCGCCAACCCGCCGCGCCGGGGCCGGGGGCCGGCCCCTCTATATCGGCGCGTGCGGTATCCGGGGGCGGAGGCCCGGTCGTGTCCTCCCCCCAAGCCCGGCCCGCGCCGGCACCCTCTCCGCAGTCCAGCTCGAGTCTTCGCCCTCATCCTCCAGGCCCCCCAGCCGCAGCCCGGCTCCCCGGACCCCGAGCGCGGCCAGAGAGCTGCGGAGCCCGAGTGCCCCGCGATCTGGGCAGGTATAGGGCAGTGGGGGCCTTGGGTCACCCGCCTGCAGTGGGAGGAGGCAGCTCCTGTCTGTGAACCCAGCTGGGTCGTGGCGAATGCCACGCGGGTGGCTGGTCGCACTACAGCGTGGAAGTGGGTAAGGGCGAGTGGCGACCGTGGCCGAGGCTCGGATTCACGGGTGGAAGCCAGATTCTCCCATGGGGCCCACCACATCTCCTCACTCGAGCCTGTAGCAGCTCTCTCCCCGTCTCGGGTCTTCAGTTGCCGCATCTGTGAAGTGGGTAGATGACCGCTCTTCCTCGCTAAGGGTGGGTCGTGAGGATGAACCCAAGCAGTAGGGGCAAAGCACGCGTGTGGCCTGGCGGAAGCGCTCAGTGGCGCCCCTCTGGGGAGATCTGGGGCGAACCCCTTCTGCTCGCTAGCCTCAGGTCGCTGGGCTGGAAATGGGACTCGTGGAAATCCCATTTTACAAATGTCCGAGGCCTGGGGGGACCCGAAGCCTCTACGGGCGCAGGAGCTGGGAGAGGAGCCCGGAGGCAGGGCCCCGCTGCTCCCCTCGGAGCTCTCACGGGGGGGTGGGGCGAGGAAGAAAGCGCTGGGCGGTCTTGGGGACAAAGGGGTTCCCGGGCCTATGGGCCAAGCAGTTGCTCTGGGCTAGGGACCATCCGCGGGGCCACTGTTTTTCAGCTGGAGAAACGGACCCGAAAGGAAGGGGCCTGCTTGCATCCTGCCTCCGCCCCCGCTGGCACCTGGGGTCAGAGAGAGTTTGGGGACCATGAGGCCAAAAAGCTGCGATCTTCAAGCAGGAAAATACCGCAATTTTGCATTGACAGCGGCGCAACCCACCAAAAGGCTCCATCTGGGCTCCCGCCCGCCTGGAGGCCTCGGGCTTCGGTTGGAGCTGGGCCTGGGGCCTGCAAGTTGTGGCCAGAGAACCCCCCGCGCAGACCGCACTCAGCTGGCTCACCCACAGAAGGAGCAGAACCCGCAGACTAGCTGTGCAAGCTCGGGCAAGTCACTTCTCCTCTCTGAAACGAGAGCCTCAGTTTTCTCCGAGCATAAAGTGGAACATGTTGGCTTTACAGATGGGGTACTGCGGTTTCCATGCAAGAATCTTGGATGAGGAGGGAAGAAAGAGCCAGAGACCCTGTTAATCGTACCCCCCGCACCCCCAAACCCCTGAGAAACAAGAGCATCTGCCCGAGCTGGAGGTGGGGGTCACTGCCGCCTCTGAACAGCTCCCCACCACAATGGAGCCCTCAGACAGTGACTGCAGGAGGGAAGGGGGTTGGTGGATGATGGGCTGGGGTGCCCCAGTTGGCTGTTCTAAGGTAGAGCTCACCCGAGGTCTCCTGGAAACCTGGAGCTGGACACACAGGCCCCAGCCGCCGGGGTTGGGTGGGGGCTGGGCTCAGGCCCTTCTCCCTCTATCTCCAATCCCCTCTCCCCAAGGGTTTCTACTCTCACCGGCTGGAAGCCCATGGCTCCTCTGCACTCCAGGCTCCGAGGCACCCACCCCCACAGGTTCCAGGTTCCAGCCCACCGCCTGGGGAGTTCCAGCCCCTCATCCACCCACCCAGGGAGGGAAGCCTAGACCTGGCCCGGCCGCAGAACCCAGGCTGACAGATGGATGCCGGAGACAGACACACGGATACACAGCAAGACTCAGAGAGAGCCACAGAGACAACACAGAAACTCAGGTGGGGGACAGAGCCCCAAGACAGGCCCAGAGCCCTCCAGACACACTCACAGACCTCTAGGCTCAGACCCACACAGCCTGGTGGATGCCTGGCCAGAGACAGCGGGACACCAGCGGACCTCCATGGGGCTTGTGGTCACAGGCCTGGCTCCTCCCATCGGCAGCCCAGGGAAGAAGAGGGGGTAGCATGGTGGGAGGGTGAGTCTGGGAGACCCCTGGCACCTTCCCTGCCCAGAGCAGGGGGCACCGGTCACTAAGTGGAGCAGGCAGTGGCCGGCCCAGGCTGCAGGGAGGCACTGCAGAAGGAGGCTGGCCATTAGAGGCCTGGGCCAAGGCCCTCACTTACGAAGCGGAAGCAGCGCTCTCACACCGGATGAGGGTGGCAGTGGGCACCAGGGGTCCAGGGGGAGGCTCCGGCAGCCCAGGTGGGACGGTGGCGACTGTGGGTGCGCAGAAACCCCCTCACACCACGGCGGGCGGCAGCCGGACAGCAGGCTGGCCCTGTCCGTCCGTCCTCCTCCTCCTCCCCGCCCTGGTGGGGGGGCCACCGGAGGCCCAATTGGTCTCTGCCCCCACGTGACTCTGCAGGCCTCTCGCCTTCTTTGTTGGTGTTTCTCTTCATTTACGTCTATTTTTTCTTCTTCTCCTAAAAGAAAAAAAATACCCCTATCTATCTGGGGGCTGAGGGTGGGGGCGGAGGCCAAGGCACTGCAGAGGCCTTGGCCAGCTGGCTGTTCCAGGCCCGCTGTGGGAGCCCAGAGGCAGGGACCCCACAGAGGCGGGTAGGCAGCCCCGCTTGTTAGAAACCGGGTGGGAGTGGGGCTTGATTTATGGGCTGCTCCCCCACCCGGCCTGCCGCCTGCTCCTCTCTCCTTGTGAATGGCTACCTCCCTGGGGCCTGGCCTGGCATGGTCTGGCCCAGCCCGGACATTGGAGTAGAGTCAGGACAGGCCAGTGCGGAGGCAAGGCCATGGCGACTTGACTAGGCGGCCTGCTGCTTCCACCTCTTTTTCCTCTTCCATCAGGTGGAAGAAGAGGGGGGCCGGAAGGGGAGCAGGTGAGCGGCCTGGACACCTGGTGCGTGCATGCCACGGTGGCCTCTGAATGTCCTCATCTGCTGTGGGCTGCTGATGTTCCCAGTCGATGGCTGGAAAAACTGAGGCTGGGCTGAGACTGCCTCTGAGGCCAAGTGGTGGCTATAGTGGCCCCAGGTTGAACCAAGTATGAAGCTAGTCCAGGATAGGACAGGGTAGCAGGAAGGGGCCCTTATCTAGAAGGCTAGGCCTCCCTAGACAACCTGGGACGTCCCCATCCAATCTCTGGGCCCAGATGGGCTCTGAAATATCCTGTTCCTGTAGGGCCCGGGTTGCAGGGTGTTGTGCCGCTCCCACGGTGACTGGATCTTTTGTGTGTTCCTCTGTTTGTCTCACATTTACTGAGCGCACACTTAGGGGTCAGGCACTGTTCCAGGCACCAGGGATCCCATAGGAAAGAGAAGAAAAGTCTCTGTCCTCAGAGGATTTACCTCCGTGCCTTTCATCTTGGGAGAGCAGGGAGGGGCACAGGGTGACTATGGGGCAGTCACTGTTGAGAACCACCCCTCCTCCCACATATCCCTTCATTGGAGGAAATAAATAAATCACACCCAACACCTCACTTATCTGGAACAAGAGGGACTTTTCTGGATAAGTGAAGTGAAGCCAACTCTCCCTATATATATTTTTTCATGGAAGGCCACTGAAAAAGTAGAAACGCCAACTATATTTAAAACCTATGTGTTTTCCAGCCAGTCACTGTGGCTCATGCCTGTAATCCCAGCACTTTGGGAGGCCAAGGTGGGCGGATCACCTGAGGTCAAGAAGTTCAAGACAAGCCTGGCCAACATGGCAAAACGCCATCTCTACTAAAAAATAGAAAAATTCACCTGGTGTGGTGGCTTGTGCCTGTAGTCCCAGCTACTTGGGAAGCTGAGGCAGGAGGATCGCTTGAACCTGGGAGGCAGAGGTTGCAGTGAGCCAAGATTGTGCTACTGCAGTCCAGCCTGGGCGACAGAGTGAGACTCCGTCTCAAATAAAATAAAATAAAATAAAATAAAATAAAATAAAATAAAATAAAACCTAGTGTGTGTTTTCCTCATTATGCCACTTAAAATTGTGTGTGAACATACAACAATAATACTGATAGACTGTAGTCCCGGCTACTCGGGAGGCTGAGGCAGGAGGATGGTTTGAACCCAGGAGTTGGAGCTGCAGTGAGCTATGATTGTGCCACTGCACTCTAGCCCGGGCAATAGGGTTTTAATAATTAATAATCATTAATTCAATAATAATAATTTTTATAATATAATTTCACCAACAGTCATAGCTAACTGATCGAATATATTCCACCTACAACGTAACAGACAACTTATTCCTCAATGTGCATGACCTTGTAATTATGTCTTTTTCACCTAGAGAAGTTCTTACAAGATATACTTCTCTTGCATATGGCTGAACCTAACTAGTCTCCCTATTTTAATATTCTTTTTTTAGTGTCCCTATTTTGTTTTATGTCTTTTGAGACAGGGTCTTGCTCTGTTACTCAGACTGGAGTGCAGTGGTACCATCATAGCTCACTGTAGCCTCGACCTCCTGGGCTCAAGCAATCCTCCTCCCTCAGTCTCCTGAATAGCTGAGACTACAGGCACATGCCACCACACCTGGCTAAGTTTTGTATTTTCTTTTGTAGAGATGGGGTTTCGCCATGCTGCCCAGGCTAGTCTTGAACTCCTGGGCTCAAGAAATCGGCCGCCTCGGCCTCCCAAAGTGCTGAGATTACAGGCGTAAGCCACAGCACCTGGCCTTAGTGTCCCTATTTTTTTTTTTTTTTTTTTTTTTTGAGATGGAGTCTCACTTTGTTGCCCAGGCTGGAGTGCAGTGGCACAATTTCAGCTCACTGCAACCTCCGCCTCCTGGGTTCAAGCAATTCTCCTGTCTCAGCCTCCCAAGTAGCTGGGATTACAGGCACCCGCCACCGCACCCGGCTAATTTTTGTATTTTTAGTAGAGACAGGGTTTCATCATTTTGGCCGCACTGGTCTCAAACTCCTGACCTCAGGTGATCCACCCACCTCAGCCTCCCCAAGTGCTGGGATTACAGGTGTGAGCCACCGCACCTAGCCTAGTGTCCCTATTTTAATGCAATGATTTTGTTTCTGGACTAATATCACTCACCCTCTGAATTTAATAAGAAATATCCCAGCAAGTCCAGGCGCAGTGGCTCACGCCTGTAATTCCAGCACTTTGGGAGGCCGAGGCGGGCGGATCAGGAGGTCAGGAGATCGAGGCCATCCTGGCTAACACGGTGAGACCCCGTCTCTACTAAAAATACAAAAATCAGCTGGGCCTGGTGGCGGGCGCCTGTAGTCCCAGCTACTCCAGAGGCTGAGGCAGGAGAATGGCGTGAACCCAGGAGGCGGAGCTTGCAGTGAGCCAAGATTGCACCACTGCACTCCAGGCTGGCAACAGAGCAAGACTCTGTCTCAAAAAAAAAAAAAAAAAAAAAAAAAAAAAAAATATATATATATATATATATATATATATATATATATATACACACACACACACACACACACATATCCCAGCAAATACCCACCACTAACATGTCACATACATGTAACAATAACAAAATCATGAATCTTTGCACCTCATTTAATAGGCGACCTTATGAAGTGGGGTCTGCTTTGTCCGCCTTCTTAAACAAGACAAACAGGTCTCTCTCCACACCATGACGCCATAGAAGGAACCAGCCTGGCTTTGTCCTAGTCTCCTGGTGAGTCCTTGAGCCCTGAGAAGGAGAATTGCTGGCAGAGTCTCTGGATTAAATCCCAGTTCTACCACTTTCTAGCTGTGTGACCTGGGACCAGTCACTTCCCCTCTCTGGGCCTTCTCTCTTCTCTATAAAATGGGGATGAAAGGAGACAATACGTGTAATGTATTCAGTGGCTGGCTGGTATGTCATGTGTGCTCAATAAGTGTCAGCAAAACACAAACAAACAACCAGCTGAAGGACTGGATGATCTGTCCTCAGAGGCCCTTTCCCTGTTGAGTATGAGATTGCAACATCATCATGGACACCGTTTGCCCTTCTGTGATGAGCGCCTCACCTCAGCCTGGGGAAGCCTCCAGGAAAGGCCTGATTTATCTCTGGGTCCACAGCAGCCTGCGTGGAGCAAGCGTTGGAACTTGCTGAATGACCACTTTCCTCCGCACTTGTAGGTAGAGCTCTGCTGCCTGCTCCATGGGTCCTGTCTCCTCTGACGGCATCAGTTGTCACTCAAGGCTGGGTGCTCCTCATCCCCTAACCAACCCTGGCCACAGTCACTGGTACCCCCTTCCTCTGTGCTGCCCCCTCCCACCCTCAGCCAAAGTGGGTGCTCTATGGGGACAGGGGCAGCCAGGGGTTACCAGCGTGCTGGGAATGGCAAGGCCCCAACTCAGAAGTGCCCCCCTATGTGCCAGGTCCCCAGCTAACCACTCCACACCTGCAGTCAGTCTCGAACCTCTCCGGCATTCTGGGAGGTAGGTAGTAATTCCCTCTCAACCCCCGATAGCAGCAGTTAAGAGAGGAGGAAAGTCAGGCTTAGAGAGACCAGGCATCTTCCCAAAGTCACCAGGCGAGGGTGTGATGGGACCAGCGTTCAAATCCCAGCAGTGGAGTCCAGAGCCCAGGCCTGCAGGCTGACTCCTCTCCACCCTGCCAGAGCCCCTGGGTGGCCTGTCCTTTCCTTCAAGCTCTAGCCCTGGTGGTCCCAGGCCACTAGACCTACCCAGAGGGGAAAGCAAAGGAGGGCTGTAGTCCTGACTCAGGCGCCCCCAACCTCCCTCCCCAGGCAAACAAAGCCCAGGGTCTCTCTCCTAACTGGGGACTTTCCCAAAGTGCCAGGCCCATTTCCTGGAGGTGGGATAAGGAACAAACAAACCAGAGGCCCAGAAACTGAAACAGAGAGAGGGACAGAATCATCAGGCTGCAGAGTGGAAAGGTGGCCAGAAAAAGAGAGAGAAGCTGCAGAGGCTTGGGCAGAAAATATGAACACAGAGAGAAAGGGGAGACGCAGTCGGAGGGAGGGAGGATGACAGAGAAATTCAGAGTGGTGAGGGTTGGGGAGAGAAGAAATGAGAGCGAGAAGAAATGAGGAAGAGAGAGAGAGTAGGGATGAGAGAGATTCAGACGGAGAGAGAGAGACTGAGGCAGAGAACGAGAAGCGGGAAGGGCCGAGGCCTGGAGAGCTGGAGGTGGAGGGAGGGTGGATGTGGAGACCCCGTGCAGGGCAGCGGAGGGGGCGGGCCTGCTGGCGGCAGCAGAGGCTGTTTCCGCTGCACCCCTTATCAGCCTGCTGCCAGATGTTCAGATCCGATGCCAATGTCAGAGAAGTCCATAGTGCTGGGTCAAGGCCGTGGCCAGCGGGAGCCTCAGCTGCAGTGTGGGGAGGGGGGCTAGGGGCCTGCAATAGACCTGCTCGCTCTTCCCCCTCTGCCTGGTGGCTCTCTGGGCTGGACCACCTCGTGGGGATGGGAAAGGCCAGGTGCCCCTGGGGCCAGTTCTCTAGACTGAGAGCAGGGACTTGTGGAGGCAGATTGGGGCTCCTGGCAACACGTGGACACATACATCTTTGCACATTCGAGAAAGCACATGGACACACACTCAGGCACATGAGTGCACAGTGCCACATGGGGACAGCTCACAGAGTGAAGAGCTGCGCCCCCACAGCTCTCCTCAGCACCCCACAGCCTGCTAGAGCCCCTGCTCTGCGTGTTCAGCTTAGGGCCCCTACCCCCCCGACCTCTCTCCTGACCCAGGACTGCAGCCCGCACTGGAGAAGCAAGATAGGAGCCTCTTTGTGGCTGGTACTATTCCTAGGGCCCACACTGCTCTTCTGTGAACTGGATGCACCCAGAACCTGCTGCCCCAAGGGCTGGGCAGAGGACCTGGGACCCTTAGAACATGAGGCCTGGGGGAGCCCCCGTAGGAGGTGCAGAAGGTGGCATCTGGCAGAGCTGGGCTCCAGCCTTGGGTCTGGCCTCTCCACCAGGCTCCTGGAGCGTGCAGTGCAGCTGGGGCCCCCAGCCTGGGGTAGCTTATCTCTCGGTGCACACGCTTGGCCCTCAAGGGGTGACCCAGCCTTGCTCCCCACATTCCACTTCAGCCACGCAGCCGGTGGGCGCCCCCACAGCCCCGAGACAGGGCCTGTGCTTGGAGGGTGGTCAGAAGCCATCATGCTGCACCACCCCCTGCTCTCGGCTCCAGCCCTGCACAGCCATCTCTGGTGTCTCTTCGCTTGTCTCTGCTTTCATCTCTGTCACGATGAATCTGTCACTGTCGGTATCTTAATCATGTTCTAATTTGTTTCTCTCTGCTATTTTCAGCCGCCTAGTCTGTTTTTCTTTTCTCTCTCTGGGGTCCTTGAATGGGGCCACATCTAAGGATACTGACACTTTTCTTTCTAGCTCACAGTGGCCAGCTGAGTGGGAATGTCTATGAGAACTCGGGCTTGGGTGAGGGACAAAGGGCTTCAGAAAGCAGAGACCTTGGAACTGTAGTGGGTGAGCTGGGGCAGCCCAGGGAGCCCAAATTCAGGCCCCCTCCCACCCACTGCTAGGAGTCAGCCTGGATGATGGACACTGATAGGGCCTGGTGCTGGAGGGCTCCCCCATGTAGTGGAGAAGCCTGGGGGTGGCAGCAATGGGGAGGAAGCTGGGGCTGGAGGTCTCCCAGCCTGAGAGCCTCCTTCCTGTTTGTAGGGAAGTCACTGCCTCACAAACCTGCTAGCGGGAGAAAAGGGAGGCCATGGGGACTTCCGGGAAGCTGGCCAAGGGCCCCAGGCTACCCTCCCTGTGCCCACAAGGGGCCCTCTGGCCCTGGCTTAAAATAGTACAGTTCCTCCTGTAATGGTGCTGGGCCCAGCCCAGACCTCAGAGGGCTGCTGGCTGGCTGCTCGTGCTGCTGGCAGAGGCCCGGGTACCCAGCCCTCCTCAGATTGTGGCTGGAGGCTTTGTCTTGGTAACATGGGTGGGAATGGGGAGTTGCAGAAAAAGCATGGGTTCCTGAGTCAGAAGCCCTGGATTCAGGTCTCAGCTCCAACACCGACTAGCCGTGAGACTTTGGGCTGGTCCATGTTGCCTCCCTGAGCCTCAGTTTCCACTTACGGAAAACAGGGTGAGCACGTGGCTTTTAACCTGAACGAGACCACGTATGTAGCTGATGCCTATGGACCTTGCCACACATAAAGTGGACACTCAAAAAATGGGAGTTCCTTTTGCCTCCAACTCACCTGAGGAAGTGCCTCCTGGAAGCACTCCTCAGTACCTACACTGCTCCTAGGACTGGGTGTTGAACAAGGGTTTGTGGAGAGGCAGCATGCAGGGAGGGCAAGGATGGGGCTGTGGTCTCCATGGTGAGACTTGTTGCCAAGGGAACAAGACTCCAAGAGCCCCGGGTCTGGCAGTTGGGCACTTTTGCCATAGGATCTGAGAGACTGATTACCACTGTGGACCTAAAACCCTGATGGGCAGCCAGGCCAAGGCTCCTGGCTCTGCTAAGTTTCTGCTCTTGGGGTGTAGGGGCGACAGCTCCCCGTACCTAGCCTCCTTTCATGTATTGACTTCACTGAGACCCAACTTTAAGCCAGCCACACTCAATCTTCCTTAACACTGCCCCCTGTCCCCCAGGACACAGGTACCAGCACCTCCATTTGTCTGACAGGGAAAGTGAGGATCAGAGAAGCATCTGTCTGGGTCAAGGTCACATACAACCAGGAAGGGCAAGAGCTGGAATGAGAACTCAGGTGGTGAGATCTCTGGTTGACGTGCCTGCTGTCTCATAGACTGCTTGAAGGAAACGACCCCTGGAAAGAGCTCTGTGTAGTCAGACTCAACCTCATCCCAGCACTTTCCCCTGCCATCATTTCCAGGGGCTTCTGTCTTCAGACTCTGACTTAATTCGGAGTAGCCAGCCTTCCCTGTTTCTTCAGGTATGCAGATGGTCTTACGTACCTCTGAGGGTTTGCACAAGGATAAGAATCACAGCACAGATCCTGCCGAATAGTAGGTGCTCAATCGATGCTGGTTTATATTCATTCCTGACATCTTGCCAGTTATGTAACCTCAAGCAAATGACTTACCCTTTCTGGGCCTCTGTTTTCTTATCTGTAATATGGGATCATTATAGCATTAACCTCACCGGGTTGCTCTGGGGAATCAGTAGTACTCTAATGCACACAAAATACTCAGCACAGAGCTTTGCTTTGTTTTCTAGATGTTACTTTATTATTCCTCCATATTATTGGCTGGCACCCAGGAAACTGAAAGCTCAGTGTCACATAAGCAGCAATTTATGTATTTAGAGCAGTGTCCTTTTATTCCATGGAATATTATCCCAACAGAATTTTAACAGGAGGCAAAAATGTCCAATGCTCAAATGCTTTTGGTAGAACCTGGGTTAAACAACATTAGTTTTCTTCAGGTGGGACTTCTCGAGACTTTAATATGCCAGTAAGGGCTGAGAATCAATGAGGATGATAGAGCGAGTGCAGCACTTCCCATATTTTTGGCAACAGAATTCAGGCTTCTTCCATGGAACCATCTCTGGGGGTGGGGTGGGGTGGGGGGGAGGTTCCTGAGCTCTGGGAAGCCATACCAATGTAGCGCCTGCAGTATTCCACATGACTGGGCAGCACCGCTTTTCAGCTCACTTTGGTTGGGTCTGTTCATCCACCTCTTACAGAATTAATCCTTTATTAATGTTTTTTATTTTTTTGTTTCTATGGCAAAAGGTTCACCCAAAGGCCATTACTGAGCTTTGCTACAAACTCTGGATATCCACATTCAGCACTACTGAATTGCTAAGGCTGAGCAGGGAGGAAGCCAGTTGTAACTTTAGTATCAGATAGACCTGGATTCAAAAGCCAATTCTGCCACTGACTAATGTGTCATCTGAAGCAAAAGGCTTAACTTCCTTGAGCCTCAATTTGCTTATTAGAAAAATGGGGCTGAGACCTACCCCTTGCAAGGCTGTTATGAAGATTACTGAGACGACATGCGTGAAGCACCAATTACGGCGCCTGGACTCACGAGGCGGTGGGCCAATGCGTCCCTTCTCCTCCCGGCACCTCTGTGTATCTGTTCCCTCTTGTGGGGGCAAGGAAGACAGTCTATTAATTCGTTCTGCAGCATTTGCTTTGTTCTAAACCCATCTCTTTCAAAACTCAAGGGCTCTCTGGTTTCTTGTGCTGGAGGCTGAGGAATGGGAAGGCAGCTGGGCTTCCCTCATTTCACACAAGAGGATTAATAGACTTTGATCAAACCCTCCTCAGCCTTTATCTTCCCAGCCTGAGAAGCCTTCATCTCTCCCATCTGTCTTCATACACCCCTCAACCCAAACTCTGCCACTTCTCTGATCATATGAGCAGGCCTACAGGACAGTTGGGCAGATCTGAGTTCAAGTACAAACTTAACACTCCTGTGTGATTTGGGCCACATCCCTTGATCTCTTAGAGCCTCCATTTTTTCAGCTCTAGAAAAGCTATTAATAGACCTCACCTATTTTCTGGAAAGACAGTATTACTTTGCTAGAGCACAGTGCATCCTAGGCCATCCATTGGCCTCTCATGCACTATGATGCTGCTCTCTTGCCCAAGACTCAGCAAACAGCTTTCTTTCCCCACACTCTTGAATGTGGCATCCAAGGCTCCCAACTGCTTCTCCAGCCTCAACTCTTGCTAATCCCTCCCACCTGCCATCATTCTTGCCATGACAGTCCCTTGTTTTACCTGAACACTCCCATCTTTCTGATACACAGCCAGGCCTTTGGACATGGATCCCTCTACCTGGCCTACCTGTGGATCCCTTTGCCTCGTGACTTTCTTCAAGGGCCACCTTCAACAACACTCATCTGTGAAGCTCTTCCTGACTATCCTCCATAGAACAAGCCACTCCTTCTCCAGGCCCTTACAACCCCACATACATCCCTAATGACAACCTCATCCCCCCTGCACTGCAAAAGTCTGTATCTGCCTCTCCACTAGGCTCACTTCTCTGGTTGTGCCACTCACCTTGGGAGAGTCTTTTCACCTCACTCAACTGTAGTTTCTTCACTTATAAAACAGAATAATCCTTGAAGTTCAATATGGTGCCTGGCACACAAGTTGGGCACTTCAGTCAGTGCTGGTTCATTGATTCAGGCAGTTCCGAGACACCACCTTCTGCCAGAGCCTCAGCAACAGAATTGAGGTGGGTGTCAGCTATGAGCAAGAGACACAGGTCTGAAGGCACAAGCCGGCGCCTCAGGACACGCCATCATCCCTCCCCAGAACCCCAGACAAGCTTCACAGACAGATGCCATGTGCAGAAGGATTCACATTTATTGGTTCAAATACAGTACCTAACACTTGCTAAACATGCATTTCACACTAATTGGTCACATTTCCACAGGTAGTCAATTCACAGAACAGGGCCCATCCCTTGCCAGCTGGCAGGGTGGGAGGTAGCAGAGGGCCTGGGTAGCCTGCAGAGCCCGCCAGCTATCATTTGGTCATGGAGGGTTGATGGAGTCAGGCTGGCGGGCAGCCCTTGGCCGGCCCTTTGGAGACAAGGGCTCAGGGACATCCCGTTTCCTCGATTCCTACACACAGGACTGTGGGTGGAGGTGGACCTAGGGCAGGTAACCTGGGGGTAGGCTCGTGGATGTGTGTGCCACTAGAGCCCTTAAAGGTGGTGTCTGTGGGAGTGGTGCTCCCTATGCCCTGGAGCACAGGAAGGAAATGGAGGCCTCTTCAGGGGGGTGACTAGTCCCTGGCTGGGTAGGTGGGAAGGAATCCCCAGACACAGCCCAGACATCACAATGCAGCCACCAGCCCCTATGGCAGACCTGGGATGGCAACACAGACAAAAACACCAACACCCCAGGGCAGGCGGGGCTTCTTTCCCGACAGAAACATGTAAACAGAGCAGGAGCTACAGTATTCTTTTCCCACAGGATTCCTCAGAGAGGAATCGACCAGGATGTCGCTTAAGAGGTAGTTTTTTTTTTCTTTTTCATGGAAATTTGAATCAACAACATTATCACCTATTACAAGACATTTTAGAGAAAGAAAACAATGGTCATTAAAGGGCAAAGACGGCAGGGCTAGATCTGGGGGACTAGCCTCCACCCATAACACAACTTTTGTTCTTGGGCTTGGAGCAGGCTCTGACCTTACTCACCGCCTCCCTTTGAGCCTACAGTTGATTCCTGTGCAGGCTGTGGTCCATTTAGGGCTTCAGGCCCAGAAGACGGATGCTAGATGGGAACTGGGCTAGACAGAGGGACCAGGCTTCTATGAGCGGGGAGAGGCAGGGCCACCGTGGCTCGTGTCGTAGGACAGCTAGAAGCCTTCAAGTCTCATGGTGGCCCAGGTCTGGCCAAAGCAGAAGCCCCAGCTTGCTCCAGACTTGGCAGGCTCTCTGGAGTTCCCGCCTTGGAGGAAACAGTTCAGGTATGGCTCCCAAGCCCAGAAAAAATGTTGCTGTGGCAGCCTAGAGAGGAGTTTCTGGGGATCCTGTAATTAAATACACATCCCTGAGCTGTGGCCCCAGAAACCCTTGTCTCCAGGCTAACCAGTTTCCAACACTTGGTGGAATGACTGCCGTTTCTCATCCTGACACACAGATAAAACATCATTTCACAGATACTGGACATAGATGCTTCAAGCCAAGGAGAAAGGGAGGATGATCAGTTGCAAAGGCAGAGGGGAGTGCAAGGGAACTCTCATGGGCTGGGGTAGGGGGAGGCAGGGGAGTAAGAGTAGCGGATTTTTTTGTTAAATTTTGTTTGTTTTTTGGGTTTTTTTTTTTTTTACTTTAAAAAAATCAATTAAAAATTCAAAGCTTAATAAAAGGGCTGGTCTGAAAGACTGGATTCTTAAAATAATTGCAAAAATTTCAAAAGCAACAAGGAAAAAAGATACACACCAGGGGCCCAGAGAGGAGGGCCTGGAACCACAGCTCAGCTTTCTGTCCTGCTGAGAGGCCAGGGTTCCCTTAATTCGACCAACCTTGGACATGGCTTAGATGCTGCCCACAGTGGGTTTGTCTGTCTCCATCAGTCCCATTCCCCCAGGAAATCAAGAACAAACAAACAAATGTAGGAAATGGGTAACAGAGCAATGCACCTAGCTCAGAGCCCAGGATTTTAAGGATCTGGTAACAGTGACCATGGCAGGTACTCACCTCCCTGAAAAAGGGTGGCAGGTGAGAGGCAGGTTGATGTGGAGTGGGTGACATTCAGTGATGCCACAGAAACCCTTAGGATTCCCCATTCCTTGCTCTGGTTCTGGGAAACAGGACAGGGAGGATCCTGCTTACTTCCTCCTATCCCTGGGGGCTTGCCCACCTCTCTTGTGAGTGGGGCATAGGGGCTGGGTGTCCTCTGAGCCAGGTTGAGCGCTTTGAGACAGATTCTGGGGAATTTCTCCAGATTAACGACGAGACCACCAAACCTTGCAAAGGACTCCAAAAGTCTACAAAGGCAGCCAGAGAGCATGAATAAGTTCCAAGATGCCAAACTTTTGTCTTGGGACAAGAAAACATCAAAAAGGAGAGGGAGGGAAAGGCTTGCATGTTTCAATGTAGTGCAAGGAGGTGGGATTCTCCTTTTCCATGTAGCTTTCAGAGTCGTATTTTTATGGCATAAAAATTCTCACTCGGCTGGGTGCAGTGGCTCACGCCTGTAATCCCAGCACTTTGGGAGGCCGAGGCAGGCGGATCACGAGGTCAGGAGATGGAGACCATCCTGGCTAACGTGGTGAAACAATGTTTCTACTAAAAATACAAAAAAAGTTAGCCGGGTGTGGTGGCGGGCGCCTGTAGTCCCAGCTACTCAGGAGGCTGAGGCAGGAGAATGGCATGAACCCGGGAGGCGGAGCTTGCAGTGAGCCAAGATCGCACCACTGCACTCCAGCCTGAGCGACAGAGCGAGACTCCGCCTCAAAAAAAAAAAAAAAAAAAAAAAAAAAAATCCTCACTCAAAGTGAGTGCTTTTGGTGGTTGGGGATCAGAGAGAGGGCAGAAAGAGAAATTAGAGAAAACATGCACAACTTTTCTCTCCTTCCACTCGCAAAAAGGCTACCTGTTAACCAAACATTATGGGGAAGAAAGCAAAAAACAAACACACCAAACCTCCCCTCCAACCTTTCTCCGTGTCCTTCAAACCAAATTCACAAATACATCTAGTGGCTGACCTAATGTCTCCACGCTGCTAGCTACACTCCTACCTTCTCCTCATAATACCTGAGTTTGCAATGCAACACATTCACTTTACCCTGTTTAAAAAAAGCCCACGTCATAAAAGGACTGGTGCAGAAGACATTAAAGACGGTCCACAGGTCAGGCTCCGGCTCGGAACACACAGCCACTTTGCTCTGAGATTCTGCAGGGCTCTCGGCAATGAATGGGCTCTTTGTTCTGTGGAATCTGCTGCAAACATTTGTAAAACTGGATTTGTACAATGGCAACTTGCAGAACCTTTCCCCTACTCCACAAATTAACAACTTGCTCTGTTCAATACTACGTTGTTGGAGAGACATGTTCTTGCCTCATCAGAGAGCAATTTCTTTTGACACCCAACACAACGGGTAAAATGTTTAATTTGAAAAGCAATTTCAAAAATAATAATTGGACAGATAGAGGCCTCAGCAAAGAACGATGCTGTACACAGGAGCTGTCTTAGAGAAGGCATCTGTGATATGTGTCTCCTTCCCGATCTGGAGGAAAGCAGCTCAGAGTCTGACCTGTGGCCAAAGAATGTGATCTAGTTGGTTAAATAAAATTCAGGGGAACAAGTATCGTGAACTTAGAAATAAACAGATACACACGAACACACAAGAATCTTCCCACTGACGTGAAAAACATGCTAGCTGGAGCTTTTCCTGAGGAACATGTCTCTTCCTTCTCAGAGCAACTGGGGAAACGGCATTGAGGAGTAATGTTCCGAGTTTTAGATCCATCAAGGGCCAAAATCATCACTCTGCTGGTACCCGTAACATTTCACCAGAAAGAAACAATTACAATCAGACATGGACTACCCAGTATGCACACGACGTGGTGCCCTCCTGGGTAGCTTTACTAGGTTGAGTTGAGGAGACAGCAAACAGCCTTTGACTAAATAGGCAGAAGAAGGTGCCGTGGGCCCTTCCAACCTACCCAGGCATGCAGCCAACTAAGTGGTCTGCTTGCCACACTGGCTGTGAAAGATACCTGGGTGTAGGCAGGACAAGCACCTGAAAGAGTTCAAAGACAGACCTGGTGTAGCGCTGGCCAAAGTCAAGAGGGTAAGGAACACGTCCTGGGATAAGGTGGGGCAGGTAGTGAGAGGTCAAGGAGTCCAGGCCATGTCTGCAGAGGTAGCAGCCGGGCCATTAGGAACCTGAGGTAGTTTAAAGCCCCCCTTCCCTTCCAGGTGCTTCTGGCTCCAGCCCTCCAGGCCTTGGCTGGCCAGTCCACTGCTGAAGTAAGGGGCAGCTGAGCCACTCTGGGCCTTGGGCTTTGTGTCCTGGGTCCCTGAGGAAAACTGGTCTCACTCTGGAGAGAAAAGGAGAACTTGGAGAAGAACTTAGGGGCAACATTTCTGGTCAGCAGACAGGTGAATGGTCCTTCTCATTGTTTAAAAAAGCCTGAAGTTTTCGGATTTAGACCTGAGGGTGCGGTAGGAAGGGGAGGGGAGAGGAACAGATTTCAAAAGGGGAGTGTCTATTCTTTTTGCAGTCTGGCCTTGCCCTACTACCCTTTGAAGAAAACAAGGTGAAAGGAGAATAAATCAGTAGTGGGCACCAGGCTTCAGAACATGGCATTCTGCTCAGCTGGTTTTTCAAAGGGCCAATAGGAAGTCAAATGTGTAAGGGAGTGGGAAGGAGGAAGGTGGGCCTCAGGAGATCCAGGTAAGGAAACTAGGTAGCTGGGGGCCCCGAGGGAGCTGGGAGGCGAGTCCTGTGGATCAAGTGATTGCCAGGACTTTGCCTAGATGGAAAGTTCGCAGTGGTAGACAATGATGGTGGTGCAGGGGTAAGGGGGGCAGCAAGGTGTGAGAACAGAAATTCTTCTGCCCTTAGGACTTGTTGGGTGGAAGGACACCTGCCTTAAATATGGTCACTGTGCCCTACTCTCTTAATTTTCACGCTTTCCAAGGAAAGGACGTGGCTCAATCCTCACCTCCTACCCTGTTGCCGTCTCACCAACCTTGCTTAGTGAATCTCCTAACAACACTTTGCCCCCTTACAGTGTGCCGTTTTATCTGGCAATTCTGTGGCTAAAAAAGGCAATTTGCTCTCTGACAGACAAATGTATGAGTCTGCTGAGAAAATGTGGAAAAAGTAGGGATGGCCACACCCCCCATTTCCATTGAGGTAGTCATCTTTGTCAACATTATGGAAATAGTCATCTTAGCCCCATCCCACCCTCTCCCTCAAAATACAAAAGAACTATTTCTAAACAATGACAACACTGTAACATTAAACATCTTCACATTCTGTAAACTGTAAGAAAATGCATTGGCTGCATTCACACAAAAGCATGTGCATCATGTTGAAGGCCATACATTCAACTCTGTCGTGAAATAAATATATAGAAAAATGAGGTTAAAAAAACAGACAAACAAACAAAAACTCTTCTTGCTATGGAGGCAACGGGAAATGCTGCTCCACAGCCTCCATCTTGGTCTCTCTGGCTTTTCCCTCCAGAGCCTGTCCTGCCCACCCAAGACGCTGTGGTTGGCCTGAGGAGGGCGCCTGGAACAGGTCATTCCTTGCCCACACTGGTCTTGCAGGAATGCAGCACCACCTTAAAGAGGAGGGGCAGCTGCTCCAGGGGCACATTCACCATCTTTCCTGGGAACAAGGGGGGAGAAGAAGAGTTAGCAGTGGTCACTCTAGTGGACAGGCAAGTCAGCCTCCTTGGGCTGGTGGAGGCAGAGTATCACCTTGCTGAGTGACTGGGGCAAGAGAAGTGCCAGGAGTATCACAAAGGTTGGACACACTGGGCTAACATCCTAACATCCAGACCCCTTTGGGTGCCCAGGGAGCCTAGTAATGGTGCCAACTCATCATCATTCTACTACTCAGGGAATACTTAACTCTGTTCTAGGTGGTTAAATGCATTACCTCGTTGAATTCTCACACTATTTCTGTGTACTACTTTTTACCCTCATTTTATAGATAAGGAAGCTGAAACTGACAGGTAGTCCAAAAAACTTCTGTCCTGTTTTCTTCACCCCCTCAACCCCCGGTAGATTTTCTAAGTAATATTCTATAAAATATTGCACTTCAGAATGGTTTAATAGGTTAATAAAAGTACTAGGGGAAAAAGAAGCAGGGGTAAAGAGGCAAATACATTTGAGAAACTCAGGGTTAAAAGAGCTTTACAGATTTCTTGATTGAAGGACTTCTCAGAGCATTCAGTGTGCTAATATAATTTATAAATACCTAAGGCTGTGTTTCTTCTGGCAAACAGTACCTCTGAGTGACCTGGGGAGCCGTTCGAAAACACTGATTATCTCCAGGCTCTACCCCATTCCAATTAAACCAGAATTCTCCAGGTGCAACTCAAACATTGATTTTTTTTTTTTTTTTAAGTTTTCCAGGTGATTGGAAGTGCCGCCAAGGCTGAGGACCCAGTTCTATGGAGGAGAGTGGCATGTAATTGTTGACTTCCTTTTATTTCACAGAGTGCCTGCTTAATATCTCATGTGGTAAACTCTAGCTTAGAAAATACTGAGACAAACTGTCAAAATATCCCTAAAATTCCAATAGTTTAGGCCCAGCTCACATTTGCTAGACTGCTTTGTGGCCCAAGAAATAGAAAAAAAAATTCCCTTGTCAGATTGAAATAATTTTCCTTTAAAATCGTATTGCTTTCTCCAGAATTTTTATGTTGAATTAAAAAACTGTATTGCTGAATTTTACAGGAAGAATCCCGGTCTATAGGTCACATTTCTGAGCTGCCCCTCAGTATCTGCTGGACAGCCAGAACAAGAATCTTTACCACATGAAGCAAGGCAACAACCAAAAAAGCCAGGATTTTATATTGAAATAGACCTATTTAAATGTCAGAAAGCTCAGAAGGGGTCAAGACCACATAGAAACATACATACATACACACACACCCCAATACATAAAATTCCTCTGCAAATACAGGATTTTAAACTTTATTTTTCCTATTCTTATTTTAAATTTTTTAGAGATGAGGTCTCACTATGTTGCCCAGGCTGGTCTTAACTCCTAGCCTCAACTGATCCTCTCGCCCCAGCCTCCTGAGTAGCTGGGATTACAGGCAGGAGCCACTGTGCCCAGCTAAAGATATCACTTTAAATAAATGATCCCTCAAAGCTCATGGGAAATTCTGTGAAATTAAGATAATTTTAAAAATTGAGATATAATTCATGTATCATAAAATTCACTCTTTTAAAGTACACAATTCAAGAAATTAAGTTAATTTGAGATACTCTGAGTCTCTGTTTCCTCATCCATAAAATGGCTATAATATTGCCAACCACCAGCGGAGACTGGTATGAGATTAAATGATATAAGGCCACAAAGTACCCTGCATATCATAAGAGCTCAGGAAATTAACTTCTCTTCTCTATGGAGAATGCAAGCTTCTCATTATAACAGACCTTTTTTGAGGGCAAGGGTGAGAACTCTTTCATGCAGTTGGTGATGGGCTGGAAAGAGCACCCTGAAAACACTGCTTGCCTCATTCCCTTCACAAGCTAAGAGAAGCAAGGAAGGGTTGGGAGCCCAAGACCCAGAATGTTACCTGCAATATATCGAATCTCAGGTAAGCACATCATGAGATCAGGAAAGCGGTTCGGCTGATGTGTGTATTTATATTCAGTAAAATCCTGGCAAATGTACCAGTATCGTTTATTCAATTGTTCCAGCTGTGAGGCACTGGTCAGACCCCTGATATCTGTGGAAAAAAAAAAAACACACACACACATACAGGGAATGGGATGGGCATTCTAATGTGGAAGAAACACCAGCTCCTTAAATATGTTCATTTTTCAACTAAGTTACTAAACATTGTCACAACAGGAGATCTCCTCTGATAGGGAGGAACTAAGTTCTACCTAAGGGAAGAGAAATGAAGAGAGAGAGGAAAAAAATACAGAGGACAGTAAGCAGACAGAGCCCCTCGAGGGTTAAGGCTTCTCTCAACTTCATACCAAACTCCCAAAACAACCAGAGAATACCAGTAAACACTAAACAAATGACTGAATAACCTACCTTTCCAAATTAATCCTTCACAATATCTTTAAATTTGCCCTTCGCTGGAACCAATCAGAAACCTTGCCAATACCTACACATTCATGCTTGTAAAACACACACACACACACACACACACACACACACACACACAGCACCCTCCTATGCGCTTCTGTTCTTAATCTTCTTCCTGGGCTGTCCCTCCATTTTTTTTAGATAGGGTCTCACTCTGTCACCTAGGCTGGAGTGCAGTGGTGTGATCAACAGCTCACTGCAGCTGGCTCAATAGATTCTCCCACCTCAGCCTCCTGAGAAGCTAGGACTACAGGGTGTGTGCCACCATGCTCAACTAATTTTTTAAATTTTCTGTAGAGATGGGGTCTCACTACGTTGCTTGGGTTGGTCTCAAACTCCTGGGCTCAAGTGATCCTCCTGCCTTGGCCTCTCCAAGAGTTGGGATTACAGGCATGAGCCACTGTGCCTGGCCCCTCCATTTTTTCTAAATAGATCTCTCTCTCTCTCTCTCTCTCTATATATATATACACACACACACACCTTTTTTATATATAGAATATGAACATAAATATTCTATATATAAATCTTACCGGCCCTTTGAGGCTCAGCTCAGATTTCTCCTTCTTCAAGAAGTTGCTACTGTTCTCCCCCAATCTGAGGCACAAGTAATACGTCAAGTGCCATCAGAATGTATACTTCTTGAGACCAGAGACCTGAGTCTAAGTTTTCTCAATGTCTTTAATGCTCAGCACAGGGCTTGGCCAAAGGGAAGCATGCAGAACACCAGATAAATGCATGAATGGTGTAAAAGCAGGAAGAGGTTTGGCCAATGTAGGGGTGAGTAGGCCAAGAGGAGAGGAGCTCTGGACTGGAAATGGGACACAGGACGAGGGCACTTGCAATGCCACAGGCAGCAGAACAGCCCAGTGCCACTATAGGAGCAGAGTACACATTAGCTATTTTGGAAAAAAGAGAATACAACCCTCCTCCCTATACTGGTTTTACCAGCAGCTGCCAAGTGCCCCTTTGCAGGTAAGATACCACATAAATCACATCTGGCATTCTTTTAATTAAAAGCCATGCTTGATTGTGTGTATGTGTGTATGTGTGTGTGTGTGTGTGTGTGTGTGTGTTTGTGCACCCCTGCTCTGCCCTGAAGGGGCTGTCAGAACCACTGCCAGCCTGTCACAGAGGCCTTATCTCCAACAGTTTCATCAGTCACTCTGCTCTTCTTCAGTCACTGGTAAACTTGGTACATATTTAAAATGACGCATGTACTGTCCTTGGTGTCTGTGTGCAAATGCATTAAAACTGACTAAACAAAGCGAATCCTCTTCCTTCCTCTATGAGTTATAGAGATTGTGGCATTTCAGTTTGAAGAAAAAAAAAAATCCAAAGCATTCTCGCATTCCCTGTACTATAAGGGTCAGGGTGATGACAAGGGGGTGCACAAGTCTTCCTGGATTGAAACCCAGATGGTGTGATGGATTCTGTGTGATAGTCCTGAGGGTAAGGAGGGGTGAAACAGGAGGGCAAATGCTCACTGCCTGCCTCCCGCACTGCAAACGTCCCTTTTCCCACCCCAGCCACTCACCTTGATTTAGGAAGTTAATTGCTTTCATGCAAGCATACTCCTCGTTGCTGACCTTTAGCTGATGGAACTTGTGATAGAGGTAGATGAGCCGCTCGATCACCTCCATCCCTTCATCACTAAATCTGAGGAACAGACACAGGTGTTAACAGTTGGCTGTGACACCAGTAGGGGCCAGGAAAGGGCAGCCAGAGAGCTCCTACAGCTCCTTAAACAGGCTGAGCTTGGGGGAAATGGGATCCAAAGCCACTTGGGAAGTACAGGCAGATCCATGCTTTGTCTACAGGCCAACGTAGCTCATGCAAGCTGCTTTTTCCAAGGTCAGGTAGAGTCAACCTAGGTTCAAATCCAGCTCCATCACACACAAGCTATGAGATCTTGGCAAGGTCATCTGACCCCTCTATGCTTTGAGGTCCTCCTCTGCAAAATGATAATGCTTGCATTCTTGGGCTAACAAGGGCCCAAGAAGGTCTGGGATATAAATGTGGAGAAGTACAACATTATTAAGATACAGCTATTGTAGAGATTCAGCCTCTGGTATCAATGGCAGCTGCCATGGTGACTCTATGTGAGCCTCTGCCACACTGCAAAAAAAGCTGCTGATTGTATTTGCTTGTGTTAACTGTTTCCAGCAGAGCTGAGGTTATGCATAGTGAAAATTTTTATTGGCATCCCTGACTTTGGCAGGAGGGAGGAAAACGTTAACTGAGTTTCCATACCACGCCATCCTCTGTGCTGGGCACTTTGTGAGCATTATCACATTTAATTCTCTCAACCCTATGAGCTAGGTGAGATAATCATCAGCACTGTACAAATGAGCAACTGAAGTTCAAAGAAGGGAGGGTCTGGTCCACAAATACAGTTAATTGGTGACAGAGTAGGAATTTGGAACCTGAACCCAAAGCCTTGGTTTTTCCAGTATCTAAGGTGGTGTACCCTAGCAGAAGTGGCTCAAAGCCCCCATGCTCTTTTCTTTGGGTCTAGGAGTGAGCTCTCTGAGGAAAGACCAAGTTTTAGGCAACGGAGCCCCAGGCTAGGCCACCCCAGGGGATTAATGTTTTGGGTATACTTCATACCAGAGATGGAGATACCATAAAACCAAGGAGGCAAACACTTAATCAGGAAGCAGGAGTTTATAAAAGACGAGGTCAAGTCTGGCCTGAGTCATTCTAGGAGTGGCCTGGCTAGTGGGCAGTGGGTCCCAGAATAGGCCTTAGATACAGCTCAGTCACAAAGAGAAGCAGCTTAGCTTCAGGCATGCTTCCTGGTGAGATCTTCAGATCTGCGCACTACAGGCCTGTGCCAAGCCAAGAAGGCCCTATCTGGGTAGGGTCCAGAACACCTGGGGATGAACTATTGCTTTCTGGAATCTACTGCTTTCTGTGTTAACTTTGAAGGCTTTGCAGGCTTAGGCTTCCTGGACAAGCAGGACACTTTCTCTTGCTTGGGGAAAGCCTGGCTCTGGTTGGGGCCAGAGGCTCCTGCCCTTTTTAAGTACCAAGGGGAGCCTCAGCAGCAGGTAGAACTAGTTCTCTGTATCCATGGGTTCTATATCTCTGGGTTCCACCAACTCCATCAAAAATATTTTTTTTACAAAACAATACAACAATAAAAAAAGACAAATTTTTAAAACACAATATAATGGCTGGGTGTGGTGGCTCACACCTGTAGTCCTAGCACCTTGGGAGGCTGAGGTAGGCAGACTGCTTGAGCCCAGGAGTTCACGACCAGCCTGGGCAACATAGCAAAACTCCATCTTTACAAAAAATACAAAAATCAGCTGGGCATGGTAGTGCGTGCCTGTGGACCCAGCTACTCGGGAGGCTGAGGTGGGAGGATCACCTGAGCGTGGGAGGTTGAGGCTGCAGTGAGCTGTGACTGTTATCACTGCACTGGCCTGGGCAATAGAGTGAGACCCTGTCTCAGAAAAAAAAAATAAAACAAAAAACCAAAAACCAAACCAACCAACCAACCAACCAAAAAACCTAAAAAAGAAAAAAAACAACCTCCCCCAACAAAAAACCAGTGTAATAACTATTTACATGGCATTTACATCACTTATATCGCATCCAGTATTATAAGGATTCTAGAGCTGATTTAAAATATATAGGAAGATATGCGTAGATTATACACAAATACTACACCATTTTATATGAAGGACTTGAACATCTGTAGATTTTGGCATCCATGGGGGTCCTGGAAGCAATCCTCCACGGATACTGGAGATGACTGCACATGCAATCTGGAACGTTGACCTTCGGCCTTGGCATGGCTCCTAGTATGAGCTGGGGATTCTTTTAGCTGATTTGAGCTACTATGGCTGACTCAGTTTCTCTCTACCTGGCCCAATGGCTTTTACAACTTTACTGATACATTCCCAGCCTGGCCGATACATTCATATTGAATAACCACAATAACCACCAATCTATAATACCGTTTCTACCACTCTACCATTTGTTGAGTGTCTGCTACCTGCGAGGCACATTAAGTATTCTACATTTAATCTTATTGATATTCCCAATAAATTCACAGAATGGATACAAATCATAACCCCCTTTGTTTACATGTGGAAATGAAGGCTCAGGGAGTTATTTACTGAGTCTCTATTATGTATTAGGCCTTTTCATATGCATTCTTACACTTTACCTTCCTGATAACCTGGAAGGATACATAGTAAGTATCACTTCCATGTTAGGGATGAGGAAGCAGAAAAAGAGATGGCTACCCCAAGGTTGCACGGGAAGTAAATGGTAGTGGTGGTGAGGCCAATGTTCAAACCTAGGTTTTCTAATTCCAAGCATATGGACTTTTCTCAGCACTACACTGCCTACCCTTGATCCTGTCTTGTTCTTAGCTGCTACCTGGAAAAGGCTAACCACATACTACCACAGGGGACCTCAGGAGTTGTGTCCCCACAGCAACTCAGAGCAGGGCCCAACCTTGGGAGGATGTCAGGTCTGCTACAGTGCACAGAACTGCCACTGCAAGTGCCTCCAGGATGCTAAGACTTGCAGGAGGCGGTGTGCCTGGGAGTGAAGACCACTCCTCATCATAGCACTGTGTTGGATATTTATGTTCTTGGGAGTGGGAAAAAAAGTTCTTTACTGCCAATTTCTTTCAGTATCTGACTGGAGGGGTGGGGATGAAATGGGGTAGGGCACAAAAAAGGAGGACACAACGGGAGAGGCAGTGTCAGCATCTGTCTGGTGGCCTAGTATGTAGCAAGCAAAGATAATGCTCTGTCCTTTAATCAGCAACCCCTTGCCCCAAGTGTTCACTCTGGCACTCCAGACCCTGCAGGTGTGTGGCTATCAGCCAGACCCCTAGCCAGGAGTGCCAAACCTGTTCCTGGCTGACTCTTGACCTGAGGGACACAAAGGAGTTCCCAAGTGCCTGGCCTGTCCATACACCCTAGATCTGCCCTTTCTCTTGCGGACAGCACATCCTTCTTTTCCAAAATTCCTCCAACAGGCAGCCACCGTGGACCCCCAGCAGTGATGGGGGCTGGCAGCCAGCCTAGCAGCCCCCACTCAGTCTCCACAGCCTGACTGCAAAGCTTTCCTCCACACCCCGCATCCCACCCCTTGATAAACAAAGTTGTTCTCTGTTCCACGGGCCTGCCTTTGCCTGCAGCCGTGCCTCCTCCACATCTGCCCACTCCAGTTTTAATGCCCCTGTATTCACTGTCTACAAATTATCAGCATTCAAAGCCAGAAAGTTGGACAAACACACCCATTCTTCTTCTAGGTTCCCATTACACAAGCATGCTGGGACAAGGAAAACATTCCTGCCAGGATCCCCCAAACCACTGGACCATTCAGTCAGCAATTGAAACTGACACTATGTAAGTTATGTCCCATTAAGGGGGCTGAGAAACTCAGTTGTCTCTTTTTCATTGATCTAAATGCACCTACCCCCAGGAGTGGCCATCAGCCACAACCTTAGAGAAACTGCCATCTCAGCACCCATGTAAAGACTCCAAGACGAAAACTAAGACTAGTTTCAGGACAAATTCCAGAAAGTCAAACCTTTTGAAAATGCTCTGGGAAAATAAGAATTTAGTATAAGGCAATGTTAAAGAGGCTGGGCATTGGAGCACAACAGATACAGGTGATAAACTTAGCTCCATCTCTATCTTTGTAGCCTTTAATTTTCACCTCTCAACCTCATGCTCCTCATCTCTAGAACAGGGATAATATTAGTGCCAGTCACACAAGGTAGCAGTAAGAATTCAACAAATAATGTATGTAAGGCACTTAAGATAGAATTTGGCATAATTGTTAGCTGTTATCATTACAAATAGCATCATCATCTCTCTCCCATTATTGTAGCAAAAATAAAAGCCTGTTTCCTGAGCCTTATAGTTAGGCAGGGAAGCTGGGAGGCAACTTTCCAGAGATCTAGCAGAAATGGAGCTGGTGCTCATGAGATAGAGGTACCCATTAAAGCCCATCTAGCTCAAGGCATCTTCTCCTGAGAGGAGTCTTGATTAGGGCCAGGAGCAGTCACTGGCTGGTGCTACAATCTGCTTTAAATCAAATTCACCCGGTTCACTGTCTGATAACGGTGTGATTAAGGAATATGGGCACCATAAATTTGATTCAATATTTGAGAAGAGAAAAGGAGGTGATCATGTATCATCTGGGAAAAGCCTTTCCATGACAGCAGGAACTCACTTGCACTCAAGAGTTGTGAAGAAGTAAAGGCCATCTGGGGGAGTGGGAGCAAGGCAGTAGCAGGCAAGGTAGGAGAGTGCTATGGCCAATTACAGACTCCACAGCCTGGGTTTCTAGCAGAGCGGTTACTGCTTTCCAGTGGTTAACCTGACTCTAGAGGTTCTTCCACTTCCTATGACCTCCTAGGCAGTCCTACATGCACCTCAGACTCCACAGACACCTAAACCAAACTCAGAGTTACTCATCTCCCATCCTGATCTTCCCTGCTCCTTCATCCTGGCTAAGAAAATTGGTGCCCACCTGCCTGGCTAGTCCAAAAAATCAGCAGTCATCACCAACATTTTCCACTCGCTGAAGTCCCACTGACTTTATCTCCTTGACATCTCTTGGCTTTGTGCTCCACTCTCTGTCTCCACAGTCACTGCTGCTTTGTCCAGGCCTTGTTCCCTTTTACGTGGGCTATGGAACAGCCTCCTTCCTACCCAGCCACCATGCTCCGGTCTTGTCCACGCCAATCCATCCTGAACTTTACTGCCATAGAGATCTTTCTAAAATGCAACCTGACTCTGTAATTCCTCCACTTAAAAACTTCCCAAGACTTAATACTAGTTACACAACAAACCCCAAATTATTTAGATTGACATTTGAGCACCTTCATGACCTGTCTTGCCTGTATCTTTCTCTCTAGTCAATTCTCCCCTCATTTCTCTGTCTTAGATACATTCTCTTTATACCCTAAATCCACAAAATTGCTTTTGATTCCCTGCACATAGCAACCATCCAGGATCTCTAACTTCTAGGACTTTGTGTTATCTCCTGCCTTCCTTCCTTCCTGTTCTCTACAACGTTCCTAGAAATTCCCACTTCAAGGTGCAGCTCAAATGTCTGTTCCTCTGGTAAGTCTTCCCTGACCCTGTGAACAGACGTACTCACTCCTTGGTCTATGCTTGTACAGTTCTCTTCGGATGCCCCGCCATCTCCACCAACACAACCCTGCACTGTAAGCTGTATCTGCTTCTTTTTGCCTCCCAGTCCACTAAATCAAGGATAGGGACTCTGAGTCAGAAACCATGTCTGCATCACCTGTGATCCCAGCTTCCTCCCCACAAAACACATGATACTCAGTAAATGGCCATGGAATCAGAACTAACATGTTGAAGTTTAACTGTTATTTTTGCATCGATGGATTCCACAGTAGAGTCCTAACAACAAATCCATTCCTATTCTCAGAAGCCACTTGACAGCTCAGCAGCAACACATGTTCTAAAGACAGCAACGCTCAATAAAACTTTATGTGATGATAAAAATGATCTTTATTTGTACTAGTAGCCACTCGCCACGTGGCTACTGAGCACTTGAAATGTGGCTGGTGCAAATGAGAACTAAATTTCTAATTTTAATAAATTTACATTTTAAAAGCCAAATGAGGCTAGTGGCTACTGTAGTGGACGGTACAGCTTTAGATCCTCCTTGATGAGAAAAATTCCTACCAAGGAAGGAAAAGTTTCCTCACTACTTCTGCTGTTACTGACTTCTGCCTTGGTCTTGGGGCTTAAGGGACTGGCTACAGTGAGATGGGATGCATTATGAAGCTCAAAGCCAGAGAACCCTGTACTGCCAGTGACCCCTGCCTGCCTGCAGAGGGCCTGGGCAAACCCATTACTTGGAAGTGGAGTCCAAAGGCTGATCCTGTAGTCCCAGGCCGAACTGGTAGATTCCAGGCACCCAGAGAGGCTGGGATCCTTGGGCCAGCTCTGCAAACCCTGACAGCATCAGAGCAGGCTGACTGCTATCCAAACACCCCTATGGAGCAGAGTTATGGAGCAGGAGACAGGAATTTGATGGAAACAATGAATTAGAGTCTCTGGACAAGGGGTTAGGTCAACTGCAAAATCAGATAGCTCTATTTACCAGACAGAGTGTCAGCTGGGTTCAAAACTCTGTCATTTACAGATCACCCTGAAGCCAGTAAGCATCATTAATAAGGAAATATTAGAAAACAAGTAGAGAGAGTCAGCAAGCTGACTCCTCCCTCCCCTAGCTGTGCAAAGGGCCCTTGCAGGTCTTGGAGCACTGTGCTCTTCCTGAGTCTTGGCTTGTCTTTATGCCACAACTGGGTGGGAGGGGGAGATGGATCCCAGTTCTGTGAAGAAAGTGTAAGGGCTGCTACTTTCCCCTCTCCAACTTTCATGGATAGGGGCACCTTTTTTTTTTTTGAGACGGAGTCTCGCTCTGTCGCCCAGGCTGGAATGCAGTGGTGCAAACTTGGCTCACTGCAAGCTCCACCTCCCTGGGTTCACGCCATTCTCCTGTCTCAGCCTCCCAAGCAGCTGGGACTACAGGCGCCCGCCACCATGCCCGGCTAATTTTTGTATTTTTAGTAGAGACGGGGTTTCACCATGTTAGCCAGGATGGTCTCAATCTCCTGACCTCGTGATCTGCCTGCCTCAGCCTCTCAAAGTGATGGGATTACAGGGGTGAGCCACCGCACCCGGCCAGGGGCACCTTTTCTTTTCTCCTTCTTGGTGCCCTGGAATCCCATGACTTCCAGTATTTTGAATTGGCCAATAAAGGTCATTTATTGAAATGTCTATTTAAATACAAACTAAGCATTATAAGACTTTTTTTTTTTTTTTTTGAGACGGAGTTTCGCTCTTGTCGCCCAGGCTGGAGTGCAATGGCACAATCTCAGCTCACTGCAACTTCCACCTACCAGGTTCAAGCGATTCTCCTGCCTCAGCCTCCCAAGTACCTGGGATTACAGGCATGCGCCACCACACCTGGCTAATTTTTGTATTTTTAGTAGAGACAGGGGTTCTCCATGTCAGTCAGGCTGGTCTCGAACTCCCAACCTCAGGTGATCCACCTGCCTCGGCCTCTCAAAGTGCTGGGATTACAGGCATGAGCCACGTGCCTGGCTATAAGACTTTTCATATGGATTAACAAGGCAGAAAGTCATCTCAGCAGATCATCTGTCTTGATTTTAGGGGTCAGAAAATATGGTCACCCTGTGCTCCAGGTCTGCAGAGTAAATGAGTAAAAAGTGTGCTTGGACAGGCCCCAGAACAGCAGGGAGACAACCCACTCTGGACAGGGAGGTTTTAAGGATACTGGACAGCTGGGATAAAATTTTATGCCAGAAAATGACAAAGAGAATAGCTCAGTCTTTTAGTCCTATCCTTTCAACATCTCACCACATCTCAGACGGAGTCAAAGAACCTAAGCTTTTCAGGCAGGCAGGCATATGCTCAAATCTAAGGCTCTGGATTCAAATCCCAAACCCTTATGGGAAAGTCTCTCTGAATTTCAGTTTTCTCATCTATAAAATAGGCACAACACCACCTATAAGGCTGGAGGCTGCGAGAAAGAAAGAAGACAATTAAAAATATCTAGTCTAGACCGGGCGCAGTGGCTCACGCCTGTAATCCCAGCACTTTGGAAGGCAGGCGGATCATGAGGTCGGGAGGCCGAGACTATCCTGGCTAACACGGTGAAACCCCATCTCTACTAAATATACAAAAAATTAGCCGGGCGTGGTGGCGGGCCCCTATAGTCCCAGCTACTTGGGTGGCTGAGGCAGGGGAATGGCATGAAACCGGGAGGCGGAGCTTGCAGTGAGCCAAGATTGCACCACTGCACTCCAGCCTGGGTGACAGAGCCAGACACCGTCTCAAAAAAAAAAATCTAGCCTAATGCCTGGCACACTATAGGCACCAAAATGACCCCTAGGTCTCTTTCTTGGATTGTAAACTCCAGTTCAGAGCCTCTCTTGCCTTGTAGGCAGAATTTATATTTTTATTTTTCCTGGATGCGTTATCTCAGTAATCCAAGTATAATAAAGATCAGCTGGGTGCAGTGGCTCACACCTGTAATCCCAGCACTTTGAGAGGCTGAGACGGGTAGATCACTTGAGGTCAACAGTTTGAGACCAGTCTCGCCAACATGGTGAAACCTCGTCTCTACTAAAAATACAAAAATTAGCCAGGTGTGGTGGCAGGCACCTGTAATCCCAACTACTTGGGAGGCTGAGGCAGGAGAATCACTTGAACCCGGGAGGCAAGAGTTGCAGTGAGCCAAGACTGCGCCACTACATTCCAGCCTGGGCGACAGAATGAGACTCTGTCTCAAAAAATAAATTAATTTAAAAAAAATTACAGCTTAGCATTCTGCTAAGCTTGAATGCATAAAATGTATTCCTAACAACCATCTTACTGGGGAAATTGTGTTATCACCCCATTTTACCAGTTCAGAACCTGAGGATCAGAGACTTGGCCAAGGTCACAAATCTAGTCAGTGGCAGAGTGAGGATTCAAATCCAGGCCTATGAGGTGTAGTGCCTATCCTCTGAAGGGCCAGGCAACTCTGCCTTACAGGGATGACAATTGTTTGGTTGTTTGGTATTTCCTCCCCAGCCAGGAGGCCTCACCTGTGTAGTTCTTCATCGGAGGGCGAGTACTTGGCAGTGACATCAGCCAGTTCCCCAAAGATCTGCTTGCTGTAAACGGTGAGGGAAGACAGCAGGATTAGCTCCTGCCACGTAGAGCTCAAGAGGCACGTGTAATCCTTGATTGAGAGCTCGCAGAAGAAAGGCAGTTTCTTGATCCAGGCAATCTGCCTAAAGAGCAGCTCGTCGGCCAGGCGGCAAAGCAGGGCAAATAGTTCTGCCTGTGTCACAGCGTATCTGAGGGGCAGGGACAGGGGAAAGTCACTTCCATTGGTCAGAGGGTGAGGATAAGGGTACAGAGAGAAGGTAGTCCCAAGGGCACAAAGGGACCCTGGCAATGGGCTCCTTGCTCCATGCCCACGGGTCTCCAGTTCCATTCAGTGTGATTTTCTGATAAAGGGGGAAGGCTGAGGCCAGCAGCAAGTTCAGGGCTGGAGAGGCGGGTCTGGTGAGGAAAGGCTGCTAAGGGGAAAGGAGACTTAGAAATGTGTGCAATTGGCTGGGTGCAATGGCTCATGACTGTAATCCCAGCACTTGGAGGCCACTTGAGTTCAGGAGTTCGAGACCAGCCTGGCCAACATGGTGAAACCCCATCTCTACTAAAAATACAAAAATTAGCCGGGCGTGGTAGCACATGCCTGTAATCCCAGCTACTCGGGAGGCTGAGGCAGAGGCAGAAGAATCACTTGAACCTGAGAGGCGGAGATTGCAGTGAGCTGAGATTGCGCTAATGCACTTCAGCCTGGGTGACAGAGCAAGACTCTGTCTAAAAAAAAAAAAAAAAGAAATGTGTCCAATTGTCAGGGAATATGACTTTTATTGTTGGTGTTCTCTAATGTTCCATGTCTTAGAGAAAATCCAAGTCACTCCTGTTCAAGTTCTGGCAATGGAACTCTAATGGGGTGGATCTGATGCCCACCTAACAAAGGAACTGGCACAAAAATAAGCCTCGCGTCCAGACCACTGAAGGAAAGAGAACAAGTTCAGAAGATTTTTCTGCTCTCACTCCACCCCCTGGTGGTGAGTTCAGGAACCAGCATTGCTCAGCCTTTCCTTTAAGCTAAAACTGGAATAAAAGCCGGCTTTGAGACCACAGACTCACAGACCCAAGAGTTTCAGCTTTCTTCCTCTCAAGGCCCCTTGCCAAGACTTTTCCTCACACTCCCACATCTAAATTTTTTTTTTTTTTTTTTTTGAGACGGAGTCTCACTCTGTCACCCAGAGCTGGAGTGCAGTGGCGCAATCTCGGCTCACCGCAACCTCAGCTCGCTGCAACCTCCACCTCCTGGGTTCAAGCAATTCTCCTGCCTCAGCTTACTGAGTAGCTGCGATTACAGGCGTGTGCCACCACACCCAGCTAATTTTTGTATTTTTAGTACACACGGGGTTTCACCATGTTGGCCAGCTCGTCTGGAACTCGTGACCTGGTGATCCGCCCACCTAGGCCTTCCAAAGTGCTGGGATTACAGGCATGAGCCACCACGCCCGGCTTCCTACATCTAGATTTACAAAGGGTTTGTGTGACCTCCTTGTGGGTAGATATTTTAATCTCCTCTTCTGAAACTGGAGACTAGCTTAAGAAATCTCAGGATACCTTCCTGGGAGGTCTAAGCTTGATAACACTCAAATCGTTTATGCTCTAGGCCAAAGGAGTAATGGATGCAGCAATGGGTAGGCCCGAAGGCTGAACTGTTATCTCCTCAGGTAGAAGTGACTAAAGACTGAAAGAATACTCCTTCTACCCACTCAAGCCTGCACTTAAAGTGGTCACATGCCACCAGGCTAGCCATGGGGATGCTGGTGAGGGGTGCAGACAGGCTACAACCAGCCAGGGCTTTGTGAAGGAGCCTATATCCGATATATAACTATTCCCAGAATTACTGCTCATCTCTAGCATGGAAGTGCTCTGACCCATCCCAGCACCTGGCTTACCTAGGCCCAAGCAGAATCAAAGGCCCTTCTATCTCAATTCCATAGGAACTGGAAAGTAACCTCAACTCTATGAGAAAGGATGCTTAAGGAAAAAATAAGGGATCACTGGTTTCAAAGATAAGCACAGATTTGTCCCCTGACACTTGAGTCATTATCCCCCCAACTCATTCTGAAGCCACGGGTATAGGAGCCAGGGACGCGAGTGGGTGTGGGGTAGGGACACTTTGAGACTGCAAGGGGCCAAGAAGGGCGGAGCTCACTCACCCATCTTCAATCAACATGGGCGTGCCCAATGGTTCCAGGTCCTCGGCTGATAACAGCTGGTGAATCAGACTGTATGACTGGGGATCCAGGCTGCGAGCTTGTTGGGGCAGAAGTGGTGAGTGGCCAGAATAGCTAAAAAGGTGCGGTATATATTGGTAATGTGGAGGCACAGACATTCCCATGTACTGTTCCCTGAAGGCCATGAATCCATTCAGTTCCACAGACCTACTGGAGAGAAAAGTCTTGCGTCAAACAGAGCCATGGCAAGTCTAGTAATTACTCAAAGGAAGTGAGCCAGAAGGTGACTTTAGGTATTCTTTGAACATGAGGTATGTGTCTTCATCAAGCCAGGGGGCATAATTAATAGTTAAATTCATGTCTCTCCTACTAGATTCCCATCTGTAAGACAAAGACTCTATGGGTATATGAATGTTGGGGTCGCCACTGGACACTCAGTGCATGGCAGAGTAGGTAATGAATAAATATTGGTTGAATGAATTCTTTGTATAGGTGCCATGTCTGGACAGTTTTTTAACAGATACTTGTAGACTATGATGACAAAGTAGGTATTTATATTATAATACTGCTAGGAAAACTAAGGCACAGACAGGCTAAGTCCTGGCTAGGCCACAAAACAAATCCAGCATCTAGCAAGGAACCCGGCATGTGGCAACAACCCCCTAAATAGTCCAAGGAAAGAACAAACGAAGGGGCACCTGAATGGGATAAAAGCTTTAATTAAATATGAAGACAAAGGTAGATTTTTGCCTTCCTTTCCTTTCTTGGAGAAAGCTAACCACTCTGTCAACTAATTAAAAAAAAAAAAAAAACCTAAGCCAGCCACAGTGGTGTGCACCTACAGTTTCAGCTACTTGGGAGGCTGAGGTGGAAGGATCACTTAAGGCTAGGAATTTGAGACAAGCCTGGGCAACATAGCAAGACTCCATCTCTTTTTTTAAAAAAAAAAGTATTTAATTAACAACGACAACAACAAAAAAAGACAGAGTCTTGCCATGTTGCCTAGGCTGGTCTTGAACTCCTGGACTTAAGCAATCTACCCACCTTGACCTCCCAAAGTGCTGGGAATACAGATGTGAGCCACCATGCCTGGCATCTCTTAAGAAAAAAAAAAATCTTCCAGCTTTTGCCTAAATGTATCTCCTATAACTGGGGTTGGCAAACTTTGGCTTGCAAGCTAAATCCAGCCCACTGCCTATTTTGGAACACAGCCATGCTCACTGGTTCACATAATGTCCATGGCCATAGCTGTTTTCACACTACAAAGGCAGAATGGAGAAGCTGAGATCCAAACCATTAGGCCCGGAAAGCTGAAAATATTTACTATCTGGCCTTTGCAGAAAAAGTTTGTCAATCCATATCCTATAAGAAAGGTTTCTGGGGAAAGGAAAGCTTCCCTAATAGCTGAAGGATCTATTTCACACTCGACAACTAACTAAAGATATGCTTGAACCAAGAGTTTCTAAGTTTGTATTCTCTGATAGCAGCAAATTTGACTGGCTTAAAAAGCCTTCAATGTTTCTTAAAATTTATAAAGTGAAAAACATTGACTCTTGTGAGGCAGAGAAATTACAGTTTAATTCAAAACTGTCAAAAAGGTTTATTTCAGTGATAAAATAAATGAGGGAAAATGGCAACATTTAAAATGTTATTCTGTTAGGTGAAGAATGCACGGGCATGGATAGAAGCTATAGCACTTTATCAGTCTGCAGAAGAGACCACTGACATTTTCAAGGTCTTTAGCATAAAAGGGGCTGGGAAACACTGTTTTTAATCTTCCTGACCCCTACTCCAAGAGTCTGAGGGAGCAACAGTACAATGGCTGAGACAGCCTGGCAGGGATACTCAGCCAGAGGTTTTCTGTAGCTCTCCCTTTGGTGGGGGATCCCTAGATGATGACCATGGGTTTGCCTTAAAGCTCACCTGGAAGACAGTGTGGAGCCTGGTGAGGGCTGGTTGCTCTCCGAAGCCCTGTTCCCAGGGGAACTGTGGTCACTATCACCATGGTTGCTCCAGTGATTGGCCTCTTCCTCAAACTCCTGCCCAGACATGATCCTTTCGATTTCTTCTTCCGATATCTTTGACAAGGAATTGAGACATGTTAGATGGGTGCTCAGGACACTTGCTCTTTCTTCAGGACTGAGAGCTTATTTAAATCTCATAGGATTTCCCAGAAACCTAGGTTCCCTCTCCTCCATCCCCATATTCCGGGCCTCTCACTAATCTTAGGACGGCGTGGCTTCCTTCCTACTGGCACCATGGCCCTTCGTGGCCTTCCTCCTGCTCATTTACACTACTCTCAAGCCGTGAAGCCTCAAGGTTCTTTCAACTCCTTTTTGTCCTTGAGGCTATTCTTTCCTAACCCTGAAACACCACTCCTCAATGACAATCTCCTACTTGCCCTTTAAGATTCAATTCAAATGTCACCTCTTGCCAGGCATGGTGGCTCATGCCTGTAATCCCAAAACTTTGGGAGTTCCAGGAGTTCAAGACCAGCCTGGACAACACGGTGAAACCCGTCTCTACAAAAAATAGAAAAATTAGTTGGGCCTGGTGGTGCATGCCTGTAGTCCTACCTACTCTGGAGACTGAGGCAGGAGATTCTGGCCTAAGCTCAGAAGATTGAGGCTGTAGTGAGCCATGATTGCACTAACCCACCCCAGCCTGGGTGACAGAGCAAGACCCTGTCTTAAAAGAAGACAAAACAAAACCAAACAAAAAACCCCAAATGTCATGTCCTTTGTGAGGCTTTCTACCACCACATTTTGGATACTCTCTTCAACAAATAGTGCTGGGAAAACTACATCCACATGCCCCGCCCCCAGCCCCCAAAAGACATCGACCCCTTATACCGTTCACAGAAGTCAACCTCAAAATAGATTAAATATTTAAATGTAAGACCTAAAACTATAAAACTCCTTGGAGAAAACACAGGGGAAAATCTTCATAAAACTGGTCTTGCCAGTGATTTCTTGGATACAACACCAAAAGTACAGACAACAGAACAAAAACAGCCAAGTGTGACTACATTAAACTAAAAAGCTTCTGTGCAACAAAGGAAACAATCAACAGGGTAAAAAGATAACCTATGAAATGGGAGAATATATTATCATACATTTGATAAGGGGTCAACATCCACAACATACAAGGAACTCCCATAACTCAGGAACAGAAAAAAAACAAAACAAAACCCACTGAAAAATGAACAAGAAACTTGAACAGACATTTCTCCAAAGAAGACAAATGACCAATAGGTATATAAAAAGATGCTCAATATCACTTATCATCAGGAAAATACAAATCAAAACTTGAAGATATTACCTCACACCTGTTATGTCTGTTGTATGTAAAAGAACACAACAACAACAAAAAAACCCCAAAACAAACAAACAAACAAACAAAAAACCAGTCCAGAAAATAACAAGTGCTGGTAAGGATGTGAAGAAATGGAAACCCTTGTGCACTGTTAGTGGGAATGTAAAACGGTGCAACCACTATGGAAAACAGCATGGAGGTTCCTCTAAAAGTTAAAAATAGAAACACCATATGATCCAGCAATCCCATCTATGGGTATTAATCCAAAAGAACTGAAATCAGGATTGTGAAGAGATATCTGCACTCCCACGTTCACTGCAGCATTATTCAAAATAGTCAAGAAGTGAAAACAATTTAAGTGTCTGATGACAGAGAAATGCATAAAGAAAATGTGATATATACATAAAACACCTTAAAAAAGAGGAAAGTCCTGTTATAAGCTATACCAAGGGGGAACCATGATGACATTACACCAAGTGCAATAAACCAGTCACAGAAGCACAAATACTGCATGATTCCACTTTATGAGGTATCTAAAGTAGTCAAACTCTTATAAGCAGAAAGTGGAATGGTGGCTGCCATGGGCAAAGGGAGAGGAAAATGAGGAACTGCTGTCTAATGAGTATAGTGTTTCAGTCATGTAAGATGGAAAAGTTCTAAAGATTTGCTGTATCAGAGTGTGTATATAGTTAACAACACTGTACTGTATAATTAAAATTTTGTTCAAAAGGTAGATTTCATGTTATATGGTTTTTACTTCTGCCATAATAAAAAAGAGCAGCTATTAGTCCAGACCAAGAAACAAAAAGAATTTGTAAGACATATATATGACTTGAATAACGAGAATAAAAATGTTTTAGAAAAAAAGAATAAACACAGCAGAGTTGGGAATCACACAGCCTGATTGAATGTACGCTGTGCTCATATGATAAGAAATCCCCCAAACATCATCAGTGTATGTCTTAAGACAACTCCGAACACCTTTCTTTCATTCCCTCACATTTAACTGGCTAAATCCTATAAATTTACCCAGTAAATATCTCTTGAGTCTATTCTCTCCCCTCTATCTGCACTGCCATTGCTCTGCTTCAAACTATTATCTGTATCTCTTGCCTGTACTTCTGTGAAAACCTTCTAACTGCTTTCTCTCTCCCTCAGTTTTACTCACCCTCACCTCACTCCTCACAAACCATTTCTACCTGCTAGAATGATCTTCCTAAAATGCAAATCTAAATAAAACCTTTTAGTGGTTGCCTCTTGGCTCATACCAGTAACAATAATAGTTTTTTAAAATTTTATTTGATTTTTTGGTAGAGACAGGGTCTGTCTTGCTATGTCGCCCAGGCTCGTCTTGAACTCCTGGCCTCAAGCGATCTTCCTGCCTCAGCCACCCAAAGTGCTGGGATTACAGGCGTGTGCCACTGCTCCTGGCCACTAGTAATTCCTAAGGCATGCTCTCTGCCTACTAATGTGCCAAGGGATTCACCTGATGGGCAGAGATATATCCAATTTTCTACCCTCATGAAGCTCTTCTGCTGGCAAGTAAGAACAACGGGTAAGAACAAGTGGTGCAGGCTGGCCCAACAAAGACTTTTCCTAAGGAGCTGTAGTCAAAGACTTGAAGGCCACTCCCTAATGAACTGATTCCAAATTCAAGGATTCTGCCTTATCTTCTGCCACTCTACTACATGTGCCCAATGTTGCAGCCTAATTGAACAAACTCCTTGTCATAAAGATTCATCGTTGGGTCTCTTCACAGTCTATTTTCTTGAGTGTCTCTAGTCCCCAACCACGGCTCTAGCCCAAGCAGAATAGATGCCCCTCCCTCTGTAGTCCCTGGGCATCCTCTGTTACCTCTCACCTTACTATGATGTCTGTTTACCTATCTGTTTCTCCCATTAGACTGAGTTCACAGTATAGGGCCTGGAAGAGTAGGAACTCAGTAAATGTTTGTGGGATTGAATGGGGGTATTATCATTCCTACTCTACAATAAGACAATAATATTCTGCTGATATATTTTTTAGATGAAATGAACAAAGCAAAGTAGTCTTGCTCATTTCTGCCAGGCTTAGTTATCTATAACCTTAAGGACTGATCAAAAAGTCCTCTGGATGGTTCAGAACCATAACTGGGTTCACTGTCTGTGAAATCCTTAGGAAAGGCTGAGGGATCACAGGAAGAGCTTTAATCATTAACTTACATATTTAAGATTTTCAAAGCACTTTCACATCCAGGATGTAAAAGCACTTTTACAGAAATGAAAGCAAAGATGGCTCTCCTCAGCAGCAGATGAAAGAGTCAAGGTGAGCAGTTTCAGGAACAGCTGGAGCCCTGGGCTTCCAGGACGGACCACAGAGACTGAGGTCTAGAACTCACCTGGACTGGCCCAATGCTCTTATTCCGGCCTCCAGGCATGCCATCTTCTCTGATAGCTGGAAGGAAAGATAAGTCAAGAAAGGCAGTCAGAAGCACACTCATATAAGTCTTAGCACAAAAAGAGAGTTTACTTGGCCAAAAGCATAAGACAGTAATTAGTGAATCCAACATTAAAACACAGGTCCTTCTGGATCCAAAGCACACAATTCTTTCTATTATTCCAGGCTCCTTCATAGGCAGCAATATTTTGGGGCCCCCAAGGCATTGCGTACATACTACACACACTGTATACATTCAATATGTTCGAAAAAGGTGATAGCACTGCTCACTAGTCCTTCAGTTACAAACATCCTGCCAGGATGATGCATCTTAAGGTTTTGACAAATTCTAGGGGAGGGACAGAGTATTTCCATTTTTAAATAAAATAGTTTGTATTCCCAGCCTAAGTTTAGATTTGATTTGTAGAATCAGAACAGGTTTTTTGGTTTTTTTCATTAATCAGAATTTTGACCTCAATGGTTTCTCCCTGCAAAGGCAGTCAGTAGAGCACCTGTGTAGTCGAAGGAACTTACCTAGCATTTACTAAGTATAAAAAGCATCCTTTAAGTAGTATCTCCTGACTAAGAATAACAACTACTACTAATATTATCATCACTCTTTATGGAACACTTAATACGGGGGGCATAGAGAAGAACCCCTGATTTGCAATTATAGTAGGACCACGGTATTAGGCAATCCTTTCTGGAAAAGAAAACTTCTGAACTGAGTCTTAAAGGTTAAGTAGGATTTAGGCAGCCAGGAAAAGAGTGCTCCAGGTTGAGCGAACAGTGTACAAAAAAAGCAAGCTGAAGGTAAGAATAAGCTCTTCTTTCTGGGAATTTCCAAGCGGCTTAATCTGGCTAAAGCATAGGGGAAGGGTGGCCTATGTGGGGGAAGAGTAGCATGAGATAAGGGTGGAAAGGCCAATTGGGCCTAGATTATAAAGAGCCTTGAATGCCAGACTAGGGTATAACTTTAGCTAAGGAGCTTGAGGACAAGAAGGAATGTAGGGGGGCACTGTGGTCATATTGGGATTTTTAAAAAATCTTTCTGACAGCCACTGTGGAGGGTAGCTTGGAAGGGGTTAATGTTAACAATGACAGAAGATAAGCTAATGACATTATGTAATAGCAGGCCTTGCTAGGATATACCTGCCACTTAAAAAAATTAACATAAGGAATCTAGGAAGTTCCCCAGGCAGGGACTGATTGCCTCAAAAGGTGGGAGCTCCAAGTATATAACCCTGTTTCTGAGGTAACTAAAAGGCTGACAGGAAATTCAGAATTAAGTAAGTTAGGGTCCAAATCCTGTTTCTTCCTGGTCTGTATAATTATGAACAAGTTTCTCTGCCTCTCTGGACTTCAGTTTACTGAAATGAAAAGAGAAAATACTGGTACTTGTTTTATGTTACATTACATAAAATGGTATGGATAAAACACCAACCTTAGGGCCTTGCATGTAAAGTAAGCACTTAGTAACTAATCCTTCCCTCTCCCTAGCCTCTTTGAGTTAAAAATCCAAGGTTCTATTCTCAACTTTGCTAGAATCTTAATATTTTCATCTGCTAAATGGAGGCAACAGGGTCGGTCTGCTTTATAAAAAGCTGTTGTGAATTTGGAGTAAGAAACATACATAGCCTATGTTAGAGCTAGATGTATGCTGCTTGTTGGCTGGGAGGTCTCTTTCAATCTAATTTCAAGTTCTAAAATCTTTACAATCGCTTCTCTGCTGTTCCATGGTCAATGACAGTCTTTGGGTATTTCTATTTCCAATAATAACATCTCACATGTCTTTATTTCAGCTCATAGGTAGAGAACAAAGATCTGTCACTGGAATACAACACCAAATGTATTAATAGTTCGGCTGTTACCTCATTTTCACTGTCCTGGAGGTGTGAAAAGAAAGCAACATACTTTACTTTTCATTTAAAGGGCCACATGTCTTAAAGATTTACATCTTGCCAATCTCTTGTTCTGAAATTCAAAAGCTCATCGGCCAAGCACAGTGGCTCACACTTGTAATCCCAGCACTTTGGAAGGCTGAGGAGGGCAGATCACCTGAGATTGGGAGTTCAAGACCAGCCTGACCAACATGGAGAAACCATGTCTCTACTAAAAATTCAAAATTAGCCGGGCGTGGTGGCACATGCCTGTAATCCCAGCTACTCGGGAGGCTGAGGCAGGAGAATTGCTTGAACCCGGGAGGTGGAGGTTGCGGTGAACTGAGATGGTGCTATTGCACTCCAGCCTGGGCAACAAGAGCAAAACTCCATCTCAAAAAAATGTTCATCTTCTTCCTCGACCCCACCCAGAGTAACAAAATACGTATATGATAGAAATCTACTATGTGTTACATACTGTTCTCTGAGGTAAAATCACTCATGAGTAAAGTATTAGTATCACTCCCATTGAACAGATGGATCTAAGGCTCACAGAAATGAAGTATTTTGCTGGAAGAGACAGAAACTAAAGAGCAGAATCAGGGTTGGAACCCACACTATCAGACTGTAAGACCAGACTTCTTTCTACTACTACTATGTATGCATCCTAGTGGAGAAACATAAGATACTTTTAGGTGGTGCATAAACTCTTAATTATACATTCTTAATTATTAATTATTCTTAAATTATACATTTATTCTGATGTGCAACTCACATGGCAAAATGTTAACAATTGGTGAATTTGGGTAAAGGGCAGATGAGAATTCTTACTACTGTTGCAAATTTTCTGTAAGCTTGAAATTACTTCAAAATAAAACAGAACAAAGTTTTAATGAGGTGGTAAAGAATTGCCTTTAAAAATTAACTTTGATTTTTAAAAGTTATTGAAAGACTAATATAAACAGCAGTACCCATTTAGAGATGATAAAATCGGTCAAGATGCCATGAAACCACCTGAAGTGTGGAAATCAATACAATGTGCCACACTGCCTCTGTTAAAAACAAAAACTTGGACCATATTTTCAAACTTATAATGTTCTTGCACATATGTATGTTATCTCATGTGATCCTCACAACCACCTTGGAAGGTGTATTATTCTCCCACGCATTTTTGAGATGAGGAAACAGAGCTCAGAGAGGTAAAGAGATTTGCTCAGGGAAGAACTGACAGAGCTGGAGTTTCCATTTAGATCTTCTGATTCTAAAGCTGTACTTGTTCCTTGATGCCATACTGAACTAACAAGTTTTTCAGCAGGGCTAAAATCTATTTGGCAGTGATTTGATTAAAAAGAACAAATGGCTCCTGTGTGCAGTATTACAGGAATGGTTCTGCTGTAACTCTTATCTAAGTCTAAGAAAGAGAATGGCCCTAGCCATGGCTCTTCTATCTTCTCAGAAGGCACCACAAACACTTTTTCTGCTTTGGAACTCATATGCCTACCATTCTTCATTTGCTTGGGCTTAGGCAGTCAACAAAACCCAGAAACCATAAATAACAAAGCTAACTACATCAAAGCTCCACTCAAAACCTGTCGGTGGTGCCTTTGGTTCATGGGCCAAATCTAAGCTCCTTAGCATGGCATTCAAGACCATCTATCATCTGGTTCTGGTGGGACCCCTCATCCTCATCTCTTGCCATAAATGCTATACCCTACATGTAGATAACTATTTGTTAGTCTTTAAACATGCTATTCTGTTTTACATAGTTCTGTCTCTGCATATGTTGCCTGTACTCAGAAAGAAACTTAAAGTGGAAAAATCTGGCAACATCACCTTCCCTAAGTGACATCATCATAACCAAGTGATTCAAGTTAATATCACCAATAATGGGTATACACTTACATCATGTGCTCTTGATATTATGGTCTAAGAAGGACACAACATCATTTCTATGGCATTCTTGCGAAAAATGCATAACCTGCATGTATTCGTGAGGAAACTGACAAGCCCAAATTAAGGGATATTCTACAAAATACATGACCTATTTGCTTCAAAATCGACAATGTTAATAAAGACAAAGAAAGACTGACGAACTATTTCAGATTAAAAGAGACTGAAAAGACATAAAAACTAAATGTAATGTGATTTCCTGAAGTGGCTTCTAGATCAGAGAAAATAAAATTGCTATAAAGGACACTGAGATGACTGGCAAAAATTGAATAAGATCTGCTAATAAGATAGTACTGTGTCAGGTTAAATTTCCTGATTTTGATAACAGTACTGTGATTGCTAGAAATAAAAGGAACACTGCCTATGCCTCACTCTCAAATGGCTAAGAAGGTGCGTACATGCAGGCACACACACACTTACTTACCTGTGGGAAGTGGGGAAGGTGGAAGAGAGAGACAGAAAGAAGAGCAAGGGGGAGGGGGGAGGGAAAATAATAAAACAAATAGCATGATAAAGCAAATGTGGCAAAATGTTAACAATTGGTGAATTTAGGTAAAGGGCATATGGGAATTATTACTACTGTTGCAACTTTTCTGTAAGCTTGAAATTATTTAAAAATAAAACAGAACAAAATTTTAAAGTCTTAATTTAAAAACAAACAATCTTTTGGCAGGCATATGCTCATGCCTATAATCCCAGCACTTTGGGAGACTGAGGCGGGAGGATTGCTTGAGCTCAGTTTAGCTCAGCTGAACTTGATCCTCAGTTCAAGAGCTGCCTGGGCAACATGCTGAAAACTTGTCTCTACAAATTTTTTTGGTATAATAAAATGTAAAAAAAAAAGTTCATAAGGAAAATGTAAGAAATGTAAAAAAAATGTTTGTAAGGAACACGAACTTTGATTTCTTTAAGATTCTGCTCAAATGTTATCCCTCCTTGAGATTTCTCAGTGCTTCATGCAGACCTCTGTGTTGTGTCCTGGGGCACTTTTTACCCTGGTAAAGTGATATGGCGATGCCACAGGATCACTGCCTCACAATGCCATTCTGCAAACATCACCTCCTCCAAGAAGCTTTCCTTGACCTTTATACTTTTGAACTAGTTAGCAAGTTATGAGACCACAGAGTTAAGGAAATTTTTTATTTTTTCACAGTTACTTAACTAACATGACACCCACCCCCACCACCCGCCACGAAGCTGACTGTATCCTCATTTCTCCTCTGACAATATTTTCCCCATCCCACTTCCTGCCATGGCCCTCCATCACAGTCAATCCATCTAACCAGGGAGCATCCTATCACTACTGAGTTATTTGCTGAAGGACCAACAGAAAAGTAGGACTTGATCATGGCCCTTGAGGGGCTCATTGTCTAATAATGAGGGAAACAGATGAGTGAACAGAGAAAGATAACACAAGATGACCAGGGTTATGGCAGAAGGCATGCAAAAAAGCTGTGGAAGCACAGGAGGGTTATCTGGTGGGGGATGGTGTCAGAGAAGGCTTCTTAGAGGATGTTACAAATAAACGCTGAACCTTGAAGTCAGGAGTAGAAGAAGGGGTGGATGTTTAAACCCCCTCTTCTTCCAGGCAGATGAAACCACATGTGCAAAACAGGAAACATCACTGGGTTTTTGAAGAACTAGGATGGAATGCAGATTGTGAGTGGGGAACACCAAATGGAGAAGGAAAGGGATCAGGTGGCTGATGCCAGTGTCAGAGGGGCCTTGAAAATCACCTTAAGGAGCCTGACTTTATCCCGAAGACTGCAAGATGGGTAAGGAACATACATGGGGGATACTAGTGCAGTAGTGGGGATGGACAGACAGGGCCCAGTCTCCATTCACCACCCTTCTTTAGATCTTCCTCATTGCTTTGCTAAGGAGTTTTCTGACCAGCCAACTTTCAGGTCTGAAAAGATACTCAGTTCCATATCCAAAGATGGAGAACAACAGAGAGCTGTCTTGCACATAGGTGAAAAAGCCCCAGCCACAAATGGCAGCTGCATTTTTTTAATAGTTAATTTTTTAAATTTTGAGGTAAGTTTAGACTTTATACAAGAGTTGCAAAAATAGTATGGAGAGTTCCCATACACCCTCCTCCTTTTAACAATGGACATAATCATGTCTAGTCATCAAAACTAGGAAATTAACCTTGGTACAATACTATTAACCAAAGTACATACTTTATTTTGATTTCTCCAGTTGTTTCACTGATATCTTTTGTTCCAGAACACAATCCAGGGGCCCACATTGCATTTAGCTGTCATGCCTTCATAGTCTTCTCCAATCTGTGACAGCTCAGTCTTTCCTTGTTTTTTTGTGACTTTGACACTTTTCAAATGGGTATTTTGTCAAATGTCAGTTATTCTGAAGAATGTCCCTCAATATGGGCTTGTTTGTTTTCTCAGGATTAGATTGAGTGAACTTACCTCTCTGTGTGTGTATATGTGTGACCTTCTCAGTGTTTCATATCAGGGGGTATATACAATGTTGGTGTGTTTTATTGGTACTGTTAATCTTGATCACTTGGCTAAAGTTATGTCTGTCAGAATTCTCTAAATAAACTTACTATTTTTCCCTTTGTAATTACTATATATTTGCAGACTATGCAAATATTCTGTTTCTGTTGACACTGATGCCACTTATTTAGCATCCATTAGTAGGTTTTGCTTGTCGCAATTATTACTGTGATGTTCTAATGGTGAATTTTTTTTTTTTTTTTTTTTTTTGGTTTGTTGCCCAGGGTGGAGTACAATGGCATGATCTTGGCTTACTGCAACCTCCGTCTCCCAGGTTTACCTTAGCCTCCAGAGTAGCCGGGACTGTAGGCACATGCCACCGCGCCAGCTAATTTTTGTATTTTTTTTTTGTATAGACGGGGTTTCAGCATGATACCAAGGCTGGTCTTGAACTCCTGAGCTTAAGCAATCCACCTGCTCCGGCCTCCCAAAGTATTGGGATTACAGGCATGAACCACTGTGCCCAGCCCTAATGGTGATTTTTCTATTTCCCTCATTCCTTCTACATTTATATTTATATTTATATTTTTAGAGATGGAGTCTCACTATGCTGCCCAGGCTGGTCTTGAACTCCAGGGCTCAAGTGATCCTCTTGCCTTGGCCTCCCAAAGTGCTGGGATTACAGGTGTGAGCCACTAAGCCTGGCCTCCTTCTACATTTGTTAATCAGAATTCACTTAAAGGAAAAATGATCACTTCTCTTTATTTATTCACTTATTCCTTTCGGTATGAACTCATGGATATTTTTATCCTTTGGGTTATAAATTAATCCTACAGTTATTGTTCCTCAAGTTGTTCCACCGTTGGCCATCAGAAGTTCTTTCAGGTTGGCTTCTGTGCCCTTTGATATGCTTCCTTTCTTTTTTTAGAAAGCACTTCCTAGCTTGCTGGCCCCTTAAGATGCTCCAGGATCATTTTATATTTCCCCTACCCCAGCCTTGGAATCAACCAGTTTTCCAATGAGTCCTCATTCCTTTCATTGATATTTGGAAGCCAAGATCTGGGTGCTGGGTGTACTCATTGCTCCTGGGGTATCTGCTTCTAGCCCCTCTCAGTGGCTAGAGCTTGGAAATATACATATGTACACTAACTCACCTACCCACACAAGGTATCTATGTATTTTTAAATCTATCTGAAACACGAATACATATTGATACACTGATTCCAATCTAGCACGAGGGGATTCATTCTGGCCTTCTCCTTTGCTGATTTATAACTTCTTTCTTTCTCTGATGTGAGAAACCTGACTCTCATTGTCCACAATATATTTACTTGCTGATTCTACTCTATTATACAAATGAAGTAGTGAAAAAATTCCTAACACATAACCTTGAGAGAAACAAATTTTACAAACTAGAGTGCTTTGTTTGTATGTAATTCTTTTTGTTTTTAGCCTTACAGTATACAGTCAAAATACTTTTCAAAGGTTAGCTCCTTTTTTCTCCAACCCCTTAAGTGTGGTTATGTGACTAATTTGTAACACCAGCTAGATTCATTTGTCATAGTGTGCATTCTTTCTCTCTGCCCTTTAACCCCCAAAACATCCTAGCTGATTAAACAAATTTTCACATATAGTAACATTTATTTTTTTGTGGTGTAAAGTTCTATGGGTTTTGACAAATGCACAGAATTATGTGTCAACCACCACAGGTCCATACAGAACATTCCTTACCCCCAAAATACTCCCACGGCAACTGCAATTTTAATCCTGCTTTCGCAGCACCAACCAGGAGGTGGCAGGGTTTCTCTCCCTGACGCAGACTTCACCAGGCAACTGGGTCTGCCTGCTCTGCATGCAAACAGTCCTAAGGAGACAGCTAGCTCCCTGTCCCTCATACTCCGTGTGTCTTCTGACTATGGTCAGAGGGGTTATAAGGTTAAGTTTCTTCTTCCCTAAAACAGGTGAGTTTTGCTGGAAGCCTCAGAATCTCACACTCCAGCTGAACAAGCAGGATGATTCATCAGAGACAGCAGTCAAGAAGGCAACCCATAATAACTAAGCTTTCATAAGATACTCACAGTGAGGGCAACAAAGGGAGATGAGAGAAGTGGAGGCCAAAACCAAAACAGGGTGAGGGCAGGAAGTTGACAGACTCTTCAGACAGTACATGTTTGGTATTGGTGGCTGGAAAAGATTTCAATAAGAGGAAACTGACAGTGGGGAAGGGAAAAGATCTCCAAGTAGAGGAAAAAACCTGAGTACAGGCACAGCAGTGTAAGGCATCCCTGAGGCACAGTGTTCAGAAATGAGTTAGAAAGACAGGCAGGGGACAAACTTGGTAACACTTCAAATGTCCTACTATGGCATTCATCATCCAGTAAACACAGGGCATTCCAACATGTAAACAGCTATGCCACATGGTAGACATGTGAAGCAGTACATTGTCCGTGTCCGTATTAAGCAGGTACAAGCTCTGCTTAATAACAAATTATAATTTAGTTAACTGTTAACTGTCAACATAACCACCCCTAAACTATTGCTAACTCATTTTACCTCCCTAAGCTGTATCTGTAAACTGGGGATAATAGTTAATAACAGGGTTGTTGTATGTATTCAGTGGTAGAATATATATATGGAGGGTACATAAATAAGTGCTCAATATTAGTATTTATAATAAATTATAAACCACCTAAATTTATCTAAATGCACTTCCACATCTCTCTTACCTTTCTTCATGATGGGCAAGTTTTTAAAAGGTCCTTCTTATCTCATACACAATAAAACCAGTCTGAGTATATCTGGATGTCTGCATTCATAATGCTATAAAACCAGTTTGAATAGTTCACTATATCTGACTAACACCCCCATCCCTGAACACTGCTGCTATGAACCCCTAATACCTTGCTGGGTATTTTATATGTTATCATACTTAATCCCGTAGAGAACTCTGAAGGGTAAGTAACATACCATCTTAAAGGTAAGATAATTGAATATTGGAGATATAAAGCAAACTTCCTAAGGTCACAGAGCTAAAAGCTAGTCTGTTTGCCTCTAGAGCCTCTCTTCTTTCTGCTGAATGACACTGCTCTATTCTACTCTCCACTCTCCATGGGAATACCACTCTAGGCTTCTGACACCGGCCCTTCTCTCTTCTGTATCTAAGCTCTCTCTGTGGGTGATTTCACCTATGGACTAGACTTTTACTACCACCTCTGTGCCAACAGCTCCATGAAGCCTGTTTGCAGGCAGGACTTTTCATCTCAGTTCCAATCCTATATAACCAACTTCCTTGGTGGACATCTTTATGCATCCTTCTCAGGTATCTCAAACTCAGTATTGCCAAGGCCAACATTTTGCCCCACCCTTTTTCTTTTCTTTTCAGAGGGTCCTATAGAGAAATCACCCTGCTTTTTAGCTTGACTTTTTTTTTTTTTTTTTTTTTTTTTCGTTTTTTTCTCCCTGGTAAGGTCATTACTCTTAATCCACATCCTCGATTTCAACTTCTGGTGCTGCTCAATATTCAGTATGTCACCAACTCCTATCAGATGAGTTTCTTCAACATCTCTGTGTGCCATTATTTCCCCCGTTCCTTCAGATCCTTCAGATTTCCTTCTAGACTCTACTAAAAACTTTCTAGGTGGTTTTCTGTTTCCCCTGCCCCAATTCACCCTCCAAAACAGCCCTTCATATTCATCCTACTAGAACGTCAGTTTGTTCATATTATCTCAGGCTAATGGCTCTTGGAAAGCTTCCCAATAAATTCCAAACTCCTCACCAACCTAGACACAGACTTCTGAGCATGCCTAGCCTCTGAGTACACCGTGGTTCTAGCAAACAAAATGATACCGCATTCAGCAATCTCCTACCTCATGCCTTTTCATCCAAAAATTTCTACTTCTGTCATCATTCCTGAAATAACTAGTGAAGTATATTAATCCCAGTTAAGACCTGATTGTTAAGTGGGTTCTTGGTCACACAGGGCCTGTGCACTCATTCCCACCTTAACATCTCACTAGTTTTCTTCCCCCCACCTAGTTTAGGAAGGTCTTATAGGCAAGAATGGTTCATTTTTGGTTATGAGTACAAACTATAAGGCCTGATATGTAGTGCAAGCTTGAGGAATAAGTAACTAAACAGCTGACACTAAAGGTAAAGTTTTGAATGAAGGATGGGCCATCAGAGCCATCAGCACCACTCACCCTTCCGGTTCATCCCCATCTGGAGGCATTTGAGCAGGCGGCAGTACTGGCACCTGTTCCTCTGCTTCCGAGACATGACACAGTTCTTGTCACGACTGCATCGATATACCCGTTTGTTGCAAATGCTCCGCTTGAAAAACCCTTTGCAGCCCTCACAGGAGATGATCCCATAGTGCAAGCCTGTAGCGCGGTCCCCACAAATGAGACAGGTTCGTTGTTCAGCCCGATCATCTGAAACAGAAACTGATCATGTTCAAGTTAGAACACAGTGGAAATAATGGCTTTAAGCCTACAGTTCCTAAAGTGAGCAACTCTGCTCTGGGTAGATTAAGACCACCACTATCTCCAGGCTAAAGGGCAAACAGGGGGCCCATCTTCGGATCCTTGTCCCAAGAGTAGTCCCTGTATCTGTGGTTGCAGATACCACAACACAGTCTACCTAAACTCTTCCTCCTGGGTTTCATCAACACTTGGATCAGTATCTAAGACTGAAACCTAGAAAGAATCTTTGACTCCTCTATCACCCTTACCCTGCTCATCTATAACCCATCAATTCTACCCTGTAGGAGCACGGTAAGGATTACTTACCATATATGTAAGGGCCTAACACATGATATACAGCCAATAAATGACAGCTGTAATTGAGTTCTAACCATACCGAGCTAAGCCGGTCAGCCAGACATCCAGCCAATAAATATTTACTGTGCAACTCTTCTATCCTGGGAACTGCTGTAAGGCACAAATACAGCAGTGAACAGAAGCCCCTGGTGAAGCTTACACTCTAGCAGAGTATCTATTCTGTGTCCAGGCCCTGTGCTAGGACATAAATAAATCATCATGATCCCCAGAGTCATGGAACTCACTGACGAGCAATAAACAAGTTACTCAAGGAGGAAATTCAGGATAGAATATAGCTCTTCACTTCCTCTTCCTTTAAACTGCATTTACTCAGGACCAAGCAACTGCTAAAGAGCAGGCACACGACAAAAAAGCACCCTGTGAACTGTGATGTGAAGCTATGCCAGCAGGTACAAGAAATCACCAGGGAAGGTTCCGATCAGAGGCCAAGACAAGAAATCAGATATTTCAACCTCACTCCTGAGTAAGAGGGAAGGTATAATAATCAAGAACATCGTTATAGAGCCAGGCGTGATGGCACACACCTGTAGTCTCATCTACTGAGGAGGCTGAAGCAGGAGGACTGCTTGAGCCTAGGAGTTTGAGGCTGCAGTGAGCTATGATTGCACCACTGCATTCCAGCCTGAGCGACGGCAAGACCATATCTCTTAAAAAACAAATAAACAAAAACAAAGGCACATCATTATACCATGAATTAGAGACCGCTTATAATTAGAGAGATTCTAATTTGAACCCTAGCTCTGAAACTAGCTGGGTGAACTAGGGAAAAATTGACCTTCTTTACTTTTCTAATTTCTCTCATCTGTTAAATGGTGATTATAATAATACCTATATCCCATGGATAAAGTTCTCATTGCAGTGTGTGGGCTATAATAGACATTTGATAACTGTCAGCTATTATTTTCATTATTATTACCCCAGCAGGTACACATTTAATGTGATAATGACATTCCTGAAAGGAAAAGCTTTCGAAGGCAATGTTAGCAGAGGGTCATGGTAGTATATACAGGAGGGATGCAGAGAAAGGAGGTGGCTTGCATTTCTGGAGCCCTTAATATATGCCAACTTTGAGATGAGTCTTTATGATTGCCATCTATAGTAAGCAGAATAACTGCGACCCATAGATATCAGGTCCTAATCCTTGGAACCTGTAAAATGCTACCTTATAAAGGAAAAAGGGTATTTGTAGATGTGATTGAATTAAGAATCTTGCGGTAGGGGGTTATTCTGAATTATATGGGTGGGCCCGAAATACAATCACAAGTGTCTTCGTAAGACAGAGGCAGAGGAAGATCTGATAAAGATAGTAGAGAAGAAGAAACACATCACATGCAAAAGAGAAGGTGATACGAAGACAGAGGCAGAAACTGGCCACCAACCAAGGAATGACGGCAGTCACCAGAAGTTGGAAGAGGCAAGGAACCGATTCTCCCCTAGAGCTTCTGAAAGGAGTGTGGCTCTGCAAACACTTTCATTTCAGCCCAGGGATACTGATTTTTTTTTTTTTTTTTTGAAAGGGAGTCTTGCTCTGTCACCCAGGCTGGAGTGCAGTGGTTCAATCTCGGTTCACTGCAACCTCCGCCTCCTAGGTTCAAGCAATTATCCTGCCTCAGCCTCCCAAGTAGCTGGGATTACAGGTGCCTGCCACCATGCCCTGCTAATTTTTGTATTTTTAGTAGAGACGGGGTTTTACCATCTTGGCCAGGCTGGTCTTGAATTCCTGACCTCAAGTGATCTGCACACCTTGGCCTCCCAAAGTGCTGGGATTAGAGGTGTGAGCCACCACGCCCGACCTGATTTTGGATTTATGGCTTCTCTTCCAGTAAGAGAGTAAATTTTTGTTGTTTTCAGGCACTGAGTTTGTGGTAATTTGTTACAGCAGCACAGGAAACTAATATACCTTTTTTTTTTTTTCGCAAACAGGGAAACAGGCAATATTAAGACTTGTCTCAAGTCAGCTGGCAAACAGCAGGTACTCACAGACAAGTACATACATGAGATTATACAACCAGGGAAATGGAGAACGACAGATATGGAAAGACTGCCTAGGTTCTTGAGGACTCTACAGTTCTTGGTTACAGACTTTTCTAAGGCTTGGATACACTTCCTTTGAGAAAACAGCACAGTGACAAATTGACATAACCACGTTATTGTAATACAATCCTCCTTTTTTCTTTTTTTGAGACGGATCTCACTCTGTAGCCCAGGCTGGAGTGCAGTAGCGCGATCTTGGCTCACTGCAACCTCTGCCTCCCAGGTCCCGGTTCAAGTAATGATCCTGCCTCAGCCTCCCGAGTAGCTGGGATTACAGGAACGTGCCACCATGCCTGGCTAATTTTTGTATTTTCAGTAGAGATGGGGTTTCACCATGTTGGCCAGGCTGGTCTTGAACTCCTGACCTCGTGATCCACCCACCTCGGCCTCCCAAAGTTCTGGGATGACAGGAGTGGGCCACCGCGCCCGGCCAATCCTCCTTCTTTTCTTTCTTAAGCTAACTTAAGTGAGTTTCTGTTGTTTGCAACACAAACAAAATACAAAAAGCCCTATTAAGAAAAAAAAGATACCCTATAAAAATGGCCCTGGTGTGATCAGTATTCCTTTTATTTTCCTTTTGAAAACATAAAGAAAGCTCAAGGTAAACACTACAGAAAAGTTACAATAGCAAATTTTAAAAATTAAAACAGGTAAGGCCAAACAGGCAAAATGAATAGCATAAAAATAGCACCCACTATGTTTGAGATGGGATTTCCTAGAGTGCTGAAAAGGCCTGGAAATGGAACATGGAACACTGTTGGGAAACCATGATTGGCTATGGAAGAATCTAAATTTTCTAATTTTAAAACCTTCAGTGTTCTTTTAGATATGACTATAATGTAAACCAGAGCCTTATTAGAATAGACTTAAAAACAGTTATAATGAATATATCCACAAGGACACACCTTCCTTTCTTCACTGATACGATTTCACTGAACACCCACCACAACTAGGTAGGCTTTACTTCACTGACTCATGTAATCCTCAAAACCCCATACATAGGTGAGTACAATTGTTATCACCCTTTTGTAAATGATTAAGTGGAAGCTCCAAAATGGTTAAACAATTTGTCCACCTAGAAAGTGGCTGACCCTGAACCACCAATATCAGAAATGGAGTTCAATAACCTCTGCATAAAGCATTCCTATGGCATTCTGTGCAGCATCTGGAGCCAGAGCAAAGAACCTACAGAACGACAATCAAATATAGACCTGTTAAGAACCTGCTCATGTCTCGTAACACTGCTTGCTTTTCTCATGATAGTTTTAAAAGGCCACACTGAGATCAAAGACTAAAGGGCCATATTTCTTTAAGGAGCCTGAAGCCCTAGGACTGCTTCTCTGTCTGGCTACAGCTATTCTTACTGCCTGCCATGTTCTGTTTCTTCAAAAAATGGTCTATGCCATGGATGAGGAACTAATTCAAAAGGGAGTTTCTCAGTGGTACAAAAGAAAGGCTCTCTCCAGATCAATCTAGTAGCCCTTCAAAGAAGCATTTGGAAAACTTCTCTCCCAGTATGTGAAAAATAACAACAGAATCAGCTATTGTTAACTGACCACTTAGGTGCTATGCTCTGGCCAAGCACTTAACATACATTACTGTGCTGAATAATCACAATTATTCCTAAACAAGGTGCCCTCAACATTTTACAGATGAGGAAATGGAGGCCCATGAGGTGCTATCACTCCCTAATAGTCATCCAGCTAGTAAGGGAAAGCTGGAAGCCTCAAAAGTCTATGTTCCTAACCATTACATTCTTTGGCCACAGCAAGGTAAATCTACACATTCTACATGCAGGTAAGTCAGTCCCTTCCCCACTGAAAACCAACCAACCAACCACCCAACCAACCAACCAAAAAAGCCAGGGCCCCCCTTTGTAAATGAACAAACTGAAGCAAATGCCCCTAATCGTGCCTGGCCAGATGTCAGATACAGATTTCTGCACTTCCTATTGCAAAGGATTTGAAGTGTATAAGTGTATTTATAGCATGTTTACATGCATTATCTTGCTGGTACCAGGCCAAAGCAAGGGTTATTCTTATCTTATAGATAAGGCAAAAAACAGTCAATGAGCACCAACTGTGTACCATGCAATGTGCAAGAAGTTTTTACATACACTATTTACCACAGTAACTTCGAGACATATTATTCCTATATTACTGAATCTGGAATCTTAAGAGTTAGAAAAGGCCTTAGAAATTGCCCTGTACAGATCTTTACCTGAGGCATGAATTCCCTCCACAATGTTCCAAGACAAAGAGTTGCCCCATACTCTTACTTGCACATCTCTAGTGACTCAATAAGGTACTTCATTCCATTCATTCTACTTTTAGACAGTTATAATGGTTCAAAGGCTTTTCTTTATATGGAGCCAAACCTGAAGCTTCCCGCACTGCCCTGAATAATGTGTTCACGGGTAAAAAATAAATGTACAATCTAACCTAGCTCATATATAAACCATTTAGAGATTTAAAGATAATAATGGAGTTTTCAGGCTGGGTGTAGTGGCTCACACCTGTAATCCCAGCACTTTGGGAGGCCAAGGAGGGTAGATCACCTGAGGTCAGGAGTTTGAGACCCGCCTGGCCAACATGGCGAAACCCCATCTCTACTAAAAATACAAAAAATTAGCCGGGCATGGTGGCACATGCCTGTAATCCCAGCGACTCGGGAGGCTGAGGCAGGAGAATCACTTGAACCTGGAACACAGAGGTTGCAGTGAGCCAAGATTGCGCCACTGAACTCCAGCCTGGGCGACAGAACAAGACTCCGTCAAAAAAGAAAATAATAATAATAATAATGGAGTGTCCAACTGTGATTTTTTTCCTTCTCATTTCTTAGTCTTAATGAATTATATAGTATCAAAATCTCTCTTAAAACAAAGTATCCAGAACTGAATGATTTTTCTTAATATCATTTAAGACTGAATTAATTTTGCTTCTATGTTTCTGCAGCTGGCAACACTAGTAAGTACATACATTTTACAATGACTGAATCTCTGTGGCATGCCACACATTTTATAACAGGAAAAACGGGTGCTGAAAGAGTAAATAATCTTGGTTACACAACCAATCAGGAGTGGAGCTGGAATTGCAATTCAAGATCTTCCAATTCTACGACTGCTGTATTTTCAATCCTCCCTGCCACCTCCTACTCAACCACACACATATTTAATTCACATCTGTTTCACAGGCACCTAAAACCTGAAGTATTTGCCACACATACCATTAACCAGTATCTTTCTTATTCCATTCTTGGGAAGCAGAATGTTGAACCCAAGGGTAGGACTTTACATTTGCCCTTGATCCATTTTATCTTTATATAATAAATTCTGCATGTCATTCTGGTCTATTGAAATATTTGGGGATCTGGGTCCTGCCACCTAGTATATTATTTCTTCCATCTCCTTCTTGTCTACATGTGTGGTCGGCGTTACATTATTTTCATTTCTATCCTTAAAACAGTATTAAACAGAACGTGGCCTTCTAGCAAAACACTGAAGTCCTTTCTCTAATCTGACTTAACCATTAGCATCCTGGAAATAGTTATTCAATTGGTTTTGTCTTTTATCTTTTTTGAGACGGAGTTTCGCTCTTGTCGCCCAGGCTGGAGTGCAATGGCCCAATCTCGGCTCACTGCAACCTCCGCCTCCCAGGTTCAAGTGATTCTCCTGCCTCAGCCTCCCAAGTAGCTGGGATTACAGGTGTGTGCCACCATGCCCGGCTAATTTTTGTATTTTTAGTAGAGACAGGGTTTCACCATGTTGGCCAGGCTGGTCTCAAACTCCTGACCTCAGATGATCCACCCGCCTCAGCCTCCCACAGTGCTGGGATTACAGGCAGGAGTCACTGTGCTTGCCCCAAAGACAATTTTTAACAAACTTTAAACTTTAATTGATGAGACTGGGATTAGGTGAACAGACATACACTGCAATCAAGGGGACAGGCTTGGGTGGCAATGTAGAGTTGATCTCAGAGCCCATGGCAAGGTAAGCCTCAACTTGTGGATAGAAAAGAAAATGACAGGCTGAGCACCGTAGTCCCAGCACTTTGTAAGAGTGAGCACTTAGATGTACCTCTGTTTCTCTTCTATAGAATGTGGATATTATATTATATTAAATTATATTAATAATTTTTTAAAAGAACTGCTGTGAGACCAGGCACAGTGGCTCATGCCTGTGATCCCAGCACTTTAGGAGGCCAAAGTGGGTGGATCACTTGAGCCCAGGAGTTTAAGACCAGCCTGGGCAACCTGGCAAAACCCTGTCTCTACAAAAAATACAAAAAATTAGCCAGACGTGGTGGTGCGCCTATAGTCCCAGCTACCCAGGAGGAGGCTGAGGTAGGAGTATCACCTGAGCCCAGGTGGTCGAAGATGCAGTGAGCTGTGATCATGCCACTGCACTCCAGCCTACGGGGCGGCGGAATGAGATCCCATTTCTAAAAACAAAACAAACAAAAACAACTGTTTGAGAATGAATAAGGCAATAGATTACCCATAAATGACACAGAGCTCTAGCTTCCTCATAGTCTGTAATAGAATAAAGTAGCTTTGCAAAGTATAAGTGTTAGACAAAATTGTTGCTTAATAATAAGTTTTTCTTTTTTTAATCTAAAAGACAAAAAAATTGGTGGGACACGGTGGTTCACACCTGTAATCCCAACACTTTGGGAGGCCGAGGTGGGCAGATTACTTGAGGTCAGGATTTCCAGACCAGCTTGGCCATCATGGTGAAACCCTGTCTCTACTAAAAATACAAAAATCAGCCAGGCATGGTGGTATGCGCCTGTAATACCAGCTACTCGGGAGGCTGGGGCAGAAAAATTGCTTGAACCCAGGAGGTAGAGGTTGCAGTGAGCCAAGATTGCACCACTGCACTCCAGCCTGGGTGACAGAGTGAGACTCCGTCTCAAAAAATAAATAAATAAATAAAAACAAAAAACTTAAAAAAATGTTATTAGCACCAGTCAGCCTGGTGGCAGGGGAAAGTAATGACAGATTTCCTAGAGGAAGTGAATTCTGAAGCACAACTACCAGTTAGACAACTGAAGGTGGAAGAGTGGGTATAGACAAAGAAACAATTGGCATATAAAGTCATGTCTTAAATTTGGTGCTGGAAAACTCCTCTCCAACTTGGGTTTCCTCTGAGAAGAATCTCATTCCTTTCTAAAAGAGCTGATATAGTTCACTAAGTTTCAGCAAGACTATCAAGAAGAGCTGCACAGAAGTAGCCACAAATATAATATCAGGCTATGTTTTACCCCTTTGTATGTAAAAGTCATGATCTGCCCACAATTTTATTCCTGCAAAATATTCTATATATTGCTGGTTACCATAACTAAACACAAACATTATTAGAAAAAAGGTAACATGCTTGGTCTTTGCTATAGACTTTCAAACCTTAGGTTCAATGTAAAATGTTTTTTGTTTTTTTTTTGGATACAGGGTTCATTATGTCGCCTAGGCTGGAGTGCAGTGGCTATTCACAGTTGCAGTCATACCACTCTGCAGCCTTGAACGCCTGACCTCAAATGACCCTCACGCCTCGCCTCCCGAGTAGCTGGGACTACAGGCATGCGCAACTGCACCTGGCAAGAGTTTTTTGTTTTTAAGTCAGAGATTATTCTAGCAAAGGTAAAAGAACTATCATATTAAATTGCATTTCTTAAACTCCTGCTGATAAATAAGAGCAGATTCAGAGCTCAGTTAGGGTCTCTGTGGACACATATTTTCAGAGGCAAAAATGTCAAATTCAAAGGAAGTAAAATGATAAATAAAGCTGCTGATATGGTTGGCCTAGAAGATTAGTAACAATCTGAACCAGCTACAGAGCCCTAGCAACATCTCTTCAGAGCACCATTGACATGTGTCTGCTGAAATAAATGGATATGCCCATCTCCACATCATTTAGCAAGAACAAAAAATAAATGAGGATAAAGAGATTTATAAAGGAATCTAGTCATCGATCTGACAAGAATTGTACAATCTGGGGTCTTGTTTTACAACAGCTGCAGGACTTCTCAGTTACACCTAACCAAGGTTCTGCTGCAGGTAGGTTTTGATTAAAGATGTTAACAGTAAAATCTGGCACAATGAATGCTATAGAGAAGATACACAATTTGTTGAATGAATGAATGATCAATAAATGAACAAATGGTATGGCTTGGTGCAATGTTTTCCAAATTACAAGTCATAACCCACAGCATCATGTTTGGAAAAAAATGAAATGAAAAATATCAAGTGCATCATATGTACCGAGAAAGGGTAAAATTCCGTGAAACTTCAGTTTCAATTAAAGTGTGTGCATTTGTGTGTCTGTGATGTGCAAGTGTGCAGTGGAGTACTGGATCACAATGTATGTAGAACTGTAAAAAGTTTTAAACACATTGGCCTAGCATTTCAGACATACTAATATAAACTCCAGCTCTGCCACTTGCCAGTTTTATAATTGTGGGTAAATAATTCAGTTCTCTTAGTCTAACTATTAACTGTAAAATACAAATAATATTAGTACTTACCTCATACAGATTTGCTAGGGATGAAATGATACAGTACAAGATGCTAAGAACATGTACATGGTGCTTACTATGTACCAAGTTCTGTCCTAAATTTGTTACACTGAATCACTCACTCATTCCTTACAACTCTAAACAGACAGTCCCCTGCTTATAGAGTTCAACTTAAGGACTTTTCTACTTTATGATGGTATGAAAGTGATATGTATTCAGTAGAAACAGTACTTCCAATTTTGAATTTTCATCTTTTCCCCAAGCTAGCGATATATGATATGATACTCTCTTGCAATGCTGGGCAGCAGCAAGCCGTAGCTCCCAGTCAGGCTGGGGTGGGAGAATCATTTGAGGCCAGGAGTTCTAGACCAGCCTGGGTAACATAGCAAGACCCCATCCCTACGAAAAATAAACAAATTAGCCAGGCATGGTGGCACACACCTATATGGTCCTAGCTACCTGGGATACTGAGGTGGGAGAATCCCTTGAGCCCAGGAATTTAAAGCTGCAATGAGCTCTGACTGTGGCACTGTACTCCAGCCTGGATGACAAAGCAAGACGCTGTCTCTAAAAAAACCAACAACAACAACAAAAAGAAAAATTCATCTTAAATAAAGCTATAAATAGTGCTTTAATTTAAAAAAGTCTTTGATATAATTCAACATTATAAAACTTTTAGCAAACTAGAAACAGAAAAAAAATTAATATGATAAAGGCTATCTGAAGAAACCTATACCAACAATCACACTGAATCATAAAATGTTTAAACAAAAAAGTGCTTTTCTTTTGAGACTGGATATAACACAAGGATGGCCTATGATCAGTACTCTACCTTTATTCAACACTGTAGGGAAGGTCCCAGCCAGTGCAGACAAAATAAGAAATATATAAAAATTAACCATATTTCTATACCATGCACAGAAATGAAAAATTTTAAAAGATGCCGTTTACAATAGCATCAAGAAATATGAAATACCCAAGGTGTAATCTAATAAAGAGATACAAGATCTCTATGGAGAAACTGTAATATACTTATTTAATATAAAGTACTTCTAAGATAAGCTGAAGAAGGTTTTTAAGTAAATGGAGGGATATATGACGCTCATGGATTGGAAGAGTCATTACAGTAGAGGTCTATAGATTCAGTAAGGTCCCATTCAAAATCCACACTCTGTGTGTGTGTGTGTGTGTGTGTGTGTGTATAACTTGACAAGCTAATTCTGAAATGTATACGGAAATGCAAAAGAACAAAACTAGTACAGACACTTGAGAAAAGACAAGACAATCTACCATACATCAACATTTATTTTAAAGCTATAGTAATTAAAATGTTTTACTGGCTCAAAGATAGATAAATAGACCAAAGGCATGGAATGGAGAACCCTACAACATAGCCATGAATATATGAATATTTAATTTATGAAGATGGCATTGCAGAGCACTGAGAAAAAGACAAGGCTTTTCAATGAATTGTGATGGGGCAATTTGATATCTATATGGGAAAAAAATGAAACCCAATTCTACTATAATTTAAGACCCAAATATCAAAGGCAAAATAATATATCTCTCATTAGATAATAAAGGAGAACATCTTCATGACCTTGAGTTATAAAGAGATTTTAAAAAAGAAGTCAGAAGGCCAGGTGTGGAGGCTCACACCTGTAATCCCAGCACTTTGGGAGGCTCTGGCGGGCGGATCATGAGGTCAGAAGATCAAGACCATCCTGGCTAACACGGTGAAACCCCATCTCTACTAACAATACAAAAATTAGCTGGGCATGGTGGCACGCGCTTGTAGTCCCAGATACCCAGGAGGCTGAGGCATGAGAATCGCTTGAACTCAGGAGGCAGGGGTTGCAGTGAGCCGAGATCGTGCCACTGCACTCCAGCCTGGGCAACAGAACGAGACTCCGTCTCAAAAACAAACAAACAAACAAACAAAAACAATTAAAAAAAAAGTCAGAAGCAGCACTAACCATAGAAGAAAACATTGATAAAATGGCATTAAAGTAACAAAATTTAATAGAGTGAAAAGGCAAGCCACAGCATGGGAGAAGACACATGCAATACACTACCTACAAAGAGCTCATATTCCAAAATACATAAAACTCCTATATAAGAATAAGAAAAAGGCAACCCAGTAGAAAAATGTGTGAGACTTGAATAGGTGTGCCACAAAGGAGGTTAAGCCACATAATCAATAAACTTATGAAAAGATGTTCAAACTTACTAGTGATCAAGGACATGCAAATTAAAACCACAATGAGATATTACATAGCCATCAAAATGGCTGAAATTTAAAAAGACTTCAAGTTATGATGGCAATGTAGAAAAACTAAATTTCATATATTGTTGGTAGGACTGTTTGTTTACACAATCACTATGGAAAACGGCATGTCACTATTAAAGTGGAAGAGACATCTATCCTATGATTCATTCCCAGGTATATACCCAATACAAAATGCATATACATGCCTATCAGGAGGCAAGTTCAAGGATGTTCACAACGGCATGCTTTATAAAAGCCCTGAATTTAAAATAACCCAAATGTTCATTGACATTACTACAGATGGTATGCGTTCAACAATGAAATACTATACAACAGTAAACATATCTGAACTACTGCAACAACACAGATGACTTGTACAAACAATGGGCGAAAGAAGTGCGAAAGCAAAGAATAAATACTATAGGATTCCATTTGTATTAAGCTTAAAACAGGCAAAGAAGGGAAAGAGACATACAGTGTTAAGAGTACGGTGGTAGGGAGAAGCTTCTGGATCCTGGCAGTGTTCTGTATCTTGACGTGGGCGGTTGCTTTACAGTAAGTCATTAAGCTGTACATTTGTATTTTATCTATTTATCTTTAAGTATTAATATTTCATAATTAAAAAGCTGAAAATAAAACACAGCAGAGCACTCCAAGAAAGGGAAATGATATCAGCAACGGCAAAAGGAAGGAAAACAAACGCAAGGTGTGTTTGAGAGAATTGCATAGAATATTGATGTTGCATAGAGACATCTTACGGAGGAATGGTGGGAGATACATCTTGAAAACTGATTTGGAATAGACTGCAATCGATATTATCCTGCTGAGAGAAAGCTACTGAAATGTTTGAACAGGAGCCTAGAAAGGGCTTGCTGACCGACTGGACCACAGAGGAGAGATGAAGAGAGGAGGGGATAGGAAAGTGGCAGAGAGGAACTCAAGGTTCTAAACCACGTGGCTGTGAGAAATGAGGCAACACTAACAGAAAATTGGAAAACAAAAGCTGAGTGCGGGGCAAAAGTAATGGCTTTAGTTTAAAGAGAGGACAGGCCGGGCGCGGTGGCTCACGCCTGTAATCCCAGCACTTTGGGAGGCCAAGGCGGGCGGATCACGAGGTCAGGAGATAGAGACCATCCCGGCTAAAACGGTGAAACCCCGTCTCTACTAAAAATACAAAAAATTAGCCGGGCGTAGTGGCGGGCGCCTGTAGTCCCAGCTACTTGGGAGGCTGAGGCAGGAGAATGGCGTGAACCCGGGAGGCGGAGCTTGCAGTGAGCCGAGATCCCGCCACTGCACTCCAGCCTGGGCGACAGAGCGAGACTCCGTCTCAAAAAAAAAAAAATAAATAAAAATAAAGAGAGGACAACGGGCGAGTCAAGTGGGAATATTCTAAAGGCAACTACTTAGGGGACAATGGTCAGGGCTAAAATGAAGAATCTGGGAGTCCTCAACACACAGAAGAGTTGAAGCTATGGGAACAGATCAGAACTCCAAGGGGTGGGGGTTAGGGGGTCAGAGAATGTGGAGAAGCAGCAGCAGGATAAAACAGAGAGGGGAAGCTGAGACCTTAGGGAAGTAAAGTGAGATGACATGGTCAAAGAAGAAAAGGGTAGAATATAAATCCATGATTATCAGAAAGATAAGGGACAAAAGGATTCCACAACGAAGACTGCATTGTCAAATGCAACATCAAAACATATGAGGGCCAGGTGCGGTAGCTCACATCTGCAATCCCAGTACTTAGGGGAGGCAGGAGCAGGAGGATAGCTTGAGCCCGGGAGTCGGAGACCAGCCTGGGCAAGACAATGAGACCCTGTTCTCCACAAAAAGGAAAAACAAACAAACAAAAAAGTGTGCAGAATAAAAAAGGCTCAAAGGTCACTATTGAGAACCACTTTGGTGAACTAGTTAGGACAAAAACCATACTGACTTAAAAGTGAGTGGTAAAGAAATAAAATAATTAGCTATACATCATGATCCATTGGGAGTGATAGAGAAAATACATTTTGTAGGAGGCAGCAAAGATTCAAGCAGATGCTTTTTAAAAATTTGCTTTTTTTTTTTTTTTTTTTTTTTAACTAGTACAGAGTCATACGCATTTAAAAAAGAGAAACAGGCTGGGCACGGTGGCTCATGCCTGTAATCCCAGAACTTTGGGAGGCCAGGGCGGGTGGATCACGAGGTCAAGAGATTGAGACCATCCTGGCTAACATGGTGAAACCCCATCTCTACTAAAAATACAAAAATTAGCCAGGCATGGTGGTGTGTGCCTGTAGTCCCAGCTACTCTGGAGGCTGAGGCAGGAGAATCCCTTGAACTTGGAAGGTGGAGGTTGCAGTGAGCTGAGATGGCGCCACTGCACTCTAGCCTGGCAGAGCAATACTTCATCTCAAAAAAAAAAAAAAAAAAAAAAAAAAGAAACAGAGGCTGGGCGTGGTGGCTCATGCCTGTAATCCCAGCACTTTGGGAGGCTGAGGCGGGCAGATCACCTGAGGTCAGGAGTTCGAGACCAGCCTGGCCAATATGGTGAAACCCCGTCTCTACTAAAAATACAAAAAATGAGCCGGGTGTGTGACAGGCACCTGTAATCCCAGGTAGTTGGGAGGCTGAGGCAGAATTGCTTGAACCCAGGAGGCGGAGGTTGCAGTGAACCGAGATTGTGCCACTGCACTCCAGCCTGGGTGACACAGCAAGACTCTGTCTCAAAAAAAAAAAACAAAAGAAACATAGAAACAGTCTTTTAAGAGGAGAATGAAATGTAATCATGTAATCAACCCATGCTTTCCAAATAAAAACTTGCATGAAAAGTAAGACAAGTTAAACATTTGTGTATCTTTTTCTGTATTTTATTTTTATTAAGAAAAAAATTAAGTGACTTGCCCAGGGTTAGAAAAGCAAAGTGATTCACCCAAGGACACAGCAAATCAGTGATGGAACTGAGTTTTAACCTTATTACTCTTCAAAAGATAGACTTCCCATTACATAAACTACCTCCTGTGAAGGTGGGGGAAGAGAAGGATGGTTGGTATGGCAGGTATCAAGACTGAGCCTCAGGCCGGGCACAGTGGCTCACGCCTGTAATCCCAGCACTTTGGGAGGCCGAGGCGGGCGGGTCACGAGGTCAGGAGATCGAGACCATCCTGGCTAACACGGTGAAACACCGTCTCTACTGAAAATACAAAAAATTAGCCAGGCATGGTGGCGGGCGCCTGTAGTCCCAGCTACTCAGGAGGCTGAGGCAGGAGAATGGCATGAACCCGGGAGGCGGAGCTTGCAGTGAGCCAAGATCACGCCACCTCACTCCAGCCTGGGTGACAGAGCAAGACTCCATCTCAAAAAAAAATGAGCCTCAGTGCTGCTGCTGCATCACCCATCCCCCCCTTTAAGGAAACAAAGAAATGACAGGAGTCACAACAAAATCTGTGAAACAGAGAACTACGTGCAATCTATCTTGTAAGTGAGCACAACACACCCTCCCCTTCTAGCAATCGGTTCTACCTTAATTTGGTTAAACACAGGACAAAACCTGTTACAAAAAGGCTTCATACTCTCATACCTTCACTCAGCCTTGCTGTTACAAAAATACCTCCTCCACCCCAGGAAGGGCATTTTACCCATTCCAAGGGCTCAGGTTACGCAAATTACATTTGGAAACCGATTTTTATCAAAACCTGCTTTTCAGACTGTGATGAAGGCCAGATTTAGGAAATGGAGAATACAGCCACTCGCTTGACCAAAATTTTATTGACAACTAAGGCAATCTGGAACTTGCCTGGCTAAAGGGTATTTAAAACAAAAGGGATCTGTTTCAACTGGATTACTAGTTCCAACTCTCTGATCAGTTGTACATTCTAAGGACTGACTCCAATCAGTTTCATGAGGTTGCCACTATCTGAAATGAAGGCCTCAGGCTGTACAGCAGAATTGAAATTGGGAACAGGTACCCTCAAAATTTCATTTGCAAACACAGAATTTAAACACAAATAATAAAAAAATCATCGCACTGTTCCTCTATTTACATACCATGTCCATTCCACCGCACATACTACTATAAAATTCCATTTCCAAGGTCACACATGGAGTTCCTCAGAGGACATTTCTAAAAATTGACATCAGCTGAATGAAAACAAGTGAGCAATTTACAAGACTGATGGACTATTTGGGAGTTATTCTTACTGATCACTAGTGTGAAAGGAAAATAAAAGTCTGGGAGCCCAATTTACTATGCCAAAGGAAAAAAAAATTAAGCTGAAAGTTGAGTCATGCAAGAAGCTGCCTTTCCTTTTGTTCCTAAGCAGATAGCTACAGATAAAATGTTACCTATCTCCATGGGCAGCAACTCTATGTTCACCTTATCTTAAGTAAAGTGCTGATTTACTGAGATGAATACATAATTGACTATTCCCCTAGCTGCTCCTTTTCTCTTGCAACATGTGGATTCAGTAATGTGACCATACCTTTCCCCTTTCCCCTCCAGCCTGCTTTTCCCGTTTCAATTCTAAAACCCTCTTTGGAGAAAGGCACAGACCTGTCTACTAGGCGTGTCCTTAAACCTTGGCAAAATAAACTTCTAACTTGATTGAGACCTGTCTTTGATACTTTTTGGTTTACACTAGAAGAAAAAATGAGAAAAAGACAAAAGAAAATGTTACTGATGCCATTAACTGTGTAGGCCTAGAAACAAACTACAATGAACTGAAATGAATCCAGGAAAAAGGCTACTCCATCATCTGACTTCTCAACTGTAGGTGAGGGCAAGAAAACAAAAATTCAGAAGACAGTCCTTAATTCCCTTCTTATCTCCTCTATGTGGGGATCTCTGAATTAGAAACTAAGCTGTTATTTGTAATACAAGGTTTTCATTTTCATAGCAAACTTAGGTTTTCTAGTTGGAGAAATCTATTATTTGTCTTATGTCACTGGAAACTTTTAAGGATTCCTTGTTTACTTGGTGGGGGGTGGGGGGGCAGGGAAACAGTTGCTTGAATCTAAGGCAAAAATATAAATCGTTCTCAGTGGAAAAAATATACAGGCATTTCATTCATAGATAGCTTGGATCCATGCACTGTATCTAAACAAATAAGTATTTTTGAAGTTGGAAGTATAAAGCAGACATTGATTATTTAAAATTCTTACTTCTTGTCTCAAATCATTGCAACATTTACTCACTGAATAAATATTTGAGAGCCCCTCTATGCCCTTTATGTATCTCATGGCAGTGGAGGAGATGGACATCAATCCCATAATTTAAATACAGAGCAGTCAATACTAAACTAGCAAGAGACGATGTAGTGGACACTGAAGAGTGAATGAGTCATTCTGGAGATAGATGGGGAGGCAGAAGGAAAGATTATCTAGAAGAGGTATCACCTGAACTGAGCCTTAGAGTAGAAGTATGTCAAAAAGAATTTCAGCCAGAGGGAAGAGTACAGACAAAAGGGCTTGCTGGCTGTGGGTATTTAACTGTGTCTTAGGAGTGGGTTAGTTGAGGTAGTGGGAGATGAGGAGAGCCACAATGAACACAAACATGCAATTCTGGAGTTAGATTGACCTGAGGAGTCCTTCTGTAGGGAGGCTGTGGGCATGGATGCGATTGCAGAGGACAGGATATGAAGAGAGACTGGAATCTGCAGTAGATATCTTTCTGGCTGTCTGCTCAGCCCACACCAATCTTTTCTTTGAGAGCAGCCACTGCCCTGCCTGTGGGGCACTATGTTTACACTGCTAGACAAGTTGACTGGACCAGGGACAGATAATGGCCACTGCTGACGGGACTGGAAAAAGGCACTGGTTTAATGCAATTCTCTCTATTGCCAAGATTTCACAGGGCTTGCTAACTTCGGATGAGAGTGAGCTGTGAGGTGACTAGTGAGATGGCTTTGTTCCTGAAAAGCAAAGGATATTTGTCTAGGTGGTAGTGGTGATCATGAGGGTTAGGGGATGAAGTAAAGCAGAGGTACTATGCTTCATGGCTTCAGAGGGGCTGAGAGTAGTTCCTGTGGCTCCTGATGACTCCTGCCATCCCTCCTGAATCCCAACTCTTCCATGTTTCTCTGTGTTCCATGCTCTAACCCAGTTTCTTTCCAATAACTTCCATTCAGGGCTTGAGCTAGTTAAGTTTGATGAGTTTCTCTTACTTACCATAAAAAAAAAAAATTGACTATGACAGACCTTAATGAAAGCCTGCCTATATTTAGAGATCAGGAAGAACAAGAAGAGATAGAAAAAAGGTACCCTAGGAGCAAAGGAAAATATGGACAGTACAATGCCAGGGAAGTCAAGGAAACAAAGAGCTGTACTAAACAGAGAGCAGTCAACAGTATGGAGAAACTGAGGCTATGAACTGAGAACAGGCTGAGGGACGAGGCAAAAGGCAGAGCTGGGACTACTGCCTCTGTGCAAAATTTAGGCAGGTGCCAAAACACTCAATCGATATAAATATTTTAATACAAACTTTAAAAATCAAAATACAAAATTAATGCAAGAAAAAGTTTTAAACAGATGACTATCACTAGAATTTTCCTTTTGCCTCAAGGCTCCAATAATGGCCTGGTATGGCAATCATACTAATCTTGTCACTAATCATCTAAAGACAACTTCAAGAACATGGAGGGAAGGAGGTAGATTTCAAAATGTCAAGAAAAAGGTAGGAACAACTGCTAGAGACTATTCTTTCCAATATGTTTGATGAGAGAACCTCCATTTTGCAAGTGAGGAAACTGAATCACAGGGAAATGATTACCCAAGGTCATACGAATTGAGAACACATGAAGAAAGTGAGAATCAAACCTGGTTTCTTGCCCTTTTCGACTCCACAGTGGGCTTAGCTTAGTGGAGGAGATCTGTGGTATGTTCGCACACGTCAGTGGAAGGAATTCCAGCAAATTAATTGGGTGTCAGCAGTACTTCTATAATGAAGCATTTCCACAGGCAAAACAGGCAAGGTGAATTTTCTAGAAATTCGTAAGGGCAAGCTATAGACAAACTGGAGCTCTAAGAAGCTACAGGAAGAGCACTGTGGACATGACAGAGATGATGGTCTTTTCCAAGGTCTGAGGAAAAGGTCACCAGAAATCCTGGGTATTGGAAACTATGAAATAATTGTTTTTCCAACCAAAAAATGAGCATCAAAAAGCATTAAAGTGAGGCCTGAAGGATACTGAGTACGGTTTTGGCATTAGGAAGATTAACTGTGCAACACGAGACTTCATGGTCTTTGCAATTTACTTGTTCTGAACAGTTCATGGTTCAAAGTTGTATTAAGCTGAAACTTTTATAACTAAAAATAGCTGCCAACTTCTAATATCTTCACAGCGACAATGGGGTGGGAAAAAAGAAGGCTCACAGGATCTAGTCTTTGGAGGAAAAATCATCTCTGAATCCCCCCTGGGTAATTCATCTGAAAATGGTAAATGGGCAAAGTACGAAGCCCTCAGCTCTTTTGTCTGAAGAGAGCTGTGAACGCTGTAATTTCTCCTACATGGGTAAAATTTCAGTGCTTCAGTGCTTAAAGGGGTATCAAGAGATCATCTACTCCAACCTAAGGAATGAACACTAGCATACTTCCATAAGTAAGGCATTCACTACCTCACAACTACATAACAGCTTGGACTATTATTAAGTTCTTCCTTATTCTAACTTGAAATCTTTCACCCTGTAACTTTCTGCCTACTAGACCTAACTCCGCTCTCTGAGGCCCCATGGGACAATCTTTCACAGAAGACAACAACATGGTCCCCTAAGCTTTCTCTTTCATGCAGTAACTATTTACTGAGGAAGCCAACATTCGTGTTCCCTTTAAAAGTATTTCATAGGGCATGTCTTTCTGACACCTATCTTCATTATCTTCCTCCACATTTTTATGTCCGAGTTCTTTTTAAATACAGCCGCTACATTGTAATAGTGAAAAGTTGGGCAACCTAAATACTAATCTATAGGAGAGGAGAATGATTAAGTAAACTAACATACATATACAATGGAATAAGCAATCACTTAAAAAGGATAAGACACATCTCAAAAACCACTGTTTTTTAAAGCCGTAACATATATACATATGAACATACACATGCATGCTTTGGTATATACATGGATAAAACTTTGGAAGCAAATTTACCAAACTATTATCAGTGATTATTAGGGTAGAGAGGGAGAATGAAGGGCACAGAGGACAGACAAGAGGACATTTTTACTCTATTTTCTCTTTAGCACAAGTATGTACTACTTTTGTGCTAAAAACATCAATATGTAAATATGTACTGACACTGGAATATTTGTACTGACACTGGAATGTTTCTTTATTGCTGAATGAAAAAAGCAGACATTAACCTTTTCTCTCCACCAGGAATATAAATTTCAAAGACAGGGACTATGTCCTGCGTACTCTTATATCCTAAGACTTAGCAAAGTAGGTGCTCAGAAATACTGTTGAATGGGTATATGTATGAATGAATGAATGGCACCTATATGTTTGTCATATTAGAAATTATGACACTGGTTTCAGAGTTTCAAGATACTTCCCAGATGTCACACTTGCTAGATACCACTCTGATCAGAGGCAGGAGGTAGTAGAAAGAATATTAGATGAGGAGTAAGAATTTAGTCTTAACTATAATATTACTGAAGGAGCCTTAGCAGAGTCATTTAACTCCTTTATCTAATTTCATAACTGCATTTTTACAGTAACTTTCCTACATGAGCTTGAACATCTCCAGTGATAAAGAGCTTACTTCCTTATTTGATGCTAAAATATAATTCCCTGCAATGAAGACATCCTGGTCTTAATATAATCTGTGAACACTGAGCAACCTGCCCAAGCCTGCTCCCTCCCGTTTTCCACCAAGAGTTTGACAACCTTTGGAGTTTAATACCCCTAGTCCCACAACTGATTTATATATCATTTCCCCATCACAGTGGGTGGCCATCTGCCTTTCCTCTGGACATATTCTTGCTTGGAAATGCCACATGAAAATATCATGCTCAGAATCTACTGTGGCTTGATGAGTACAGGAAAGAGAGGGAAATCATTCTTCCCACTCCCTTTTGGATACTACGTTTTAAATGAATGCAATAGAATTTATTACCTTTCGGGTATAAAGTATACACTCTACAACTGCATAAAAGATAATGGGTTAATATTATTGATCAGTCCTGAGTGTATAGTAACTCAAACCTCTCAGTCCTTTTTATTTTCTACTGCTAAGCTGGCTGATTCACATCCTGTAATGGTAAGCTAGGTCTTTGCACGAAACACAGACTTGTTTATTGCCTTGAGTCACTGTGATGTTCCTGCCTATTGAAATATGGGCTTTCCCTCTTAGCTCTGGGACATCAAAAGAAGCCTACCGCCTGTATTACACATCTGTACTCCCCACCTTCATACAAAATTGGTGAGGATTAAGCTAGGCCTGTGATCTCAGGCTGGTCACTAATTTCTCTATCAAAACCTAGTACAGTATATAGTGATTAAGAGCGTGGGCTGTGAAGTCAAACTGCCTGGATTAAAACCTGAGCTTTGGCCGGGCGCAGTGGCTCATGCCTGTAATCCTAGCACTTTGGGAGGCTAAGGCGGGCAGACTGTCTGAGCTCAGGAGTTCGAGACCAGCCTGGGCAACATGGTGAAACCCTGCCTCTACTAAAAGACAAACAATTAGCTGGACATGGTGGCACGCGCCTGTAGTCCCAGCTACTCAGGAGGCTGAGACAGGAGAATCGTTTGAACCCAGGAGGCAGAGGTTTCAATGAGCCGAGATCACACCACTGCCTTCCAGCCTGGGTGACAGATCGAGACTCTGTCTCAAAAAAATAAAAAATAAAAAATTAAATCTCAGCTTTAACATTTACTGAATGTGTCATATTGCTTAATCTACATGTCTTAGTCTATATTGCTTAGTCTCTCCATGCCTCAGTTCTTCAGCTATAAACTGGGGATAACAATAGTACTTTTATCACATCGTAACTGTGAGGACTGAGTTATTACATGTAATGTGAACAGAGTTAATACATGTAAAGTACATGTACTTGGAATATAGTAAATGCTCAAACATGTGAGCTATTATTATTATTGATATCATATTGTCACCACTTTGTCTCAGGATACCCATCAGTAAAATGAGGACCATTACTTTACCTAAAAAGCTCCTATGAGAACCAAATAGGAATGTATGAAGGAGCGCCCAGGAATTGTAAAGTGCAGGGTGCCTCCAAGCGATTCATCTGAGTGAGCTTCTAATTCTTGCATGCCTGGGGCGTACTGGGTTTGCCCACCTAGCAGGTACAGTCAGGTAGTGAAAAGCATCTTATCACAGCAGTGTCACCTATCTGGTTCTCCTCAGTAGCCTCACTGCTCCCCATTACATCTACCTGCAGTTCAGGATGACTGCCTGGATTAGAGAACCAACATTTACTTACTGAGCTTTTACAGTAAGTTGTCCTTAAAGTTTTCTTTCCCCTTGTTTTATTTTTACTGTAACTATGAAGCCAAAAGTAAAAGCAACACAAGCTTTGTTTTGTTTTGTTGTTTTTTGTTTCTGAGACGGAGTTTCACTCTGTCACCAGGCTGGAGCACAGTGGCACAATCTCGGCTCACTGCAACTTCCACCTCCCGGGTTCAAGCGATTCTCCTGCCTCAGTCTCCCGAGTAGCTGGGACTACAGGCGCGTGCCACCACGCCCAGCTAATTTTTTGTATTTTTAGTAGAGACGGGGTTTCACCATGTTAGCCAGGATGGTCTCGATCTCCTGACCTCATGATCTGCCCACCTTGGCCTCCCAAAGTGCTGGGATTATAGGCGTGAACCACCGCGCCCAGCCAAGCAACACAAGCTTTGTATCCCAGTTAGTCATTATTTTAGCTGTGTGACTTAATGTCTCCGAGCTTTGGTTTCCTAATCTATAAACCTATCTACTTTACTGGATTTTTGTGAGAATTAAGAGATTAGAATAGGTAAAAGACTTGTAGAGTGCTGGTAAATGGAGATGTGAATCAATAACTTTAGTCTGGGCTCAATGGCTCATGCCTGTGAATCCTAGTTGAGATTAGGGAGGCCAAGACAGGAAGATCATCCGAGCTCAGGAGTTTGAGACCAGCTTGGGCAACATAGGGAGACGCCATCTCTATAAAAAATTAAAAATTAGCTAGCCGTGGTGGTGTATGCCTGTAGTCCCAGGTACTCGAGAGGCTGAGGTGGGAGGATCACTTGAGCCTGGGAAGTTGAGGCTGTGGTGAGCCATGACTGCATCACCACATTCCAGCCTGGGGAACAGAGCGAGACCTCATCTCTATTAAAAAACCAAAACACCAAATGTAATTGTATTTTATTATGACTATGCTTATTTCTCCAGCCAGGGGCCGTAGTTCTTTCTGGAAATATCTTCCATAAATTTGAGTTTTAATTTATAGGCCTCTATTAGAGAGGTGAAAATACACTCAGTGCAATTATACCAAACAGCTAAACCAGAGTAGCCATAACATCCTTTAGGAAAGTGTATGCACACTTTTTCCCACACAAAAAAATTCTTTGAGTCTCTTCCAAAGAAAATCCCAGAACTTTCACTGGCATGATTTCCAACTGTCAAAATCCTGAGATTCCATCACCAGATACTGAATTAGTAGTTGATTTGGCTACTGAGGTTTTTCACTGATAAGAGTATTACTGACTCTGAGGGTTGGTGTTTGTTATATATCTCAGTCCTTTGTGACTTCTCTAATTACTTAGTTCTGGATTATGGAGCCATTAAATTTCAGAGCCAGAGGGGACTTTACAAATAAACTAGTTTGTCCTCCTCACTTTACAGATGGAGAAACTGAGTCCAGAAAAGGAAAGTAATTTGTACATGTTTGTATAAGTAACCTCTATACTACAGCTGCCTCTGCATTTCATTTCGCCTTTAAATGACCTATGTATCTGTAACACTCAGTGGTTGCTATTCTGGACCACATGAATTTGACTACCAAACTTTCTATTCTCGTAAATTGATGGCTCATTGCAGAAATTGGGAAAACTGGTGATCATCATCAGTGTTTAAGGGCAGCTTCCTGAAATTTAAGGATAAATTAAAGCTGAAGATAGATGGGCTCTCAGAATTTCTATATAGCTTCACACTGAAATCCTTAAAACAGATATGTAAATTCTACGTGAACAGATATCTTCTCTGTCCTGATGACTGCTGGATCTATTCATGGAGTCTTACAAAGTGAAAGCACTAAGAACATTTGCTAAATGAATGGAAGAAACTGGACAAACATCTGAATTCTCCCCTTTTTGAAGCACTTTTGTACCTTGATTTCCAAGACAATAGTCTTCTGCTTTTCCTCCTCTTTCTCAGATCAACAGTTTTTCAGTCTCTTTTACTGAGTACTCTTTGGGACTTCCAAACATTGGAATGTCTCCTGGGGTTAGTCCATGGACCTCTTTTCTACCAATATTCTCTCTTTAGGTGACTTTAGACTGCCATATAGTAGTAATGCCTAAAAGTGGATCCTTAAACCAAAACTCCCCCTTGAGCTCCAGAGGCCTGTATCTACACTGCCCATTTAACATCTCCATTTAGCTTTCTAATAGGTATCTCAAACTTAACAGCCAAACGGAACTCTAGATTCTATTCCTACCTCCCATATCAACATGTTTCTTGGGAAAAGTTGTATCTTAGTAAATAAAACCAAAATCCATTAGTTATTAAATACTAAAATCTAGGAGTCATTCCTAATTCCTTTACTTTCTTTTACATTTCATCATCCAAACCATAAGGAAACCCTATCAATTCTCCCTCCAAAACAGATCTAAAATCTATTCTCAATCTCCACTACTAAAAGCCCTGGCTTATGCCACCATCATCTCTCATTTCATGACCATTTAGTCTACTAAGTAGTCTCCTTCCTTCTCTTAGACTCCCTACAATTCATTTTCCAATCTATTCTATAATGTAGTCAAATGGATCCTTAAAAATTCTTCTGTTCAAAACACTCTACTTCCTCTAGAAGATGAAATAAAACCTAGGGCCTACATATAGCCCTATATCATGAGGCTCTAGCCTAAATCTCTGGCCCAATTTAATCCTACCCTTCCCCCACTCACTATGCCACATACTGGAAATAATCCTTTCTCATTGCTAAAAGGGCAATTTATATCTAGGGAGAGGATTATAGGGGACTAGATCATAATATATCAATTCAATTGCTTACCATTCCTAAATCCCACAAGGTGCTATAGAATTGTGAGAAACTGCCAGGTGCCAGTGGCTCACACCTGTAATCCCGGCACTTTGGGAGTCTGAGACAGGTGGATTGCTTGAGCCCAGGAGTTCAAGACCAGCCTGGGCAACATAGGGAGACTCCATCTCTACTGATAATTCAAAAAGTTAGCCAGGCATGGTGGCATGCACCTGTGGTCCCAGCTACCTGGGAGGCTTAGGTGGAGGATTGCCTGAGCTCAAGAGTTTGAGACTAGCCCTGGCTACATAGCAAGATCCTGTCCCTACAAAAAATTTAAAACTTAGCCAAGTGTGGTGGCATGCACCTGTGGTCCCAGCTACATGGGAGGCTTAGGTGGAGGATTGCCTGAGCTCAAGAGTTTGAGACTAGCCCTGGCTACATAGCAAGATCCTGTCCCTACAAAAAATTTAAAACTTAGCCAAGTGTGGTGGCATGTGCCTGTAGTCCCAGCTACTCAGGAGGCTGAGTAGCTACTGGGAGGGTCACTTGAGCCTGGGAGGTTGAAGCTACAGTGAGTCATGGTAATGCCACTGCACTCCAGCCCTGGTGAGACCCCATTTCACAAAATAAAAAATAATAAAACTACATGTTAGAATGGCTAAAATTAAAAAAAAAATGACAATATCAAGTGATGGTGAAAATGTGGAGCAACTAGAACTCTCATACATGTAGCAAGTGAGAATACAAAATAATATAATCACTATGGAAAACAGTCTGATAGGTTCTTATAAAATTAAACATAGCCGGGCACGGTAGCTCATACCTGTAATCCTACCACTTTGGGAGGCTGAGGCGGGTGGATCACTTGAGGTCAGGAGTTGGAGACCAGCCTGACCAACATGGTGAAATGCCGCCTCTACTGAAAATACATAATTAGCTGGGCATGGTGGCGCGTGCCTGTAATCCAAGCTACTTGGGAGGCTGAGGCAGGAGAATCACTTGAACCAGGGAGGCAGAGGTGGTGGTGAGCTGAGATTGCACCATTGCACTCCAGCCTGGACAACAAGAACTAAACTGTGTCTCATAAATAAACAAACAAACAAACAAACAAAGATTTACCATATGACCTAGCAATTCTACTCCTAGTTATTTAACACAGAAAAATGAAAAATTAGGTTCAAACACAAACTAGTACATGAATATTTATAGCACTTCTATTTATAATCATCCCAAACTGTAAATAACCAAATATCCTTCAATGGGTGAATGGATCAACAAACATATAACAGAATACTACCCAGCAATTAAAAGAATAATAAACTATTAATACATATAACAATATGCCAGTTTCAAAAGATTACATACTCTATTATTTCATTCATATGACAGTCTCCAGAAGATAAAATTACAGTAATAGGGAACAGGGAACAGATCTGTAGCTGCTGTGGGTTAGCAGTCAGCTGAGGGTATGACCACAAAATGACAGCATGAAAGAAGGTTTTTTTTTTGAGGTAAAGAAATGGTTCTGGCTAGAAAATACTATTTTAAAATTCATATGGAACCAAAAGCACAATAGCCAAGGCAATCCTAAGCAAAAAAGAACAAAGCTGGGCCAGGCGTGGTGGTTCACACCTGTAATCCCAGCACTCTGGGAGGCCTAGGTGGGTGGATCACTTGAGGTCAGGGGTTTAAGACCAGCTTGGTCAACATGGTGAATTCCCATCTCTACTAAAAATATAAGAAGTAGCCAGCCATGGTGGCTCACGCCTGTAATCCCAGTTACTCAGGGGGCTAAGGCAGGAGAATCGCTTGAACCCAGGAGGCAGAGGTTGTTGTGAGCCAAGATCGCGCCACTGTACTCTAGCCTGGGCAACAGAGTGAGACTCCAACTCAAAAAATAATAATAATAATAATAATAAAGAATAAAGCTGGATGCATCATGCTACCTGACTTCAGACTATACTACAGGGATACAGTAACCAAAATAGTATGGTACTGGTATGAGAACAGACACACAGACCAATTGAACAGGATAGAGAACCCAGAAATAAGACTGCATGCCTACAGCCATCTGATCTTTGACAAACCTGACAAAAACAAGAAATGGTGCTGGAAGAACTGGCTAGCCATATGCAGAAAATTGAAATTGGATCCCTTCCTTATACCATATACAAAAATCAACTCAAGATGGATTAAAGACTTAAATGTAAAACCCAAAACTATAAAAACCCTAGAAGAAAACCTAGGCAATACCATCAGTACATGGGAAGAGGCAAAGATTTCATGATGAAGATGCCAAAAACAATTGTAACAAAAGCAAAAATTGACAAATGGGATTTAATTAAACTAAAGAGCTTCTGCACAGCAAAAGAAACTATCATCAGAGGCCGGGCACAGTGGCTCACGCTTGTAATCCCAGCACTTTGGTAGGCCGAGGCAGGCGGATCACGAGGTCAAGAGATCGAGACCATCTGGCCAACATGGTGAAACCCCGTCTCTACTAAAAATAGAAAAATTAGCTGGGCATGGTGGTGCATGCCTGTAGTCCCAGCTACTCGGGAGGCTGACACAGGAGAATCACTTGAACCCAGGAGGGGGAGGTTGCAGTGAGCCGAGATCACGCCATTGCACTCCAGCCTGGAGACAGAGCAAGACTCCGTCTCAAAAAACAAACGAACAAACAAAAAGAAACTATCATCAGAGTAAACAGACAACCTACAGAATGGGAGAAAATTTTTGCAATCTATCCATCTGACAAAGGTCTGATATCCAGAATCTACAAGGAATTTAATCAAATTTACAAGAAAAAAACCAACCACATTGAAAAAGTGGGCCGAGGATATGAACAGACGCTTCTCAAAAGAAGACATTTATGAGCCGACAAACATGAAAAAAAGCTCAACATCAATGATCATTAGAGCAATGCAAATCAAAACCACAGTGAGATACCATCTCACATCAGTCAGAATGGCAATTATTAAAGAGTGAAGAAACAACAGATGCTGGCGAGGCCGTGGAGAAATAGGAATGCTTTTATACTTTTGGTGAGAGTGAATATTAGTTCAACCATTGTAGAAGATGTTGTGGTGATTTCTCAAAGACCAAGAACCAGAAATACCATTCGACCCAGCAATCCCATTACTGGGTATATAACCAAAGGAATATAAATCATTCTATTATAAAGACATATGTACATGTACATTCATTGCAGTACTATTCACAATAGCAAAGATACAGAAACAAACTAAATGTCCATCAGTGATAGACTGGATAAAGAAAATGTGATACATATACACCATGGAATACTAGTCAGCCATAAAAAAGAACAAGATCTGCAAGGACACAGATGAAGCTGGGGGCCATTATCCTTAGCAAACTAACATGCGAACAGAAAACCAAATACCGCATGTTCCCACTTATAAGGAGGAGCTAAATGATGAGAACACACGGACACATAGAGGGGAACAACACACACTGGGGCTTACCAGAGGGCAGAGGGTGGGAGGAGGGAGAGGATCAGGAAAAATAACTAATGGATGCTAGGCTTAATACCTGGGTGATGAAATGATCTGTACAACAAACCTCCATGACACACATTTACCTATGTAACAAACCAGCACATCCTGCACATGTACCCCTGAACTTAAAAGTTAAAAAAAAAAAAAGAAATGGTTCTGGGCCAGGTGGAGTGGCCCATGCCTGTAATCCTAGCACTTTGGGAGGCCAAGGTGGAAGGACTGCTTGAGGCCAGGAATTTGAGACCAGCCAGGCCAATACAGTGAGACCTCATCTCTATTAAAAAGAAAACAAATTAGCTGGGCATGGTGGTGTGTGCCTGTAGTCCCAGCTACTCAGGAGGCTGAGGCAAAAGGATTGTTTGAGCATAAGAGTTCAAGGTTGCAGTGAGCTGAGATTGCATACTGCAAAAGAACAAGACCCCATCTCTCTAAAGAAAAAAAGAAAGAAAATGGTTTTGTATCATCACTGTGGAGGTGGTTACAGAGATTACACAAATCTATATTCACAGAAGAGTACGCCCTTCCCCCCCAAAGCACTCAATTTTTCTGTATGCTAATTGTACAATGAAGTTAAAAACAAAAGCACCCCAAATTATCTATCCAAAAACATTATAATGCTTTGGCCATTAGGTAATCAACATTTCACAAGATGTAAGTAAAAATACAATGATTGCTCAGCAAATCACGCACCCACCCACCCACACCCACACCCACCCCTTGCTCTAGAAAACCAAAAGAAACCTTTCAATTAGTGGGAAAAGTTTGGATAAGATATTCAGACTCTATTTTTCCATTCATTAAGAAAATACAACAGACTCCCTTTCTGTTGGGAACACTCCCCTAGAGGACAGATGACTCCTTCACAGAGTATAACTTCTTACAACCACTTAACCGAGGCCTCTCCCTCTGTAGTACCTGGCAATTTGTAACAAGGTTAAGTAAGGCTATAGCATGCTCTCCCTAAATCCCAGGACAGTTTCTTGAAGTGTTAAACCTCCAGCATCTAGGCCTCTAGTTCTGAGGCAGAACTGTGCTTGTGCTCCTTTCTAGCAAGGTACATTAATCTCTTCAACATATTCAGAAGAAGACTGACAGGAATGTGAGGGGGGCTCTCTTCTGTTTAGGGGCAGGGGCATCCACTCACAGATCAAAGTTCTCTCTAGGGTTTCCCTTGTATCTAGAACCAAACAATACTTCTGTCCTATATGAGTCTTAGAACTCACGGCATACTCGGTCAGGTTGTTTCACATTGTCAGGCATGTGCTCATGCTGCTCCTCTGCTTAGGAGACCCTTTGCCACTTCACCAGCCTGGCAAACATCTATCAGTCTCTCAGGATGACTTCCTGAGTGAGGCCTAACCTGATAGCCCTCTGCACAACTTCTGTACTCACAAATGAGCACTCTGCCCTCTGCACAGCTTCTGTACTCTACAGTATTGCTATCAGTATGCCCCGAACACTTCATTACACTTATTTATGTGAGGATCTATTTCCCTCTGCTAGACTTGGGTATATCACAGGGCAGGGAGAGAGTCTTATTTTTTCTGTATCCCTAATGCATAGCTCAATACCAAGCACAGAGCAATCACTAGTGAACATCAGTTGAATGAAAGAACAGTGCATGAGCATACATCATTTTATTGCACTTGGCTTTTTTTTTTTTTTTTTGAGACAGAGTCTCACTCTGTCACCCAGGCTGGAGTGCAGTGGGTGGCGCAATCTCAGCATCTCAGCTCACTGCAACCTCCACCTCCCACGTTCAAGCGATTCTCCTGCCTCAGCCTCCCGAGTAGCTGGGATTACAGGCGTATGCCACCACACCCAGCTAATTTTTGAATTTTTAGTAGAGACGAGGTTTCACCTTGTTGGCAGGATGCTCTCGATCTCCTGACGTCATGATCTGCCCTCCTCGGCCTCCCAAAGTGCTGGGATTACAGTGTGAGCCACCGCGCCCAGCCACTTTATTGCATTTTTTACAAATTGAAGGTTTGTGGCAACCCTGCATCAAGGAAGTCTCATCAGTACCATTTTTTCCAAAAGCATGTGCTCACTTTGTGTCTCTGTGTCACATTTGGTAAGTCTTGTAATATTTCAAACTTGTTCATATTATTATATCTGTTATGGTCATCTGTAATCAGTGATCTTTGATGTTAGTAATTGTTTGGGGGTGCCACGAACCGCACCGAAATAAGATGGTGAACTTAATCGAAAAATGTTGTATGTGTTCTGACTGCTCCACTGACCAGCCATTCCCCCATCTCTCCTTCTCTCCCCTTGGGCCTCTCCATTCTCTGAAACCCAACAACATTGAAATTAGGCCAGTTAATAACCCTAGAAAGGCCTCTATGTGTTCAAGTGAAAGGAAGAGCCACGTCTCTCACTTTAAATCAAAAGCTAGAAATCGTTAAGCTTAATGAGGAAGGCACGTCAAAAGCAAAGATAAGCCGAAAGCTAGGCCTCTTGCTCCAAAGAGCCAAGCTGTGAATGCAAAGGAAAAGTTCTTGAAGGAAATTAAAAGTGCTACTCCAGTGAACACACAAATGATAAGAAAGAAAAACAGCCTTATTGCTAACATGGACAAAGTTTTAGTAGTCTGGATAGAAAGGCAAACCAATCACAACATTCTGGAAAGGCAAACCAATCACAACATTCTGTTAAGCCAAAGCTAATGCAGAGCAAGGCCCTAACTCTCTTCAATTCTATGATGGTTGAGAGAGGTGAGGAAGCTGCAGAAGAAAGGTTTGAAGCTAGCAGAGGTTGGCTCACGAGGTTGAAGGAAATAAGCTGTCTCCATTACTTAAAAGTGCAAGGTGGGCCAGGCGCAGTGGCTCATGCCTGTAATCCCAGCACTTTTGGAGGCCAAGGCAGGCAGATCATGAGGTCGGGAGATCGAGACCATCCTGGCTAACACGGTGAAACCCCGTCTCTACTAAAAATACAAAAACAAAATTAGCCAGGTATGGTGGCAGGCACCTGTAGTCCCAGCTACTCGGGAGGCTAAGGCAGGAGAATGGTGTAAACCCAGGAGGCAAAGCTTGCAGTGAGCCGAGATCACGCCACTGCACTCCAGCCTGGGTGACACAGCGAGACTCCATCTCAAAAAAAAAAAAAAAGGGGGGGGGGGGCAAGGTGAAGCAGCAAGTGCTGATGTAGAAGCCGCAGCAAGTTATCCAGAAGATCAACGATGAAGGTGGCTACACTAAACAACTGATGTTCAGTATAGATGAAGGGGCCTTATATTGGAAGAAGACACCATCTACGGGCTTTCATAGCTAGAGAGAAGTCAATGCCTGGCTTCAAAAAATAGGCTGACTCTCTTGCTAGAAGCTAATGCAGCTGGTGACTTTAAGTTGATGCCAATGCTCACTGACCATTCAGAAAATCCTAGGACCCTTAAGAATTATGTTAAATCTACTCTACCTGTGTTCTATAAATGGAACAACAAAGCCTGGATGACAGCATGTATGTTTATAGAATGGTTTACTAAATATTTTGAGCTCACTGTTGAGACCTACTGCTCAGAAACAAAGATAACTTTAAAAATACTGCTGATTGACAATGCATCTGGTCACCCAAGAGCTCTGATGGAGATGTACAAGCAGATGAATGTTGTTTTCATGTCTGCTAACATAACATCCATTCTGTAGCCCAAGAATCATGGAGTAATTTTTGACTTTCAAGTCTTATTATTTAAGAAATACATATCATAAGGCTATAGCTGCCATAGATAGTGATTCCTCTGATGGATCTAGGAAAAGTAATTTGAAAACCTTCTGGAAAGGATTCACTATTCTAGATGCCATTAAGGACATTTATGACCTCATAGGAGGTCAAAATATCAGTATTAACAGGAGTTTGGAAGAAGTTGATTCTAACCCTCATGGATGACTTTGAGGGGCTTCAGTGGAGGAAGTAAATGTAGAAGTGGGAACAACAGCTAGAAACTAGAATTAGAAGTGCATCCTAAAGATGTGGCTGAATTGCTGCAATTGCATGATAATTTTTTTTTTTTTTTCAAGACAGGGTCTCACTCTGTCACCCAGGCTGGACTGCAGTGGTGTGCAATCACAGCTCACTGTAGCCTCCATCTCCTGGGCTCAAGCAATCCTCCTGCCTCAGTCTGCCAAGTAGCTGGGACTACAGGCATGCGCCACCATGCCCAGCTAATTTTTTTTAAAATTTCAGTAGAGACGAGGTCTCACTATGTTGCCCAGGCTGGTCCCCAAGTCCTGAGCTCAAGCAATCCTCCTTCATTGGCCTCCCAAAGTGCTGGGATTACAGGTGCAAGCCACCACACCCAGCCCATGATAAAACTTTAATGGATGAGGAGTTGCTTCTTATGGAGGAGCAAAGAAAGAGGTTTCTTTGTAGATGGAATCTACTCCTGGTGAACACTGTTAAAATGACAACAAAAGATTTAGAATATTACATTAACTTCATTGATAAAGCAGCAGCAGGGTTTGAGAAGATTGACATGAATTTTGAAAGAGGTTCTACTGTGAATAAAATGCTATTAAACAGCATCGCATGCTACAGAGAAATTTTTCATGAAAGGAGGAGTCAATCAATAAAATCGGCTTCATTGCCTTATTTTAAGAAACGGCCATAGCCATCCCCCAACCTTCAGCAACCACCACCCTGATCAGTTAGCAGCCATCAACACTGCAGCAAGATCTCACAGCAGCAAAATGATTCACTGAAGCCTCAGATGGTCGTTTGCATTTTTTAGCAATAAAATATTTTTAAGTTAAGGTATGTAGGGTTTTTTTCTGACATAATGCTACTCCACACATAACAGACTATAGTATAAACACAACTTTTATATGCACTGAGAAACCAAAAAATTCGAGTGACTTGCTTTATTGTAGTGGTCTGGAACCAAACTCGCAATATCTCTGAGGTATGCCTATCGCTTCTCTATTTGCAAATCAAAGCACAGTTTATAAAAACTCCAGATGACAAACTGGTGAGCCAGCCCAGAGACCTTGTGCCAATGCTCAAAGCTCAGTAATCAGCTCCCTAGGTCCCTTCACAGTTCTGAGGCCCTCGTGAAAGAAGGACCAATTAGTATGCTTTAAGTGAAACCGGATGTTCTAAAAGGGTAAAAAATGTAGTTGCCCACTACCTTGCCAAAGGCCACTTTTTCCAAAATTCTCACCAGATTCAGAATAATGGGCCCCAAACACAGACGTGTGCATTATTGGCCATTCCCATTCTTATTTGCCCAGAAAGTGCTTTTGTAACTTCTTCCACATGTAACAATGTTCAGAGAAAGTGCTGGAGTCTGCATTCATCACTAAGACCGCAAATTATGAAGCTTCAACAATGCGAATGAGCACTCTTTTACACATTACATTCACATGACTTTACTAACGCAGCCATCAGAACCAAAGGTTCTGCTTCCCTAAGGCGCTGGATCAATAATTCCCCCCTCCCTACCAACAGTCTCACTTGCTCTGTAGCCTAGGTTGGAGTGCAATGGCAAGATCATAATTCAATGCAGCCTTGAACTCCTGGGCTCAAGTGATCCTCCTGCCTCAGCCTTTCAAGTCAACACTTTTACAAAACTAGAACTCCTCTCTCCTCAGCTCCTCACAAGACATTTATCATTCTCCAAAGTGCTCACTTTGGTAAGACTAATGGTTAGTGAAACTAACTAACTAATAAATCGAGTCTAAGTTCTTGTCAGCATATGATATATGATGGACTTTCCATACTAAAACTATTCTATGATAGATGGTTTTTCTCTCGCATCAGATTGGTAACCTATGGCAAATGTTTTAGTGTATGATTCCAAATGGCATGTGGAGACAAGAGCAGGAGTGCTGAGAGAAAATTAATTTCTACATATCCTAAAGGAACCTAGATCTAGAATTTTTCATGATGGAGTCTCACTCTGTTGCCCAGACTGGAGTACAGTGGCGCGATCTCCACTCACTGCAAGCTCTGCCTTCCGGGTTCACGCCATTCTCCTGCCTCAGCCTCCCGAGTAGCTGGGACTACAGGCGCCCGCCACCACGCCCGGCTAATTTTTTGTATTTTTTAGTAGAGACGGGGTTTCACCCTGTTAGCCAGGATGGTGTCGATCTCCTGGCCTCGTGATCCACCCGCTTCGGCCTCCCAAGTGCTGGGATTACAGGCGTGAGCCACTGCACCCAGGAACACGTCGTACTGTTAATATTCTAGGTTCCTGGCCCGGCGTGGTGGCTCACGCCGGTAATCCCAGCACTTTGGGAGGCCGAAGCAGGTGGATCACAAAGTCAGGAGATCGACACCATCCTGGCTAACAACGTGAAACCCCGTCTCTACTAAAAAATACAAAAAATTAGCGGGGAATGGTGGAGGGCGCCTGTAGTCCCAGCTACTCGGGAGGCTGAGGCAGGAGAATGGCGCGAACCCGGGAAGCAGAGCTTGCAGTGAGCCGAGATCGTGCCACTGCACTCCAGACTGGGCGACAGAACGAGACTCTGTCTCAAAAAAAAAAAAAAGAAAGAAAAAAAAAACAGTATAATGTGATGGTCAGTTTCTTAAGGTAACTGGTTCATGGTTCAAACAATGGTATGGCCAGACTATATCCAGTGACAGGAAAAGACACTCACTGTGGCACATCATCACCTCTCCCTCTTCCTGCTCCCAGTCGAATAAAAGAGTCGAGGATAGCAGATTTTCTTGTCAGCAGCAATTAACAACTACCTCATGGCAAAGTTAAAAACAAAAACAGGCCAGGCCGGTGGCTCACGCCTGTAATCCCAGCACTTTGGGTGGCTGAGGCGGGTGGATCACGAGGTCAGGAGATCGAGACCATTCTGGCTAACACGGTGAAACCCCGTCTCTACTAAAAACACAAAAAATTAGCCGGGCGCGGTGGCGGGCGCCTGTAGTCCCAGCTACTCGGGAGGCTGAGGCAGGAGAGTGGCGTGAACCAAGGAGGCGGAGCTTGCAGTGAGCCGAGATAGCACCACTGCACTCCGGCCTGGGCGAAAGAGCGAGACTCCGTCTCAAAAACAAACAAACAAAAAATAAAAAATAAAAAAAATAAACATAAATGCATATGATAGTGTACATGTACACATACTCTTATAATAATGACCAAGGCCAAGACTTGATGGCTACCACCTACTGGTTGCCAAGCCTTTCATTTGCATTGCTCTTCTTTCCACACTGACTTGTGCACATTTTGAGATTAAATGCTCACAGGAATGGTGTCTGCTTTTTTCTTTTTTCAAATATCTAAAACATACATTTTCTTGTGCAGTGGTTATTTAATATACCATAAATAAATATATCTGATACTTAATAAGTTATCCATAACTTATTAGCTCCTTTAAAAAGCAAAGCTGGCTGGGCACCTTGGCTCATGCCTGTAATCCCACCACTTTGGGAGGCCAAGGCAGGCAGATCATGAGGTCAAGAGATCGAGACCATCCTGGGCAACATGGTGAAATCCCGTCTCTACTAAAAATGCAAAAATCAGCTGGGCGTGGTGGCGCATGCTTGCAGTCCCAGCTACTCAGGAGATTGAGGCAGGAGAATCGCTTGAGCCCAAGAGATGGAGGTTGCAGTGAGCCGAGATCGCACCACTGTTCTCCAGCCTGGTGACAGAGCAAGACTCTGTCAAAAAAAAAAAAAAAAAAAAAAAAAAAAAGCAAAGCTAGTCTACTGTAGCCATCACACTGAAGCCACATGCTGAAACTTCATAGAAAGGAAAACATTTCGCTAATGGTAAATAGGATGCTAACAGAGAAACAGAAAAATGAGGTTTCGACTCTCTCTACATTTTTGCCAATTGTAATTCAGGCCTCTAATTTTACCATGTTAAGAAAAATATTAAAATATTCTATTTTGCAGCCATACATTTGGAAGAGCAAATAAGTCACAAGAAATACCTAGCAAAAGTAGTTAAAAAAAAAACCCAAAAAGCAAAAACCCTCAAAGAAATACAGGGCCCCAAAGTGAGAGCAAATCCCACTGCTAGCTCATCTTCTCCCCCAGTCACTCTCAAAAGCTCCACTTTTTAAGTGGTGAATATTCAACATCTGTTAAGCAACATTAAAACTATTTTTCCTTCTTTGTAGATCAAAAAGGAGATCTGTAGTTTAGGTGAGGAATTCTAACTCACCTCTGTTCCTAGTGCTTAGAAAATAGTAAATACTTCATGAATGTTAGCTGCATAATAATTTTATATACAGAGATTAGAATAACAAGCCATTGATATAACCCCTGAACCCAGAAGGCAGAGAGGTTGACAACTCCAAAGTTAGTAAGGCAATGATTAGCATGCTAACAACATTCCCAACTTCACTACTTCACAGTAAAGCTCCTGAGAAAGGGCTATCAAACATGGTCATGGCAACTGTCTTGGCATCTATTTATCTATCAAAACACAGGAAATTAAGACTAACTTTATTATCCTTCTTTTCCTGGTTATGATTTAACATCTCTGTTACCTTAAAGCCCATCCCCCTCTCCATTTTCTTCCAATCAACAGAACTGTAAAAGACTTTCTGTAGAGAAAAGGCCAGAAATTTTGCAGGGACCCATTCATGACTAATTATCACTACCACAGGAATAGCATATTAACACTGCAATTGGTTCTAGAAGGCTCAGCAGCTGGCCCCACTGGTTGTACAGCATTTTCAAGGCTAAATTTCCAAAGAGCCCCTCCCTTATTGTTGCTTACCGAATGGAGGCACTCCCTGGAGACCTTAGAGTATAAACACCACCAGCCATAGGCTCACCCAAGAATTCTCTTTTTCTTAATTTCCCTAAATTTGCTCCTCTTTGAAACTCATTTCAATTCAAGCCACATTAAGCATGTTCTGGGCACTCTTGACAGTTTTCTTATTTAATTCCCATAGCGGTCCTGTGAGATAGGTATTACTATCCTCTGTTGCATATATAAGGAAATTGAGGTTCATAGAGGTCAAGTGACTTGGCCAAGTGACAGAGTCAAGCTGATGAGGTTCTTTCTCCAACACCAGGAAGCCTGTAGCAAAGCCATATACGTAGCCAAGTTTTTATGAGCCATCTGGGCAACAGGGGACGAGTCCTTGCCACACAGACCAAGGGATCCATCCAGAGGCAACAGAAGCAGCAGTAGTTTTTGTTTTTTTGTTTTAATGGTTTAAAAATCCTACAGGAATTCTGATTGGTCCCACTAACAATCCATCGAGGCTCACCAGCCGGTTGACTCCTGACCTTCCATGCTTCTCATCCTAATTAATGCAAGGTCCTTGGATCACAGTGTGAGCATCAAGACCCTGTTAGAGTTAGCAATGACCTTTACATCTATCAGGCTTTTCAAAATATGTAAAACAGCTGTGCAGTGTGAACACCTCCCCCACCCCCCACCACACACCCTGACCAACTCTTAACCTTGAAATATGGGTAGATGCATTTTTCCTAATTATAGCGTTTTCCCCAAGTTTTTAGGAAATGACTTTTCACACAGCTAAAAACCATTTGAGATGTAGCTTTTCAATTGCCCAAGCAAACTACTGAGGCATGCAAAAAGAAGATTCTTGCAAATAGATTAATTTCCTCGGCTTAAAAAGAAACCCCAGTAGCAGGGGAACAGAAAAAAACGAATGATGTGAAAAAATTGGTGGTCGCGGGGTGGGAGATTGTTTGGTTGCCATATTTGTGCCTCTGATATCCTTTTGTTCTCCCACCTCATTGTATTAAGGATGCTAAATCAAACATGATTGCAGCGATGTTTGTGTGTGAAAATGACAAAAGCAATGGGCCAAAATCCCAACCTCATCTTGAACCCTGAGGACTTTTATGGCTTTTCCTTCACTAGGCCCTCCCCCTAATACACATTAAAGACCACATTGTTCAAAAGGGTCATGGTAGGTTTCATACCCCATTTTAACACAACGGAAATGGTAACTGAATTTCCAAGTTTTGTTAGTAATATTTGTATGTCCATGGAAAATGTCCATTAAAATAATCGATTCTTTGGTTTAAATATTAATGGAGAATTACAATATATCAGAGGGGCAGAATCAATTGTGTCAAGGAGGTACTGTTTGCGGTGATTAAATCAGATTTTCTTCCTGTACATCATTTTCCCCAGCAAAAGGGTACCGATTAGAGATGGGTTAAAAATATCCAGATGATGTGAGGCATCCAGATATTTTTCCTAGCCTCAAAATTGTCCAGATTATGTCAGTTTTCAACTCAAGAAGCCTAGAATAAACTAAACTTGCTAATTTCAAGCGCAGGTCTCCCCGCCTCCCCTTATTCCATTTGTCTGTCTGCAAGCCACATTATGGACCCCCAGTTCATTTATGCATTTATTCCTGGAAGATTTCAAGTTGGGAGAAGACTATTTAAGGCTGTTTAGGATTCCATTTTTCTCAGCTGTTACCAGTCAGTTGTCACCAGTACTTTGGAAGTTTAGTAGAAGAAAGGTGGCAATGACTCCATTACTCTTTCCAAATGCCATAAAGAATTTGCATCAAGAAAGTACCTAATGAATTAATGCCTTAGTCCTCTGGAAAAGGATACAGTAAAACAGGAATGTTACAGGGTTTGGGAAAGGGGAATCTGAAAAATGAAAATCTGGGCTGGAGTAAAAGAATAACAAACTTGGTAGTGTTTTAAATATCACAATTTCATTGGCGGAACTGCTCACTTTCCCAAGCTCAGGTGTTTTTGCTTAACACCCATATAACATGTATTAAGATGTGGCACGATATCACAACTTTAGTGCATTTAAAAATCAAATCTACAATTTTTGTAGAGTTCTTGACTATAAGTCTGGTTTAAATTATCTCAAAATAACACACTAGGAACATCTGTTTAGCTCAGTTGAAGTTTCGAGAGCCAATACCAGCTGTTCGGGGAGGGATTTCGCACATGTGTTACTCAAATCCTAACCAAATCTTAGTTTTTTCATTCCCTTAATGATGCCTCCAAAACCAACAGGGTAAAGCAAACATTAGAATAAAAAAGAAGAGAAAAAGGGAGGGAGGAAGAGAGCAGAGAGGGGGAGAGAGAGAAGAAAAAAGATTACTTACTCAATGCTTTGATGCATGTGACCAAGACCCAAATGATCACCCTCTCCAATTCAATACAGTATTAGCATGAGGACAAAAGGCATTTAAAAATCAATTTGGAGTTATTTTTAGTGGGGGTTGCCTAATCTTTGCAAGTTGAGGAATGAGAATATTCCCCAACGTTGAAAGGGCACTCAAGTATTTTTCTCCTTTAAGCGGCAATCTAATTTTCACAGAGAATTCATTCGGTGTCATTGTTTTGGTTTTAGGTGTCTGTCCTGCCAGGCAGGGGCTGTGCACAAGGGCTGCATCTATCTTGAAGTGTGCACAATGGCCTCTCTTACGGCTCTCTCTCTCTCTCTGTTATTGATCCTTACAGATGCTCCAAAGCCCTTCCCCCACCTTTCTCCAAATCCCAACCCCCATTCTGAAAGATAGCTTAAGAAATAAGACTTCCTGCCTAGCGACTGGCAGGGCTGAAAGACCAGATTGTATGACTCCACAGATCAGGCCTGCCACAGTGAAAGCTTGAATAGAGTTAACCCTCTGTGAACTAAAACAAAACATTTGTATGCCCAGCTGTGACAAAGGTTAATTTAAATGGACAAGGGCCCAATATCTAAAACCAGGCAATGCTTTTTTTACAGTAGCATTTTCACTGACCTCTTTTGTAAGCAGTTGATTTTGCCTCTTAAGATTCCAAAACCTCCTACAACTGGGATCATTCATTTTGCTTTATTAGAATTTTCAATGAAAGATCTAGGTGAACAATTTTAAATTCATTTCCTTATTTTATGAAAGTTCTTGTTTTGGTACCGTAAGTTATTTTCTGCAGTTGAATGACTAAGAAGAACTGAAGTTTCAAAACTTAAATATGAACCAGGGGAGAACTTTCTGTGCAAACCTTTTTTCTCTTTCAGAGCTAGCAGACTACATATCACTAAGAGACTCAAGCTCGTCGAAAAAAAATCTAAATTCTCCAGAGTCATCCCTTCTAAACTCATGTAATTACTGCTCTGGGACTCTGCCAGCTCCTAAACTCCTGTCCAACAGATCCAAAGCAAATCTTACTTCTTAAACTACTCCTTTCTGGAAAAGCTAGTATATCCAGGATAGTTTAACAAAGAATTTCTATGCATACTGGGGGAGGAGGCTGTTCAAGATAAATAACAGGCCTTATATATAACTGGTATTTTCTACAAACTTTCTCTTGTTTCTGCTAACTTGCACTAAAAACCAATAATTCTGGCATGTAAGGTGCTGGGGTACAACATATAAGGGAGGAATGAAGCCAAGGTTACTAAAAAGAAGAATGCTATTATCAGAGGGGGTCCCACTTCCCTGGTTTGTGCATCCCCAGAGTGAGAATGAAACTGCAAAGCTGCCTTTGGCAGATGTTAGCCACGCTGCAAGAGGCTGGGAAGCTTTCCCAGGACCAGCTATTTCGTAGGGTTAATGCCAGTCCTAGAAATTTATCAACTGCTTCAAAGAGTCGGGAACTCTTCTCAGTAGTGCTTGCCTTTAAGAAAACCAAACTCTTGCAAACTCTTAGCTTGTACTTCATAAACATGGCAAAACTTTAATACTAACATTCATCCATTTTATCTGTTCCTTCAGCTGTATGTGTCTTTCCTGGCCTAAATAATAAAGTTGTGGAAAAGTGGGGTTTCTCACATAACTAGGAGACTATCCCAAATAAACAAGTTATAACACTAGTGACTATTCATTACATACACACACATGCAGAAAATGTACCCATTTAAAAAGCAACCCACTTAAAAAGAAATTAGCAATGGCTTAGTCTTATATCCCAAACTGTAAAGTATAGAAGCTCCCTACCAGAGGATGAGGTTGCCTTATCAATGGCCTCATGACCCCAATTCTATCTATAATTAACAGTAGTAAATAAGACTTTGGCAGATAGCGAACTGGATTAAGGAATTTAAAATACAAACAACATCTGTCAAGAAATAAACAACAATTTTTAATGTAAATTTTATCTATGTACTGACACGTATATTTAATTTTTTTAAAATCACTATAAAATTTAAATTAATCCCCTTTCTTCTGCTCTTCATCAACCACAACAATGAATTCACTGCAGTTCTCTCTCACTTTTCTCCATTCCAAAACATTTACAGCCACTTGCTACATACATGAAAACTTTCTAGCTGAACTCTGCGAAGACACAAAAAAAACAGTTGCCTGTGGACTGCCTCCCTTCTCCCTCAAGGCTATTTGCTCTAAACCTTCAAAGAAAATTTCTAACCCTTAGATTTGGGCCCCAGACTGTTCCTTACCTTCCCATGTCTCCATTTCATGCTTCTTGTAGTCTGCTGAAAAGTTCTATTGCAGCCATGAAGAAACAGAGATTACAGGACAAGTCCAGCTTGATGACTACCCTTCCGACACTTGGTCAATTCCTCTAAGCCGGGACTACGACAGTCATCCTCACAGGTCAGTTTACAAGCTGGTCATGTGATTGCAAAGTTCAGGCTCTAAGGTCACAACGTGTACGGAGTTCGTTTATTACCAAAGGTTATCTAAGTGGAACTGATAGACTTATTTTCTTTAGTTAACAATACTGCCTAGCACGTCTTTCTGAAAACTATTATGGGAACCATTTCATGGGAAATTCTCCTCCAGTCTTCTTTAAGCTAAGATCCTAAAATTAAAAGGCAGCATTTTAAAAGAATTTATTTAAAAGGGTTCTGGTATGTGGGGCTTTTCTTCTTTTTTTTCAAGAACTATTCTATGCTATAGTCTTCCAGACTGGGTTAGAAAATTTAAAGCCAAAACCTTTCGGTCTAAGGAAAAGACAAAACGGAAACTCAATGTTAGGTATGTAGGGTTTTTCTGGGGGGTATGGGGGGCGTGCAGAAGTGGGATTCCCTGTTTTCTGTCATTACAATAAACAATGACAAGGCAAATTCCTCTAAGAAAATTAATACACAGAGCTAAGAGTTGTTTGCAGGGCTTACTTTAACTCTAGCCCTTCATTTCCATGCTCTGGTTATCTATACTAGTTTGAAAGAATGCAAGAATGCTCTGGTTATACATATTAGTTTGGAGAAAGGAAACTAGGTCTGCAAAATCCTTTTACAAAGCAAAAGTTACTAATTTCACCACCCCCAATCCTTACCCTCAGCCAAAAGTTTACACCTTCAAACTAAGCTTCTTGCTTCATTCCCCTAAAACTCATAAGATCTTAAACAATCATCATGCTATAGCTTCCCTGATTCATGAACCACACCAGCAGCACGCAGCAGAGTGTATAACACCGAGTGTGCACATACACACTCATACCTTACCACAGTACCCCAAAGGCTGGCAAATTGGAGCCACGTGCTAATGGCACATGATGTCAAACATTCAGCTAAACATTCAAATATCAGGACACAATAAAAGGGCAAGCTCCACTAAGAAGGTGGAATGTCCCCAAGAGAAACTGATTTCTGAGGATAAATGCTTTTTAACTGTGTAAAATGTTTCATTCTATGAAATCTCCCCTGCCAATTTAGCTTTAGGAATAACTTAAAGGCTATGCACACTTTACAGCTGTATTCCAGAAAAAGGAGACCCTTCTTGGAGTAGGACTGGAATCTGTCACTTAGCAGCCATATAACTGAATGGCAAATATTGCTACTACCATTACTAGAGGGCTTTTCTAACCAACAGAGAGCATTAGGGTCATCTTACAAAGTAGAGCCTAAAGAGAAAGTGACCAATGATTTAGACGAGGAAAAAGGCTGTAATTTGTCTAAAAATAAATATTCTGCCACTGCCATGACACACTTTACCCCATCATAAATACACTGACCAGCTTTCCCACCCCCCACCCCAACCCCATAGATTAATATTTTCTTCTCAGTCCCTGTGGATTTAACGTAGTTCTTAAATGATTTTAGTAAAGTGACTACAAATAGAATGAGGGTGGAAAAAATGGAAGGGGAAGGTCCACTAGCAAAAAGCTACTCAACTGGAAACAAAGGGCAGCTCTCTGTCTCCCTTAAGGATATGGATTTATTAGAACTAAATATCTGCACACAACAGAGGTGTAGTAAGCCTCTGTGCTTTACTGCACCAACTTTTGGAGGAAAAGATGAATAAGGAGCTATTAGTCTAACTTCTGCTACCAAGACTGAAGCAGACGCCTTGATTTTCAAGGTGAGTCCAACTAACAATCCTTGATGCACCCATAAGCCTGAGAACAAATCTTTAACATAGCTTAAGGAGACAATTAAGTTTCATCTTTGGATATAGAGCCACATTTCTTCAGCATTCTCAGTCCCACAAGTTTTTTGAGAGCACTTTATAGACTCTACTGGAAGAGGCGAGAGAAGATGAACAGACACCACACTGCCCATGTGAATGCAAAAGATGAACTCTAAATCTTATTTATTTTTTTATTTGAGACAGGGCCTCGCTCTGTCACACAAGCTGGAGTGCAGTGGTGCAATCATGGCTCACTGCAGCCTCCACCAGGGCTCAAGCAATCCTCCCGCATGAGCCTCCCACGTAGCTGGGACTACAGGGGACTACAGGCACGCACCACCACGCCTGGCTAATTTGTAAAAATTTTGGGTAGAGATGGGAGTCTATGTTGCCCAGGCTGGTCTTGAACTCCTCGGCTCAAGTGATCCACCTGCCTTAACCTCTCAAAGTGCTGGGATTACAGGCATGAGCAACCACACCCGGCCTAAACACTAATTTTTAACTACGCCTCCAAGTAAGATTGTTTAGCTGGGGATGGGTGTGCACACCAGTAGTCCCAGCTGTTCAGGAGGCTGAGGCAGGAGGATGGCTTGAAGCCAGGAGTTTGAGGCTGCAGTGCGCTATGATTGTGGCCTCTGAATAGTCACTGCACTCCAGCTTGGGCAACAGAGTGACCTCGTCCCTACTTAAAAAAAAAAAAAAGAAGAAGAAGAAAAATCATTTAAGATTAACAGTACTGGAATTTATAAGTGGGAAGGAGAGAGAAAACAGGAAATCAACATTTTCTACTTGCTAATACTAGCTTTGAAATGTGGGAAAAAAGTAGATAAACAAAATTCTAAATCCAAACATACGTAGCATTTGCATACTGCAAATCTAATGGGGTCCAAATTATTATTTTTAAATTTTGTTCTTTATATAACGGCCTTTTGTAAAAATGAAATCAAATAAAAACAAACCAAAAAAGAGGGGCAGAGTAAAATTAAAAAAAAAAAAAAAAAAAAAACAAGGAAGGGAAAGAGAGGAAAAAAATAAGACGATTTATTGTTTCTCCTCAGCATCCTCCTTGGTCTTCTCCCTTCTCCTTCACCGAAAGAGCTTCTAGCTTTTCCGCCACTTTTTCGGCATGATCGCTTTTTTGCCGGATCTTTTCTTTTCTCTCTCTCCAATCTCTTTACTGCATTCTTCAAACTTTGTTTTGAATTTCTGTGCATTCTCAGCATTCAGGAAGCGGATGGCCAGCAGCTCTGGCTTGGGGCACTCGTCGTTCCAGACTCAGGCATGGTCATTACCCACGTTGGGTTTCAGCTCCACCATTGGCGTGTAGTGGTTGGCACAAATCTTCAGGGTCTTGTCCCTCCTCATGAGGAGGCGGGTGGTCCCCTTCTCCTTGTGCTTCAGGAGCTTGACGTCACCAGTGCCTCGCTCGTTCCATTCTAGGAGACGGTTCTCTGCGGCAAATCACAGTTTCGCCCCCATTTTAAAAAGTTCCTCTTTGGCCGGGGGCGGTGGCTCACTCCTGTAATCCCAGCACTCTGGGAGACTGAGGCGGGTGGATAACCTGAGGTCAGGAGTTTGAGACCAGTCTCGTCAACATGGTGAAACCCCATCTCTACTAAAAATACAAAAAATAGCTGGGCGTGGCGGCGGGCGCCCGAGGCAGGAGAACCGCTTGAACCCGGGAGGCGGAGGTTGCAGTGAGCCGAGATGGCGCCATTGCACTCCAGCCTGGGCGACAAAAGCGATACATGGTCTCAAAAAAAAAAAAAAAAAGTTCCTCTTCATCTTCCTCCAGCGTTTTAAAATTTCTTGCTCAGGAAGAGAAACTACTGGCTTAAACTGAGGGTCATGGTTGGACTCGTCTTCATTCTCAATGGAAGTATCGTGGTCTTCCTGAGTGTCCGTGGCAGCCGCCATGAGGGCGCGGCGGCGGCGGCCGCTCGGCTGAGTCGGTCGTCGCCGGCTCCGCGGCCTCTCGGCGACTACTCGTAGCTCCTTCCCTCTGCGTCTGGCCATGAAGTCCAAATTATGAATGGCAGAACCTTAGTTAACCACCAAGAGATTGTTTCCACTTTCATTTTAAAGATGGACAAACTGAATGAAGCTCAAAGAAAGGAAGAGGCAGGAGTCATCAGACCAATAGAGAAGAAAATAAAATATCCTAGTCCTCCATTTCTTCCACTAAACCACGTATCTTGAGGACAGGAAAAGGCAAAGCCTCTTTTGAGATGTTCTTAACACCATTTCCCATATGTTTATTCAAATAGACGCTCTCAAAGATGACTGCAGATTTTGAGGCTGAAGGGGTAAGTTTAGTTCTTCAGTGTAAAACAAAAGACAGCAAATCTAGTGGCCACATGATCACTAGAATCATTTCTGCCTTATTTGTTTTTAAGAACCTTTCAATGAATGTCTGATGCAAAGTGAAAGCCCGGTGACCATTCTCAAGGAGAGGGACTTGTATCCATTTTAGAAAATCAGGAGCATGCAGAAAATGTTTCAAATTCCTTTTTAAACTTACAGAGGTTAAAACAAAAAACAAGAGCCCAAGATCTCTGGTTCTCATCTGTCAGATCCTTGATACAGACATTCCCTATGGCAAGGGAAAGAGTTTAATTCAACTAAATAGGAATAATGAAATCACAGTCAAATGAAGTCCATATTATCTGGGACTAAGAAGCAAAGTTCCTGAGAGTGGAGAAAGAATGAGAGCAACTAAGAACATCCTTGGATACAATTTCCAGTTATGCCTTCAACTCCTGGAGGTGGAAAGAATTCATAGTTCAGGAAAAAACTCAAGGATTGGAAACTAAAATAAAATATTCCAGAAACCAGGTTTTAAAAATCCAATTCTACAAACACTCATGGAGTGTCTCCTATGAGCTAGGCACTATGCTGGCTATGATGACATAAAATAATATTATGTGATCCTTGCCCTAGAAGTACTCATCATCTGCTGACCTCCAACCTTATTTCTCACCACTCCATACTAACTCACAAGCAGTGCACATACACTAAACAGATAAATGACAGTATGATGTTATGAGTACTGTAACTAAAGTGGGTAAGAAAAGTGTTGGAGAAACAAAGATGAAGAAGCAATTCATTAGAACAGACTGAGGTGCCAGAGAGGGCATTACATTTGGGCTGAACCTTGAAGTTCCACAGGCAGACAAGTAGGAAAGGTATTTCAAGACCTGAAGGAAGAAGGAGAAGGAATAAAGACGATCTCAAAAGATTTTGTAATGCCAATGCTATGTAAAAGAGTAATATGACTGGCTGTGGGGGAAAAAAAAAAAAAAGACTACAGAGTGTGCTTTAAGAAAAAAAAAAAAAATGCGGTGGCTCACGCCTGCAATCCCAGCACTTTGGGAGGCCAAGGCGGGTGGATTACCTGAGGTCAGAAGTTCAAAACCAGCCTGGCCAACATGGTGAAACCCCATCTCTACTAAAAATACAAAAATTAGCCAGGCATGGTGGCACACGCCTGTAATTCCAGCTACTTGGGAGGCTGAGGCAGGAGAATTGCTTGAGCCCCGGAGACGGAGGTTGCAGTGAGCAGAGATCACGCCACTGCACTCTAACCTGGCCGACAGAGCGAGACTCTGTCTCAAAACAAATAAACAAACAAAAAAGACTGGCCAGGTGTGGTGGCTCACACCTGTAATCCCAACACTTCGGGAGGCCAAGGTGGGTGGATCACAAGGTCAGGAGATCGAGACCATCCTGGCGAACACAGTGAAACCCCATCTCTACTAAAAATACAAAAGATTAGCCGGGCGTCATGGCGGGCGCCTGTAGTCCCAGCTACTCGGGGGGCTGAGGCAGGAGAATGGCGTGAACCTGGGAGGCGGAGCTTGCAGTGAGCCTAGATGGTGCCACTGCACTCCAGCCTGGGCGACAGAGGGAGACTCTGTGTCAAAAAAAAAAAAAAAAGAAAGAAAAAAGAAAAGAAAAGAAAAAAAAAGACTATATATAGACTATATATATAAAGCATATATAGAGTATGCTTACATAGGCTCAGCAAGGTGGCTCACACCTGTAATCCCAGTACTTTGGGAGGCAGAGGTGTGTGGATCGTTTGAGCTCAGGAGTTCAAGGCCAGCTTTGGAAACATAGGGAGACCCGTCTCTATAAAAAAAAAATTAGCCATTATGGTGGCACACGCCTGAAGCCCAAGCTATCCTAGCTGAGGTGGGAGGGTTGCTTGAGCCTGGGAGGTTGCAGTGAACTGTGATCACGCCACTGCACTCCAGCCTGGGTGACAGAGCAAGACCCTGTCTCAAAAAAAAGAACAGCCTTGTGTTAACAACCAAATGCAATATATGTACTTTTAGATCCTGATTTGAACCAAATAATTGTAAAAAGACATTTTTGGGACAATCCAGGAAATTTAAATATGTGTAAGACATTTAATTAGGTAAGTTTCCTACCTGCGAACTGAGGAACCTGGAAAAGGTGAGCTTTTCCTCCATTTAAAATTTCTCACAATTCCCCAGTCAAGATTTTATCCATGAATTTTTAAAGTATCCCAATCAAGAACAGATTATAACATGAATAAATAAGTCCTTTTTGAATGAAAACAAAGGAATCAGATACAGAGCATATAAATATAAACGCAGTCAACTATTTTGTCTCCTGAGAGGTCTAAACAAGTTGGGACTTATTCATCACATTTGGCACCCGTGACTGTTTACCTTCTTCTCAAGACCCAGATTGGCCCAGAGATTAATGCAAATAAATACTCTAGCCCTGAACACAGCAACAGCTCAAACTGCTGTTAAGCAACATGTGAAGCTGAAGTAAAAAAAGATCAAAGTTGTACAAAGCAAGTCTCAAACTTGGGGGCAGAGTAAAGTGACAGGCTTTCTCCTTTGGTGCTCCTATAAAGGTAGACCACTTGAAGGTTAGTTTTTCCAAGCCAACTCTGGTTTCAGCCCTCACTTCTCTGGTTGTTTCATTTGTTCATACATCCATCTACCTGACCTAGAGACAACGTCAGATGATATAGGAAAAGACTTCTATCTAAAAAGAACTCAGTTCTACGTGAGAATTCTGGGAAAAGGCAAGATAAAATGCCCCCATTAAGTGTGGCATGATCTCATTGAGTCCCATCAGTGGTTCCCAGGAACCTATGGTATAAAGGCCCACACTCCTAAGGCCCTCCCTCTATAACCCAGCTCTTCCTGACTTCTCCAGCTTCATTTCCCACCACTCCTCTTAAGTACCCATTACTCCAGCCATGCTGACCCACTTACTTATAGTGCAAATATTATACTAAGCTATTCCATTTGCCTGGAATAACTCTTTTCACTATTTCCTTATAGTTTCCACTCCCACTTACTAATCTTACTGGACTCAATTTAAAAATCACCTCCTCTGTAAAATATTTTAAGACTCCATTCTCCCAGACTTAAACTCAAAGTCAAATCGCACCCTTCTTCCCTTCTGCCTGGATCCCTAAAATATACTACGACATTACTCATCACGTAGTATTTTTATTTTACAATTCTATCCTTTCTTATTAATCTCATGTACTCCAAAGAGTCAAGCCCAGGGCTGTCTTCAGTTTAGTATTTAAAAGGCTTTCATAATACATTAAAGCAATTAGATGGCTCCTCGAGAGGTGTGTGTGTTGTGTGGGTGGGGTACAGTTCTTCTGTTGAATTTCTTAATAGTGCATTCATATTCTTCTTCATTTTCACATTTTCTAACTCTTTCATCTTACCTCACGACAGGTTTTTTCCCCTAGACAAACTCTACTTCAGAGTCTCCCATGTTTCAGGCCCTGTGTTAAATATACATTTTCTGATTTAGAAGCCTACCTGAGACTAAATCTTCCAACAATGAAGGGCTGGTACTGGTAGTCAAAGGTTCCTGATCAATATGTCATTTGCTGGGTTCCTGCATCAGTGTAGAACCACCTGTTGCTGACGATCTTTTGATTAACATATATAACATATGTATCCGTCACTGGATTCCGAAATATGAGACCAAGGACTGTGCCCCATATTTTTGCCAACCAGTGTATCTCCAGTGCTTGAATATTTGTTGACTGAAGAAAGGAAGGAAAGGAGCTGCTTCAGAAAGCAGCAACATAGGAAAGGGGGAAAAAAAACCTTCAGGAATACAAATAGACCACCTTAGGCCAGCCATTCCCGCAAAGCCAAAACCAGTTTTCCCAGTCCCAATTCCAACTCCAGCAAATCTTACCCATACACAGAGCTCTCCTCTAATTGAGGGATTGGCTGTAATAAATCTGACAAGATCAGTTGCAAATCAGCAAGTGGCAATCCTACCTGCACCAGTTCTATCCCTTTCCACTCTACTAAAAATTGAACTCTCTAAGGATAGGCATAGGTAAAAGAAAGGACAATGAGGGCTTACGCAGTCTTTCTTTAGGGTAGAACTTGGCTCCTGATGGCAAAGGAATCCATTTTTATCCAACAAGAAATAACGCACATAATCCCAATCTGAGTCAACTACACTCAGCAACTGAGCCTTATCCTAGGTCCTGGAGTCAGGAACTGCTCCCCTGAATCTCACATCCTGATATCCAACTGCCTCCTGGGCACCTCCACCTAGATGTATCCATCATAAGCACCTCAGACAAGTCCAAACTTGTCTTCCTTTAAAACTCTGTTCCTCTCTCTGGCCCCCCTGTTCAGTGAAAGGCATCAACCACCCAAGCCAAAAACCTGGCACTCTTTCCATGGCTCCTTCCTCCTCTTTGACTATACCCACATACAACCTGTCATAAATCCTGTCTTTTCTACCCCCTCAAAAGTAGCTGAATCAGCTACCCTGAAGAGGTATTTACTAAACAAAGATGGGATAATTTGAGCATCACTTAAAAATTATTAAATAGGGCACAGTGGCTCACACCTGTAATCCCCGCACTTTGGGACGCTGAGGCGGGTAGATCGTTTGAGTCCAGGAGTTCAAGACCAGCCTGGGCAATATGGCAAAACCCCGTTTCTACCAAAAATACAAAAAATTAGCTGGGTGTGGTGGTGCACGCCTGTGGTCCCAGCAATTAAGGAGGCTGAGATGGGAGGATTGCTTCTTGAGCCCCGGGAGGCAGAGGTTGCAGTGAGCAGAGATCGTGTCACTGCATTCCAGCCTGAGTGACAGAGCAAGACCCTGTCTCAAAAAAAAAATAATTTTTAAAATGAAAAAAATATTAAGGGGAAAAATCAGTATTTATCTTGCCTTTCCTAGATGAATTATACCACAGGGTAATAAACAGCTATGGACAAATTTCTTTATAGAAGCATTCCAGAGGATAAACAAACAAGAAATACTGGAATTAGAATAACACCGTGAAATAATAGATCCTAGATACCAATCATCAAACGCTGCTAACCATTACAAAAAGAAAGAACAAGACAGTACATATCTTCTGATGGAAGAACTCAACACCCCCATGAAGTAGTCTTGCCAAAAATGTTGGATCTGAAGGCTTGAAGTTGACTAAGTCTCTATATCCATCTTCTAAAATAAAAGAACTACAAAGTTCAGAATAACACATTCATCTACATTACAAGGATGTAATCGGCAATATCTGGGTGTGGTAAATTCAGCAAGACAAACCACCAACGTCTCAACTTAGAGGGGGAAAAAAGATGGAGGAGAAAATCTACAGATTAGGAAAACTAACCTGGGCAACAAAGTGAGATCCATCTTTACAAAAAATTTGCCAGGTGTGGTGATGCATGTGCCTGTAGTCCTAGCTACTTGAGAGGCGTGAGTATCACTTGAGCCAGGAGTTCTAGGCTACACTGAGCTGTGATCATGCCACTGCATTCCAGCCACTCCAGCTTGGGTGACAGAGCAAGAGTGAGAGTCTGTCTCTTAAAAACAAAAAACCCTCGCATCACTGCACTCCAGCCTGGGCAACAGAGCACGACTCTGCCTCAAAAAACAAAAACAAAAGAACACCAAATAAACAAACAAACCCCACACTTTTAAAGGATAAGGATACATACTGGAATATTAACAAATGAAATAATGATACTTAAGATTTGCTTCAAAATAAAATGGAAAATGAATGGGTGGAACTATGAGTAGGACAGGGTTAGCCCTTCGATGATGGTTGTTGAGGCTGGGTACATGGCCTCATTATACTACTTTGTATTTCTATTTTTGTTTTATAAAAATTAAAGCACACAAACAAATCTTGAATCCATCTATTTGTTTCTGTCATCACTCTCACAGTCTTGACCACCACTATCTCCCATCTGGCTTATTTTAGTAGCTTCCTTTATGGGTATGTCTTGCTTGCTCCTTGCTTTTTCCTTTCTCTTTTTCTGCATCACCTTCCTGCAATCCATTCTCCATCCTGGCTGCTAAGACTCAAAACCATGCCAGTTCTACTTAAAACCTTTCACGGCCTTCAGAATAAAGCACCTTCCCAACCTCATAAGAGCCTTCCTCTCCCTTCTCCCTTCTCATATTCCCAATGCTCTCAGCAAATAGTGCTATTTGCAGTTTCCCAAATGCGCCTTTGCATGTAGTGTTACTTCTGCCTAGCTAGTTTCCATGAATTATTTAATGATCAGCAAATTCAGGCATGACATCTTCTATGAAATATTCTCCTACTCTTCCCTGCCCTAAAGGTTCCAATTCTATGAATGTCCACCATTTCATCCCTTTGTGTGCCTGCCTCCATGTGTCTATGGGTCTGTGAATATTCCAAGAACAAGGGACCAGGGTTTGATTCATTTCTGTATTCCTGGAATCTATCACAGAACATAGCAAAAATGGGTACTTGATATATGTCTGATGGATTAAAAAAAAAAGGCCTAGGCTTCCAAGAAATCCATAATTCTATAGAAAGAGCTAAATAAAATAAGGGGCAGCCTGGAATTATATACTTTGGAGTCAGACAAACTTGGTATCAAATAGCAACTATACAACATGCATTAATTTTGTAAACTTGGGCAAGGCACTTCAATTCTCCTAAGTCTGTTAAATGGGAACAGTGATTCTTCAGGGTTATTGATTAAATAAGTATACAGTTCAAACTAACTAAAATTATCTTTAATAACACAACTCTATGTTCACGTGACAGTGAGGTAATTTAACAAACTCCAAGAACACAGGGTATGTGCCATCACCCGCTGGCAGCTTGTCTGACCCCAAAGGCCATGGGCACCTCCCTGTCAATAGGAACTTGATAAACTGAGGAAAGGGGATATTGCTTCCCTGCTACTTTCTAAGTTCCTGCTCCCTTTCTGTGTATATTCACTCATCTTTCTCTTTGGTGAATCCTGAAATATTATTCAATCCTGGGCTTTGGAACTCAGGTTTTTGTTAGTTTAACCTTTAAATATGTTGAGTAAAGGGAACAGGTATCAGAGATTGGGATACATACTCCAGCACAAGGGACAATAAAACTTGATGCTGCTCCTGGACATCCTGGAACTGCAACTCAGGCCCCATTCTCTCAAGCTCAGGACTTTTTATTTTTTCTTTTATAGAAAGATAGAATAAGCTGGGCATGGTGGCATATCCCTACGGTCCCAGCCACTCACGAGGCTGAGGCAGAAAGGTCACTTGAGCCTAGGAGTTCTGGGCTATAGTACACTACGCCAATCCGGTGTTCCACACTAAGTTCAGCTTCAATATGGTGATCTCCCAGTAGCAGGGGACCACCAGGTTGCCTAAGGCGGGATGAACTGGCCTAGGTCAGAAATGGAGCAGGTCAAAACTCCCATACTGATCAGAAGTGGGACTGTGCCTGTCCGTAGCCACTGGATTCCAGCCTGGGCAACACAGTGAGACCCCATCTCTTTAAAATTAATAGGAAGATAGAATAAAAGAGAGGTTCAGCAAAGAAATTCTAGGGTTAAATCGAGATTCAAATTTTGGATCCTGTAAATTTACTAGCTATGTGACTTTAGGTAAATTGCATAACTTGTCTCAATTTCCTCATCTATAAAATAGGTTGTTAGCATTACCTACCCCATGGAGTCTCTGTGAGAACTGAAAGAGATAATCTTATGAAAAATGTTCAACACAATGCCTGGCAAACAGTAAATTTTCAATAAACTTAGTTAATATTACTTAGAATAATGTTTTTCATGAAATAATACCTGGGTGGGCACGGTGGCCAACACCTACAATCCCAGCACTTTGGCAGTCTAAGTTAGGATGATCGCTTGAGGCCAGGAGTTCAAGACCAACCTGGGCAACATAGCGTAACCCTGTCTCTACAAAAATAAACAAGTAAATAAATAAATAAGCAAGCAAGCAAGCCAGTCAGCCATGGTGGCAGACAACTGTAGTCCCAGTTACTTGGGAGGCTGAAGCATGAGGATTGCTTGAGCCCAGGAGGTTGAGGCTACAGTGAGCCGTGATCACGCCATCGTACTCCAGCCTAGGAGACAGTCTCAAAAAAATAAATAAAAAAAATAATTTCGTGCTTAGGAGGAAAAATGACAACCAGAAAACAAAATTTAAAAAAGAAAAAAGCACTTTTTAGATTTTATTTTTATTTTACGTTTCAGGGTACATGTGCAGGTTTGTTACACAGGTAAATGTGTGCCATGGTGATTTGCTGCATGTATCAACCCATCACCCAGGTATTAAGCCCAGCATATCTTAGCTATTTTTCCTGATGCTCTCCCTCCCCCACCCCCAACAGGCCCCAGTGTGTGTTGTTCCCCTCCCTGTGTCTGTGTGTTCACGTTGTTTAGCTCCTACTTATAAATGAGAACATGCAGTGTTTGGTTTTCTGTTCCTATGTTAGTTTGCTGAGGATAATGGTTTCCAGCTCCATCCAAAGGAGCGGCAAAGGACATAATCCTATTCTTTTTTATGGCTGCAGAGTATTCCATGGTGTATATATACCACATTTTCTTTATCCAGTCTATCATTCATGGGCATTTGGGTTGATTCTATGTCTTTGTTATTGTGAATAGTGCTGCAATGAACAAATGTGTGCATGTAACTTTATAACAGAATCATTTATATTCCTTTGGGTATATACCCAGTAATGGAATTGCTGGGTCAAATGGTATTTCTGGTTCTAGGTCTTTGAGGAATCCACACACTGTCTTCCACAACGGTTGAACTAACTGACATTCCCACCAACAGTATAAAAGCATTCCTATTTCTCTGCAGCCTCACCAGCATATGTTGTTTCTTGACTTTTTAAGAATCACCATTCTGACTGGTGTGAGATGGTATCTCATTATGGATTTGATTTGCATTTCTCTAATGATCAGTGATGTTGAGCTTTTTCTCCTATGTTTGTTGGCTACATAAATGTCTTATTTTGAGAAGTGTCTGTTCATGTCCTTTGCCCACTTTTTTAATGTGTTTTTTTCCTTTTAAATTTGATTAAGTTCCTTGTAGATTCTGGATATTACATCTTTGTCAGATGGATTGCGAAAATTTTCTCCCATTCTATAGGTTGTCTGTTCACTCTGATGATAGTTTCTATTGCTGTCCTATTTGTCAATTTTTGCTTTTGTTGCAATTGCCTTTGGTGTCTTCATCATGGAATCTCTGTCTGTGCCTATGTCCTGAATGGTCCTGCCTACGTTTTCACCTAGGGTTTTTATGGTTTTGGATTTTACATTTAAGTCTTTAGTCCATCTTGAGTTGATTTTTGTCTATGATGTAAGGAAGGGGTCCAGTTTCAATTTTCTGCATATGACTGGTCAGTTCTCCCAGCATCATTTATTAAATAGGGAAACCTTTCCCCACTGCTTGATTTTCTCAGGTTTATTGAAGATCAGATGGTTGTAGATGTGCAGCCTTATTTCTGAGTTCTCTATCCTGTTCCATTGGTCTATGTGTCTGTTTTTGTACCAGTACCATGCTGTTTTGCTTACTGTGGCCTTATAGTCTAGTTTGAAGTCAGGTAGCCTGATGACACCAACTTTGTTCTTTTTGCTTAGGATTGTCTTGGGTATATTGGCTCTTTCTTGGTTCCATATGAATTTTAAAATAGTTTTTCCTAATTCTTTGAAGAATGTCAATGGTAGTTTAATGGGAATAGCATTGCATCTATAAATAACTTTAGGTGGTATGGCCATTTTGACAATATTGATTCTTCCTATCCATGAGCAAGGGATGTTTTTCCATTTGTTTGTGTCCTCTCTGATTTACTTGAGCAGTGGTTTGTAGCTCTCCTTGAAGAGGTCCTTCACTTCCCTTGTTAGCTGTATTCCTAGGTATTTTATTCTCTTCATAGTAATTGTGAATGGGAACTCATTCATGACTTGGCTCTCTGGTTATCTGTTGTTGGTGTATAGGAATGCTTGTGATTTTTGCACATTGATTTTGTATCCTGAGACTGCTGAAGTTGCTTATCAGCTTAAGAAGCTTTTGGGCAGAAATGATGGGTTTTTTATAGGATCATGTCATCTGCAAACAGACAATTTGACTTCCTCTCTTCCTATTTGAATACCTTTATTTCTTTCTCTTGACTGATTTCCTGGCCAGACCTTCCAATACCACATTGAAAAGGAGTGGTGAGAGAAGGCATCCCGGTCTTTTGTCAGTTTTCAAGGGAAATATTTCCAGCTTTTGCCCATTCAGTATATGATATTGGCTGTGGGTTTCTCGTATATGGCTCTTATTATTTTGAGATATATTCCTTCAATGCCTAGTTTATTGAGAGTTTTTAACATGAAGGGATGTTGAATTTTATAGAAGGCCTTTTCTGCATCTTTTGAGATAATCTGTGGTTTCTGTCTTTAGTTTTGTTTATGTGATGAATTACGTTTATTGATTTGTGTAGGTTAAACTAGCCTTGCATCCTGGGGATGAAGCCAAAGTGCTCGTGATGGATAAGCTTTTTGATGTACTTCTAGATTCAGTTTGCCAGTATTTTATTGAGGATTTTTGCATTGATGTTCATCAGGGATACTGGCCTGAAGTTTTCTTTTTTTGTTGTATCTCTGCCAGGTTTTGGTATCAGGATGATGCTGGCCTCATAAAATGAGTTAGGGAGGAGTTCCTACTTTTCAATTGTTTGGAATAGTTTCAGAAGAAATGGTACCAGCTCCTCTTTGTACCTCTGGTAGAATTCAGCTGTAAATCCGTCTGGTCCTCGGCTTTTTTTGGTTGGAAGGCTATTTATTACTGCCTGAATTTCAGAACTCATTATCGGTCTATTCAGGGATTCAACTTCTTCCTGGCTCATTCTTGGGAGGGTGTATGTGTCCAGGAATTTATCCATTTCTAGATTTTCTAGTTTACTTGCATAGAGGTGTTTATAATTGTATTTTTCAAGAGTTCAATACACCAAGCTGAGCGGAGAGGTGCTTTTGACCCCAAATAACTTTCCTTTCTGAATCTCAGGTTGGAGTGCTATTTGAGGATACTACCTGGAAGTATCCTTTTCCTGACCCATTCAGTAGTTTAGCCTTCTTCAAAACTTACTGTGCGGAAGGAGGAGGCAGGTATAGTGGGCTTTGGAGTTAAACATGTTCAGTGTCCCACAGTAAGATACAATAACTTTCTTTTATCTCTGTGAGCCTTCACTTCCCTTACCAAAAAAAAAACAAAATTGGGATCAGGCCATTTTGGTTGAGAATGTATGTAAAATACTTCTCATTATCACTAAAGTACTTATCATAGGCCCAGCAAACCTAGCAGTAGTTATTATTTTCCTTACTTCCAGAACCATGAGTCACGTTCTCTACAAGAATCTCTGTTTTCAAGCCCATTAGTGAGACAGAGTGCTTGCTCAGACATCCGTAGGGAAGAGATCCCCCAGAGTAGCCACCAAAGACTACTCTCCAGTCTTTGCTCCAAAATTAGAGACAATTTAAGGCTGGGCACAGTGGTTCACACCTCTGATCCTAACACTTTGGGAGGCTAAGGCAAGAGGATTGCTTGAGGCCAGAAGTTTGAGACCAGCCTGGGCAATATAGTGAGACACTCACTTCTACAAAATTAAAAATTAAAAGAAAAAAAATCAGCTGGGCATGGTGGCACATGCCTGTAATCCTAGCTATGTGGGGGGCTGAGGTGGGAGGATCACTTGAGCCTAGGAGGTCGAGGCTCCAGTGAGCCGTGATTACACCACTGTGCTCCAGGCCTGCACAACAGAGTGAGACCCTGTCTTAGAGAGAGAGAGAGAGAGAGAGAGAGAGAGAGAATGAGAGAGAATGAGAGAGAATTCAGCATTCAGAGCAGGTCAACACTGAGCAATTCCCATTCTGTGCTAAGCTGGGGATGGGTAGGTCAAGATGAATGAGTCAAGATCTTATCCTTGAAGAGCTCAAGCCAGCAAGCCAGTGTAAGGGATAATGATATCTATCTTAGAAGAGGGGCAAAATACAAGGTGTGCTCAGAGAAGAGGTGCTTGTCTTAGCTGGGGTGCCAGTAGCTCACCACTATTTTCTTGGAACCTAATATGTATCTGATGAATATCTGGAAGGGTTTCCCAGAGAAAGTGATAGCTGAGCTGTGCAGCTATACTGTTTAGCTCCTTGTGTCCCAGAACCTTGTGCTTTTTGATAAGGTTTCCAAACAAAACTAAACAAGGAATTTAAAGCAGATGTCAAGTAACAAAGGATAGGTTTCCACTGCTGACTTGAACCACTCTTCTCTTCTGCCCCTCACTCTCATAGTCCACCCAGATTCCCAGGAGCAACCTTCATTTGGAACAAAAGACAAGACTTATGCAGACCCTCCATAGAACTGACCCCGGGCTCAGATGTGTAAGGACAAATCAGTGTGGAAAGCAGAGAAAAAAACAGTTCCAGGACTGAGAGGAGACCAATGACTTCTAGAAAATGCTTTCCTGGGACTTCTTCAAGCATCCCTTCTTGACAAGCCTGCTTGGACAGATACCCCAGCATCTCTTCAGGACTTAAAATAGCACTGCACCTAAAGGGAAGAGTACCAGGAACATAAGCAGGGGGAGCTCACATCTGAGCACTATGCAAAGGAACCTCATAGATACTCCCCTCTTCTCAGTTACTTAACTGGGTTAGCAGATGGGCCAGTTGCAAATCACACCAATCTAAGAATTTGCCTGCCAAGGAATTATACCCTTAAAAATGATCCAATTTCAGTTACAACTCTTGTACTGTGGGTAAGGTAAACCCCCATATATCCTATCAATGTCAATGCAAAGTAGTAGTTTGGGTTTTTCTTTCTTTCTTTTCTTTCTTTCTTTCTTTCTTTCTTTTCTTTCTTTCTTTCACATCTTCCATCACACAACCATTATACAAATTGGTACAACATTTTGAGAGGTTATTTTTGGCATTATTTATTAAAGCCAAGCCCATGCTTTAAAATGCCCATGCCATTTAATATAGCAGTTCTAATTCTAGGAATGTACCTTACAGAAGTACTTGTGCAGGAGTGAGAAGATATTCATGGCAGTACTGTATATAGTAGCTAAATAAATTTTAAAATTCAAAGCCAGGAGTGGTGGCTTATACCTGTAATCCCAGCCTTTGGGAGGCTGAAGAGGAAGGATCGCTTGAGGCCGGGAGTTTGAGACCAGCCTGGCCAACATGGTGAGACCCTATCTCTACAAAAAATTTAAAATTTAGCTGGATGTGGTGGCACATACCTGTAGTCCCATCTATTTGGGAGCTGACACGGAAGGACCAATTAAGCCCAGAAGTTTGATGCTGCAGTGAGCTAAGAAGGTGCTACTGCACTCCAGCATGGGCAAGAGAGCAACCCTGTCTCTAAAATAAAATTAAAATTAAAATTAAAATTAAGGCCTGGTGTGGTGGCTCACACCTATAATACCACCACTTTTGAAGGCCAAGGTGGGCAGATTGCTTGAGCCCAGGAGTTTGAGACCAGCCTGGGCAACATGACAAGACCGTCTCTAAAAAAATAAATAAAAATAAAAAACACAAAAATTAGCCAGGCATGGTGCCACACACCTGTAGTCCAAGCTACTAGGGAGGCTGAGGTGGGAGGATCGCTTGAGCCTGGGAGGTTGAGGCTGCACTGAGGCGTGAGCAAGCCACTTTCACTCCAGCCTGGGTGACAGGGCAAGACTCTATCTCAAACAAAACAAAAAATAAATAAGTAAATAAAAATTAAAAGAAAAGCTCAAACTTTGCAATCAATAGGGGGATGGCTAATAAATCTGTATAATACAAAGAACATTACTGGCATAAAGAAGTCTATAATATCTTGTTAATGAAAAGAATCAGTTTGATCTCATTTACAAAAACATATATTTAAAAGTATATAAAAGTTTACAGATGGACTTCTGCCACCCTAGCCAAGATGGAGTAATGGGGACCAGATTTGGTCACCTGGCTGGGGCAACTACAGAGCTGGACAAACCATATAAAACAATGATTTTCAGGTACTGGACCTCAGGCGGCCAAAGACAGTGACTCCAGAGAAAGAGGAAACAAATAAGGGAAGTCCTACAAATACCCACCGAAGCCCTGAGTTTCCAGCCTAGAGCACAGGAAGGGAGAACCCAGGTAGAGCTCAACAGTCCCAAGAGTTGAGGATTAGAAGCTGGGAGTCCAGGAGGCAGGGCAGCTGGAGTTCACAAAGAAGAGGGCTAGGAGGGAGAGGGCTATGCAGAGAGAGCACAGCTGAGATCTGCAGAGGGGTCCTCCAAGTCTTCAGCTGAGGACTGATCAGTGCACATATACGAGAAAAATTACCCAAAGCCAGGGAAAAAATCATCCCAAAGGAGTAGAGGGAACAATTCTGGGGCTCCATAGGGCCAAGAATAGTTTCTGTCTCCACCAGCCAGAATGAAAAACTTTCAAAGTTAGAGAATTTATTTCCTGAAAGTCCTAATTAGCATTTATATATCCCCCAACAACTGGCCCTCGGGTATTCTAAGAGCACTGATTCACTTATCAGATTAGCTGTTTGTCCTATTCAATCTATAAATGATAGAATCTAAGACAGGTGGTGATGGCAGGTTTGTGGCATGAGAGATGGATAAGTCAGCAGGAGCCAGAGAGGCAACTCCAACGGGTTGAGAGAATAGATCCTAAAAATATACTCTGCCTTAGGCTCCTCTTGACATAGACAAAAGTCCGCCACTATATGCAAAAATTCCCTTTGTAAATCAGCTTGGCACAAAAATGACTGTAAAGATAATATCATCATAACCCCTCCTCAATGAACTGGCTACCACACTGAAATTTTCTTTTTTTGTTGGTGCTTTTCAAGTCTCTGCAACTCTGCCCAAACAGACCTTCCCATTTACCATGTCCTTCTTCTTTGCAAGAGACACTCAAATGCATTAAAGACAATCCTTGCAAGCCTATTCCTGGAAAAATGGCTCTTCACAATCTTATTTGCCCTTGTGGTCCCAGTGATATAACTGGATTCAAAGCCTGGTATTGCTCTTTTAATGGTGTTTACTCAGTCCTGGTGAGGTTCACTTTTCACACAAATAAGATAGTTGGATTCCACTGAATGTTTCTATTCAGATCAAGTTAATACAAAGTTGGAGAGCTTAGATTCTTTATCATGTAACTTTGAGAATGCTCAGATGAATGCAGCATAAAAAGAAATTGCTGAACTTCCAGGCTAATGCATTAAAAACTGCATAGAATGTAATTCCATCATTACAATGCCCTAATTAGAAAGATAAATTAAGCAAAATGGGTAGGATGCTTTTTACAGTAAGTGTTTCACAACTAGTCATAATGATTTGAAAATCAACACTCAGCAAAATGATAATAGGCCTCTGAGAGGAAACTGGAGTAGGCACATATAGTTGGGGTTCCAGCGTGGGCACCAGGTACAAAACTGAGAAGTAAAATCCTGGTCTCTTAAAGGCCCATATAGCACCTTTAAAATCCTGCATGTGTATATGGTGAATTCTATAGAGGTCAAACACTGGAAACTAGCAAAGGTTATTATAATCAGTAGCAACACAATATTTATTTCAACTATTTCGTAATCCTAATTATCCCAACCTTCCAACTTTCTCCATTCCCCCACAAAGCACCTAACAAATCCTTGTGAAATATAAGGGTTTTTGCCTTTTTTTTTTTCCCAGAATGATACAAAACTTGGTAAGCAGACACTGAGTCACAAGGCTTTTGTCAAAGAGCTGAACAAGAGAAGACTGATTATAGGTTAAAATTTACATGTTCCTGGAATTCAGACAATTAAAATGAGCAGTAGCTAGAATGTTTGGAGCCAGAAAAACTTTGCCACTTAGTACTTGTACAATCTTAGGTTTTATTTATTTATTTATTTATTTATTTTGAGACAGAGTCTCGCTCTGTAGCCCAGGCTGCAGTGCAGTGGCACAATCTCCGCTCACTGCAACCTCCATGACCATGTTGGTCAGGCTGGTCTTGAACTCCTGACCTCAGGTGATCTGCCTGCCTCAGCCTCACAAAGCTGGGATTACAGGCGTGAGTCACCACGCCCAGCTCATTTCTGTTTTAAAACCAAGTTTTATTTGGCCATAAAACTTGTTGGCAGCTCATGAAACAGAAATTTCCTGAGATAGAAAAGAACTAATTGGACAGGCGCAGTGGCTCACATCTGTAATCCCAGCACTTTGGGAGGCCGAGGTGAGCAGATCACCTGAGGCCAGGAGTTCAAGACCAGCCTCGCCAACCAACATGGTGAAACCCCAACTCTACTGAAAATACAAAAATTAGCCAGGCATGGTGGCGCATGCCTGTAATCCCAAGCTACTCCACTGGCTGAAGCAGGAGAATCGCTTGAACTCGGGAAGCGGAGATTGCAGTGAGCCAAGATCGCGCCAATGCACTCCAGCCTGGGCGACAAAGCGGGACTCCATCTCAAAAAAAAAAAAAAAAAAAGAAAAGAACTAGAACTAATCACAATCCCACAACCACATAAACAAAAACATATATATTATAATATACTGAGGGGGTGTCTTTCTAAGCATAACATGAAATCCAGATATCATTAAAGAAATGATGATCAGATCTGCATCTATATAAAGGTCTAACTTCTAAAAGGCAAAGATCCCAAAATATATATACATACTTATACACACACATATATTAGTATTTACAAAACATAAAGAGTTCCTAAAAATCAGTAGGAAAAAGACAAGCAAACCACCCAATGGACAAAGAATATGACCAGGCAAAGATGCCCTAATATGATTAGAATGAGTAACAGTGAAAAGGTCACTAATAAAAACTCAAAAGTAAAGCAACCATTATAAACCATTTCTCATCAGATTGGCAAAAAATTAAAAATAGTGGTATATTTCAGTGGTGAAGTTTTGAAGAAATGGGTATGCTCATACAATGCTGGTGGTTGATGTACAACTTGAAAACAGCTTACAGGATCTACCAACATTTAAACTACACACACCCTGTGACCCAAAAATACCACTTCTCTCCATCTTAGAGAAATACACATGTTCACAAAAATATACGTATAAGGCACATTTATTACAATTTTAAAAAGTCAGAAGAAACCTAAATACTGATCAGTAGAGGAAGAGCCAAGATGGAGAGATGGGTAAGGAGATTAGAAACCAGACTTTTAGACTTCACCCAGTCAATCTGCAAGTCACTCATTCTAGATTTCAGCCAGGCTGCCAATCATTCAGCTAATTCCTCCCTCCCGTTGTTTATTAGCACCACTAACATAAAAGGAAATCACTCCAGCTTTGAGAGCCAATTTTGAAGATTCCCGGGTGGCCCTTATCCTACATAAGGCATTTCTTCAATGGCTGCAATTGGTATATTCTGCCTGGTTTTTGTTTTGTGGTAAATATTTTCATTCTATTTTTGTCTTTTATATAGTCAATTTCAGCAGCTGTAAGCCAGTCAACTGAATGGAAACACAATTAGCTAGCGCAGGGCACCTAGGTGTTATTATTTGGCCACTACAAATAATGCTACAGGGAAAGTTTCTGTACTTGTATCTTTTCTAGTGTCTGATGAGCTATTTTCAAAGGAAAAAGTCTTAGGGCTGGGTTATGAAGTTGGAAACTATAGAAAGCTTTATGAGTGGCTCCCTACAGCTTTGTCAGTTCCCCTAGTGATTGGACCCATCCAAACCGCTGTGGGTGTCCTAGAGTCCACCAGCAGAGGGCAGCATCCCCCAGACCAACAAGGCCTCAGGATGCAGACATTAAGCCTGGGGAGTGAAGAAAAGTGATCAGAAGACAAAGGCAAAATCCACAGAACATGCTAACCAGGGCTTCCAAAATTTGGGAGGTATGGCAGACCCTCGTACCTGCAAGATAACTGGGATTATCCACAACTAGCAACACCTAACACTCAGTGTCCTTGATTCCTTAACTGGCACCAAGATAAAAAAAAGTCACCTCCTCTTAAACAGGTATATATACTGGCCATGCCAAACCTTTATCAACTAGAATCTTGCCAAGCAACAAAGATTACTGAAGCCCAACCCCTGGGGAGACTAAACAGGCGATGCATTATGCTGCTGGCCTCATTTTGGCAGTTTCTGTTGAAAGAAAGAATGGAAAGGGCAAACCTACATATCCATCACAAATGTCTGGTTTCTCATTCCCTTTACTTGGCTTCATTTTAAACTGAGCTGGGGGCAAGGGAAGGATACTGTAAGCAGCAATGAGTTGAAAGGTAACCATGGCCAGGTACGGTGGCTCACACTTGTTATCCCAGCACTTTGGGAGGCTGAGGTAGGCGGATCACTTGAGGACAAAAGTTCGAGACCACCCTGGACAACATAATGAAACCCCATCTCTACTAAAAATGCAAAAAATTAGATGGGCGTGGTGGCATGTGCCTGTAATCCCAGCTACTCAGGAGGCTGCGGCAGGAGAATCACTTGAACCCGGGAGGCGGAGGTTGCATTGAGCCGAGATTGCACCACTGCACTCCAGCCTGGGCAACAGAGTGAGACTCTATCTCAAAAAATAAAAAAAATAGAATAAAGGAAAAAGAAAGGTAACCACGAGCCCAGAGCAGTTAGGTTACAGGTCAAAGAAAACAGAAATCACTATGGTTGAAATGTCTCCAACAGTGTTCACTTTAGATCATTAACCAAGTGAGTCATCCTAAATTAATCTGAACTAAAGTTTGGGCCACTCGATATTTCAGCTCTTGAAGGTCTAGGGAAATACCACATCCTTACCTATCAAGAGGCGAGACACAACAACTATTATTTGCCATTTGTTCACTGCCACTGATATGCTAACTTCTCCCTGGAACATTTATATGATCTGTATCACAGCCCACACTACAGTCATAATAAATAATACAGCATTGGTGAGAATAGGAAAGCAGGCTCTCTTACACCCTGATTGCAGAGTTGAGGTGGTAGGAGAGTAGGGGTGGGAGCAGTATTTACCACCATTTGGGGGAGGACGAATTTAGCAGCACCAAGATTCAAATGGATAAACTCTTTCACCTAGAAATTCCACTTCCAGGGTTTTACGCTACAAAAGTAATGCCATAAGTAAGCAAAGTATTATACAAGGATATTCACTGCAGCCCTATTCATAATAGAGAACAAATAAAAACAATCTAATTCCCACCAACAAAAGATGAATGAAATAAATCCTGGCATATCTATTAACGCAACCATTCGTTAAAACAATGAGACAGATCCATGAATCATATCATGGAACAATCTCTAACACAAATTAAGTGAAATAAAACAAGCTACACAATTAAGTATGTAATTTTAATTAAAAAAAAAATTTTTTTTGAGACAGGGTCTCCCTCTGTCGCCCAGGCTGGAGTGCAGTGGCGCAATCTTGGCTCAATGCAACCTCCGCCTCCTGGGCTAAAGTGATCCTCCTGCCTTGGCCTACCAAGTAGTTGGGACTACAAGCGCCTGCCACCACACCTGACTAATTTTTGTATCTCTGTAGAGATAGTGTTTCACCACGTTTCCCAGGCTGGTCTGAAACTCCTGAGCTCAAGCAATCTGCCTGCCTTGGCCTCCCAAAGCGCTGGGGTTACAGGCATGAGCCACCATACCTGGACTATAATTTTTACTTTTTTTAAAAAAACTGCATGTTTGGAAAGTCTAGAACCAGAGTATACATCAGACTGCCCAGGTTTCAGTTTTGGCCTGCTGCTTACTAGAAGTGTGACTTTACACTTCATCCTCAAACTTCAGTTTCCTTATCTGTAAAATAGGGAGGGGGGCACATATTGCCTTCAAAGGATTATGATGAAAATTCAATTCATTTATTTTATTGGCTGGCTGAGGTGGCTCACGCCTGTAATCCCAGCACTTTGGGAGGCCGAGGCAGGTGGATCACCTGAGGCCAGGAGTTCGAGACCAGCCTGACCAATATGGTGAAACCCCGTCTCTACTAAAAATACAAAATTAGCCAAGCATGGTGGTGCATGCCTGTAATCCCAGCTACTTGGGAGGCTGAGGCAGAAGAATCGTTTGAACTTGGGAGGCAGAGGTTGCAGTGAGCCAAGATTGCGCCATTGCACTCCAGCCTGGGCAACAAGAGCGAAACTTCATCTCCAAAAAAAAGAAAATTCAATTAATTTGTTTTATTGTTTTATATACATATATAAATATAACTGATTACACACAAATAAGGTAGCACAATATAAATGAATATATATAAATAAGGTACCTGCCATATAGCAAATGCTCAGAAGATATAGAAGATGATAATGATTATTATTAACATCACTACCTCTGAGAAGTTGAATTAAGGAGGTAACTTTGATTTACCAAGTTTTATACTTCCGTAAATAAATAATTTTTCAGAATAGGCATGAAGTACTTTTATAATTAAAAGATATACCCTTATTCCCAAGAGAAATGAAAACATATGTCCAAAGACTTGCATGTGAATGTTCATAGTAGCATTATTCACAAATGCTCATCAACTGGTGAATGGATAGATAAAATGTATGGCATATCCATACACTGGAATATATTCAGCACAAAAAGGAACTGACTACTCAAGTGCTATGGCACGGACAAACTTCAAAACCACCATGCTACGTGAAAGCAGCAAGACACAGATAATACATATGGTATAATTCAATTTATATGACATGTCCAGAAAAGACAAATCTATAGAGACAGTAGGATTAAGGATTGCTGGGTTTAACAGTAAAAGGGCAGAAAGGTCCTTATTAAGATGATGAAAATGTTCTAAAACTGATTTGTGGTAATGGTTGCAAAACTTGGTAAATATACCAAACATCGCTCAACTGTACAGAGTAAATTATGATATGTGAAACATGTCTCATTGTTTAAAAAAAAAAAAAAGGTTTAAAAAGATACATCCTTACAAAACCATGCCTATTTTACACTTATATAATGCTCTGCCCTTGGGAGGGGCTTTAACTTGCATTTCTCTATTTCATCCTCCTAACTATCATGTGAGGCAGACAGAGTAGGGACCATGCTCTTTGGAGAAAAAAGAAAAATGATGTTCAGATTAGGCCACAGCTACTGCTAGCAAATAAAGCACCCAGAGCCCAGATCGAAACACAACTAACTCAATAGATACAGTGGTAAAAATGTACCAAGACTTCAAGATTCCAGGAGTAATAACCAAACAGTGATCACAAGTACAGTGATGACCAGGGGCTTTGCCTGCAAAGTATACTCCTTTTTAAAATTCTTTAACTTTTTGAATAAATGTGCACTTAAGAAATCTGACATAAAACATGCTTTTTGTTCCTTACACAGTCTGGCTAAAAGTCACATCATTATGGATATGCATAGATTCCCTGACACAAGAAGAAACTTCCTTTTCAGTAGCTCAAAAAATGCTTAGCATACATTGGGGATTCAAGAAATGCTTATTAGGCTGGAAGTGGTGGCTCACACCTATAATCCCAGCACTTTGGGAGGCCGAGATGGATCACTTAAGTCCTTGAGTTTGAGACTAGCCTAGGAAACACAGTGAGACCCAATATCTTTAAAAAAAAAAAAAAAGAATGAGTGGGGTGTGGTGGTGGTGCAAGCCTGCAGTCCCAGTAACTTAGGAGGATACGGTGGGAGTATCACTTCAGCCAAGGAGGTTGAAGTTGCAGTGAGCTGTGACCATACCACTGCACTGGAGCCTGGGTGACAGAGTAAGACCTTGTCTCAAAAAAAAAGAAAAAGGAAAAAAAGGAAATGCTTCTTACTAATATGAAAAATAATAGCAAATTTTTTAAAAGTTTAATTTGAACATACTGTAAATGAATCTAGCATTTCATTTTGTACAGAAAAACTGAAGAGAAATGACAAGAGATAAAACCTAAACCATAAGCCACACAGAAATGTTTTTGAGGGGGCAGGGGAGGAAGGTGGTTAATTTTTGGCAATCATTGTGCTAAAAAGCCACAGGCATTCCCAGCACCAGGCAAGCAACCAAGAAAATAACAGCCGAGCATGGTGGCTCGTGCCTATAATCTCAGCACTTTGAGAGGCCGAGGCGGGCTGATCTCTTGAGCCCAGGAGTTTGAAACCAGCCTGGGAAACATGGTGAAACCCCGTCTCTAACAAAAATACAAAAAAATTAGCCGGGCATGGTGGCATGCAGCTGTGGTCCCAGCTACTTCGCAGGCTGAGGTGAGAGGATCGCTTGAGCCTGGGAGGCAGAGGTTGCACTGAGCTGAGATCACACCACCACACTCCAGCTTGGGTGACAGAGTGAGAAGAAAACAAAAGTCTGGCATGACCAACCAGTATTTTCCCACGCTCTTCTCCAGTTTACACTGACTAGGGTTTACAGAACTGCAACAAGAATTGGTTCTGTGTGTAATATCCCATGTCCTTCACACTAAACTGGGTTGACAATGTCGGTGATCTCCCTAAGTCCCGTTTTCCAGATGGAAAACTAGGTTCAGACCGGCAAAACAGCAAAGTTTCTTTGACATTTTCTGTTGCTCACTGCTAAAAAGATTATGGCTTTTCAGCTGTTAATTGAAACACTGTGTGTCAAATCCTGATGCCTAGTTGAGATAACTTTACTTAATCACATTCTCTGAGGAGAAATGTCTTAGAAATAGCTGTTAAATAAAATAAAAGTTAAGCAAACTACAAATACTGAACCACTATAACGTATTTGGGACTTTTGTTTTGATACTTGATATATTTTTTCAGGATTTGGGCACCTACAGAGGATAAAGACTATCAGGAAAAGTCACAAGCCATAAAGAAACAGGTTTTGGGAATGGGGTAGAGCAACAAAAACACTGGAAAACCTTAAAAAAAAAAGAGTAGGAAATTGAGCTCAATTCTGGCTTCAATGGGGGTGGAGGAATGAACTTCTCACAGAGGTGTAGATCCTGCACAAGCAGGGCACAATGTCTGAACGGGTTCAATTTGAAAAAGGGATTTTGCAGAGAGAAATGGACCTTGGAAAATGGTCTATAAACCAATGGTTGTTGGGGTCCCTCAGAAGACTCACAATGTAATAAAACTACAGAAGCATAACAAGGAGGCTATGATGAACTCAGGGCCAGGCAATACTACTAAAAATCCAGAAGTATATTTCCCTCCACAGTGTGCCAAATAAGAGGTCTATCCCTGTAGAGGTTGGCAGGATTGTCTCTGCCTCTCTTATCAGCCAGCCCTCTGCAGAGGTCATGGCAGGACAAGAAAGGGAAACTGTCAAAATGAAGTGACTTGAAGGAAGGTAGGGATATGATGGCAAGGTGTCAAGACTTGATCTTTGGACAGTTCTGAGTTTTCAAAGAGTTTGGGGGAAAGGAGGCCATTCAGGCAAGCAAAGAGCTAGGAAGGAAAGGAGATTCCTTTCAGAGGACTGAGAGGATAGTGTATGTCTCATGAGTCCAATTATTATTATTATTATTTATTTATTTATTTGAGACAAGGTCTTGTTCTGTCACCCAGGCTGAAGTGTAGTGACATGATCACAGTTCACTGCAGCCTTGACCTCGCGGGCTCAAGATCCTCCCACCTCAGATTCCCAACTAGCTAGGACTACAGGCATGAGCTACCATGCCTGGCTAATTTTTTTTTTTTTTTTTAAGAGATGGGGTCTCACTCTGTTTCCCAGGCTGGTCTTCTGGGCTCGTGTGATGCTCCTACCTAGGCCTCCCAAAGTGCTGGGATTACAGGCATGGGCCACCACACCCAGCCTGAGTCCAATTACTTAGAATCATAATATCCTGTCTTAATTTCTCCTCCCTACCCCCTGAATATTTAGTGAGGGAAGCCTGTTTTAGCTGTTCTAGCCCTACCTCAGCTGTACTATATGGGGTCTTGAAGGAAAAACTACTTATCTCTGCTTAGACCAGAAAGTTAAAGAAGAATGGATGTCTAACCACCCACTAACATCTGTTTGACAGACAACATAAGCCTCCTCCCCTTTCTCCACACTTTTTCTTCTACCTTTATTAAGCCCTTACTTTGTGCCTGGCACCAGTGTTAACTGTTTTACATGTATCACCTCACCAGAGTCTTTTAAGTCTGAATGTAAGTTTATTATTCCCATTTCAGAGATAAACTAAGGCTCAGAGGTTAAGTTGCCCAAAGTCAAACAGCTAGTAAAGGGCAGAGCTAGAATATGAACCCAGGAATGTCGGAGTACTACAAGCTCTTAACTACCATGCCATACTGGTGGCAACAATTAGTAATTACCAAGACTTCAAAGGTATGGTGACTCACAGGGGCAAGAGTTAATGTACTCTTCTCTTTGCAAAGATTTCCTTCCAGGCAAATGATGATAAGTTCTATCGTTCTTGAGGGCTGTGGCAGTTTCCCGGTACATGGTGGCAGCAGTGGGATCACAGCCGTGGGTAAGCTAGGCTAGCAAACCAAAGCATCCTGTCCTCAGACAGATGAGAATGTTACCATCTGAACTTCTTCAGGTCAATTTTCGAATACTAAGCTGAATACTGAAAAGACACCTTTTCTATTTCATTCTCCCTCTGAATGGGTAATATCCAGCCACTCCAATTAGTTTCATATTAGGTATCTTTTCTTAAAATCTCTGTTGGCATCATGTCCCTGCTTAGCCTGAGAATGTGCAGAGACAGAACGCTGGGACGGGAGTTATCCTAGGACACACTGACTACTTTCATAGGACCATGAGGCTATTTCCCAAAAGCTGAAATCAAGAAAATAGGTCCCCTAAAACAATTAGTGTTTCTAAAAAACATGAAACAGCTCTTTGAGATATCAAATATTATTCAGTCAGACTTTGTGATTTGAGCTTGCCATTGGTGGAGGCTCTGCAGCTTGCGCAGTGCTCTGGGTTTTGCTCCAGATCTGTCACATTGCATTAGTGCCCTTCCTCCTCACTGCCAACAAAAATAACAGCCTTGAACATGGCAGCACAATCCATTTGTCCTGCTCTAATTACTTTTTGACATTACTTTTTCTGTTGCTAGCTTGTTTTTTTTTTTTTTTTTCTACCAACCTCAGGGCATCATTAGAGTCATCTGAAAACAAAATCTTTAGGTTCTGCCAATATATATTTGGATAACTTTCTAGCACAAAATGGTTCCAAAGAGCAGTATGATAGTAGTTATAAGAAAAGCCACAAGGCACTCATAACTATTTCCAGAATTCCCCAGATGTCACAGAGAGTATAGCCAAGGACAAAATGCCAGGGTTTGAAGTTATAGGACCTGGGCAAGTTGTAGCTCTACCACTCACTAGCTGTGAGACCTTGGAGCAAGTCTCCGAATCTGTCTAGTTTTAGTTTCCTCTTTTGACAAATGGAGTCATCTCTTTACTCTGGTAACCTCACAAGAGCTGCTGTGAAGATCGGTTGAGATAATGCATGTGAAAATACTTTAGAAAGAGCAATAGTGTTATTATTATTGAGATAGTGTCTCGCTTTGCCACCCAGGCTGAAGTGCAGTGGCATGATCACAGCTCACGGCAGCCTCAACCTCACAGGCTCAAGCGAGCCTCCTGCTCATCCTCTCAAGTAGCTGGGACCAAAGGTATGCGCCACCATGTCTGGCTAATTCTTTTTTGTAGAGGTGGGGTCTCCTTATGCTGCCCAGGCTCATTTTATTAAGAGGCATAAAATGATGACCAATATTGCAAGGCTCTCTAGGTTTTCTGTTCTTCATTAATTCTAGTGTGTTCTTCATTAATTCTAGAGTGTGATAGTTATTTTTATGCCAACTTGCTTGGCTGGGCCACAGGGTGCCCAGACTGTTTGGTCAAACAATATTCTGGGTGTGTCTGGGGGGGGCTATTTTTGGATGAGATTAACATTTACGTCTGCAAACTCTGAGTAAAGCAGATTGCCCTCCATAATGTGAGTGTGCCTCATCAAATTAGGTGAAGGCCTGAACAGAACAAAAAGACCAGCCTCCCTCCTACAAGAGAGAACTCTCCAGCAGCCTGCCTTTGGACTTGAACTGGAACATTGGCTACCGTAGGTGTCTGGCCTGCAGACCTTCAGACTGCAAATGCAGCATGGCTTTCTTGGGTCTCCAACTGACTGAGCCATCCTGCAGATTCTGTGTCTTTATTCATTTATTTATTTTTTGAGACACAATTTCACTGTCACACAGGCTGGAGTGCAGTGGTACGATCTCAGCTTACTGCAACCTCTGCCTGCGGGCTCAAGCAATTCTCCTGCGTCAGCCTTCCGAGCAGCTGGGACTACAGGCGCACGCCACCATGCCCAGCTAATTTTTGTATTTTCCGTAGAGACAGGGTTTCACCATGCTGGCCAGGCTGGTCTTGAACTCCTGACCTCAAGTGATCTGCCCGCCTTGGCCTCCCAAAGTGCTGGGATTACAGGCTTGAGCCACCACACCCAGCCATATCCTACAGATTTTGGATTTGCCAGTCTTCATAATCACGTGAGCCAATTCCTTAAAATGAATCTCCATCCATCCAGCCAGCCAGCCTCAAAGCATATTGGTTCTGTTTCTCTGGAGAATAATGACTCATACATCTAGGATCTAGTTTTGTTTAGAATTCAAATGATCATACTATGCACTAAAAATTAGGGGCAGAAATATCAGAGATAAATTAAATCCAGAAGTGTATCTTCCAGAGCCTCCAGCATGACAGATACTGACTTACAAATTATATATATTTCCAAAAGTCACTTTTTGGCCTGCTGCCTGGAACTTAAAAGGCTATCCCTAATAATACTGGAGCTTCAGGCGGGGCGTGGTGGCTCACGCCTGTAATCCCAGCACTTTGGGAGGCCGAGGTGGGTGGATCACGGGGTCAGGAATTTGAGACCAGCCTGGCCAAGATGGTGAAACCCCGTCTCTACTAAAAATACAAAAATTAGCCGGGCGTAGGGGCACACGCCTGTAATCCCAGCTACTCAGGAGGCTGAGGCAGGAGAATCGCTTGAACCCGGGAGGTGGAGTTTGCAGTGAGCCAAGAGGGCACCACTGCACTCCAGCCTGGTGGCAGAGTGAGACTCCATCTCAAAATAATAAAAATAATGGAGCTTCAGGACAAAAGACTACTGAGAAGCTACCATTACAGGAATTGACTGATACATATTTATTGGATAAGTACACAAATGAATGTTGTTCTATTTAGAAAATGCTTTTGGAAGAATACAACATTTCTTGAGCACTTCCAGAGTACTATGCACTGCACTAGATGTTTCACATATATTGTTTCATTCAACACTTAACATCTGTAAGACAATGTTTCCTATTTCTTAAAATGACAAAACTGAGCTCTGACAGATGTTTTGGCCTAGGTCATGTACCTAGAATGTAGTGTAACTGAGATCAGAACCCAGATGATTCCAGTGCCTTGCCTCTAACTACAGGATAGCCATATTAAATAATCTAGCCCCGCCTTAAAAAACAAACAAACAGAAAAGTGGCAGTGATTAACTAAGATGTACCTTTATTTCCATACCATTTTTTCCCTTCCTCCACTCACTCCTAAATGAAGGATGGCAAAAAACTCTAAGAAAACAAAAAGCACTGGACCACAGGAGATTATGGAAATCCACAGGCTGAGGGGTTTTCAGCAGGATGACAAAGTAAGCAACTTGATTCTAGCAAAAGTTTGGATGTAAAGAACATCTTAGCAAATGAGAGTGAGAATTTCTTTTTTAAAAATTTTTTAGAGTTGCTGTCCCTTTGTCACCCAGGATGGAGCACAGTGATGCAATCACAGCTCACTGCAGTCTTGAATTCCTGGACTCTGGCAATCCTCCTGCCTCAGCCTCCTAAGTAGCTCAGACTACAGGCATGTGCCACCACAACCTGCTAATTTTCAAATTTTTTTGTACAAACGGGGCCTTGTCATCTTACCCAAGCTGGTCTCGAACTCCTGGACTCAAGCCATCTGCCTGCCTTGGCCTCCCAAAGTGCTAGGATTACAGGCATAAGCCACCATGCCTGGTCTGAGATTTTCTTTTTTTTTTTTTTTTTTTTTTTTTTTTCAAAACAAAGCAACAGAAAGTACAGTGGTCCCAAGGAACTATAAATGTAGATGGAAGAAAATACGGTGTGTGTAGAGAGTGAAGGGGACTTTGTTTGGCCTTTGCTTTTGTTGTTGTTATTGTTGTTGTTGTTTTTGAGACGGAGTCTCGCTCTGCCGCCAGGCTGGAATGCAGCGGTGCAATCTCAGCTCACTGCAACCTCCGCCTCCTGGATTTAAGTGATTCTCCTGCCTCAGCCTCCCGAGTAGCTGGGACTACAGGCGCACGCCACCACACCCAGGTAATTTTTGTATTATTAGTAGAGACGGGGTTTAACCACGTTGGCCAGAATGGTCTTGAACTCCTGACCTCAGGTGATCCGCCCGCCTCGGCCTCCAAAAGTGCCGGGATTACAGGCGTGAGCCACCGCACCTGGCCTGCCTTTGATTTTCTAATAATTATTAATTTTTTTTGAGATGGAGTCTTGCTCCGTCACCAGGCTGCAGTGCAGTGGCACAATCTTGGCTCACTGCAATCTGGGCCTCGCAGGTTCAAGCAATTCCCCTGCTTCAGCCTCCCAAGTAGCTGGAACTTCAGGCACATACTACCACACCCGGCTAATTTTTTGTATTTTAATAGAGATGGTGTTTCACCATGTTGACCAGGATGGTCTCAATCTCCTGACCTTGTGATCCGTCCGCCTTGGCTCCCAAAGTGCTGGGATTACAGGCATGAGCCACCACGTCCAGCCTATTTTTTTTTTTTTAAAGAGATGGAGTCTTGCTCCGTTGCCCAGGTTGGAGTACAATGGCGTGATCTTGGCTCACTGCAACCTCCGCCTCCCGGGTTCAAGCAATTCTCCTGCCTCAGTCTCCTGAGTAGCTGGGACTAGAGGCACACACCACCACGCCCGGCTAATTTTTTTGTTTTTGTCTTTGTTTTTGGATTTTAGTAGAGACGGGGTTTCACCATGTTTCCCAGGCTGGTCTCGAACTCCCGAGTTCAGGCAATCTGCCCACCTCGGCCTCCCAAAGTGCTAGGATTACAGGCGCGAGCCACCGCCCCCGGCCCTGGCCTTTGCTTTTAATGTCAACACATCCTCACCATGATGACCACCTAAGCTGCAAGTGACACGTCAAGCCAAAGACAGGCCAAAGAGGCCTCTGCCTCCTGCAATGCCTCCCTTTTACCATCTCAGATGGCTTTTTAGGATTCATCCTTAATTCACATTCTTCCTGCCACAAGTGAATGGAGTTAAAAAGGGAAACTTATCCTGCATTTTCTACTGGTGTGCAGAGCCTAACAATCAAGGGCAGGAACCTACAGAACGATAAGTAATGAAACAAGAATTGTTTGTTATCAGGCCAATTAAATTCGATTTTAACTCATTAAAACAGGCCAAGTAGAAACCAGCTGTAAAGTGAGACTGTATTTTCCTGCAACAAAGTGTGACAGCAAGTTATTTAAATATAATTATGACACTTGTAAAATGCTGCAATTGAATTAGTTTCAAAACACATTTCTTCTTCATCTTGATCACTTAATAGTAAATCCACTTATAATCATGACTTTAGAATAACTCTGTGAGAAAGTATCATCACCTCCATTTTACCAGTGAAGAAACTGAGGCTCCAGAAGATGGGAATCAAATATCCAAGTGGGCAGAGCTAGAACCTGACTCCAAGTTTTGAGTGTTTTTTCCTTTCTCGAGGCCATTTCCCAGAGCGTGCAAGGTCTTCCCTGTTAGGCCTCTCACTTTCTTGAGGTGTCCTGATTGTTTTACCTTCCTTTGCCTTCCTAGAAGAATACTGTTTCTTCCTGTCATCTTAGCACATCGTTCTATGTACAGTGTTGGATAGGCACTACTGTAGCTATAGCTTCTTAGTCATTTCAGTTTGAAGAACAACTATGCCTGCCAAGTTCTAAGTCACTCATGTGGTTTTTTTAAAATAGTCACCAGCACAAGGGAGGAACTGACTCCAGTGATACTGATTTTTTCCTCCAAATTTTAGGGCAACTTTATTTCATTAATTTTTCATTAAAGTGTAAACAGTCTGTGGCCAAAAGGCAAGAATCTTTTTGAAATGAACATTTTGAGATACTAAAGTAGTAATAAACCACGTTGCCCAAATTTTTTCATACATGTTATCAAGAGAGAAAGTAATAAAACCTCAAAATGACAGTTCCAGATCAAAGCAAATACCTACAAATACAGAGCTATATGTGAATTATATTTTATCATACAATATCTAGAATTAAACTCCTAGAAAATTATATTTAGAATGGCTACACCTTTCTGAACTCCAGTTCCTCCAAATCAGTTTTTTTTTTTTTTTTTTTTTTGAGACGGAGTTTTGCTCTTGTTGCCCAGGCTGGAGTGCAATGGCATGATCTTGGCTCACTGCAACCTCTGCCTCCCAGGTTCAAGTGATTATCCTGTCTCAGCCTCCTGAGTAGCTAGTAGCTGAGTAGCTAGTAGCAGGCGCATGACACCACGCCTGGCTAATTTTTTTTTTTTTGTATTTTTAGTAGAGACGGGGTTTCATTATATTGGTCAGGCTGGTCTCCAACTCCTGACCTCAGGTGATCCGCCTGCTTTGGCCTCCAAAGTGCTGGGATTACAGGTGTGAGCCACTGCACCCAGCCCCAACTCGGCTTAAAACCAGTGGAGGCTGGCTATCCTAGGGGGAAGAGCATGGGTTCTGAAATCCGACACACCTGGGTTCCTATTCTTGTTCTACTATTTTATACTTTTGACCCCTGGGCAAGTTACTACATTTCTTTTTTTTTTTTTTTTTTTTTTTTTGAGACAGAGTTTCGCTCTTGTTGCCCAGGCTAGAGTGCAATGGCACGATCTCAGCTCACCGCAACCTCTGCTTCCCGGGTTCAAGCGATTCTCCTGCCTCAGCCTCCCGAGTGGCTGGGATTACAGGTATGGGCCACCACATCCTGCTGATTTTGTATTTTTAGTAGAGACGGAGTTTTTCCACGTTGGTCAGGCTCGAACTCCTGACCTCAGGTGATCCACCTGCCTTGGCCTCCCAAAGTGCTGGGATTACAGGCGTGAGCCACTATGCCGGGCCCTACATTTCTTGAAGTCTCAGTTTTCTCACATAAAATAAGAATACCATCCCTTATCTTTTACAGTTATTGTGAGGTATAAAGTAAATGAATGAATATTTCAGGCAAGCTCAGTTTCTGGGATATAAATGATGTTCAATAAATACCAATAAGTACTCAATAGATGTTTGTTATGAACAGTTTTAAAAGCCCTATAAGGAATATGCGTGCTGTACCTCCCATGACCAGCGAGAGGGAAATGAAGATCAGTGATATGACATTAAGTAGTGAAGATTTATTTATACTTCTAGAATTTCTGCATTTTAGCGTTTGTTTCTCCCTGAATTACATAGAATATGGCCACAACTGGAAGATGACTTTAAGGTGAAATATTAAGATACAAGGATCATTGGTAATTAAATAAAATGATTTTCTTTTTAATCTATATACAAAATGGTACCCAAATTGCTACAAAGAGAAAACATTTTCTACACAGCTTGCATTTCTGCAGCATAGCTTTAAATGAAACCACTCTGTAATCTCACAGATTATGTCTAAAAATAGAATGATAGGCCAGCTGTCAGACATATACATTGTAGGGAGAATGGGGCCAAGAATCTTTCCCCAAACACCACTGGAACTCTTCTGGCATTTGCTCCCACAAAGACAAAAAACTAAAATCTATTCAATTCCAGCAGCTACCTGCATTTTTTTTTTAACTTTTAAGTTCAGGGGTACCTGTGCAGAATGTGCTGGTTTGTTACACAGGTAAACATGTCTCATGGAAGTTTGTTGTACAGATCATTTCATCACCCAGGTATTAAGCCTAGTATCCATTAGTTATTTTTCCTGATCCTCTCCCTCCTCCCACCCTCTGCCCTCTGGTAAGCCCCAGTATGTGTTGTTCCCCTCTATGTGGCCGTGTGTTCTCATCATTTAGCTCCTACTTATAAGTGAGAACATGCGGTATTTGGCTTTCTGTTCCTGCACTAGTTTACTAAGGATAATGGCCTCCAGCTCCATGTATGTCCCTGCAAAAGACATGATCTTGTATTTTTTTCTTATGGCTGCATAGTATTCCATGATGTATATGTACATTTTCTTTACCTAGCCTATCATTGGTGGGCATTTAGATTGATTCTGTGTCTTTGCTATTGTGAATAGCGCTGTAATGAATGTACATGTGCATGTGTCTTTATAAATAGAATGATTTATATTCCTTTGGAAATATGCCCAGTAATGGGATTTCTGGGTCGAATGGTGTTACTGTATCTAGGTCTTTGAGGAATTGCCACACTCTTCCACAATAGTTGAACTAACATACACTCCCACCAACAGTGTAAAAGCTTTCCTTTTTCTCGACAATCTTGCCAGCGTCTGTTATTTTTTGACTTTTTAATAACAGCCATTCTGACTGGTGTGAGATTGTATCTCATTGTGGTTTTGACTAACATTTCTCTAAGGATCAGTAATGTTGAGCTGTTTTTCATATGCTTCTTGGCCACATGTATGTCTTTTCAGAAGGATCTGTTCCTGTCCTTTGTCCACTTTTTAACGGGGTTGTTTTGTTTCTTGTAAATTTGTTTAAGTTCTTACAGATGCTGGATATTAGACCTTTGTCAGATTACTGCTTTCTTTTAGATTTAGGAGAAAGGATTGGAATGCCAAGATTTGTAAGGTTCTTGTGAAATCTCCCCAAATCTGCAATGTGCTGTTCCTAAAAGGCTTATAACAAAAGTATCATGCATGATCTGAAATTATTGGTTCAATACAACCCCATTTATAAAAATGTTTTGCTTTTTTGTGAACTCTCCCTTCCAAGTTATTTAACCTTTTAAAATAAAAAGATGCAATGTGATGGGGACTGTGTTCTAGTCCAGACCCTGCCATTAATATGCTACATAAACTTAGGTAAACTATAACCCCTCTATGGACCTCAGTTTTCCCATCTGGATAATGAGAAAGTTGTGGGAGACAGCCATGTAAGGATGTGTTTCAGCTACAATGCTCTAGATTATCTGAGCCTCAAAATTTCCACACAAGCTGAAAAGAAAAGAAACAACCTTTTACTTCTAAGCTATGTTTTGAGGTGCTTCAGTGCCAATTTCTTAGGTAATCTTTCCACCGAATCAAGGATGCAGTGCCCCTAAAAAGATGAATGGAAGACACTTCAGGCCGGGCGCAGTGGCTCACACTTGTAATCCCAGCTCTTTGGGAGGCCAAGGCGAGCGGATCACCAGGTCAGGAGATCGAGACCATCCTGGCTAACACGGTGAAACCCCGTCTCTACTAAAAATACAAAAATTAGCCGGGCATGGTGGCGCGCGCCTGTAGTCCCAGCTACACGGGAGGCTGAGGCAGGAGAATGGCGTGAACCCGGGAGGCGGAGCTTGCAGTGAGTCGAGATCGCGCCACTGCACTCCAGCCTGGGCGACAGAGCGAAACTCCGTCTCAAAAAAAAAAAAAAAAAAAAAAAGTTAGTGATATGAAGATCACAAGGTAGGGAAGGGGTAGGGTAAAGAGAACTAGGACACAGCTGTAGTGTTCTGCAGGCTAAAACATAGACTCAATGTGTCACAGAAAATTAAATCAAAAGTTGAATGTAATTCCTGGTCTCCTGAATAAAGATAAGCAGGGCCCCTGGTACTGTCACCAGCCACAGTGGAGCCATTCTAGGTCCTCAATGACATCCAATTCTAAGCCCCAGGATCATCCTAAATTGTGGAGGCAAGGTCACTGCTCCATCGGGCCAAATTCTACAAAGCTCCAATTGCCCCAGACAGAAAAAAGAAGATGCCAACTGCTAAATCCATTTTGATAGCTAGAGGAGGATTAAAGAAACTGCACGCATGGTGATGTCCAAATCTGAGCAATGAGATTAACCTCCATGTGGACTGCCTATACCTCAGAGAGAGTTGGTTGTTTTTTAAACACTTCCAGAATTTATTTTCATTGCAGCCATATACAATTTAAGAATATTTGTTTTCACAATGTACTGTTAAAGGAACAGACAATACAGTACTTTATAGATTCAGAATGTTTTTGGAATATGATGATAGCCTCTTGACTTAATATATGTTTTTGGAATGAATTAAGTTGATTATTCAGAGGATGATAATCCGAATTGTATTTGTATAGTCAGCCTGTCATGATAAATAATTATATAGTCACTGTAAACGCTACACAATATTTTTATAAGATAACAAAGGAAAAGAAAAAACAGATATAGATTTTTAATAAGGAAAAGCTGGCCTATAGAAAATACCCAAGGCAGGTTACAGTAGCAAAGTTTAAGCCAACTTTGTTAAATGTCAGGTACATAACAAAAAAGTTTAACATTAGTCTTCTTTGGATAGTGAAACTATATGTGATTTAAGAAATGTTTTCTTTTAAATTTTTATTTTTCCACAATTAACATGTGTGATCTTGCAATTTAAAAAGTCAATGCCCCTTTTAAAAACACAATTCCATATTCCCCAGCCTTCCATTTTCTGTCTCTTGTTTCTTCTCTGCCTACTTTTCCATCAAAGTTTTCCTTCATTAACTTCCTTAGTTTTCTTGCTTTTATTTTTTTTAAGAGACTTTATTTCTGCCGGGCACGGTAGCTCACGCCTGTAATCCCAGCACTTTGGGAGGCCAAGGCAGGTGGATCACGAGGTCAGGAGATCAAGACCATTCTGGCTAACACGGTGAAACCCCGTCTCTACTAAAAATACAAAACAATTAGCTGGGCATGGTGGCGGGCGCCTGTAGTCCCAGCTACTCAGGAGGCTGAGGCAGGAGAATGGCGTGAACTCAGGAGGCGGAGTTTGCAATGAGCCGAGATCGCGCCACTGCACTCCAGCCTGGGCGACAGAGCAAGACTCTCTCAAAAAAAAGAGAGAGAGAGAGAGACTTTATTTCTCAGAGCAGTTTTACATTCACACCAAAATTAAAGGTTTAGAGATTTCCCATATTCCCCACCCCCACATATGCATGACCTCCCCTGCTATCAAAATCTCACACCAGAGGGGTATATTTGATACAAATGATGAAACTACATTGACACATCATTATCACCTAAGTCCGTAACTTACAATAGGGTTCACTCTTGGGTGTTGTATATTAAATGGGTTTTAACAAATATATAATGACATGTATCCACTATTACAGTGGAATAGTATTACAAAGAATAGCTTTACTGTCCTAAAAATCCTCTGTGCTCTGACTATCCTGTTCATCCCTCCCTCCCCATTAACCCTTGGAAACCACCGACTTTTTACTATCTCTAGTTTTTCCTTCTCCAGAATGTCATATAGTTGGACTCATACAGTGATATGGTTTAGCTCTGTGTCCCCACCGAAATCTCACCTTGAATTGTAATAATCCCCAAGTGTCAAGGGCGGGACCAGGTAGAGATAACTGCATCATGGTGTTGGTTTTCCCCATGCTGTTCTCGTGAGGGTGAATTAGTTTCTCACGAGATCTGATGATTCTATAAGGGGCTTCCCCTTTCACTCTGCATTCATTCTGTCTCCTGCCCCGCTGTGAAGAGATGCCTTCCACCATGACTGTAAGCTTCCTGTGGCCTCCCCACCTATGCAGAACTGTGAGTCAATTAAATCTCTTTTCTTTATAAATTACCCAGTCTCAGGTATTTCTTCACAGCAGGGTGAGAACAGACTCATATAGTATGTAGCCTTTTAAGACTGGCTTCTTTCACTTAGTAATATGCATCTAAGTCTCCTCTATGTCTCTTCGTGACATGACAGCATATTTCTTTTTAGAACTGAATGATTTTCCATTGTCAGGATATGCCACTGTTATCTACTCTCCTACTGAAGGATATCTTGGTTGCTCCCATGTTTTGGCAATTATGAATAAAGCTGCTATAATCATCCATATGCAGGTTTCTGTGTAGACATTAGTTTTCAATTAACTTGGGTTAATCAAGGAGAAAACTGCTAGATCATATGGTAAGAGTATGTTTAATTTTGTAAGACAAACTGTCTTTCAAAGTAGCTGTATCATTTTGCATTCCCACCAGCAATGAATAAAAGTTCTTGCCCTTCCACATCCTAACATTTGTTGTCGTCAGTATTCTGAATTTTGGCCATTCTAATAGTTGTGTAGTGGTTTCTGATTGTTGTTTTAATTTGCACTTCCCTGATGACATATGACATGGAGCATCTTTTCTTATGCTTTTTCACCACTTATATTATTGTCTTTGGTGAGGTATCTGTTAAGGCCTTTGGCCAATCTTTTAATCAAATTATGTCTTTATTATTGAGTTTTAAAGGTTCTTTAGACATTTTTAAGTAACAGTCCTCCATCAGGTATGTTTTATTGAGTTTTAAAGGTTCTTTAGACATTTTAAGTAACAGTACTCCATCAGGTATGTTTTTTTTCAGATGTTTTCCCCCAGTCTGTGGCTTGTTTTTTCATTCCATTGACAGTGTTTTTAACAGAAGAGAAGTTTTAATTTTGATGAAGTCCAGCTTATTAATTCATTGTTTCACAGATTGTGCCTTTGGTGTTGTATCTAAAACATCATGCCATCATACCCAAGGTCATCTATGTTTTCTCCTTTGTTATCTTTTAGGAGTTTTATAGTTTTTCATTTCACATTTAGGTCTGTGATCCATTTCAAGTTAATCTTTGTGACGGATATAAGGTCCCTGTCTTGATTCATTTTTTTGCATATTGATGTCTAGTTGTTCCAGCACCACCTGTTGAAAGAAAAGACTGTTTCCTGCATCTTACTGCCTTTTCTCCTATGTCAAAGATCAGTTGACGGCATTTACAAGGATCTAATTCTAGGCTGTCTATTCGGTCCTACTGATCTACTTGTCTGTTCTTTGGCCAATACCACACTGTCTTGATTATGGTACCCTCACAGAGATTTGTTTAACATGATGAGATCTGCCATTACATTTTTCCATATGTACAACTCAAATTGAAAAGGATGCCCCAAATGAGATAAAGTAATGTACTCTGCTGACACAGAATTACAAAAAAAACACTAAGACAGGGTCACTTTCCTCTAGAATCTGGAGGGAGACAGATCAGGAAATAAACTAATGTACTTACTACATTAGAGAAAAGCATCAACAAGGTGCTAATGGGAACCCGGAGGCAGGAGTGATACATCTCTCTAGGGGTATGATGAAAACTTCACAATCAAAAGTAGCATTTGAGCTCCGTTTTGAAGTGGTAGGCTACCGACAGGCAGAGAAAAGGCAGGAGTAGAAAGTGCATTCTAGACCGACACAGTAGCATGTACAAAGACATGGTAGCATAAAAGCATGGGTTTTCTAAAAACATTAGTAATTGTGTGTAGCTAGAGTTTAAGTACATGACACTGAATGTCAGGAGGAGACAGGAATGTTGAAGAAGGCCAGATTGGGAAAGGTCTTATATACCAGGCTAAAAAGCTGGAATTCTTCCTATAGGTGGGAATAACACATACTTACTGTAGCTACCATTTATTAAATATCTATTACATACTAGGCAAGGTGTTGTACATACTTTACTGCACTTAACGCTCAAAACTCTGCCATATAGGTATTTTCTCCTCATTGTACATGCAAGAAAAAAAGACTCAAGAGAGGTTAGGTAACTTTCTCAAATCAAGTCTGACTCCAAACTCTACACCATCTCCCAGAAAAAGAACTCCAACTGGCCAGGTGCAGTGGCTTGTGCCTGTAATCCCAGCACTTTGGAAGGTCAAAGCGGGCAGATCACTTGAGTCCAGGAGTTCGACACCAGCCTAGCCAACATGGTGAAACCCCATCTCTATTAAAAGTATGAAAAATTAGCCGGGTGTGTTGGCACACGCCTGTAGTCCCAGCTACTCAGGAGGCTGAGGCACGATAATTGCTTGAACCTGGGAGGCAGAAGTTGCAGTGAGCTGAGACTGTGCCACTGCACTCCAGCCTGGGCGACAGAGTGAGACTCCCTCTCCAAAAAAAAAAAAAAAAAAAAGAAAAAAAGGGAACTCCAAACTAATTGGGTGGTATAAAAATGTTAAATGGGGCTGCGCATGATAGCTCATGCTTGTAATCCCAGCACTGTGGGAGGCTTAGGCAGGAGGAGGATAGCCTGAGTCCAGGAGTTCTGGACCAGCCTGGACAATACAGTGAGATCCCATCTCTACAAAAAATTAAAATTTAAAAATTAGCTGGGTGTGGTGGCTTGTGTACCTGTAGTCCTAGCTACTCAGGAGGCTAAAGCAGAAGGATTGCTTGAGCCTAGGAGTTTGATGTTACAGTGAGCTATGATCACACCACTGCACTCCAACCTGGGTAGAGTGAGACATCTGTCTCTTTGGTGTTTAAAAAAAAAAAAAAAGTTCAAGGACCCTTTGAAATCGCTGGCATAGGCATCAGACTGGATAGGCTCATCTACTTACTTTTTCTTAGCAGTCTCTAAAACACAGAAATAATAAGAAATCTAAGACCAATTTTTCCTATGGTCTTTTACTGACGGTTTTCTCTCTCCTGACATTACTACAGCATTTGACATCAATAGCTATTTCAGGAGACAAGGTAGACAGAGTTCCCAAAGCAAAGACAGGAACAGAACAAGATTGTGGCTTGTGTATCATCAAATCTGACACCTGACCAAAATTCACTAGTGCAATGCTTTGTAAAAATATGCATTCAGGCTCTGAAGATCATGGGCTGCTTGAATTTGGTCATATTACTTAAGCTTTCTGAGCCTCAGGTTTCTTACATTTAAAATGAAATGCTAAGTACCACCTTTCACAATAGTTATGAAAGTTAAAATGGAATAAATAATGAGAAGGAAGACCCAATGACTACAACATGATAGGCATGCAACCTACCTTTCCTACTTATGCAGACAATTACTAGCACTGTTTACCTCATAGGATTTTTGTGAGGCTCAAATAAGGTGATGCTTGTGAAAGCCCTTAAGTGAAATATAATTATCCAACTAAGTTTTGCCATACTATTCAAGATACAAGAATGAATATAGTATAATCCTTGTCTTTACGGGAAGCTGATTTTCTAAAAAGGGAGCTACAAGTACATAGGTAAGTATAACACAGGTAAGCAGAAAGTGCTAGAAGAGTAGCCATAATAGTTAACACAATTGAGCACTTATGGGCCGGACCTAGTCTAGGTGTTTTACCTATATTCTTATTTAATCCTTAAACAAACTCTATGGAACAAGTACTATTATATTTCTAGATAACCGAAACTGAAGTAAGTACATGCTGGATAGGTAATCTGCTTAAGTTAATACAACTAGTTAGTGGTGGAGCTAAGGATTTAAATCCAAGAATTCTGACTCCATAGCTCATACAATTAAAAATGCAGGGGTGTGTATTTTTAAAATGGAGAAAGAACATGCCAACAATAACGAGGTCACTAACGTTTACTGAGCACTCACAGTGTGCCAGGTCCTATGCTAAGCACTTTACATGTAAACTCTTACTGAAGCCCAGCAATCCTCTGTGAGCTAGACATAGACAGCATCCCGATTTTACAAATGAGGCCAAAGACTAAATGAGGCTGGTTTACTTTGCTCAAGGTCTCATGGCTAGTTACCAAAAGAACCAAATCTCAAACTTAGCCCTATCAAGTATGTCAAGTAAATGTTCTTAACCTCTCTACTGTCTGGTTCAGTGTAGACAGGGACAGTAGGAGAGCTAACCTCAGAAAGAATTAGCAAAGGAGTAGCCAGTGAGGTAAGAAGAGGACCAACAGAGAGCAACATTCTGAAAGGCAAGGGAAGAGTCTTTCAAGGAGGAGGGCAAATGGATCAATTATCAAATGCTGCTGAGAGGCTGAGTAAGATGAGCACTGAGAATTTAAACACATTTTAGCAATGCAGAGGTCTGTGGTCACCTTGACCAAGTTGTTTCAATAGTATGGTGAGTTCAGAAGCCTCACTGGAGTGTGTTAAAGAGAGAAAGGAAGCAGCAGCAGAAACAATTAGTATATACAACATTAGAACATTTTTCACTTAGATAGCAGGGCTGTACAAAACACCCTGTCATACAGGGTAATGTGTTGATGAACCCATGTTTTAAAATTTGATATGTAACACCTCTGGGTGTTCAGTTTATTTCCATTTTTAAAATGCATAAAAAGAAATTAAGTGGAAATTTGAGAAAAAACATATGGAAGCGCTGAAGAACATCCATGGCGTCCTAGGGTCCTGCAGAACACACTTTGAAAACAATTATCTTAATCCAGAGGAATGAAATTCTGAGATGGAATTCAGCCAGTTGCAAACTAGGTTTAAGAAAGATATTTTTAGGATTTAGAGGGAATCTCCTAATGCTCTTCAGATTCTGCTACCTATTACTCAGGAAAGATAACCTTAGAACATTCCTTTCTTTCATCAAATGCTTTACCTTAAGATCTTTTGAATAAAAGGGATGTTTGTATATGGTATTTTCCACAAATGTTTGGTACTGAAGGATGCTAACTTTTATTCTGTGTTATTTTGGTTTTGTTTTTAGAGGAAGGTTCTCATGTCACCCAGGCTAGAATGCAGTGGAGTGATCGTAGCTCACTGTAACCATGAACTCATGGGCTCAAGCAATGTTCCTACCTCAGCCTCCCAAGTGGCTAGGGCTACAGGAGTATGCCACTATGCCTGACTACTTTTAAAATTTTTTGTAGCCATGGGGTCTCGCTGTGTTGCCCAGGCTAGTCTTGAATTACTGGCCTCAAGCAATCCTGCTTTGGCCTCCCAAAGCACTAGGATTACAAAGCATGAGCTAGAGTTTACCACCCCCAGTCCAATCTTTTTTACACACATATACATCTCTCTCTCCTTGCCAGCACCCAAGCAGGATTACAGGCATGCACCACCACACCCAGCTAATTTTTGTATTTTTTGTAGCAATACACACAGAGTATTTTAAATAAAAATGTAAGATCACTTTACTTTGTGATCCCTAATTCTATAAATGGGCTTGATTACCCTTTTGCCTTCATTCAAAATAACCTTTTAAATTACAACAGCAGTCCCTATAGACAAGCTAAAATAAGAAGTTAAGAAACTGAATTATGTTAAGCATTTCATATGTTATTTTGTTCTGACAGCAACCATTTACATGGGTCTTACCACCCCCATTTTATAGATAATAAATAAAACACAAAGTCGCCGGGTGCAGTGTCTCACACCTGTAATCCCAGCACTTTGGGAGGCCAAGGCAGACAGATCACCTGAGGTCAGGAGTTCGAGACCAGCCTGGCCAACATGGCAAAACCCTGTCTCTACTAAAAAATAAAAATAAAAAAATTAGCTGAGCATGGTGGTGCATGCCTGTAATCCCAGCTACTTGGGAGGATGAGGCAGGAGAATTGCTTGAACCCAGGAGGCAGAGGTTGCCGTGAGCCGAGATCACCCCATTGCACTCCAGCCTGGGCAAAAAGAGTGAAAATCTGTCTCAAAAAAAAAAAAAAAGAAAAGAAGGAAAAGAAAGTATGTGTTAGGAACTTTGAAAAGAAGAGGCCAGGAATGGTGGATCATACCTTTAATCCTAGCACTTAGGAGGCCAAGGCAGGAAGACTGCTTGAGCTCAGGAGTTTGAGACCAGCCTGGGAAACATAGTAAGACTCCATCTCTACAAAAAATAAAAACTAGCCAAGCATGGTGTTGCATGCCTGTAGTCCCAGCTTGGGAGGCTGAGGCAGGAGGATTGCTTCAGCCCTGGAGTTCGAGGCTGCAGTGAGCTATGACTGCTCCAGCCTGTGCAACACAGTGAGACCCTGTTTCAAAAAAAGAGAGAGGGGAGAGCTGTGGGAAATTAGTTGGGAAGGTAGGTCAGGAACTGACTGCAGTGTCCTTGGCTTAAATAAATGCCAGGCTGGGAAACTAAAGCTACGCTCTATATGCAGTAAAAGATTGTTAACATATTATGCAGCATAATTAGAGCCTTATTCTGTGCTTAAGACAGGGTTAAATGGAGAGACAAGAGGCAAAGGGATCAGATAGGAGCTCACTGTAATAGTACAGGTAAAACATACAGGCCTGAGTTACGTTTAGGTTGCCTATCATGGCCCAATATAAGCTCAGGCTCTAAGTTTGAACTTGGCTCTATCACTACCACTTAACAGCTGAGTGAGTTTGTGTGCTTCTTTTTTTTTTCTTTTGAGACAGTCAAGTCTTGCTCTGTCACCTAGGCCGGACTGCAGTGGCGCGATCTCAGCTCACTGCAACCTCTGCCTCCTGGGTTCAAGCCAATTCTCCTGCCTCAGCCTCCCGGGTAGCTGGGATTACAAGCGCACACCACCACGCCCAGCTAATTTTTGTATTTTTAGTAGAGATGGGGTTTTGCCATGTTGGCCAGGCTGGTCTCGAACTCCTGACCTCGGGTGATCCGCCCACCTTGGCCTCCCAAAGTGCTGGGATTACAGGCGTGAGGCACTGCGCCCAGAAACTTTGTCTTTTATTTATTATCTATAAAATGGGGATGGTAAGACCCATGTAAATGGTTGCTGTCAGAACAAAATAACATATGAAATGCTTAACATAATTTCTCAACTTCTACACTATTCACCTTTCAGGTGAAATAATTTTTTTTAATGGGCAACTGTTTTATGCATTATAAAATATTTAGCAGAATCCCTGGCCTCTACTTACTAGACACCAATAACAATTCTTTTCTATCCCCTGTCGTGACAACCAAAAAATGTCTTCATATTGCCAAATCAACCCCAGTTGAGAGCCATGTAACACTGTTTCTGGCATATAAAGTGACCAATGGAGGCAAGCTTTAAAAAATAACTGTGGGGCAGGGTGGTGGAGGGAGAAGGTGGTCATTTGGTGATGAAGACAGAAATATAAAAGACAACGTGTAGAGTGAGATGACCAAATTGGCTGGTTAGATGTGGAAGCCATGAGAGAGGGAGGTAGCAGGGGAGACCACAGCTTTAATTCTGTGTGTCTAGTCCTACTAAAGAAATAAGAAAGATAAGAAAGTGGGCAGGCTTGAAGAACCAGAGGGTCAGGTGGATGGAAATATTTGAAAGATATTAAGAATTGTGGCCTGGATCCAGAAAGAACGATTGGTGTAGGTCTCAAAGGCCAAAATCATTCTTCATGTCTCTTGAGCTTTTTATGATTTTAGCTTTATCTAGCACCTCTCAAGTGAGTACCAGTTACATGCCTTAACTATAAAGCCCTCGGGTGGGGGGGGGGAACAAAAACAAGCTAAAAGACATGACTGACAATGAATATATATTACCTTTAAAAATCAAAGAAAACGGGGCTGGGCACAGTGGCTCACACCTGTAATACCATCACTTTCAGAGGCTGAGGCGGGAAGATACTTGAGGCCAGGAGCCAAGACCAGCCTGGGCAACATAGTGAGACCCTGTCTCTATGAAATATTTTAAAATTTTGCCAGGCCAGGCATGGTGTCTCACACCTGTAATCCCAGCACTCTGAGAGGCTGAGGCGGGTGGATCACTTGAGCCCAGGAGTTCAAGACCAGCCTGGGCAACATGATGAAACCCCATTTCTACCAAAAATACAAAAATTAGCCAGGCTGATGACGTGCACCTGTAGTCCCAGGTACTCGGGAGGTTGAGGTGGGAGGATTGCTGGAGCCCAAGAGACGAAGGGAGCAGTGAGCCAAGATTCCGCACCACTGCATGCTAGCCTGGCAACAGAGCGAGACCCAATCTCAAAAAAAAAAAAAAAAGCCAGGTGTGGTGGTACACATCTGTTAAGTTCTAGCTACTTAGGAGGCTGACATGGAAGGATTGCTTGAGCCCATGAGCCCAGGAGTCTGAGGCACCACTGCACCCTGGCCTGGGCAAAGAGTGAGATCCCATCTCAAAAAAACAAAAAAAAAAAAAAAGAGAGAGAGAGAGAAAGGGTACTCTTTTCATTTTTTTAAAATCAGAAAAAATTAAATATATTTTAAAAATCACTATAAATTTGTACATAGTAAAAGATGCTTTTAATTTTCCATCCTTTCTGGGTTTTTTTGTTTTTGTTTTTTGAGACGGAGTCTCACTCTGTCACCAGGCTGGGGTGCAGTGGCGCGATACTGGCTCACTACAACCTCCACCTCCTGGGTTCAAGCGATTCTCCAGCTTCAACCTCCCAAGTAGCTGGGATTACAGGCACGCGCCACCATGCCCTGCTAATTTTTGTATTTTTGGTAGAGACAGGGTTTCACTATATTGGCCAGGATGGCCTTGATCTCTTGACCTCGTTGTGATCCACCCACCTCGGCCTCCCAAAGTGCTGGGATTACAGGCGTGAGCCACCGCGCCTGGCCTAATTTTCCATCCTTTCACCAGACAACTGAAGAAGAGGTGTATACTGATCCTCTTGAAGATTAAGTCTTCTTTTTTTTTTTTTTTTTTTGAGACATGGTTTCGCTCTATTGCCATGCTGGAGTGCAGTCAACCTACGTCTCCTGGGTTCAAGCAATTTTCCTGCCTCAGCCTCCCAAGTAGCTGGGATTACAGGCATGCGCCACTACCCCGGCTAACTTTTTGTATTTTTAGTAGAGACAGGGTTTCACCATGTTGGCCAGGCTGGTCTCGAACTCCTGACCTCAGGTGATCCGCCCGCCTCAGCTTCCCAAAGTGCTGGAATTACAGGTGTGAGCCACTGTGCCCAGCCAATTAAGTCACTTTCTAAGCTTTTAATATGTGCCACATATTTTAGAGACATTGGTAAAAGGGAAAAAGTTGTATCCAAACTGATAGTGTCTAAATTCCAGCTGCACAACGGAGAAGCCAGATCTACCTGATTCTACATTCTCCAGCCCCTACTGGTCTCTATGACAGTTTTTACAGCCTTTGTCAAGCTACCTGAACAAATAAGACTGCATCCCTGCCCTTTACCTATGAAACAGTGTGTACCCCAAGGACCCTCCAAGCACTAGCCAAAGCAAATTAGCATTGGAACTGACCTGAGGCATCTACATACAACGACTGTACTTCAGATTTTCCAGGAATATTCTGTTTTGTGGTATTCATGAAACCGATGTTCTCCAAATTCCAATATTCAGGAATGCACACTAAACCTCCACATAAAAATTCCAAGTCATGTCATTACACATTTGCCAAAACACATTGAACGTACAACATCAAGTGCAAATCCTAACGGAAACAAAATGAATGACAGCAAAATAGACTTGGATTGGTTATAAATATATACTGCAATCTCTAGTGAAACAACTAAAAAACTTTTAAAAGTACAATTGTTATACTAAGAAATGAGAGAAAATGGAAACACATAAAATGCTCAATTAAAACCACAAAAGAAACAAAAAAACACAAAACACAGGAAATGTGTAGAAGAGAAAAAGAGAACAAGGACAACAAAAAACAATAAATATATAGCAGGTATTAATCAACTACATCAGTAATCACTTTGAACATCAATGGTTTAAATGTACCAATTAAAAGGCAGATTGTTAGAGTGAATCAGGAAACAAGACCCAACTATATGTTGTCTACAAGAAACCTACTTTAAGTAGAAAGACACATAAAGAATAAAAATGAAGGGATGGAGAAATACATACCATCCTAACACCAACTGAAAGAAAGTGGAAGCAGCTATGCTAATTTCAGACAGAGCAGACTTTAGAGTGAGGAAAGTTATCAGGAGAAAGAGGGGCATTACTAATGATAAAGGAGTCAATACTCTAAGAAGACATAACAATCCTAATGTGTATGCACCTAGTAACAGAATGTCAAAATACCTGAAGCAAAACCTGATAGAACTACAAGAAAAAAACAGATAAATCCACCCTCTATCAAAAATGGACAGATCCAGAAGGCAGAAATTCATTAAAAACATGTTGAACTCAACAGCACTACCAATCTTTTGGATATAACTGACACCTATAGAATACTTCATCCAATTCAATAGCAGCAGATTTCACATTCTTCTCAAGTTGACATGAAACATTTACCAAAACAGACCACATTCTGGCCCATAAACCACATCTTAACAAATTTAGAATAATAGAAATCGTACAATGTTTGCTCTCAGACCACAATGGAATTAAACTAGCATAACAGAAAGATATCTGGAACATCTCAAATACATAAAGATTAAACAATACAATTCTAAATAAAAACATGGGTCAAAGAAGTCATCTCAAGAGAAAAATATTTTGAACTAAATAAAAATAAAAATATAATTCATCAAAATTTGTGGGATGCAATGAAAGTAGTGCTTGGAGGAAAGTTACAGCACTGAATGCATATGTTAGAAAAGACAACCTAAAACCAAGCTTCCACCTTAGGAAGCTAGAAAAAGACAAAATTAAACCCAAAGTAGGCAGAAGAAAAGAAATAATAAAAATTAGAGCAGAAATCGATGAAATTAAGAACAGGGAAGCAATAAAGAAAATTAACAAAACCAAAAATCAACAAAAGCTGGTTCTTTGAAAAGATCAATAAAATCCATAAGCCTCTAGCAAGGCTAACTAACGAAAAAAGAAAGAGGACACAAATTACTAGTATCAGAAATAAAACAGTGTCTGTCAATCGTACCTCAATAAAGCTCAAAAAAATGAAATAGGGGACCTCACTATGGATCCTATAGACATTAAAAGGAAAATAAAGGAATATAATGAATGAATAAGTCTATGTCCACAAATTTGATAACCTAGATCAGAGGTGTCCAATCTTTAAGCTTCCCTGGGCCACATTGGAAGAATAAGTGTCTTAGGCCACACATAAAATACCTAACACTAACACTAACACTAACAATAGCTAATGAGCTTTAAAAAAAATGCAAAAAATTTCATGTTTTAAGAAAGTTTACGAACTTGTGTTGGGCCACATTCAAAGCCATCCTGGGTTGTGGGTTGGACAGGCTTGACCTAGATGAAACAAACCAATTCTTTGAAAGGCACAATCTGCCAAAACACATACAAAAAAATAGAGACAATCTAAATAGGCCTACAGGTATTAAAGAAATTGAATTAACAATTAATAACTTACCAAAACAAAAAGTTGTGGGTGTGGAGTTTTTAAATTTTTTAACAGATAGAATCTCACTCTGTTGCCCAGGCTGAAGTGCAGTGCTGTGATCATAGCTCACCGTAACCTCAAACTCCTGGGCTCAAATGATCTTCCTGCCTCTGTCTTCCCAGTAGCTAGGACTACAGGCTCACACCACCAGAACTGGCTAATTATTTTATTTTTGTAGAGACAAGGTCTCACTATGTTGTAGCCCAGACTGGTCCCAAACTCCTGGTCTCAAGTGATCCTCCTACCTTGGCCTCCCAAAGCATTGAGATTACAGGCATGAGCCACAGTGCCTGGCCCTGGTTTTTTAAATAGATAAACAAAATTGACCAATTGTTAGCTAGACTAAGAAAAAAAAGAGAGAAGTTTCAAATAAAGACCCAAATCAGAGATGAAAAGGGAGACATTTCAGAAATACAAAGCATCATTAGAGACTATTATGAACAACTAACTACATGCCAATAACTTGGAAAATCTAAAAGAAATGGACATACACAACCTACCAAGATTAAAACATAAAGAAATGGGGGCCGGCCGCAGTGGTTCACGCCTGTAATCCCAATACACTGGGAGGCTGAGGTGGGTGCATCACGTGAGGTCAGGAGTTCGAGACCAGCCTGGCCAACATGGTGAAACCCCATCTGTACTAAAAATACAAAAATTAGCTGGGCGTGGTGGCACATGCCTGTAATCCCAGCTACTCAGAAGCTGAGGCAGGGGAATCACTTGAACCTGGGAATCGGAGGTTGCAGTGAGCCGAGATCATGCCACTACACTCCAGCCTGGGCAACAGAGTGAGACCGTCTCAAAAAAAAAAAAAAAAAGAAAGAAAGAAAGAAAAGAAAAAAGAAATAGAAAACCTTAACAGAACAATAATGAGTAGCAAGAAAGAGGCAGTAATAAAAAGTTTCCCATCAAAGAAAAGCCCAGGACATGATGGTTTTGCTGCTGAATTATATGAAACACTTAAAGAACTAATACCAATGGTATGCAAAACTATTCCAAAAAATTGAAGAGGAACACTTCCAAACTCATTCTAAAAGGCCATCCTTACCCTGATACCAAAGCCAAAGACACAACAACAACAGAAACTACAGGCTAGTATCTCTGATGAACACAGATGCAAAAATCCTCAATAGAATACTAGGCAAACTGAATTCAGCAACACATTAAAAAAAATCATTCACCATGATCAAGTGGGATTCATCCCAGGGATGCAAGGATAATTCAACATATACAAATCCATAAACAGGATATGTTACATTAACAGAATCAAGAACAAAAACCAGGTGAGACATAGTGGTTGTAATCCACCACACGCCTGTAATCCAGCACTTTGGGTGGCCAACACAGGAGGACTGCTCGAGTCCAGGAGTTCGAGACCAGCCTGGGCAACATAGCGAGACCCCATCTCTACCAAAATAAATAAATAAATAAAATACATGTGATCATTTTAAAAGATGCTAAAAAGTATTTAATAAAATTCAATACCACTTCATAATAAAAACTCAAAAACTGTGTATAGAAGGAACATACCTTAAAATACAATAAAGACCACATATCCATGACAAACTCACAGCTGGCATCATACTGGATGGGGGTAAACTGAAAGCCTGGAACATGAATGCCGACTTTCATCCTTTTATTCAAATAGTACTGAATGTATAAGCCAGAGCAATTAAAATTAGACAAGAGAAAGAAATAAAGGGCAGCCAAACTGTAAAAGAAGAAGTCAAACTGTCCTTGTTTGCAGACATGATCTTTTATTTGGAAAACCTAAAGATACTGCTAAAAAAAAAAAAGGCATTAGAACTCAGAAACAAAATAAGTAATGCTGTAGGATACAAAATCAACATACAAAAATCGGTAGCATTTCTATATGCCAACAGCAAACAATAAGAAAACAAAATCAGGAAAGCAATCCCACTTACAAAAGCTCTAAAAAATAAAAAATAAAATACCTAGAAATAGAATTAACCAAAAAAGTGAAAGATCTCGACAATGAAAACTATAAAACACTGATGAAATTGTGGGATTACACACAAAAAAGGAAAGACATCCCATGTTCATAAAGTGAAAGGATATTGTTAAAATATCCACACTATCCAAAGAGATCTACAGATAAAATGCAATTCCTATCAAAATACCAATGACATTCTTCGCAGAAATAGAAAAATCCTAAAATTCATATGAAACCTCAAAAGACCCCAAATAGCCAAAGCAATCCTGAACTAAAAGAACACAGGTGGAGGTATCACACTACCTGACTTCAAAATATACTACCAAAGCTATAGTAAGAAAGTGTGGTACTGGCACAAAAAAAAAAAAAAAAAAAAAAGACACATAGACCGATGGAACAGAATAGAGAACCCAGAATAAATCCACACATTTACAGTCAAATCATTTTCAATAAAGGCATCAAGAACATTCATTGGCAAAAGGACAGTCACTCCAATAAATGGCACTGGGAAAGCGAGATGTCCATATGCAGAAGAAAGAAACTAGATCCTGTTCTCTTACTACATAAAAAAATCAAATCAAAATGGGTTGAAGACTTATATGTAAGACCTGAGACTACACTACTACTACAAGAAAACACTGGGGAAATGCTTCAGGACACGGGTCTGGCAAAGATTCTTTGAGTTAGACCTCAAAAGCACAGGCAACAAAAGCAGAAATTGACAAATGGGGTTATATCAAGCTAAAAAGCTTCTGCATAGCAAAGAAAACAACCGACAAAATAAAGAGATAACCTAAAGAATGGGAGAAAATATTTGCAAATTATCCCACTGACAAGAGATGAATAACTAAATATACACGGAACTCAATAGCAAAAAGCTCCAAATAATCCAATTTTAAAATGGGAAAAAAAGATGAAGAGACATTTCTCAAAAGCAGACACACAAATGGCTAACAGATATATTTTTAAAAATACTCAACATCATTAATCATTGAAGGAATAAAAATCAAAACTACAAGATATTATCTCACCCCATTAAAATGGCTATTATAAAAAAGACTGGTGCTGGTGAGGATGCAGAGAAAAGGGGAACACTTCTACACTGTTGATGGGAATGTAAATTAGTTCACCCATTATGGAAAACAGTATGGAAGTTCCTCAAATAACTAAAAATAGAACTACCATATGATCCAGCAATCCTACTGCTGGCTATATTTCCAAAAGAAAGGAAATCCGTATATCAAAGAGATATCTGCACTCTCATGTTTATTGCACCACTATTCACAACAGCCAAGATATCAGACATGAAATCAACCTAAGGGTCCATCACCAAATGAGCGGATAAATAAAATGTGCATAAGTACACAATGGAGTATTATTCAGCCATAAAAAAGAATAAAATCCCATCATTTGCAGCAACATGGATGGAACTGTTAAGTGAATAAGCTGGGCACCGAAAGACAAATATCACATGTTCCCACTCATACATGGGAGCTTAAAAAAAAACAACTGATCTCATGGAAGTAATGAATAGAATGGTGATCACCAGAGGCTGGGAAGGGTAGAGGGACAGTGGGGGATGAAGAGAGGTTGGTTAATAGGTACAAAAATACAGTTAGAGAGAAGGAATAAGTTCTAGTATTTGATAGCACAGTAGGGCAACTGTGGTTCACAACAATTTACCGCATATTTCAAAATGGATAGAAGAGAGTATTTGGAATGTTCCAAGACAAACAGCTGATAAATGTTGTAGGTGATTTCCCTATTACCCCAATTTGATCATTACACATTGTATGCATGTATCAAAATATCACATGTACCCTATAAATATATACAATTATATATCAATTGAAGTAACAACAACAACAAATAACTTTCCAAAACAGAAAGCAGTAGGCCCAGATGGGCTCACTGGTGAATTCTAGTAAACACTTAAGGAAGAAATTATACCAATTCTCTACCATCTCTTTTTAAACTTGAAACATTCAGGAATAGTCTGTCACTTTAGAAAAAAGTCTGTCCTAAGGGGTATAATCACCACCACCACTCTCCAAACCCTGGCAATGCCCCCAAAAGGCACTGGCAATGCTTTAGTGAAGACTATAAATAGGTAATAGAAAGAAAGGACTTTGGAGACCAAAAAACAAGCAAACAACAATCTGAATTGGGTTACTAGCTCTTTTTGTTTTTCTTTTTGAGACAGAGTCTCACTCTGCTGCCCACACTGGAGTGCAGTGGTTCCATCTCAGCTCACTGCAACCTCCAGCTTCCCAGGCACAAGTGATCCCCCTGCCTCAGCCTCCCAAGTAGCTAGGACTACAAGTGTGTGCCACTATGCCTGGTTAATTTTTGTATTTTTTTTTTAGAGATGGGGTTTTGCCACGTCGCCCAGGCTGGTCTCAAACTGCTGGGCTCAAGTGATCCGTCCACCTCGGCCTCCCAAAGTGCTGGAATTACAGGCATGAGCCACTGCGCCCAGCCACTGGCTCTGTCTTACTAATCTTTTATCTCAGCCAAAAATTGAATTTGATTACTGGCTTTGTCTTATGAACCTTGGAGAAGTTAGTTAACCATGTCACATCTCAATTTCCAAATACTTATGGAAGAGGAAATGACAATACCAACTTAATAAGAATGCTGTAAGAATTCAAAGTAACAATTTTACAAAGTACCTACCATAGGGGTTGGCCCCACAGTGGTTCCCTTCTCCCTTTCTTTTTGCCCAATCTACTTTGCCATCTTTGCCCAGATGATAAAACTGGGGACAAAAATACAAAGTAAAAATACGAAGTTCTACTATATATACGGTTTACACTAAAATAGGCCTCATTACATATCTAAAGAAATTATCCAAAATCCATGGCTTTAATTATACAATCAAAGCATTAACACCGGACTAGTCTCTTTTGCAAAGAAAATATGCATTTTCCTGGCAGCCATAGAGTAATAGTTTAAGATCTGTGCCTCCACCCCAATCCTACCCACACAATTTGATCCTCTTCCCAAGTAGACATTGGCACCTGACCATTTCTGCCTCTCCCAAGAAACAAAGAGGCCCAAAAGCTTGACAGCCAATCTAATTTAAGTCCAAAGGAGAAGAAAACGATGTCCAAGTAACGGCAGAATAAAGGAAAAAAACAAACAAATCTGAGCTAGTTAAAAAAGGAAACCAGCAGAAGACTAACCTCCTGTTTTTTATTGAAAAGCGACTGCATGAAGACTAAAAAACTAGCCCCAACCCCTAAGTCTGGATTGATTTAAAGTGGTGGAGGTAGGTATTCCAGGCAAATCCCTCAATGCACAAGAGTAAAGAAGCAGCTCTATTTCCACACTGTTGGATTTTCATGGGCTTCCTCTGATATAACCTATTATTTCCAAGGCCTAGGAATGTCCCCTCCTCAACTGTCTTATCAGCTTGGGGTTACAACCCAGCTCTAAGGAGAAGGGTATGACTTTTAAAATTAAGGTGTAATGAAGTTTCTCTCCTAATCTCATTACTACCTGGCTGTGTGACTGCTTATGAATCATTTCCTCTCTCTGAGCCTCAATATTACTTCTCTGCAAAATGAGGATAATACTGTTCCCCTGACAGCACTGTTATGAGAATTAATTCAAAAACCAATGTCAAATGTGCCTAGTACAGTGCATGGCTCATAGCAGACAACAACGGGAATTAATTTCCTTCCTTTCCCTTTGACACAGCCTTATCCTCCAAGAAGAAAAAGGGACATCATTCCTTCTTTCCATAAAATTAACTCAGTACCATGACCAGGTCAGAAATGCCAGGGCTGGAGCCAGACTCTAGATACAGCCCTTCCCATATCTGAGCATGAACTCCAAGTCACATTGCAACAGCACACTTTTGAGAGGCCACACACTCACGCAGAAGCTAGGTCTCACACCCAGCTATTACTTTAAAAAGCCAAGATTAGCTCAAGGCTAGGTGAGTAATGAGATGTAAGTGCTCTGGGAATCTGTCCATTCCCAGCATAACTAATGAGTAGCGTCAGTTGTATTCTGCCCCAGAGAGGGACCAACAACTCCAGATGGCCAACAACTCTGAAAAATGCTGAGGCAATGATCAGAGGAAGAATATTTCTGCCCCTTCCTACAGCCTCTGCTTTGGGAAATTTACATTTTGTATAATCATTATTAAAGGTTATTTGTGCTTTTTTTTCCCTTCAGTTTCATTAATAGAGAATCTATATAACATAGTACGAGCAAGAACTTTGGAATCAAGCTCTGGTTCAAGTCTCAGCTCTGCCTCTTCCTTGCTATGTGACACTGGACAAGTCATTTAACCACCAGAGCCTCAGTTTTCTCACCTTTTGTGCTTTCCAAAGTTCTGGCTGCCCCTTCAGTAAGCTGTGAAATCAACTGAGTAGCTTGCAAGTAACTTTTTTTTTTTTTTAGTAAAAAGAAGAAAGTATCAGATGACACTACATGATATTTTACTATGAAAATACTAGATGTCACTTGCCTATAAAATGGGACTATCAGGTGTATGCTGTTATTTTCTGTATTTGTCAGAGGTTTGTTTTGTTGTTGTTTTTTAAGAGACAGAGTCTCTGTCACCATCCTGGAGTATGGTGGCATCATCATAGCTCACTGCAGCCTTGAACTCCTGCACTCAAGTGACCCTCTCTCCTCACCCTCACAAGTAACTAGAACTACAGGCACATATCATCAAGCCAGGCAAATTTATTTTTTGTAGATATGGGGGTCTTACTATGTTGCTAAGGCTGGTCTCGAACTCCTGGCCTCAAGCAATCCTTCCACCATGGCGTCCCAAAGCACTGGCATTACAGGCATGAGCCAAGGCCCCTGGCCTATACTTTTCAGAGTTTTTGAGAAATTGAAAAAATAAAATAATGTAGGTCAAATGTTAGCAATTAACCCTACTAGAGTCAGAATAGCTGAATACAACCTTATTTATGAATAGTAAGAAAGTTCCTCTTCACTTATCAATTTCAGATTTCCAGAAGTATGTCTTCAAGAACATATTATTAACCAAACAGTCAGCCAACATTATGTGCCGAGGACATATGCTTCTAAATTATTGACAAAGAAAGATCAGGTCTAATTAATAACTGAATTTTATCCTAAATTAATACAGAGAATCAGGCTGCAAAACCCTACCCAGGCAACAGTGATGTATGAAAATGCTGGAAGAAGCTCTCGTTGAACAAACCCTCTCTGTTGTGGAAAGGGCAATGAAACCAATGTTAGCCCCAAAATGGTTATAAAAGAAATATGATTCTTCTAGGACACTCAAAGGTGGCCACTGACATGTGAGAACCTTGGCAAGATTCTCAGCTTGGGAGGAACCCCAGTTAAAGATAGTGTCAAGGGGGCCTCAGAGGACTAAACATAGACAAGAACTGCACACAAGGACTTCTTCGGCCTGCAGAACAAGTTACCATTCTGCTTAAAACCTTCCAATGTCCTACTATTTGGGGGGAAAAAAACAAATTTGGGAAAAAATACACTTGGAAAAAACCCAAATTTCTTACTATAGCTTACAAGGTCCTATGTGATAGGGCCCCATCCCACCTCTCCAACATCACCCCTACTTGCATTCACTCCATTTTAGCCATACTACCCTTTTGGCTCCTCAAGCACACTAAGCTCAATCCCACATGAGAGCTCTTGCATTTCTTGTTGCCACTACCCAGTTCATTCTTCTGGCTCTTTGTAGGCTGAGGTTCTTCATGTCATGACTTGGCTCTCAGCTTGCATACTTTGGTTCCTCAGAGAGGCATAGCCCGATACTTCCTCATTCAAGATGTCTCCCAATCCACCACATCCCACCAGTCAGTCATTCTCCATCACCACACTACCCTATTTTCTTCACAGTGTAGCTTCATGTTTCACTTCATAGTACTTTGAGAATTCATTTTTCTGTCTCCCCATTAGAATGTAAGCTCCATAAAAACCTTTGTTTTGTTCCTGATACCTAGATACTGGTTGCTTTTATACATACATTTTTTTTTTTTGTACACACACACACACACACACACACACACACACACACACCTGCCAAACAAACAGAATAAAGAAAACTGATGCATCCATTCCAGGGCCACATCATGTATGTTAGAATTTAACTGCACTTTCAAAATAACATGTGAAAGAGGATTTACCCACAGAAGAGCCTTTGCCAACTGAGTTCAGCAATTAGTTGTTCAGCTAAAGTCCCTATAAAAGGTCCAAGTAACTAACGAGCCAAGCTTTCCTCTGAGCATCCATTCATGAGCCATATCAGAAGGGTATAGTTCCTAATGCCCAATGAAAGAGTATTTAATTTGGAGCCGATGCCTGAGCTAAATTTCATGTTTCCAAACCCACTGATCATCAACTGACTATGAAGTCTGCCTCTAACATAATGGCTCTTGAGTCAAGCGAGAACAAGCAATTTGAACAAAGGTTCAAATCCCAGTTATACATTTTACATCTCTGAGGCCTTTGACAAGTTCCCTCATCTATTAAATGAAGATAACAATATGTATCTGAAAGGACTGTTTTGAAGATTAAATTAGCTAAATGTATTCAAAACATCTGGCACATAAAAACCCAATACAAATTATTATTTACTAATTCACATTTTTTCCAACTAATATTTATTGATATCTACTTCATAATAGGCCCTGTGCCTATACAGAGGCACAAGGCACAACTCAAGAGAAACTGGCCATCGTCCCAGCCCAGGAAGGGCTCACAGTGTAACAGGAAAGATGAACCCATAAATCTTAAGTATAACAGAATTACTAGGAATATAGTATGTATTAGGTGTCATCCAGGAAGGCTGGAAAGAATCTTCCCTTCTCTAGCAAACCTGATGTTAGGGACTAGCTGGTCTCTAGAGTTAAAAGGCCCATCAAAACCCTTACAACTTATAAAGTGAAAAGAGCTTCTGAGATGGGTCAGAACAGCTCTGTAAAGAAGCCCTCACATGATTTTAAGAATAGTCAAGAAAAACTGTCTTGATAGCAAAAAAGTGGAAGCTACTTAAGTGTCCATTGACAGATGAATGGATAAACAAAATGTGGTTGCTACAGTTTGGATGTAATTTGTTTGCTCCCCCCTCATTGAGTCTCATGCTGAAATCTAACCCCTTATGTTGGTGGTGGGGCCTGGTGGGAGGTGTCTGGGTCATGAAGGCAGATCCCTCATGAATGTCTTGGTGCCATTCTTGCAGTAGTCAGTGAGTGCTGGCTCTATAACTCCCTGCAAAAGCTGATGGTTTTAAAGTAGTCTGGCACCTCCTTCTTCTCTCTCTTGCCTCCTCCTCTCCTACCATGTGATCTCTGCACACACCAGCTCCCTTTCACCTTGTGCCATGAATGGAGGCAGCTTGAGGCCCTCACCAGAAGCTGGTGCCATGCTTCTTGTACAGCTTGCAGAACCATGAGCCAAATAAACCTCTTTTCTTTATAAATTACCCAGCCTCAGGTATTCCTTTACAGCAACACTAAAGGGACTAAGACAGTAGTATACACATGCAATGGTATATTATTCAGCCTTAAAACGTAAGGAAATTCTGACATGCGACAACATGCATGAACCTTGAGGACACCATGCTAAGTGAAATAAGCCTGTCAAAAGGGAACACATCTTGTATTATTCCACTTATATGAGGTATCTAGAGTAGTCAAAAAGCAAACAGACAGAGGCTAGGCACGGTGGGCTCATGCCTGTAATTCTAGGATTTTGGGAGGCCAAGGTGGGTGGATCACTTGAGATCACGAGTTCGAGACCAGCCTGGCCAACATGGTGAAACCCCGTGTCTACTAAAAATACAAAAACTAGCCAGGCGTGGTGGTGGGCACCTGTAGTCCCAGCTACTCAGGAGGCTGAGGAAGGAGAATTGCTTGAACCCAGGAGGCGGAAGTTGCAGTGAGCCAAGACAGTGCCATTGCATCCCAGCTTGGGCAACAAGAGTAAAATTCCGTCTCCAAAAACAAAAAACAAAAAATCAAAGAGAAAGTAGAATGATGGTTGTCCCCAGGGCCTGGGGGAGGGAAGAATGGCAAGTTAGTGTTTAACAGGTAGGTAGAGAATTTCAGTTTTGCAAGAGGAGAAGAGTTCTGTGGTGGATGGATGGTGGTGAAGGCTGCAAAACAACGTGAATGCACTTAACACCACAGAACTATACACTTAAAAATTATTACAACAGTCAATTTTATGTTACATATACCTTACCACAACTTAGAAAAAAAAAAGATTGTCTTGTGGCTTACAAAAAGCAAGAGAGTGCTCATCTCCTCTTCTTTCGAACATTCTTATATCTAATAGTGCATCAAAACAGCTTTTCTCGGGTTAAGACAAGAGAATAATTCTGGGGTAGTCCTCATATGGAAGGTGCTGCATAATATAGTCAACATCTAAAAAATTCCAAGTACAAACATCCAAACCCAAAATTTACAGCAAAAGAGACAGATGGAATTATTTCAACAACTGTGAGAAAGGCAAGAAATAAACAGAACTATTGGTATGTTTAAGTATCAATTTAGGACTCTATAAGCTAATTTCTAAAGAGACAAGAAAGTCCACGGAAAAAAATGATTGGTCCATGTAGAGTAGATTTCATATATCAGAGTCAAGGTCTCACAAAACAACTTTACTGTTTTGAAACTTTAAAGAAGTGTCAACTTGCATTAAATAAACAAAGCAACTGCCATGTACTAAACAAAAATGTCACAAATGACAGTCCTGTATAATGACCTGGTTTCCCAGTGGCTCAGAAAGATGGAAAATAAACCCCAAGGACCCTAGTTCAGACAGACTGAAGAGAGCAGACCGTGGCTGTCTTGCATGATTAAAGGCTATGTCACAGCTCAGTAGGGTCCATGCTTTCATAGCTTCCCCCCCCCAGCAACCCCTAATGTGACTAGGACTGGGACAAGAGTGACAGTCTCACAAAGGGGATAAAAAGACATAAAGCTTCTTCCTCATACATCCAAACACTCCAGAATCTAAAACTTCACTTCTCTGTTGTCCATCTATCCAATTTTCATTAAGAGCAATTTATATCATATAGAGGCTTCAAAGTCAAATATGCCACTTTTATTTTTACCTTATCAAACCTATAAAATCAAGACCAAGGGTTGGTCTGGATATGAAGCTTGGTTAGGATCACAATAAATTTTCAAATCAAATAATTGGTTTCAGTTAGAGCCAAGTTTATCAACAATAGGGTGATTTAGGATTCAGGAAAAATCGGCTGCCTATTTGTATTTCAGAAAGACTAGTATTTCTTCTGACACAAGTAGAGAGGTGTAAGCAACCTCTGGGTGGGTAATGCCACCAAACAAAAGCAACACCTTCAAAGTCTCTCAGTGACTAGAGGCAGCCAGACACTCAAACTGCCAGTCCTGAATTACGGCCTCTGAATGGTGAGGGCTTCACATTTCACCGATCAGGGCACAGCCCAATCAGAAGACAAACCCCTGCACTGCCAGGGACCAGCAAATCCGCTTTCTTCCAGTGTGCACATGACTAAATGTGCTTCTGTCCATCATCTGGGTCATATATAGTTCAATGCGAGCTGAGCAGACAGGGCTGCAAGGAAATCTGGCGCGGTTCAATACCTCGTCTAGCCTGGGTTCCAGTATCTAATTTTTTTTTTGTTTTAACTGACAAACTCATTTCTCTACTGGGACAGGATGCTGTGCTGGCTGGAAGTTCCATTTCTACAGCAAGAATCCTATCTGGAAACACAGAAGTTGTCCTCTAGCCACAGCAGCTCGAACTTTTTTGATTGTCGTTGCTGCTTTCTCCCATCACCCCCATCCCCTTTTGACAAAGATCCAACTGTAAAAAGTCTTACGTAACAGTTCAGGACTACTTCGGTTCTTTTACTGGGTAAGCACTTTCAATTTTTTTTTTTTAACTAAAAGCCATTTTAAAATTGAATCTGTTGAGGGGCTTGACTAAAATCTTTTAAGTAATTTGTGTAATGGAATACTGTCAGTGGATTTTTTCGTCTCATTTCTGCACGTGCTCCTTTGTTCTCAGAACAGAAGCTTTTTATACACATCCCATAACGCAGCTGGAGAGAGTTATGAAGTCAGTTATTATAAGGAACACAAAGGTTGCTTTCCATTCTTTGCCTTTAGATAATTAATTTTTTTGTTTTCTTAAAATGGAGTATTTAAAGAAGGAAGAAATTCACAAGAAATAAACTGTTGGAGAATTTAGAAAAGTTTGAAGTTTTTACCACCTTTTCTATCTCTAGTTTTGTGTGGCCAAACACTTGTGCCGCCTGGGGCGGTGGGGGTAGAGGCAAGCATAGACAGAGAGGAACTAAGCCAGACATGGACAAAGGCACGAGCCAAAACCAGACAGTCCTGGCCGTTCGATAGGCCAGCAGTGGGTGAGACAGGTCAGCCAGCTGCAGGGGCGGGAGCGGGGGGGCGGGTAGGGACATGGATGTGTGAGGTGCTCATGCGTGCGATCGTGACTAGATTCTGAAACTGCCAGCCATTTTCCCAGCTCCGCTTTGTGCAATCTAAAGGAATGCATCCCCTCTGAAGCAGTCTTGCCAGAGCCTAGTGAGGGAGAGAAGTATGGTAAATACCACAACATATGGAATCAGAAAATACCGGGAACTGGAGTGGGCAAGGGGGAATGCAGAGGGTGTGGAAATTTTTTAGTGATCTGGAATGTGTTGAGTGACAGGAAGTGCCCCAAGCTTCTCCCCCACCAACTCTTCTCAGTCGCGCCTGCTTTTGTCTAACTCTTGTAATCTACACACTACTGCTTACAAAGCTGTCTGAGTTTAAGACAAAAAGAAACCTAAAAGTCTCCTTACTTCATAGTACCTGTGATATGGAAGGAATGTAAAAGCATGACCCTTTAAGCCTATGGACATTTTTTCAGGTATACAGGAGAAAGATAAAATAATTTTCCACAGAAAAATGAGAATTATGAATTATATAGTTCAGGTTCCAAATCTAATTTTTAAAAGAATTCTGATTCTGCTACACTTTACAAATGCTTAGGTTGGTTCCTAATTTGAAGCAGACTTGTTTTATTTGGTTAATGCATTGCATTTGAACTTGTTTCTATTTTCTTTGCATAAATTTGGACTTTGGGAGAAAAATGCAAAGTAATAAGTAGAATGCACTTGGGGGAAAAAAGGAGGATTTTTCCCTTCATGGGTTGGAAAGTATTTTAAAGGGTTGTTTTCTTGAAAAAACAAGCTCTCTCTTACTTTCTGCATCTATGCTATAAAGATAACTATGCTATAATAAATGTAAGGTAGAAAACTTTAAAGAGAAAATAACAGTGTTCTAAGTGAAAAGCTACTTAGCATTTTCCCAAACTTACACATTATCAACAGAAACACTAAAAATTAAGAGAAAAGCAGCCAACTAATTAAATAGCTAGCCTTATTTTGGGGGTATGGGATAGAAAATTAAGTGTGAATAAAATGATACTTGGGAATGTTTCTCCCTCGTACCACAAAGGATGTTAGTGGTCAGCCTACGAGTTAATCCTTCCTAGCATGGCTCTGAGCCTTCATGCCGAGCAGACGTTATTCACATGACGATTCGAAAAGTCCATTCATATATCTCGCTACCTGGATTTGAATAGAAACCAGACAGCAATTCTTTAGTTCCAGCCACCATTCGCCCCACTGGACAATAGCGATTTGTTAGCACAGAGTCACAGGCTGTGGGACACAAAGCTTGGAGCTGCAGAAAGATGGGGGATTCAGAGAACAGGAAATTACAGGCTCGATGCACTCCTGGCAGCTCTGAGAATACAAAAAAAAAAAAAAAAAAAAGGCAACACAGAGATGCCATGTTTAAGAGCTACTTCTAGCTTTTTTAACCACCTCCAATGTCATAAAAGCTCTATTGTTGGAGTACATAAAGTCACGAGTCCCATGTGCTCGCTTTTCTCACTACAGGGAACTTCATTCAATGCCCTTGGCACAGTAAGAAATATCAAAAGCATCCAGAGTTGATTAGCTGTACACTCTGGTAGAAAGGAGAGCATTTTATAAATAAAATGTCAGGAAAAAAATACGCTTAGTAACACAAGTGACATGTAATAAAATTAGTATCTTTTTAAAATTCCAAAAGAAAATAATTAAATACATCAAAACTCGAGGGACATTAATTTCTCTCCAAAATATCACATAAAATCTATTATTTAATTCCATCAAAAGTTTCTTTAGAATATATATACCAATTTAGAGGCTAGCATTATACAGAAAACTTCCGAGTTCTGGGTTGTATTTTCCAAAACAAAGAATTAAAATCAAAGCCCCAAGAATTTATTCTGGAATACTAGAAAAAAAAACTACACTTTATTATCAAATTAGTGTAGCTCCCTGGCTAAATCAGAAATTGCCTCTACTTCCTTAAGACCTAAAAAATAAATTTAATGGATATTCTAAGTGAATGAGGGAGAGATACTTCTCCAATCTCAAGAAACGAGCAGGGGGAAACAGTACATGGATTCTTGTCCAGGCCCTCATGCTGCAACCTGAGCACCAACAGGCCAGACTGGTGTCCATTTCAACAGGAGGAGGAGACCCTGCACAAGGAAGCTATAAATGGTTTTGCTCTTCTGCCCTTCTTCTGTGATCCATTAGTAAACACAAGTTCGAAATGATATCATATCTGAAAGATTTATCAAATGAGACCATGAATGGTCAAAAAAGGCTTTGGAAACATCAATTATTCTAATCTATTTGGTCCCATGATAATACGGTGTGAAGCTGAACACGTGCCAGATTTAATGGTGCTGGTAAACATAATAGCAACCTTTAAGCTACCAACAATTGGGCTTCCTCAAATACTATTATTACTCACCAAACACAAACATCAGTTACTATCCCAAAGTGCGTTGTCCAATACAGTAGCAACTAGCTCTATGTGGCTATTTTGATTTAAATTAATCAAAATTAAATAAAACAGAAAACTCAGTTCTTTAGTTATACACACCACATTTCAAGCACTCAATAGCCTCATGTGACTATCATATGGGATAGCCCAGATATAAGACATTTCTATCACTGCAGAAAGTTCTACTGGACAGTGCTGATCTGGGCTATGCTTATATCCAGCATACCCATCTTCAACTACACATCCAGCTGGACATGAAAAAATTTAAGTAAAAAATACAATGACAAGTATGACAAGATAGCTAGTGCCATAATACTTGAGAAATACCTTTAAAAAAAAAAAAAGCATTTGAAACCAAGGATGAGAAAAGAGGTCCAGGTCCATTTTTTTCCCCCTTGGTTGCAATGAAGAAGTTACAAAGAATATTAGATAGTACTGGAAGACAGGTAGTCATGGCCAGAGTACGTGAAATGCTCCAGAATGGTACTAATTTAGTGTCAAAAACTTCTTCCTAAACATATGAGACAATTAATTCAATAGTTTCATGGTATCACAGCAATGGACAATATGTGTAACAAAAAACCAGGACCTAGAAGTCACTTGGTCTTGAGTAGGTTTATGAGTATCAACTTTGCTAGCTAGATGATATTAGGCAAATTAATTTACCCCTCTGAAACTTAGTATCCTTACCTGCAAAATGGGGAAATAGACACCCTGCAGGATTTATATAGAACGGCTCGCAGTGAAGTATGTAAAGTATCTAGTAAGGTGCCAGGCACATGGTAGAGATTCCAAAAAAGAGTAGCTATTATTATTACATTTTTCCCCTTAAATACTCACAATGTGACTCCTTGTAGACTATCAGATAGATACTATTCAAAACACAAGGCAAGCCTTCATAAACAAGTATCCTAAAATATTAATGCTGGCCATGTCAGCAATTCAACTGGAATAAAATGAAACATTTGGACAGGAGATTGCTTTACCAGCCGATGTGTGACCATGCTGTCCCATGCAGGCTGCTTTGTCAAAAAAAATCTCATGTCATATTTGGCTTACATAATCAGCATGTTCTCTTGTGTTCAGTCTTATACTTAGGGATGTAGGGTTAGATTTTAGATAAGACGACAAAGGTCTATAAACAGAAAGCAAATTTTTATCTGAGTACAAAGCAATGATCTCCAAATACTGGGAAGCTGATATCTGTTCAGGAAAACTTAAAAAGCTATATTAGAAATACAATGATAAGAAGCCTTATTCTCCCTTGCTGAGATGACAGAAGCATACAGAAAAACTTTAAATGAAAATCCTTAAAGAAATGATGAATTAGGTCTTTTTTCCAAGAAACATTTTAAACAATCTAGATTGTATAATAGTAACAGTAGTAATGAATTGGCAAAACACCCAGTGCATCATAGCCTTCGATTACTGTGAACTTGGTTTATGGTCAAGACCGAGTGCAACAAATGGTACTACCCACAAGCTTCTGTGGTTTTAAAAAAAAATTTAGAAAGCCAAAGGACTTCTATGATGACCACGTCTTAACCCCCAAATCTACCATCAAATAAATTGGACGTGATAAACATGCATGTGAGATTCTTAAATTCGGATGCCATTCTCAGCCTATCTTATGCCTGCTTGGTGCAAGAAACATGAGTCTTAGGGTCAAGTGAACAGGGGCTGGAATCCTGGCTCTGCCCCTTATTTACTACAGGATCTTGTACAAGTCACTTCCCCTCTTTGTCTCAGACTCTTCATTCATAAAATACAAATATCAATCCCTTCCTGCCAGGCTGTTTTCAGAGTCAAGGATATGTATATAAACACTGACCAGTGTTTCTGGTACATGGAAAACACTCTGGAAATGCCAATTCTGTGAACACTCAGTAAGGGCTTGAGGTTCTGTTCATCGTCTGAGACCACAAAGAATGGAAATAGAAGGGTTCCAGGCTGGTTCATAGCACAGGCCATTCTCCATTTAAATTTTAAATTAAAACAAACATATGAATGTAAAAACTGTCAACACTGCACAAATAACTTGAAATCTTAGAAACATAAATATTGAATGAACTGAATGAATACAGAAAAAGTATTATTTGAAAAGTGAGGTGGAATGTCAGACTTCAATAATGTAAGGTATAATTTAATGCTGATACAAAGTTAGTACCATTAAGTATAAAAAAAAAGAACCCTTTTCTTAAAATAAGAATTAATATTTCCTAGAGACTCTTCTGAGTAAGATTTCTACGACCTCCTCTTGGTGATTAAAACAACAACATCAAAGTCCTAAAATACTGTCCAAGAATGAGAAATTAAAATAATTTGAAAACACAGAAAATTCATGTCTTAAAATCAAAGATTTAAGAAGGAATTCCTGGGCAAGGTATTTTCCTACTACATCTGTGGATTCATTTTAAAGTTGATAATAATCCAGCAGGAATGAGAAATCAGTGTTTCTTAATGATGCCAAATAAGTGAAAAATGCTGGATATACCACATAACCTTTTGGAGGACATAAGGCAGTAGATTCTCTAAAGCAAACAGCGGAAGTGTAAGGGAGATTGTGCGATGTAGTTTAGAAGGAGGGTTTTCTCCCAGAAATTGGCTGAACTAGATATGATGTCATATCTTAGCTCTGCCACTGTTGAGCTAGATGACTTTTAACAAGTTGCTTCTCTCTGAGTCTCTATTACCACTGGTGGTCCAAAGAACACATTCATACTAAAAGCTAAAGAACAGACAGCACTTAAAGGTAAGAATCTGGATATGCCAGAGGGTTCTCCATCCTGTCTCTCCAATACCTCACCACCACAAAATGTTTTACAGGACTGCTGAAGCAGACAGACGGATTAGACAGATAAATAAATAGATAATGAATGAATGGATGAATGAATGATTCTGATAAATCACAAAAGCTCTCCAGAGGAAAGGTTCCTCAAGAACCTCAGCAGATGGTACTGGGTTCTTACTGAATGCTAATCAAGCAGAACCTTTTTTCCAGTCATTCATCTAATCAATATTAAGCTTCTAATATGTATCATGTACAGTATTAGACACAGGTTGACCAAATATATTACCTGCCTTCATGGAGCTAACAAGCTATAAACTGGGATAACCATGGGCCAGAAGCCCTATCATTCAAGAAATGGCAGGGGCCAGCGACGGTAGCTCACACCTGTAATCCCAGCACTTTGGGAGGCAAAGCTGGGAGGATCACTAGAGCCCAGGAGTTCAAGACCAGGCTGGGCAATATAATAAGATCCTTGTATCTCCAAAAAAAAAAAAAAAAAAAAAAAAAAGGTAAAAATTAGCCAGACTTGGTGGTGTGTGCCTCTGGTCCCAGCTACACAGGAGGCTAAGGCAGGAGGATCACTTGAGGTTGAGGCTGCAGGGAGCCATGTTCACCCCACTGCACTACAGCCAGGGTGACAACAAGAACCTTTCTCAAAAAAAAAAAAAAGAATAAAATAAATAAACGGCAGTGAGCTGAGTTCAGAAATTTTGGGAATGGTCCAATGATTTGGGAAACTGCCTTGCCATTTGTTGAAGTCAAACTAACATAATTCATAAAATAATGGAAAAATACGCTCAGCTCCATTTCATTCAACCAAAGAATTATGCTAAACTATAAGATCTTAACAGACTTTCAATGGAGTCATCAAGCCATTAAGAAAATAAAATACCTTCAAATACACAGGCTGGTTCCATAATGACCATTAGTCAGATCTATGGTAAACCACTCTCTCATATAAAAACTGAGTCACCTTTTAATAGATGTTTAAGAACAAGATAATTTCTGGAGAGGATGAAATAAAGCGAGTCTGGGTATGAAATGATGTTGCAGGAGCAGATCATGATACACAGGAGCATTAAATGTAAAGCATGTTTCCTTCATCTCCTTCCTGAAGACTATGTTCTCAGCAGTTACCATTTCCTTTAATGACACATGCTATAATGATCATGATTACACAGCTAGGTAGTACTCAACCCATGACTAATCTGGGCTCTTAACAACCAAGAATATTTGAGACATGGACGATAACTATGAACAGAATGAGAGACCAGAGTCACTATTGGGTTTCTGTGGCAATTAATCTTACGAACCAGAAAGACGCCTACAGAGTGTCTAAATATTAACCCCTCTTCCAATTGGAATTTACTCTTTGTTGTCCTAGGACTAATACAATGAAGTTGTTGTTACCAATGGGGTAAAGTACACGCATTTGCCACAATGAAGCAATATTATCTCCACAGAGCAGGAAGCTCCCAAGATCCAAAAGTTCCAATTAAGAAATTTATATTCCAGTTACCTGATATTAAAGATGTTGGATTTCCACCTAGATTTTTCTCACTAGTAGACTCAATATCATGTGGCTTTTTCTTTTTCTTTGTTCACTGAATATCAAAGTCAAGTGGAAAAGAGGTCTGGCAAATGTATTCAGAGCAAATTAGACAGTTACACCAAAAAAAAAGAAGACCCCAATTTGGTTATCTGTTATTGTGACCTAGATTTTGGCGGAATTACCTCTATGTGGTTCTTTTTTTTTTTTTTTTTTTTTGAGACAGGGTCTCACTTTGTTGCCCAGGCTGGAGTGTAGTAGTGCAATCTTGGCTCACTGTAACCTCCACCTCCCAGAGACAAGCAATTCTCCTGCCTCAACCTCCCAAGTAGCTGGGACCACAGGCATGCACCACCATGCCCACCTAATTTGTGTATTTTTTGTAGAAACAGGGTTTTGCCATGTTGCCCAGGCTAGTCTCGAACGCCTGGGCTCAAGCAATCCACCCGCCTTGGCCTTCCAAAGTGCTGGGATTACAAGCATGAGCAACCATGCCCGGCCACCATTTGGCTTTCTAATACCATTACATTTTGTCAGGCTCATTTCTCTGTATAATCCTCTATTACTAGAACAGAAAAATTCCTTTTGCCTGGCCATTTAAGAGCTTCTAGGTATAGTTTAATCATTCAAAGGATATCTGTTGACAGCTTAGTATATCCCAAACCCTGTTCTAGGCACCAGGCACACAGCAATAAACAAGACAAAGGTGTTGTACTCGGGCACTATAGTCACAGAGACTTGACTCTGTATCAGCTTGAGCACTTACTGACATTGTGAAATGTGCCTCTCTGAATCTCAGGTTCCTTCCCTGGCGGGGGCGGGGGAAATAATACCACTTTATAGGGCTGTTGTAAGAATTATATGTTTGCCTGTGTCTAGCATAGCACCTAGAACACCACAGATGCTTCGTATGTAGTAGCTATGGTTTTACAAATTGCGAATATTACTATTATCCACCCTACTTTTTTTTTTTTTTGAGACAGAATCTCACTCTGTCACCCAGGCTGGAGTGCAGTGGCGCAATGTCGGCTCACTGCAACCTCTGCCTCCTGGGTTCAAGCAATTCTTTGCCTCAGCCTCCTGAGTAGCTGGGATTACAGGCACCCGCCACGCCTGGCTAAATTTTTGTATTTTCAGTAGATACAGGGTTTCGCCATCTTGGCCAGGCTGGTCTTGAACTCCTGACCTCATGATCCACCCACCCCAGCGTCCCAAAGTGCTGGGATTACAGGTGTGAGCCACTGCGTCCGCCTGGCTTATCCACCCTACTTTCATATTCATGTATATGAGAATATACATGAATATAGTTTTAAAAAATAACAGGTTTCAAAGGCATAAGTATATCTAAAATACGTGCTACAGGTGTTAAGAGCCAAGCAGAACCATTAATGAATGAAATGCTACTGTATATCCCAAACACAAAACTACTTTAAAGTTGGGATATTAATGGTGAAGTAGATCACTGTCCTCACACAGATTTCAAAGGGTAGGGCAATTTCTCTCTAGTAGTATTACTATTTCAACAAATTTAATCAGAAATTGTATAGAAGAAAAATATCTAAAAGATTTGGAGTCTCATGTCCTACCACAGCCATCAAGAAGGGCATAGAAAGCATGTCTTTCCTCTGAAGACTATTATAAAAGCCTCATAAAAATGTTCTCTGAAGGAATATTCTTAGGCTGACTGTAGTGATATACCTTGTAAAATAACTTACTTTTTCATCTTATCGTAGCAGTATGCTTACTACAGATGAACTGAGAACAAAAATATAAAGACAAAAATTTAATCATAACTTTTTAAGTTATTTATAATCTCACAAGCTAAAGATACCTGCTGTCAACATTTGAGAAATTTCCTTCTAGTCTCATTCATTTTAATTATGAGTGACTTTTAAAATACACTTGATCCTTAAACATCACAAGGGGTTAGGGGGACCAACCTCCCATGCAGTCAAAAATCCATGTATAATTTTTGACTCCCCCAAAACTTTACTAATAGCCTACTGTTGACCAGAAGCCTTACTGATAAGTTGGTTAATACATATTTTATATGTTATATGTGTTATATATTGTATTACTATAATAAACTAGAGAAAAGAAAATGTTATTAAGAAAATCATAAGGAACACAAAATATATTTACTATTCATTAAGGGGAAGTATATTGTCACAAAGGCCTTCATCCTCACTGCCTTCACACTGAGTAGGCCAAAGAGGAGGAGGAAGAGAAGGGGTTGGTCTTGCTGTCACAAGGGTGGCAGAAGAGGTGGAAGGGGAGGCAGAAGAGGCAGCCATACTTAGTGTAACTTTTATTGAAAAATATCCACATATAAGTGGACCTGCGTGATTCAAATTCATGTTGTTCAAGGGTCAACTGTACTAGGAGTTTTTCTGCCACTATACAAATGACACTGATATATTAATATGTAGAAAACTTAGATAATACAGAAAAACATAAAAAGGAAAATTTGTCACCTATAATCTCACTCACAGAAAAAATTCTTACTAATATCTTAGTGTAGTTCATACACAATGGAATCCATTCTCAACACCGATTTTTCACAATCATTTGTTCACTTACAAGCATATTTTCAAGTCATTAAAAATGGTTTTTGTAGATATCTGGATGGTTTCCAATTATTCTCTAATATAAATATTAATTCAATGAACACACTTATACAGAAATCACTGTCCATATTTCTGACAATTTTTTTTGGTCTGACCAATGTACATCCCTGCCAGCAGGGACTGACAGTATCTGTCTCATCCTAAGCTCGCAAACACTGAGAATGTGCTATACATAATTAGCTGCTACCCAAATATAATACAGTTTCTGTTTACTCAATAAAGAGAAAAAAAGGGAGTTTTAAAGGAAAACTCAAAATGAAATAAACATAAGTAGGGATCTCCCTAAGAAGACAAATTATACATCCCTAACAAATACCAGGCAGTTGATAGCAATATTGAAAACCCTCTAACAGGACACAGTATAATATTAGGTTCTAGAAATCTCAGAAGTAAAAACAAATCAAAACATTCTTCTCATAGATGTATTTCATTAGTTGGAACTGATGAAATGAATCAAGAATCACTCTCACCATTGGAGAAAAAAACTGACATCGAAAACACTGTTCATAAATTAAGATGCATAAAAATCAATGTTTTTATGTCTGAATTATTTCAAATTTTTGTCAGCAAACAGTATTAAATATGGATATATACTTTGGTTTCCCAAATATAACAGAAAATTCTATAAATTCTTATCAAGGTAAACAAATAACCAAAAATGGCATTTATTCAACAAATACTTACTGAACAACTTTGTTTTGGGTACTTTTATATATAAGAGACTCAAAGTTGTCAGAAAGAGTTCTTTCTTCAAAAATCCTGCCTTCAGTACCTTCACAATGTGGCCCTCTTATATCACAGAACATTTGCCCTGCCTACCTGTTGAAATATCACATGTCTCAGACTGTGGCTAGAAAAAGGAAAACATTTCAAGACAATGAATAATCAACTTAAATATCAAAATTTCTTGGGAGGAGGAAAAGAGGCAATACAATCCAACGGGATAGATTCCATTAGCATGGCCTCTTACCAGCACACAGGAATGTTTACCCAAGTACCTATAGTCAAGAGGAATTCGAGTAGCTAAGATTACAGGTGCATACCACCATGCCCGGCTAATTTTTGTATTTTTAGTAGAGATGGGGTTTCACTATGTTGACCAGGCTAGTCTTGAACTCCTGACCTCAGGTGATCCACCCACCTTGGCCTCCCAAAGTGCTGGAATTACAGGGGTGAGCCACCGTGCCCAGCCTTATTTTCTTGACTCATAGGAATAAATATGTCTAGTAGGCCCTCGATAAATACTTACTGAATTAAGATTACAGCAAGTTAGAGAAACTTGATGTCTTATTTGTTAAAGGGCCAAGTAGAATAAAGACTTTAAAATAAGAAACTTACATACCATTTTTCCCCCTACCCTTCCCCTCACATAAATTTGGTCAACATACTTCTTAGCCTGGCAGAGCGGTTCATGCCTGTAATCCCAGCACTTTGGGAAACTGAGGCAGGAGGACTGCTTGAAGCCAGGAGTTTGAGACCAGCCCAGCCAACATAGCAAGACCTCATCTCTGCAAAAAAAAAAAAAAAAAATCAAAAAATTAGCCAGCTGTGATGGCACATGCCTACCGTCCCAGCTACTTGAGAGGCTGAGGCAGGAGGATGGCTCAAGCCCAGGAGTTGGAGGCTGCAGTGGGCTATCAGGCCATTGTACTCCAACCTAAAAGACCAAGTGAGACACTTTCAAAGAACAAAAAACAAAAACACATACTTCTCGAATTTCTTTTATTTGTCTATTTTCAGATCAGATTATTTTTAGTTGTTGAGAAAAGGTCTAAAAAGCTAGGAAATGAAAAGTCTTAGTATTAAATTATTATATTCTGACATTATGTCTCCAGGTTAGCTCCACGCAGAGGCAGCTGACAAACACAGCTTCAGCAAAAGTCATGATCCATTTATGGTTCACTGTCAACAAATAGTGACCGGGGACATGAAACAGCATGATCAGGGAAGAAATTCAGAGTGGATGAAACAAAGGGTGTGTTTAAGAGCAGTGAGGAAAAGATGTGGCCTAGCAGTAGGATATTGGGGGCCCAAAAATAAAAGCCCATGTCAGGTTAAAGCATTTAGATTTTTATCTAAAGATTGTCAGGGTATCAGGTTGTCAAGCAAAGTTAAATTTGCATTTAGCAACTGGATAGAAGATAGATAAGAATTGGGAAGACTGGAAGCAAGGAGACCACTTGGGCCGTTGCAGTTATTCAGATGAAAAAAAATGGTTTTGACCACAGTGGTGGCAGTAGAGATGCAAAGGGCTGTCACATACTACAACATAAGTGAATTTTGAGGACATTATGCTAAATGAAATCACAAAACGACACATACTGTATGATTCTACTTATATAAGATATCTAAAGTAGTCAAATACATAGAAACAAAGTAGAATGGTGATTACCAGGAACTGGAACGAGGGGAAATGGGAGTTGTTTTAATGGGTACAGAATTTCAGTTTTGCAAGGTGAAAAAGATCTGGAGATCTGTTGCACAACAAAGTGAATATATACTACTGAACTGTATATTTTAAAAGGGTTAAGATGGTAAATTTCTTACAGTCTTAATCCACAACTTTTTTAAAAAGATGCAAACTGGAGTGCTTTTGTGTGTGTGTTTTACATTTTGCTCTATTCAACCTCTGAAAAACATCTACTGCTATTTTCCTGAGCTGTAAAATGAGTTATCACCAAATGGTATCTGATTTGCAAGGCACCATAAGGTTTCACACGACCCCAAATATCTTACTGTATTACTTTGTCATGGTACTTAATATTTCCTCCAAAGACATTTATTCTTTTTTAAAAAGGAACACGCTTAAAATATTAACTGAAAAATAACTCAAATATAAGAAGTATTATAGAATAAAAAGTGGAACCTCATCAACCTTCTCACAACCCTACTCCTGGCCTAAAAGTATTATTAATTAGATCAACTAAGTTTACCTAATGTAAATACACAGGAAAATATAAATATAAAGGAAAAAGTCATTCTTTAAGGCCACTCTTAAGTGACTAACACAAAGTCATTAACTAGAGATGGTATTTTAACACAAGTACTTGAGTCCTATGTTTTACCTCAAACTTTTAAACCCAGTTGCTGTCTAGCTTTTTCTTAAAAGAAACTTTTTTATTCAAGTGTAAAAATACAGTAAAGTGCACACATCTCAAACAGTTCAACGAACTTTTACAAAGTGAACATACCTAGGAAACCAACATCTAAATCAAGATGTAAAACATTACTAACACCTCAGAACCTTGTGCCCTCCAGCTATTTTATCGTCTCAATAAAGGTAACCACTATTCTGATCTCTATCATCTAGTTTTGTCTATTTTTGAACTTATATAAAGAGAATTCCATACTATGGAATATTTTGTGCCTGACTTCGTTTCCTCAACATCCTGTCTGGGAGACGCAACCATGCTGCGGCATGTTGTGATGGTGTGCCCTTATTACTACTGTGCAGTATTCCGTTATATGTATTCTCCCACACTTATTTGTCCATTCTACTATTGATGGATATTTAGTTGTTTCTAGTTTGGGACTATTACAGATAATGCTATGATATACATTCTTGTACATATCTTTCAGTGCACACATTATGCATTTTTGTTGGGTATATGCCTAGAAATGGAATTGCTTGGCTGGACACAGTGGCTGACACCTGTAATCCCAGCACTTTGGGAGGCCGAGGCGGGCGGATCATGAGGTCAGGAGTTCTAGACCAGCCTGGCCAACATAGTGAAATCCCGTCTCTACTAAAAACACAAAAATTAGCCGAGTGTGATGGCACAAGCCTGTAGTCCCAGCAACTCGGGAGGCTGAGGCAGGAGAATCGCTTGACCCTGGGAGGCAGAGGTTGCAGTGAGCCGAGATCATGCCACTGCACTCCAGCCTGGGCGACAGAGCGAGACTCCGTTTCAAAAAAAAAAAAGAATTGCTTAAGTTCAAGTTTCCCAGATGCTACTAGAGGTTTCAAAGGTTTGTATCAATTTATATACCACTTCTGCCAACAGAATTTGAGTGTTCCATTTGTTTTCACCAACAATTTGTATGTCAGTGTGGTGGGTATGCAGTGGTATATCCTTTTTTAAAATTTCATTTCTCTGATATCTAGTGATGCTGAGTACCTTGGGCTAGATTCTGATAGATATTTGAGGGGCAGACTTAATGAATCTTAGTAACCAATTGGTTGGAGAGAAAGAAGAGGAAAAATCTAGAATGACAGAAAAATAAAAGACATTTGGGGAAAGGGAGGGAACAGAAAACACATTCATTTCTGAAATGATTAGGTTGTGTTTGCCCAAGAGTGAGTGACATGTAAGATTCAAGAGTTAACTACAACTGAGCCAGGCGCGGTAGCTCATGCCTGTAATCTTAGCACTTTGAGAGGCCAAGGCTAGCGGATTGCTTGAGCCCAGGAGTTTGAGATCAGCCTCGGCAACATGGCAAAACTCCATCTCCAGAAAAAATACAAAAAGTAGCCAGGCATGGTGGCATGTGCCTGTAGTCCCATCTACTTGGGAGGCTGATGTGGGAGGATCACTTGAGCCCAGGAAGTTGAGGTTGTGGTTACAGTGAGCTTTGATTATACCACTGCACACCAGCTGAGTGACAAGAAAAAGTTAACCACAACTACTGAAGACTCAGTGAGACATATGAAGGTTCTCCCATAAAACTCCCATAATTTAAAAGACAAAAAAACTTCAACACAATACCGCCATATCTCAGGTGGTAAAGAAAATAAATTTACAATCCTAAGGAGGAAAAATAAACTAAAGTACAATACCTCAAAACCAGAATCTCAACCTGGGTACGGTGGCATGTGCCTGCAGTCCTAGCTACTTGGGAGGCTGAGGCAGAAATAAATATCATAGATGCTTAAAAATGCCCCACTATGACTTTTAGGAATGCCTGTGAAGATATAAAAAAGAAATCTATAGAGTAATGAATCCTAGGCAAATATAATTAAAGAAAAAAGTTAAAGCTTTCATAAAAGACAAGTTCACTAACTGCATGGTTTCATGAAGACATCAGTTAGACAAAAATCTCCTATTTTCAGACAAGAAGGTCATCTCCGACACCTATCAAATTTCTCTATTGTGAGCGCCTAAAGAAGATAAGCAAGGGCAATAATTAATCAACAAATATACGAGGATTAAGGATGAGGAACAAGATTTGGAACTAGGCTCTGTCCTCTGAGATTCACCTCATTGTTGGAATTTCTAGCTAATTACTATTTTCCATCACATATTAGGTGGTAATTAAGATCTTGGCATCTGTCTTCAAATCTCAGCTCTGTCCCTTCTTAGCTATGTGACCCTCAGCAAACGACTTTTCTCTAGCTTCAGTTTTCTCATTTCCAAAATGAGAATAATCATCCACATAACTACTGTCAACATTAAATGAGGTAATATAAGTAAACCACTTAGTACAATGCCTGACCCATAGTAAGTGCTCCATAAATGTTAGCTGATATTATCATATTATCATCTGTAAAATGGAGACCAATTCACACACCCTTAAGATTGAAAAGAAGTAAAATGACACATACAATGCCTAGGTACACAGGAGGCACTCAAATGGTAGATGTTACCCCTTACACTCTTTGGGAACTCCATATCATTCAGTATCAAACTGAGTATGAAATGGTACAGTGCAGCAATTAACGCTATGAAGCTGGATTTCCTGAGTTCAAATCCTGGCTCTGCCACTTAATACCTGTGTGATCTTGGGCAATTTATTTCCCTTACTGTGTCTTTCTATTTTCATCTGTAAAATGGGAAAAATAATAAGTATCTATCTTACTGGGTTGTTATGGGGATAAGACAAGCCCTCTTTTAAGTGCTTTACATATAAAGTCCTAAAAATAAAACCTGGAACATAAGTGCTATATAAATATTAACTATTATTATCTTAATAACAGAGGTACACATGCTTTGAGGCTGCTGCACATCAAAGAAATGAATTTGGACATAAGCAACTTAATATTTTTCTTGTATTTAAGAGAGGCCCAATGGAAATATTCATATACCCATCTTCAAAAATGGGAGGAAAAAAGGCTGAAGGAATAGCAAATTACAACACAGGAACTATATAACTACTAAGTAAATGTGACCTCATCCATCCAGAAACAGGTATGAAGGAAATGTATTTTCTAGCTCCGCCTTAACCATGTAATCACTCAGATAAAGGAGTCCTACATTCCAGAGAGATAGAGGAAAATGATTTTTCTTGCTCTTACCTTACAACAAACTGATAACCAACACAGCTAACCTTTGTGCGTTCTCACATAATTTTTAAGTGAAGAAAACATCTCTTAGGACAAAATAATCAATTCTGGAAGCTTTCTTAGAAATGCCTTCCTGCCTTATACTAGTCTTTTCTTCCCATACTCCACAAACTTCATCCCTGGGCAAGTCAGAAGAGGTATCTAAAGACGCAAAAATGCAAGCAAGTAAACATTCTTTAGAACTGAAAGGAAATCCTATGCTTGTTCTTACTTAGAAAGTTATGGAGTTAATCCTGTGGACTGGCTTATGTTGCTGACTTACAAAGCAAACAAAATACTAAATTGTATAAGCAACAAATAAAATCAGTGAATTGTAATTTATCTGTCTAAGAGTCTGTGCCTCCTACCAGACTGTAACTTCTCGAAAAAATACTTTATTCATCACCAGCATCTAGCACATTGCCTGGCACACACAGAAGGTGTTCAATAAGTGTTGACTGAATACAGTCAGAGAGCACCTCCTCCTTGTACAAGGTACTGTTAGGTGGCAGACAGCCAATAATGGTTCACTTAGGTTGATGTCAAAGATTTCTGTTTGAAATTTAAATAAAGCCAGGTCTGGCTAAAGAGCTGCAGCTGTAGTTGTACCTGCTCTCAACCCAGATTTATTCCCAATAGCAAGGCTACCCTCTTCTGCATGCCTGCTGATATTTCTCTCAAATGATGAGAAGCCACTTCCCATGTGGCCCTAGTGTGTAATTCTTTCTGCTCAACAAAGGAGGCAGTCTAGAATCTTTGGTCATAAAAATATGATGGTTAGCAACAGGAAGCAACTGCTGGGCAAGCCTGGTACACTTCCAAATGAAATCTTTCCATCTAGAATTCTCAATTGAAGGTGCCAAACTCAATCCAGAACATCTGGATTTGCTCCTCTGGCTTCAAGCGTTCTCCAAGAGAGGCTAGGAAAAAGTACGCTCTTGCCGGTACGTGTAGGTGTAATTGTATACTCAAATATTGTACTTTGGATAAGAGTCCAAGACTTGGCAAATGGATGGAATGTAGCACATGGAACTGCCTGAATAGATACCCACGCTAAGAGAAGGGTTTTCTTGCAAAATATAAACAGGCAAGGTGTGAATTGCCCCTCTGTGTCACAAGTTAGAAGAATTCACCCAGGAGAATAAGTTCTTAGGAATCAGTGGGGGAATAATGCTCAGAAGCATGTGACAGGCAAAACAGCACCATTCCCTAGGAAAACGGCAAATTTATCAAACAATAACTCTTTACTTCTCCTACCCCAATAAGATAAATATATGTGATTATAATTTGATCCATACAGAAAAAAATATTGAGCTGCAAACTCTGGCAAACAGACAGTGCTGAAATTAAACATTATGAGCTTTGGCAGCTGCACTATGTACTCTCAGATTCTTACATCATTACTCTGGTAAGGGCCCCGTACCAAGCTGGCATAGTTCTGATGTGGTCTGGAGGGAGACTTTCTTGCCTTTTATTTAAAAAAAAAAATGACCTACATATAGCCTCTTTTCATGCCACAGGGAAATAAATATTTTCCTTTCCTCCAGATTTTGTTTTAAATGACAAAGCCATACTGCCAAGTTATTAAGAAAGTGTTAGAAATTATTATGAGATTTTTAAAGGCCACTTAGTACAAGCTCTAAAAAGACTTCTAAAACAGTAGACTTCAAAAACAGGATCTCTCCTAAAGTAGTGATAATCCATTTGTGGCAATAAAGAATCAGTTTATAGAGTGATGATTACTTTCTTGTTTATATTCTGACATTGGAAGTTTAAGTATCCAGATCCTCAGTAACCTCAAATGCAAAATGAAATAGTAATGTCACCGTTTGGGACAGTTCTTCTCACAATATCAGATATATGGCAAGTCCTCAGTAAGTACTAGACAAACTTATGAACGATAGAACCTTTAAAATTCGTGACTAGAGCAATCATATACTTAACAGAGCTAAGTGGTTACCTTTACTTCACTCATATTCAAGACTGAAAAGAATTTACACATAAGCTAGTTTCAAGATCAAAACTGCGTTTGTCCCTTTCAACAACTGATACCACACAAACAAGACTTCATTCTCTATTTCCCTCCAGTGGCATCCAAGAAAAACATAAAAATTCCAAATCTCAAAAATAACAGGTTAAAGAAGAAAAAAAAAGGCCTTAGTGCTCATAAACTAGATATATAATTTGACATGTTTAGAGTGATAGGATTATGTTTCCTATCATGAAATATTTCAAATTTTCATATATGGTCAAAATAGTATAGTAACTACCAAGCTTTACTTCCAAATTATTATTACTATTTCCTTTCTTCTGGAGACAGAGTCTCACTTTGTCACGCAGGTTGGAGTGTAGTGGCTTGATCTCAGCTCACTGCAGCCTCAACCTCTCATGTTCAAGTGATCCTCCTGCCTCAGCCCCACAAGTAGCTGGGACTACAGGTGGGCACCACCATACTAGCTAATTTTTGTATTTTTTTGTAGAGACGGGGTTTCATCATGTTGCCCAGGCTAGTCTCAAACTCCTGAGCTCAAGCCATCTATCTGCTTGCTTCAGCCTCCCAAAGTGCTAGGATTACAAGCATGAGCCACTATGCCCAGCCTTATTTTACCTTTTGAGATATAATTTACATATGGTAAGGTAAACAAATCTTAAGTCTGATAAAGTTTTCTCATATGTATTATATATGTTAACTACTATCCAGATCAAAATATGAGCACACATTTATTGCAGCCCACAGGATTCCCTCGTGACCTTTCTCTCCAAAACATACTTATCATTCTAATCTCAGATAGTATTCCTTTCACCACTAATAATCAAATCCAGCCTTTACTTTCCTGTTTTCTTTATAGTTTGCCAATGTCTATTTCAATCATAAGTATTTTGGCTACAGTGACCCCATGAAACAGAGAAAGTCTATGTAACATGCAAAAGACCTTACAATTTAGAATGCATACAAGCTTCCCAACATTTTTAAAGGGACAGAAGACTCAGAATGCTACCGTAAAAGAGAACAAAGGGAAACATGGAATTCATTTTGACTTAAATCCTAAAGAAAATACACTAGACTGTTTCTTGAAAAAAGCCTGTAATGAGTATAGATTTCTAAATCAGTTTTGAGAGAATATTTGGCTGAATATTTAAACCTAAATGTTTTTATTGGCTGTCAGTAGGTATCTGAGTAAATCCCATTCCAATTGCATTTTCCTTAAAGTTCACAACCATCTTAAGGCCATGCTCCCATGCCTAGAGGCTGACAACCTTCCTAAAAGAGCTAGATTCCTACACGGTCTTAGCCCCAGTATATACATACAAATTAAAAGAGAACCCTAATCACCACTTTCTCTTGGAGTAACGTCCTAAGTCTGAATAATGTACATATCATCACCCTTCGTTAACTGTAGAACTTAGTATTTCAATCAAATGACACAACCTAGCTGATGTGACATATTTAGCAATGTGCACCACTGTTGATATGCTCATGCAAACCAAGCACTTCTGGGGACAACTGGAGAACAATGGAGTGAGACAGAAGATGTAAGTGTAATAACAAATGCAACAACCACCACCTTATCAGAAAGGTTGTTGGAAGCATTTACTAAGATAATACAAAGAAAGGCTGTTACTGTTCTTACCTCACCTCCTCAGACTTACCTGGACTAAGTTATGACTTGAGAGAAATGCTCCCCCTCCCCTCACTTCCAAATCCTGGAGCAGCACAAATAAGGATCTGCTTCTAACAGTCAAACTCTCTCTAGTTCATTTATATAACTGAATATCCCTGGACGAGTTACAAAGGGGATATTTGGATAAATTCTTTTAATCAGTTTGCTTTCATATAGCCTAGTTAAGACCTCACTCAGGAAATAAAATTTTAAGAAAGTAGTAAGAAAGCCCCAAAAGGGAGCGACCCAGTCCTAATAACTTTCTAGAAGCAAAAAAGTTATGCTGAGGGCATTCTAGGAAGAAAAGCAGCTGGCCCCGGTGGTTCGTGCCTATAATCCCAGCTACTCAGGAGGCTGAGGTAGGAGGTTTGCTTGGAAACTAGCCTAAGCAACACAGCAAGACCCCTGTCTCTAAAAATAAAAGAAAAGGCCCCCATTTTGCATGTGGCTTATAAAGAACTTACAATTCTCTGTCCTCTATCCTCACCTCAAGTTCCCATTCAAGATACTAGCTAGGTATTTATAGTTAGTTCCTTATATATACATGTTACTCTTGAAGTTAATCTCACAGAGACTGTACAAAAATAGAGCAATTTCCATAACTGGTTGCTTCTGATCAGTGTTCATTTTGGAGACATCGATAATCACCTGCCAATTACTGGCTATATTGTGACTGACATCTTATGGATGCTTTGTTCTCCAAACTGATTTGTTAAGCTGTAAACTGACTACTTCCTATGTTAAAACGACTAGCAAGCTAGACCTGTACAACTTTTTCTATCTGCCTTAATCTAAAAACTAAATGTAGTATCAACTCAACTCAGCAGATCCGCACCTGCCCCCTGATTATCTTGTCATAAAACCATCCGTAGGGAGCCAAAGAGGGTACTATTTAACAATGACACAATTGCTTGCAGTATAACATTAGCAGTATAAACAAAAGCATTTTTCATTGCTTTTCAAATCTTAAGAGTTTGAAAAAAGGCTGGGCACAGTGGCTGATGCCTGTAATTCCAGCACTTTGAGAGGCCAAGGCAGTGGATCACTTGAGGTCAGGAGTTCGAGACCAGCCTGGCCAACATGGTAAAACCCCATCTCTACTAAAAATACAAAAAAAAAAAATTAGCCGGTCATGGTGGCGAATGCCTTTAATCTCAGCTTCATGGGTGGCTAAGGTAGGAGGATAGCTTGAACCAGGGAGGTGGTGGTTGCAGTGAACCAAGCTCATACCACTGCACTCCAGCCTGGACAACGGAGAGAGGTTCCATCTCAAAGAGAAAAAAAAAAAAAAAGTAAGAGTTTAAAAAAAGACCTAACACCCACCAAAATTATGGATGCCTATTGCAACTTCCAAAACAGACAAGATTATAGGGTGATTATTTATATCTCAAAAGGAAATTATGAGTTATACATTATATGTAATTATACATACAGTCAAATGTGTTTATGTGTCTGTGTGTATGTATGTGTGTGTGTGTGTGTGTGTGTGTGTGTGTTTATGTATGTATATGTAAATCGTGATGTGTGACATTGAAAGAATGTTCCAAAAAAGGAGCTATTTCTTACAAATAGCTACTAAATGCTGAACCCTGCACCAGGCACTATTAACCTCTGCATCTGGACACTGTTTGGCATGCTGTATAACTGCTCATTTTCCCAAAACCATAAAAAAGCAAATGCCATGTGATTTACTTCTTATTCCCCCACAACCAGAATAAAACCCACATAGTAACAATATTGTCCAATCAATATCTATTAAATAAACTGAACTGACTTAATTATAAAAAGATAACCTTGAGCAGAGGGATCAGTGAGACTCAGAAAATACATAGTGTTTACAGTATGAACACACACAAAAAAAACGGAGTGTACAAAGTACAGAGGAAAAATGAAGTCGCTAAATATTTAGGCAATAAGCATTGATAGATCAACCTTTATTGAGCTCCACTGTACAAACGAGCCCTTAAATACTATGGTAAAGCTCCAGGGGGATGCCAAAATAATACACGGTTTGTCTCCTCTGCTATAGCCCACTGCAGCCATAAATGTTAGCTCTGAAGGGACTACGAGAGTTTCCCACCATTTGCCTAGAGTTTCCTAACATATGAACTCCAAAGCAGTGGTTCTCAAAGTATGGCCCACATATGTTTCCCAGACTCTTCCTGGGAGTCTGAAAAGTCAAAACTATTTCTATACTAACTCTAAGACATTATTTGCCTTTTTCACTATGTTGACATTTGTAATGATGGTACAAAGTCAATGCTGGGTTAAACTGCTGCCCTTGGCAGTAATTTAGTAGTGTCACCAAAATGTACCAGTAGTCACTGTATTTGTCACTGTCACACACTACAGAAAAAAGGAGGGAAAGCCATTTTAACTTAATAATGTCCTTGATGAAGCAGTAAGATTTAGTGATTTTATTCAATCTTGACCCTGAGCAAACATCTTTTAAAATATTCTGTGTGACAAAACAGTAGGTACACATAAAGCACTTCTGCACAGTGGCTGCTTCAAGAAGCAGCACTGGAGTTATTGTTACGTTGTAAGCTGAACTAGCCCATTTTTTTCATTGACTATCATTTTACTTACTAAACAAATTGTGGTTATTCACACTTGGGTATCTGATGGATATTTTCTTGAAAATGAACAAAGTGAGTATGTCACTTCAAGGAAAACAAGTGACAGTATTTGTTGCCAATGATAACATTTGAGCTTTTTTTTTTTTTTTTTTTTTGAGATGGAGTCTCACTCTGTCACCCAGGCTGGAGTGCAATGGTATGGTCTCGGCTCACTGCAACCTCCACCTTCCGGGTTCAGGCGATTCTCCTGCTTCAGCCTCCTGAGTAGCTGGGACTACAGGTGCATGCCACCACACCTAGCTAATTTTTGTATTTTTAGTAGAGATAGGTTTTCGTTATGTTGGTCAGGCTGGTCTTGAACTACTGACCTCGTGATCTGCCCACCTCGGTCTCCCAAAGTGCTGGGATTACAGGCGTGAGCCACCACACTCAGCCCAACATTTGAGCTTTTAAGCCAAAATTAGAATTTTGGGATATTTTTATCTGTCACTGTGAGCTTCACAGGTTCCAAATATTTAAAGATGTATCTGATGAGTTCAATGATATTTACAAACTTAATTTTTTGATATTATGAAATGTGTCAATATTTAGAAAATCCGCATAACTCAGTGAACAAGTATTTTCCAAATGACCAATGTATGATGTCACAAAATCATGCTTGGGTAAAAGATCCATGAAAAATGCAAGATAGACAAATGAATTTTAATAAAATCGAGTATGAAAAGTTCATTGATACAGTTTCTGATTCCATACCGCAACTAACCTTTGTTTTTTTGTTTTGTTTTGTTTTGTTTTTTGTTTTGTTTTGAGAGGGAGTTTTGCTCTTGTTGCCCAGGCTGGAGTGCAATGACATGATCTTGGCTCACTGCAACCTCCACCTCCTTGGTTCAAGCGATTCTCCTGCCTCAGCCTCCCGAGTAGCTGGGACTACAGGCGCCCACCACCATGCCCAGCTAATTTTTTCTTTTTGTATTTTTAGTAGAGACAGGGTTTCACCATGTCGGCCAGGCTGGTCTCGAACTCCTGACCTCAGATGATCCACCCACCTCGGCCTCCCAGAGTGCTGGGAATACAGGCATCAGCCATCGCGCCTGGCCGCAACTAACCTTAAAACTACCAAGTATTAAGATCTAGTACGGTATCAAAAGAAGAATATGCAAAATTGTCTGAACTGACTATTAAAAAATCTTTTTTTATATATCTACGTAAAACCAGATTTTCTTCATATACTTTAACCCAAACAGTATATTGTAACAGACATATGCAGATATGAGAATTCAGCTATCCTTTATGAAGTCAGACATTAAAGAGATCTGCAAAAATGTAAAACAATGTCATTCTTCTCACCAATTTTTAAAAAAATAGCTATTTTTACAGCTTTATTTTAAAATGTTACTTATGTTAATATATAATGGTTTATCATTTTTATTTAATCTTTAAATGAATTAAAATACTTTTAAGTTTCTCTGTTTAATTTCTAGAAAGTAGCTATAGCCCATATAAATAAAAGCTCTTGGGAATCTCAATGATTTTTATGAATGTAAGGGGGTCACTGGGACCAGAAAGTTTGAAAAACATTGCTCTATGGACAATAATTCTTTCTTTGTTTGGCAAGAGATCTTAGGGGTCCTGATTCTGTTTGGTTTGGGCTGGTATAATTTTTTATGAAAAAGTATGGAAATTGAAGTAACATATAGCACAGTCAAGACTTGAATCCAAGGACTGGCACAGTGGCTCATGCCTGTAATCCCAGCATTCTGGGAAGCTAAGGTGGGAGGATCGCTTGAGTCCAGGAGCTCAAGACCAGCCTAGGCAACACAATGAGACCCTATCTCTGCAAAAAATTTAAAAATTAGACATGGTGGTGCATACTTGCGATCCCAGTAACTTGGGAAGCTGAGGTGGGAGGATCACTTGAGCTCAGGAGGTTGAGGCTGCAGTGAGCTGGGATCACGCCACTACACTCCAGCCTGGGGCATAGAGTGAGACCCTCCAAGACAGAAAAGAAAAGAAAGGAAGGGAAAGGGAAAGGGAAAAGGAAAAGGAAAAGGAAAAGGAAAAGGAAAAGACAAGACAAAACAAGACTTGAATTTGGATCTCCTGACTTCAATTTTATGTTCTTTCTACACCACAATTCCTCTGCTTACTAAGATGATAATTTAGAAACCCCTCGTTCCATTCTTTACAGCAAGCTGGAAGTTTGGTCAAGTAATTACAATAATAGTAACAAATTTGAATATTATATGCCAGGTGTTTTTCATTCCTGCTCTCACTTAATTCTCACCACTCTGATATAAATACAATTGCTGCCGGGTGTGGTGGCTCATGCCTGTAATCCCAGCACTTTGGGAGGCCAAGGCAGGTGGATCACCTGAGGTCAGGAGTTCAAGACCAGCCTGGTCAACATGGTGAAATCCCATCTCTACTAAAGATACAAAAATTATCTGGGCATGGTGGCACCACCTGTAATCCCAACTACTCAGGAGGCTGAGGCAGGAGAATCACTTGAACCCAGGAGGTGGAGGTTGCAGTGAGCCAAGATCGCACCATTGCACTCCAGCTTGGGCAACAAGAGTGAAACTCCATCTCAAAAATAAAAAAATATAAATAAATACAATTACTCACTAACCTTCATTTTACAGATGAAAACCTGAGGTTAAACCACTTGCCAAAAGTCACACGGCTACTAAATGGCAGAACCAGGATTTGAAAACAATACTTCTAATAGATGTATTAGCAAAAAAGTCTCACAACTGCCAATCAAAACATTTGTGTGGATACTAGCAAAGTGGCATTTTTGGAAACAGAGCACCTATGACTCTTGCCCAGTGTGCCTTCAAATATAGACAGAACAAAACACTAGCCTCGAGTATCGCCATACAAATTTAGTTCTACACAGACAACAGCAAGAAAACAAGCAAATAGGGAGATGTGCTAGGTATGACCAAGCTGCCTCTCTTCCTTACCCATCCAGCATTTCTACCATCACCCACTAAAAAGGAGTGACAGAAGTCAAGGATGAAGGATGCATCACCAACAGCCGGGACAGTGAAAACTCTTGGCAGGTGTTCTCTAAGCTCTAACTCCCTGCCTATGCAAACTAAACCCCAAGCCAAGTCCTCTTGGCTTTATCACACTGAGTGTTCACAAGAGCCATCATTAATGTCCAAGCTCCACTTTTTCCAGGCTGATGACATGTGTCAGCCCTTGATTCCTGGTGCCACTCTTGCCTGTCAACTCAGGAAAGGCTTCTGTAATGCCTTTGGCTTTTCTGAAATACCTTCAAGACACAAGGCAGCAGCTGACACCAACTCTCTCCTGAGGATGGACACTTGGCCAGGAGCCCAAGCTGAAGTGGATTAGGAGGTTCTTGATCTTTATTAAAATCATTCCTACCTTCTTACTGGCAATTAAAATAAATTCCTCCCCAGAGAGCAGCCAGGGGTTCCTCGAGCCTCTTCCATCCAGTGGTAGTCATCTTTGATTAAAGAAAAGCGGTAAAGTGTAGCAGCAGCTGATAAATGTCAGACCCTGGAGGACCATCACAGAGTTTAGATCACTTTACAGCTATTTCTCATTTCATACCATGGACGGATTTTAACCCAACACCACTCAGTACTGCTTACTTAGTTAAATGCTTCAGGAAAGCCTCCCAAATCCAAGTCAATGGTCCATTTACAATAGTTTTGGGTGCATCCCTGAGGCTAAGATGTTTGACTCATCAGGCAGATTTTGACTTGAAGGCTATATCATCTATCTTGCAGATGGCCAATAGGAAACTTCTGCAAAAAAAAAAAAATTCTTTTTCATGATGAAGAGACAGAGTGGTATAATTATGATAAACACACATACATGTAGTCAAAGATTTCAATTCTGACCCTGCTGTGTGACTTAGAATCTTCATTTCCCTTCTAAATCTGTTTCTTCATCTGTTAAATTAAGATATTTAGCCTAAATAAGAGATTCCCAAATGTCCACTTTTTAAATTACTGCACCAGAATAATATGAACGCTTTTGAAAAATACAGAATTTACTCCTAGAAAAGCTGATTTACTAAGTCTGGGATGATGCCTAGGAATCTGCACTTTTAGCAGGCTACATTTCCCATCGCTACCACTTTTTCTGGGAGGAGTTGGGGGAGACAGGGTCTCACTCCGTCGCCCAGGCTGGAGTGCAGTTGCACAAGCACGGCTCACTGCAGCCTTGACCAAGTCTTGGGCTCAAGCCAATATTGCCACCTCAGCCTCCTATGTAGCTAGAACTACTGGCAGACATCACAATGCCGGGCTAATTTTTTCAATTTTTAGTAGAGATGGGGTCTCCTTATGTTGCCCTGGCTGGTCTCAAACTCCTGGGCCCAAGTGATCCTCTTGCTGTGGACTCCCAAAGTACTGAGATTACAGGTGTAAGCCACTGTGCCCAGCCTACACTTTTAATTCTGATGCAAAGCAGGTTTGGAAACCATGAGACTAAATGACCTCTAACACTCCTGATAGTCTGAAAGTTACAAAATTGTAGGTTGAAACTTATTTTCTATTTATTCAACCCAGAATTATTTCCCCATTCATGATTAGCATTCCCACTCAAACATCGGCATTGTCAATTTCAGGTTAGCAATGGAGAGATAGGTCCAAAAACAATAAACCAAGTATCAATAGTTTGCCCAAACTAGTACAGTATTATTTCATTTATGAAAGTATGAGGTAGATCTAAGCATAGCTTTTCTACAGAACACACATTTTTAAATAAAAGTTTTAAGACATCATATTTTGGAAAAACTCAACTATCTGCTGGAAATAACCAAGAAAGGCAACATTAAAAAGCATTTTCCCTGTTATGAATAACTCAAAATAGTTATGAAATGAATATGTCTACTTACCAATAACTTACAAAGCCTTAACACAAATCTATACTCTACCTGAGGCAATAATAAACTTTCTAAGAACAGAGCTCAAGTTTTTAAAGTATAAATTACTATAAGACTAAAATTAACCCAATAAACAAAAATAAGTCAGAGGAAGAAATAGTCTTATATCACTGATACATCATCTGCGCTTCATAATTGTAAAAAAGGAAAGATTGAGTTCTTTGGTAACTGTTCTTGTTTATTTCATTAACTGGTTGTTGCAAAACACACGCCTATTGGCTTTAAAGAACTTTTAAAATCTCGGCCAACACTTTTCACACACTACAATACAAACCAAGATTCTCTCCAGTTCATTCTTCAATTTCCATGAATATCACCTACTGCATGATATTGGTTCCTATTGCTTTTACAGCTTTATATTCCCAACTTATTATTTCAGCTTAACTTGAACAATAATCGCTGGTAGAGTAACTCAGAAGAGTTTTTCACTGATTACAAATATCCTGATTTACCATGAAAAAAAACGAGTCCTGCTTCCTGTGGGTTTGCAAAATAATCTAAAATAGTAATACCTCAAACACGTGAAGTCACTGCAACAAGGGGATGGAGAAATCATGTGCTTCTTTAAAAGTCTTTTTTTTTTTTTTTTTGTGACAGGGTCACTCTGTGTTCCCCAGGCTGGAGTGCAGTGGCACAAACACGGCTGACTGCAGCCTCAACCTCCTGGGTTCAACTGATCCTCCTGCCTCAGCCTCCTGAGTAGCTGGAGCCACAGGCACACACCGCCACGCTCAGCTAATTTTTTATTTTTTGTAGAGATGGGGTTCTTGCCATGTTGCCCAGGCTGGTCTTGAAATCCTGGGCTCAAGCAATACCTCCCTCCTCGGCCACCTAAAGTGCTGGGATTACAGGCATGAGCCACTGTGCCAGGCCAAAATATTTTGAAAGGCTTTGAAGTATGTGTCCCATTTGAAGAGAAATACTGCCCTAGCACTAGGCCAATTTGCTATCTCAGTTACTTGGCCTGTCCACATCCTTTTTTTTTTTTCTTTCCTTTTAAGAGATCAGGTCAGGTCACACTCTGTCACTCAGGCTAGAGTGAAGTGGCGGCACAATTAGAGCTCACTGTAGCCTCAAACTCCTGAACTCAAGCAATCCTCCACCTCAGCCTCCTAAATAGCTGGGACTACAGGCACATGCCACCACAGCCAGCTAATTAATTATTTATTTATTTATTTATTTATTTATTGGTAGAGACAAGGTCTTGCTATGTTGCCCAGGCTGGTCTCAAACTCCTGGCCTCAAGTGATACCCCTATCTCAGCTCCCAAAGTGCTGGCATTATACATCAGCCACCATGCCCCCAACATCCCAAACAGCTAAAGTAACCTGATATAAAGTTGCCATGTAAAATTTTAAAATGTTCCAAGCTACTGAGTTTAAATTTCTAATTCTACCTCTCAACTCCTTGGTAAAACCTTAGGCAGACTAAATATAAGAATGACCATTATCCCATATACAACTTAACCTTTGAGATTCTTTTTTTCTCCTTCCTAACACTCAAGTAAACACTCTAGATTCAGCAGGCTCCTTTATGACCAGTACCTTAAAACAACACATTATTTTGGCCTAACTTAAAACCAGAATTAGTAGTCAAAGTGCTGGGATCAGATGCAAACCAAATGGTTGCTGGGAAAGTGGGGGCAGATGGGAAACTTGCAAAATAAGATAGCTAAATGCATTCAAATATTTGTATAACTTCTCATTTGACAATTTCTTTTAGAAGAGGATCTGTTCCAAGACTCCCAGCAGACGCCTGAAACTTCGAATAGTACACAACTCCATATATATTATGTTTCTGCCTATACATACATACCTATGGCAAAGTTTAATTTATAAATTAGGCACAGTAAGACAGTAACAATAACTGATAATAAAATGGAACAATTAAAACAATATGGTATAAGTTGGCTGGGCACAGTGGCTCATGCCTGGAATCTCACCACTTTGGGAGGCCTAGGTGGGAGGACTGTTTGAGGCATGGAGTTTGAGACCAGCCTGGGGAACATAGTGAGACCCTGTCTGTACAAAAAAAAATTTCTAAATCAGCCAGGCATGGTGGCATGCACCTGCAGTTCTAGCTACTCAGGAGGCTGAGGCGGGAGGATTACTTGAGCCCAGGAGTTTCAGGATACAGTGAGCTGTGACTGCACCACTGCACCTCAGCCTGGGCAACACAGCAAGAGACCCTGTCTTTAAAAAAGAAAAAAAAAAAAGTTATGTGAATGTGGTCTCTCTCTCAGAATATCTTATTGTACCGTACTCACCTATTTTTGAAAGTAACTGAAACCACAGAAAGCGAAAACGCATATAATGAGGGACTACTATAATTGTGTAAGCACAGAGTTACCAATTAATGGTTGGTATCTGCAATTGGTACAGAACTTGGTGAAGTCTAAATAATTACTTTTCCTGGAACCACTGCTACTGGGTTATACATTATGCTTCAGGGAAAGGTGATGGCAAGAGTATTCACTGCTACTGGCCAAGTAGCCACTCGTAACAAGATGGAGATCAAAGCTTCCAAAAAAAGCAACATCGTATCAGTGACAAGACTAGATTGAGAAATCCTGCTCTATAGCTATGGTCAGAATTTCCTAATCTGAAGTTCACAGACAAACCCACCAAGGAGGTGATAAATGAGTTCCTGGATTCCATAATTGAAACTGCTTTCAAAATGTGTTTATGTACATGTATTTAGGGAGAGAATCCATAGCGGATTTTTAAATATTATCATCTAATTTAATTAGATAGGGAGAGTTTTAAATAATGTTATCTAATTTAATCCTCACAATCAATGAAGAAGGTACTAATATTCTCATTTTATAGACTCAGGAAACTAAAACGTTATGGGAAATGAAAACCTTACCAAAAAAGTGGTAGAGCATTAATTCCAAATATGTCCTTAAAACACATATATGTACACATACAATACAACAGCTAGTCAGAGATTGTTTTAACTATAAAAGAACAGGTTTTTTATTAGCATATATGGCCTGGAAGCCAAATACTGGGGAAAACAAGCAATTTTATTTATTAACATAGAAATAATAGTTGTAAATTATCTTAACAACTTAAATACCTTTAAAATAACATATAAATCTCCATTTTATAGATAAGGAAGCAAAGAAATGGAGAGGTTAAGTAATTTGTCAAAGATCACATAGCTAGTAAAATTCAAAGTCACGATTCTGGCTCCAAAATCTGCTCTTTACTATGCTGTAAATACTGCTTCTCCAAACATTTAATACATGAAATTTTTTAACTATGGTCATTTTAAAGGGAAAAAAAGCAAGAAGGCCAAAGAATCATCCAATTTGGAAAAGTTTATTATAATAAGGTATTTCATTTATTCTATTCTCGCACATATGAAACAAAAGCAATGGGAGACAAGAGAAGCAATTACATTTGCATGCTCTTTCAGATACATAACCTTATTGGATTTTCATGGCTGTGTGTGCAGGAAGGGCAAGTGCTATTTGTCTCACATTTTAAAGATGAGTTAACTGACACTCTGAGACATTAATCTCACTACTCACCATTACCTAAACATTTCTGCCTCTAAGATTTCCTGTACATGGTTTTCCATTGGAATTAGCCCCCTTTCTCTGTCTAGTAAAAATTCAACTAACCTTTTAAAGCTCAAACCAGGTTAACCTACTTAGATATACCTTTCCTGGCACTTGTAGGCAGAATTAACCCCTCTTTTCTCTGTTCTCCCTTAATATAGTTCACACCAATCCACCAGGCATCCTCTTTGTCATCAGTTATATTTACGTGTAGCTCCCTAGTCAGATAGTGGGCTCCAGGATGGCAAGGGTTTTATATACAGGAAAAACAATCCCTAGGATTCTACTGCCGAATCAGTAAAAGGATGAATCAGAAAACTAGCACAGTTTGGCAAAAAGAAACATGAATTCACACTGACATGCTGTTGTTATCTTCATAACTTAAGAATTTATCCTCACGGCTAGCAGCATTACCCCCAAACACTTATAGTGATGCTTCCTGCATGGTGCTTGGGAAACACCTAGGCAGACGGCACCTGAGACGATGACTCCTCTTCTATTAGCTACTAATCACTCAATTTTAGTTATGTGCTGCTGAAGCAAACATGCTACTAATCATCCAGATACATTGTTTTATTGAGTTTATGCTTATTTCTTCCAAGTATATCAAGAAGTCCCAGGAAGACTATGAAAACATTTACATCCCCATGTTGGAGACATGTGGGTTTCAATATTTCATGGTTTCTCTGGAATATTGGAAACCACCAATATTTCGTGGTTTCTCTGGAAAAGAAAGGAGGTATGTGAAATTAAGGAATGGCATGGTGAGTTCTAACAAACTCAAAACCAATCTAAATCAAGAGTTAAATAGTTGGATTGGCTTGTTAAATGTCAGCCTATAATTTTTTTTTTTAGAGACAGATTCTCACTCTGTCACCCAGGCTGGAGTGCAGTGGTGGATCACAACTCACTGTAACCTCAAACTCTTGGGCTTAAGGAATCCTCCCTCCTCAGCCTCCGAAAGTGCTGGGATTACATGTGCCACCCTGCCTGGTCACTCTTAGCTAATTTAACCCTTAACTTTTTTTAACCCTTAGACTTTATCCTTGCACCGAGTATATAAACCCCTTAGCCAAACTCACTTAAAAAACCCAAATGTGTGCTCAAACTTGCTTGATGATAAAAACTAAAGAACTTAAAGGAATGAGGATGATGAAGGCCATTATGCCATGATACACAATTATTTCAAATACAGTGGGCAACACCCCATGTCATTCCAGAAACCTACCTTTCTGTAGTTTTTCAAGTCTGTGAAAAGCATTCTTTTTAGAATGCTATGAATTTAAGGAATAATATTTTGTAAGCATCTAAAGGTTTGGTGAAGTCAAAATCAGTATTTTTTTTAAAGTCTAAATATTTATCCAAATAGTATAAGGCTTGACATCGCTTTATATTATTGGACCAAGAGGAAGACTTTTTAAAATAAACCCATTAAAAAGTTTTAAACATATTACACAGTTACAGTTGCCTGATTTTTTGTGTGTGTATACAATTTACTGTCATAACACTGAAAACTCAACAAAGCTGGCTAATGCAGAGTTTTGACAGAGGGTGAATTAAACTGATATAGAAGGTAAACAGTTTACATTCAAACCTAAATCTCAGTGGTTGATATTTTTTCTTTTAACGTGTACCATTTGGCTGCTTTAAAAATGAATTTGAGACCAGTCAGCCTTTAGTATTTAAACCTAAAGCAAATAGTAATAACTATCCCCATTTAGAGATTAACTTCAATTCAGCAGGCAGTTCTGTAAGCCCTTTTCCTATTAAGTATTCCTAGATCTGTCCCATTGTAAATCACATATTCTGAAGATTCATATTATTAATTCATTTTTCAAATTTTTCATCACAGACATTCAACAGAATCAAAAATAACCACTATGTCCTATAATGTACTGGTATCGTTTCAGCCAGAACAAATGACATCTGACATTTTAGTTACACTCTGTGTTCTCAACTAAGAAGAAATGCAAGCTTTACATTAGGTGGTGGGTTTTTGGTTTATTTTTTGCTTTTTCAATATGGAAAATAGCTTGTGGACTATCACTAACACCTCTGTGGTAACTTAGTAATGCAGGATCTCAGCAAAGGAGATCATCAATCATGGAGGTCGAGGTTTTTCATCTTCCCCTATGACCTCACCTATAGACCTACCTGCTATTATTATAGGCAAACAAGTAGAAGAAATTTACATGTTTGACTTTGGCTCTGCAGTGATGGGTCTACTCCTAGATATCAACAGTAAGTTCTGTAGTAGACAACAGAAGCAGTATGATGAGTGAGCACTGGAAACATGAAGTCCAGTATTCAAATTCTGGCTTATAACCTTGGCTCCTGGCAATGTAACTTTAGGCAAATCACTTCAAGTTTTTTCATCAGGAAAATGTGGGTTGTTGAGAATTTAATGAGATAAAATATACAAATCCTAGTATATAGCAGATCCCCAATATATGTTAATCTCTTACCCTTGTTAACAATTAAAATACTACTGCAAAATCAGGTATTTTACATTTTTAGAATCACAAAATAATACCATTCAAAGACATTTTCTCAGACATTCATTTGAGTCTGCTTGTACAAATTACTGCACAGTCTATCCCACAGTTCATTAGTTCTCTGCTGCACACAAATTGATTTTATAATTTAAATACTCTCGACTTGAAACCCAGAGAGGAATGTAAGAGCATCCATCAGCGGTGGTCTCACTGCTCACTGGTTCTTGGGATGTGGATGGGAGAATGAAGAAGGGCTATCAGGCCAGCCTTCAGAGGACTCCAAGGAACATTCAACGCTGTCGGTGAGTTTGGGATTTGAAAAAACCACTGACCGTTGACTGTACCTTGGGGTCCTTACAGACGACACTACATTTCCTGAAGCAAAAGAGCAAGCTGTACCTTCACATGTCACATGAGTTCACCAGAAATGGTCCTGCAATCCCCCAAATGTGGTCCAGTGAATTTTATTCCTACTGCTCACTGTTCCTTGCTTTCTGTTGTGTGTTTTATTATTATTTGTTTGTTTTTACAAAAAAAGTGTTTCATTTCAACAAGGTAAGGAGCAGTCCATGATGATATCTAATGTACCTACATGTCTCCTAGATATGCACCATTCTGGTGAGAAACAGGACGTAGCAAGTAAAAATTTATTAAAAATACGTATTTTGTTTTGGAATAAAATCCAGTTAAATAATTACTCCCATTTCTCCCACATCCTCTCAAAATTTTTAATTAGGGGCAAGGGGAGGATTTAATAAGCAAAAATAGCACAAAATTATCCAATTGTGACAGTTCTTATCACATTTCACTTTGAATTATAGTTAATATGGTTAATTTTTGATATCCCAGTTAGAGCATGAGCTATTGCCTTACTAGTGCCCACATATCCCCACATATGCTTATTTAAATGTTTGCTAAATTCAAGCAAAAACTTAGCCCTGGAGTCAGTCAGATCTGGGATGAATCTTGGCTCAAGCCCTTAACTAGTTATTTGACCCCCTAAGCAAGTGTCTCAGTTTTCTCACATATAAAACAGAGGCTAAGAGTACCTATCATGGAGTTTTGAGACTCAATGAGATAATATATAAGGTGCTTTGTACCATTACTAGCCCACAGCAAATGCTCAATATATGTAAGCTGTTATTATTAAACTCCAACATAATCTGCTAATTTACCTCAAAAAAGCACTCATACTTCTCAGTTCAAAACAAAGAGGAAAAGCAGGTCCCTCAGCTGTGGTTTACAGGTACTAATATGCAAGCACTGCCTGTGTGGCGCAGTGCTACCTGTGAGGTTCTCCAAGCACTCCTTCCTTCTCTGAACCACAGCTTCCTCATCTGCAATAACCTCCCAGCTCCAATGTCAATGTTATGGACACCTGTGTGGGCCCTCAATCATGCAGATGGCTGGTTACTAAGGGAGAAGCCAGACACACAGACTTCAAAGAACTGAGATGGAAAAGAAGAGCCAGGAGTCAGCCAGGGAGGGCAAAGGCAACCCCACCAACTGAAAACACTGATGGCTGCACTCAACATTCATTGCTGTCGGTGGGTTTGAGTCTGAATCAACTCACTGATCAATGAATGCAAACTGCGGACCAAACAACCCAAAGGAAGCAAAAGCATGTGCAGAGAGTCGCCTGAGTGCAGCAGCTACTGCTGTGAGTGGGAGCTGCTACTATTTCCAAAACACTAGCTAAAGCTTTTCTTGTTCTCCTTGGTTCTAACATGGAGTAAGTTCTCTAAATTCCTAGTACTTTTCTCCTTTTTCAATAGTCTAGATTTAAGGAAATGATATTTTATAGGAAGAATTAAATACATATCTGGATATCACATCACATTTTAAAAATCAGTACATTCAGAATTTCTAAACAGAATCATATGCTTATTATTTAGAAATTCAAATACAAAAATATACAAAGTAAAAATTGAAAATCCCTTCAATCATCATCTGCAATCCATTTCCTCGGAGGAAAACATGTATAATTATAATAAACTTATTAAGATAATAAATATCATAACTAGAATTTATTTTATATCCTTGAAGACCTTTATCCATACATACACAGATAAATAGCTGTAATTTTGCATGTTTTGGGGGGAGAGTGGCTTAGACAAAAATAAGCTCATTTTTACCTATTGTTCTATAATCTATTTTGTTATTCAGCTATATATCATAGACTTCCACAACAGTCTTTTATGTACTCGTCATTCTTTTAAATGGCTATATAGTATGACTTAATATGAATGTTCTGGTTATTATTCAGATGTACATCAATATTCTCTTTTGACAAAAACTATGAGGCTCATTCATTCTAACCTTTGCAAACCATGTCCCTCAAACAGGAAAAACACCTAAGTGAGATAGAAGATGTACATTTTTCTTAACAAAAAATTTAAATGTAGTATCAACTCTCTAAATCCTGTAACATGAGATAAGCCACTAAATCCCATGTTAAAGAAAGAAAAACAAGGCCCTTGGTCATGAATAATTTATCATACACTTAAGTCTAAGAAGAAGCAGATTCTCATAGCAAAAGTCAAATAAGACAGTAAGAGAAGAGTCTTGTCAAATTAGCCTTGACAATTAAGCAAGCCTTAATTTGACAAGGCTTTCCTGTCAAATTAGGAAGGAGAAGTGATGGGGTAATGAGACAAGAACCAGAAAGAGAAATCAAAGCCAAAAGAAAAATCTAAAGAAAACTATGAGAGTTCAGAGAAAATATCAGGTTCAAGCCAGTGTTTCCCAAACTTCTTGTACACCAGAATCATCTAGAGTTGCTTTTAAAATGGCAAATTCCTGAGCCCTACTCTAGACGAGGTGATTTTGGGTCACTGGAAGCTGGAAGCAAAGTAAATAAAGTTCACTAGCTTAACATCGGCTTCCTGCCCCCATCCCACCACCACATTTCATGTCATCCACTTTTCAACTATTGCCCAACCTTTTGTGTCACCACCTGAAATCGCCACTATTCTGCTGAGTGCAGACAGGTAGAGTCACATTTGTGCTGCTTTTAAGTATCTCCAGACTACATAAAATTTTGCACCATGTTTGGTGGCCAAATATACATCAAATTGTGTCTGATGTTTTATGGAAATGAATGGATTTGGATTTACGCTATCTAAAAAACTAAAACCTACCCAAAGAAATTACCAAAAGGTTTTTTTGTGTGTGTTTTTCTTTCGTTTGTTTGTTTTTTTGAGACAGTCTTGCTCTGTTTCCCAGGCTGGAGTACAGTGATGCGATCTCGGCTCACTGCAACCTCTGCTTCCTGGGTTCAAGTGATTCTCGTGCCTCAGCCTCTCAAGTAGCTGGCCCGCCACCACACCCAGTCAATTTTTGTGTTTTTAGAAGAAATGTGTTTTTAGTAGAGCCATGTTGGCCAGGCTGGTCTCAGACTCCTGACCTCAAGTGATCCGCCCGCCTCGGCCGCCCAAATTGCTGGGATTATAGGCATGAGTCACCGCGCCCGGCCCGAGGGGGTCTTTATAGAAGAGTTTTTTGTGAGACTGGTAGACACACAGAAGGTACTCCACGCAGTCTTGTTTTTCAAGATGCTGTGCATTCTAGGCATTTATTTTTAACCAATTATTTCCAAAATTTCTGAAAACATTAGAAAAGAATGTCTGACACGTACTTTGAAAAATGTACACTTGAACAAGCATGCTATTTATTTACAGACTATTACATAGTCTTTAAATATGCCAATGAAACAATTATATATTTCATTAAACCAAATCCAAGTTTTCTCTTGGATAAAACTAAGTACTACAAGAAGGGAGACAATTATGTAAGTTAAAGGGTGTTTTCTGCAGATAGGCCTCAAAATAAATACCTGTAACAGAAAAATTACATGGCATGTATAGGGGACAGGAAGAGAATAGTCCAGAGACTGTATTAGGGAGTCATAAGGAATGGCACTGAAAAGGTAAAAGGACATATTACAGAAGGACTTGTGAGCAAGGCGCAAAGTCAATTAGTCCAACAGAGAGCCGTTTTAAATGCTAAACTCAGCAAGGAGACAATGAAAGCAAGACTGGGAAGAGTCACTAAGCAGATGAAGTGAGGGGAAGAAAAGAGAAAAAAGAGAACTTTCTTGCACAAGTTAGCAGGGGTAGAACTGAGTCAACAGGAATGGAATGAAAGGAAAGGTTATCTCAAAAAGGCATACTTTGGCTTTTGTTTTTCAAAATAAAAGCCTACTGGCTGACCCCCTTCCATCATCCTGTTCGGTGTATAGCCTCACAGATATTTCAAGATACTTAAAATGCATGTATTTATACTTAGAGAAAATAACATCACAAATTATACATAATGTTCTCTAGCTTTTTTTTTTTTTTTTTTTTGAGATGGAGTCTCGCTCTGTCACCCAGGCTGGAGTGCAGTGGTGTGATCTCGGCTCACTGCAACCTCTGCCTCCTGGGTTCAACTGATCCTCTCACCTCAGCCTCCAAAGTAGCTGGAACAACAGGCACTCACCACCACGCCTGGCTAATTTTTGTATTTCTAGTAGAGATGTGGTTTTGACATGTTGGCCAAGCTGTCTCGAATTCCTGACCTCAAGTGATCCGCCCACCTCAGCCTCCCAAGTAGCTGGGACCACAGGCACGTACCACCATGCCTGGATAATTTTTTGTATTTTTAGTAGAGACAGGATTTTGCCATGTGGCCCAGGCTGGTCTCAAACTCCTGACCTCAAGTGATCCACCCGCCTCAGCCTCCCAAAGTGTTGGGATTATAGGCGTGAGCCACCGCACCCGGCCTGAAATCTTTCTTCACTTAAAATATTGTGGCCATCTTTCCATATCGATATATCAGAACCACCTTCCAAAGAACTGGCTCAAACAGAAAAGAAAGCAAAGAGTCAAGAATGATGCCAAACTTTCCTGACTAGATTAGGAGCCTGGAGTGTACTAAGAAAGAAATGGGCAATTTCACAATGGAAGAAAGAGGATTCCACTTTTGGAACAGATATCAGAACAAGGAATGCACATTTATGATTCATAAGCATGGATCTGAGAAAGAATGATCTAAGTGCAGAAAGAAAAAGGTAACAAATACTTATTGGACACCTAGTGTATACCTGGACTGCAACAGGAGCCAGGAGACATGGAAGAAACAAAAGTATATAACGTAAAAGGCAGAACTAATTCTAACGAACAAATAGCTAATTGCAAGTGTGAAGAGCTCTGCAGAAGATAAAAGTAAGGTACTATGAGAGCAAATAATAGGAGGGACCAATCCAGTCTTGGTGGTAAGAAGGGTCAGGGAACTTCCTTGAGGAAGTGATGTATAAGTAAAGACTTCAAGGGTATGTGTAACTACCTTGGTGAAATAGAGTAAGCATTCCAAGCATAGAGAATGGATGGTATGTTGTGTAGGCCAAAGAAGCAGTGTTTTTACAAAACAGAAATTGTGACTAAAGCACATAAAAAGATGGTGAAAAAGTCATGAGACAAGGCCAGAAAAGAAGGTAGGATTTAAAAAAAAAAAAAACAGATTACTAATAGTTTTGGAAAGAACAATTTTGGCGTTCTAGTCATTGTGGAAATAGATTTCTGGAAAGGTAGTGATGAAGAGCTTGGGCTAAATGAGGGTAAAAATCTCAGCTGTTACTTAGCAACTATATGAACTTGAGCAAATTACTTAACCTTTAAATCTGTGTCATCTGTAAATAGGAGATACAACAATAGTATTTGCTTCACAGGGCTGCTTGAAGATTAAGAATACATGTAAAGAATTTCACACAAGATCTGACACACAAAATATTAAGATCTTAGTGTATGTGCATGTGTTGTGTGTGTGTTTTGTAAGCGCTGCCAAGCATGACTGGCTGATAGGAGACAAAAAGCAGACAGGAAGTTCAAACAGACTAGAAGCAAAGACGTTAACAACTGTGATCTCAAAGTTGTAGAATTATAGGTAATTTTTATGTTTATTATTTATACTCTTATAGATCTTCCAAGTATTTACCAATAAGCATAAACTATTTCAACAATTAAGAAAAAGTTAATTTTAAATCATGTCTTTCTACTCTGGTTTCTCTTCAGATCATATAAATCTTTCGCCTTTTAAATCATGTATTAAAAAAAAAGAAAAAGGAAAAACAAAGATTTCTTTTAGATGCAGAATCTACCTACATTCGGCTGAAAATCAGATGGAAGAATCCACAGAGGAAAGGAAGGAAAGGCGAACTGTCCTGTGGAAAGCACAGCTGCAGGGATAGTAGAAAGTAACAGGCTCTCGATCCGTGGGAGGTGGTCACTTTGGAGGACAGATAAGTCATCCTCAGAGAACGAACACAATGAAGGAAATTCCAGCCTATTCATGTTCTCCTCTCAGGCTGTACCTCAACAAGATCCAACTGGACTTTGTGATCTCATAACCTGTCAAGGGGCCTGGCATGGAGTAGATAATAAATGTTTTTTTTAATCAAATGAATTTTTAACTTTTTTTATCAAACGAATTTTCTTGTAATTTCTAGCACAATTATATTTATAACTTAGGAAGTAATCTTCTCCTTGAACCAAGCACAGGATACCTTCAGCTATCTATCTGTCCCACACATTGCAGTTTCAGCCTATATATAATTTTAATAGCTACCAAATATCAGGATAAAATTATCCTGGCTATACTTGCCACAGAACCCATGAACTTACACTGTAGCCCAACTTCCCTTCCTGTTCTTCAGACTAAATCTACTGAAAAACACACAACCAATCAAAATCGTATGCCCTTTTCTCTCCTCTTCCCAGTAAGTAGTTGGGGCAAAAAACGGTAGGTATAGAAGAAATCGCTTGAAATACAAGAGTCAGAAAATCTGAATTTAAGTTCAGCTAAGTTCAGCTCTGCCCTGATTATGTATTCGTGGTCAAGCCAGTCACCCTGTTTAAGTCTTACTTCTCTGTAAAAGGACGACTAAATATACCCTCTCCATCTCAGATGTGAAAAAGCGCTCTGCAAACAGCACAAGGTATAGGCCAAAGTATCCTAGTCTCTGATGGTGCTGCTCCACAGGTACAGACAAGTAGTTCAGACAAGATCCTCTCACTACCCAAACTCTTGCCTACTTGTCAACCAGCAGTATATGTGTGCAAGATGTCTGGATAAAGTTAACCCATAACCCAGGGTTAAAAGAAGGCCTTTTCTGCATGTAAGTGTCATCAGACTGGATGGGAAATATCATTCACTCTAGGTCCATCAGTAGCAACTCCAAACACTTGAGTCACCTCCCAAACAAGAAGTTGCTATTATACTCTGTAGTGGGGTAGGACACAGGGTAAGGCTTTGGGATTATAAGCTTCCAAGGTGAAGAATAATGACATAGCAAATAATCAGTGGGGCCCCATCTGATCAATGAACTTAAATCATTTTGTCAAGACGTCCCTTCCTTTTCCTGCTTCCAGCCAATCTTAAATATTTCTTTAAACAGCTTTGTTTAGGTATAATTCACATGCAATTAAATTCGCCTGTTGTAAGTGTATAATTCAATGACTTTTATTCATTCATTTATAGACTTGTGCAAGCATCACCAAAATCTAATTTCGAACCTTTGCATCACCCATAAAACTCCCTTTGTTCCTGTTTCCACTCCCAACTTAGCCCCCAGACAACCACTGATCTGTCTCTATACATTTGACTTCTCTGGACATTTTGTTCTGGTTTTTGTTTTGAGACAGTCTTGCTCTTCTTCCAGTCTTCGCCCAGACTGGAGTGCAGTGGTATGATCTCAGCTCACTGCAACCTCTACCTCCCGGGTTCAAGTAACTCTCATGCCTCAGTCACCTGAGTAGCTTTGATTACAGGCATGCGCCACCACACCCGCCTTTTTTTTTAGTAGAGATGGAGTTTCGCCATGTTGGCCTGGCTGGTCTCAAACTCCTGGCCTCAAGTAATCTGCCCACCTCAGCCTCCCAAAGTGCTAGGATTACAGGTGTGAGTCACCACGCCCAGCCTCTGGACATTTCATATAGGAGAAATCATATAACATGTACTCGCTTGAGTTTGGCTTTTTTTTTGAAATGGGGTCTCACTCTGTCACCCAGGCTGGAGTGCAGTGGCGTGATCTTGGCTCACTGCAATCTCCGTCTCCCAGGTTCAAGTGATTCTCCCACCTCAGCCTCTAGAGTAGCTGGGACTACAGGCATACACCACCATGCCCGGCTAATTTTTGCATTTTTTTAAATTTTTTAATTTTTATTTTTTTAGTAAAGATGGGGTTTCACCATGTTGGCAAGGCTGGTCTCGAACTGCTGACCTCAAGTGATCCACCTGCCTCAGCCTCCCAAAGTGCTGGGATTACAGACATGAGCCACCACGCCCAGTGAAGTTTGGCTTTTTTCATTTATTATGAGTTTTAGGTTTATCCATGTTGTAGCATGTACTGGTAATTCATTCCTTTTTATTGTTGAATAAATAAATATTGTTGATAGTATTGCATTATATAGGTATTCCACATTTTGTTTATCCATTCACCAGCTGCTGGATATTTGAATTGTTTCCAGGTTTGGGCTATTAATGAACATTTATAATAATGCTATCAATAAACATTTACATAGCCTTTTTTTTTTTTTTTTTTTTTTTTGAGACAAGTTCTCGCCCTGTGGCTCAGGCTGGAGTGCAATGGTGCAATCTCAGCTCACTGCAACCTCTACCTCCCAGGCTCAAGCGATTCTCCTGTGTCAGCCTCCTGAGTAGCAAGGATTACAGGCACATGCCAACGCACCCAGCTAATTTTTGTATTTTTAGTAGAGAAGGGGTTTCTCCATGTTGGCCAGGCGGGTCTCAAACTCCTGACCTCAGGTGACCCACCCGCCTTGGCCTCCCAAAGTGCTGAGATTACAGGCATGAGCCACCACACCTGGCCTACATACAGTCTTTGTATGGACATAAGTTTTTAATTCTCTTGGATATCCAGGAGTGGAATTGCTGGATCATATGGTAAGTTTAACTTTTTAATGAACTGCCAAACTGATTTCCAACTGATTTACATTACCATTGTAACACGCAAGATTTCTAGTTTCTACACATCCTAACACTTTCTAGAACATTTTGACAGTCTTTTCGATTACAGCTATTCCTGAGGGTGTACAGTGGACATTCCAATTTTAATTTGCATCTCCCTAATGACTAATTTAGAGCACCTTTGCATGTGATGAAATGTTCTTTTACCCATGTTTTCATATTTTTAATTTTTATTGTAGTAAAATATACATAAAATTTACCATTTTAATCACTTAAGTATATAATTCAATGGCATTAAATTCACAATGCTGTGCAACCAGCATCACTATCCATTTCCAGAACATTTTCATAATCCTAAACAAGAACTCTGTACCCATTAAACAATAACTACTTATCCTCCATTTCCCCTAGCAACTTGTTTACTTTTTGCCTCAATGAATTTTGCCTATTCTAGGAATCTCACATAAGTGGAATCATTATATTTTTTGTTAATTTCTAAAAATTGAGTTGTCTTCTTATTGAGTTGTAAGAGTTCTTTACGTATTTTAGATGCAACTCCTTTATCAGATTTTTTTTTCTTTTGAGTCGGAGTTTCGCTCTTGTTGCCCAGGCTGCAATGCAGTGGCACAATCTCGGCTCACTGCAACCTCCACCTCCCGGGTTCATGCGATTCTCCTGCTTCAGCCTCCCGAGTAGCTGGGATTACAGGCGCCTGCCACCACGCCCAGGTAGTTTTTTGTATTTTTAGTAGAGATGGGGTTTCACTATGTTGGCCAGGCTGGTTTTGAACTCCTGGCCTCAAGTAATCCACCCATCTCGGCCTCCCAAAGTGCTAGGATTACAGGTGTGAGCCACCGCACCCGGCCTTTACCAGATATTTAATTTGCAAATATATTCCCACAATCTGAAGTTTTCCCATTTTCTTAATAACGTATTTTGAAATGCAAAAGTTTTACATTTTAATGAAGCCAATTCATCAATGAATTTCTTTTATGGCTTGTGCCACTGGTGTCACATCTAAGAGGTCTTTGCCTAACCCAAGGTCACAAAGATATGCTTGATACATTTGGTAGTTTTAGCTCTTACATTTAGGTGTATGGTGCACTCTGAGTTACTTTTTGTGTCTAGTGTAAAATAGAGTCTTAGATAAATTTTTGGCATGTAGATATCCACTTTTCCCAGCATCATTTCTGGAAAAAAACTATGATTTCCTCCACTGAATTGCCTTGGTATCTTGGTCAAAAATCAAAGGACCACATACATAAGGATTTATGACTGAATTCTCAATTCAGTTCCAGTGCCTATCCTTACAGCAATTATCACTGATACAGTTTGGATGTCTGTTCCCTCCAAATCATGTTGAAATGTGACCCTCAATGTTGGAGGTGGGGCCTAATGGGAGGTAGTTGGGTCATGAGGGTAGATCCCTCATGAATGGCCTGGTGCCCTCCCCTCAGTAATGAGTTCTTGTTTTATTAGTTCACACAACAGCTGGTTGTTTACAGAGCCTGGCACCTCCTCCTCTCTTGCTCTTTCTCTTGCCATGTGATGTGCCTTTTCCCCCCTCATCTTCTGCCATGAGTAAAAGCTTCCTGCGGCCTCATCAGAAGCCAACAAAATGTTGGTACCATACCTTGTCTCCAGAACCGTAAGTCAAATAAACCTCTTCATAAATTACCCAGTCTCAGGCATTCCCTTAGAGCAATGCAAAACAGAATTTTGCCTATTCTACGAATAGGCAAATTTTTTTTTTTTCTCTTGAGATGGAGTCTCACTCTGTCACCCAGGCTGGAGTGCAGTGGTACAGTCTCAGTTCACTGCACTCCACCTCCTGGGCTCAAGCGATTCTCCTGCCTCAGCCTCAGCCTCCTGAGTAGCTGAAATTACAGACAAACACAAACATGCCCAACTAATTTTTGTATTCTTAGTAGAAACAGGGTTTCACCATGTTGGTCAAGCTGGTCTCGAACTCCTGACCTCAACTGATCTGCCCACCTCAGCCTCCCAAAGTGCTGAGATTACAGGCGTGAGCCACCACACACGGCCACATTTTTTTTTTTTTTTTTTTTTTTGAGACAGGATCTCGCTCTGTCACCCAGCCTGGAGTATAGTGGCACAATCATAGCGTACTGCATTCTCAAACTCCTGGGCTCAGGTGATCATCCCACCTCGACCTCCTAAGTAGCAAGGACTACAGGCACATGCCACCATGTCCAGGGTTTTTTTTTTCTTTTCTTGTAACAGGCTCTATGTTACCCAGGCTGGTCTTGAACTCCTGGCCTCATGCAATCCTCCCACCTCAGCCTCCCAAAGTGCTGGTATTACCAGCGTGAGCCACTGTGCCCAGCCCATCCTACCTTTTAGTGGAATGTTTGTCGACACTTGGTATACTGCATTTTTATGTGTTAATACAAGCCTGTATTCCCAAATTAAATCCCATTTGGTCATGGTATATAATACATTATTCTATATTGTTGAATTTGGTTTGCTAATGTTTTGTTAAAAGATTTTTACACCTGTGTTCGTAAAGGGCTACTGATCTGCAGGTTCCCTGTGGTATCCTTGTTGGGTTACCAGGATAATACCATGCTCGTAGAATGAGTTGTCAAGTGTTCCTTCCTCTTCTGTTTTCTAAAAGAATTTGTTAAGGATTAGTATTATTGCTTCCTTGATTTTTTTTTTTTAAGATGGTAGTCTTGCTATGTTGCTCAGGCTAGCCTTCAACTCCTGGCCTCATGCCACCTGAGCCTCCCAAGTAGCTGGGACTAAAGGTGTTCATCACCAAGTAAGCCACTGCACCCAGCATGCTTCTTTTAAGTGTTTGACAGAATTCACCAATGGAGACACCTGGGCCTAGGCTTCTCTTTGTAGGAAGATTTTTAATTACTAATTCATTTTAACTGTTATAAGGTCTCATTTTCTATTTCCTCTAGAGTCAGTTTTGATCATCTGTATCTAGGAATTTGTCCATTTCATCTAAGTTGTCTAATTTGGTGAGATAAAGTTGATCATGGCAAATCCCTTATAATCCTTTCAATTTCTGTGGGTAATAATGTCCTTTCATTCCTGACTTTGGTAATTTGTGTTGTCTTTATTTCCTTAGTCTTGGTAGGGGTTTATCAAATTTGTCGATCTTTTCAGAGGACCAACTTTAGTTTCACTGATTTTTCTCAACTGGTTTTGTGCTTTCCATTTCGTTGTTTTCCATTCTAATCTTTATTGTTTTCTTCCTTATACTTGCTTCAGATGTTTGTTGCTGTTGTTTTTTCAGAGACAGGGTCTCACTCTGTTGCCCAGGCTGGAATACAGTGATGCAATCATAGCTCACCGCAGCCTCAAACTGCTGGGCTCAAGCAATCCTCCCACCTCAGCCTCCCAAGAAACACACACCTCTACATCCAGCTACTTCGGATTAGTTTGTGTTTTATCTAGTTTCTTACAATGGACGCTTACGTTAGTGCTTTAAGCCTCTCCTTTTCAAATATCCAGGCATTATAAAAGCTGTAAATCTTCCTCTAAGCACAGCTTCAGCTACATTTCATAAATTTTGATATGTTACGTTTTCATTTAGTTAAAAAAAATTTTTGTGTGTGGGGGGGAAGACAGGGTCTCACTCTATCACCCAGGCTGAGTGCAGTGGCACAATTAAGGCTCACTGCAGCCTCGAACTCCCAGGCCCAGGAGATACACCCACCCCAACCTCCCGAGTAGCTGGGACCAGAAGCGCATGCCACAACTGGCGAATTTCTGGTATGTTTTTGGAGATAGGGTTTCACCATGTTGCCCAGGCTGGTCTAGAACTCCTGGGTTCAAGTGATCCGCCCACCTTGGCCTCCCAAAGTGCTGGGATTATAGGCATGAGCCACTGTGCCTGGCCTAGTTAAAAGTATTTTAAAATTTGCCTTGGAATTTCTTCTTTGCTCTATTATTTATACGTATGTTGTTTAATTTCAAATATTTGGAGATACCAGATTTGTTATGAATCTCTAATTTAACTCCCTTGTATATTTTGCATAAAGTGTTCAATAAATGAGTTCTGTCAAGTTCACTGATAGTGCTGATGAAGTCTTTTATATTCTTGCTAATTTCCTATCAATTATTGCTAATTATTCTATTAATTATTGAAAGTTGGAAATTAAAATCTACAATTACTATTGTTTAATAGTCCATTTCTCCTTTAATTTCTGTCAGTTTTTGCTTCGTGTATTTTGGTGGTCTCCTGTTAGATATATTTTAATAATTATCTTTTTCTCATGTATTGCCCCTTTTGTCATTACAGTATGTCCCTGTCTCTAGTAATATTTCTTGCTTAAACTGTCTGACATTAATATAGTTACTCCAGCTCTCCTATTTGCATGATCTCACTTTTACTTTCAACCTATTTGTGTCTTTAAATCTAAGGTATGTCCATTATTGAACTGACAGCATAGAGCTGTGTTTTGCCTTTTTATTCAGGCTAACCATCTCTACCTTTTGAATAGATGGTACATTCACATTTAATATAACTACTGATATAGCTGGACTTTATGCTATTTTGCTATTTTTGTCTTTTTTTTAACCTCTGCTTCTATTGTATCATCTTTTGTGTGAAGTATGTTTTAGGGTACACCATTTCAATCCCCCCTTTTTTTTTTTTTGACAGAGTCTCACTCTGTTGCCCAGGCTGGAGTGCAGTGGTGTGATCTTGGCTCACTGCAACCTCTGCCTCCCAAGTTCAAGTGATTCTCCTGCCTCAGCCTCCCAAGTAGCTGCGATTACAGGTGCTCGTGACCATGCCCGTCTAATTTTTGTATTTTTAGTAGAGACAAGGTTTCATCATGTTGGCCAGGTTGGTCTTGAACTCCCGAACTCAGGTGATCCACCTGCCTCGGCCTCCCAAAGTGCCGGGATTACAGGCGTAAGCCACCACGCCAGCCTGATTTTATTTTTTTAAACTATACATATTTTGTTGTTTACTTAGTGGTTGCTCTAGGCCTCACAACATGCATCTTTACTTATGACAGTCTAATTTAGTTCCAGGAAATACAGAAACTTTATCCAACATACCTCCTATCCATCCCCTCCTATTATTGCCATATATGTTATAACTTAGTAATAAAATGGTATAATCCTTGCTCTATATAATCTTGTCTTTTTAAAAAATTGAGAAGAAAAAACATACAGACATATTTACTATTTCCACTGTTCATCATTTCTTCTTATGGATTTGAGTTACCATCTGGTATCACTCCCTTTCAGCTTGAAGAATTTCCTTTAGTATTTTAAAGCAGGTCCACTCACAATAAATTCTGTCTTTTTAATGTGGAACTCTTTGTCTTCATTTTTGAAGAACAGTTTTGCTAGATACAGAACATTTAACAATTTTTTTTTTTTTGAGATAGTCTCGCCCTGTCGCCAGGCTGGAGTGCAGTGGCGCAATCTTGGCTCATTGCAACCTCCAATTCCCTGGTTCAAGCGATTCTCCTGCCTCAGCCTCTCCTGACATGAGTAGCTGGGATTACTGACATGCGCCACCACACCAGCTAATTTTTGTATTTTTAGTGGAGAGGGGGTTTCACCATGTTGTCCAGGATGGTCTCAATCTCCCGACCTCGTGATCCACCCACCTCAGCCTCCCAAAGTGCTGATATTACAGGCGTGAGCCACCTCGCCCGGCCAACAATTTTGTTCCCTTTCCACACTTAGAATGTCATCCCATTGCCTTCAGGCATCCATTGCTTTTGATGAGAAGTCAGCCACAAAGCCTATTGTTTTTCCTTATCTATAATGGATCATTTTTTTTCTCGTTGCTTTCAAGATTTTCTCCTTGTCCTTATCTTTCCACATTTTGACTCTGATGTGTGTTTATCATACTTGGCGTTTATTAGGCTTAAATCTGTAGATTAATGTTTATCATCAGATTCAGAAAGTTTTTGCCATTATTTCTTCTAATATTTTCCTGCCCCTTTCTCTCATTCTTCTCCTCCCATGAGTCTCATTACATACACACTTGATGTCCCACAGATCTCAGAGGTTCTGTTCCTTTTTCCTCAATCTTTTTTCTCTGTTCTTCATATTGAATATTTTTAATTCATCTATCTACAAGTTCACCAATTCTTTCATCACCTCAAACCGGCTGCTGAGTCCCTACTTTTCATTTTAGTTATACTTTTCAACTCCAGTCCAGTGCTTCCATTTTTATTTTCTTATAATTTCTCTATTGAAATTCTCTATGTACTAGATCACTGTCATCACACTTCCTCTTTTAATTCTTTAAAAGTTGTCCCTTTATTTCTCTGGAATATCTGTAATAGTTGCATTGAAGTCTTATGTGTGCTAGATCCAACATTTAGGATCACTCAGAGACAGTTTCTACTGTTTTTTTTTTTTTCTTTCCTTAGTATGGGTCAAACTTTGTTTCTCTACATGTCTTTTAATTTTTGTTGTGATACTAAACATTTAAAACAATGTGCTTTTGGCAACTCTGGATTCTGACTTTTCCCCCACTAAGGTTGGTGGTGATGATGAGTTGTTTTTTGTTTTGTTTACTAACTTTCCTGCACTAAACCACCAAGTCTGTCTCCTCTGCAATGTGTAGTTCCTGATGGCTCCGGTTTTTCCCCCCACCTTTTTATTTTGAAGCCTGACTTGCAGGAGATACCCCTCTAACTGTATAGCTTCCTACTCCATTAAAGATTAGTCAGAGATGGTAATCAACCACCTTGAGCTCTTTCACTACCTGCTGCTGCAACTATGGTCAGGATAAGGGGAGCACACTCACACTTCAGGCCTTCACGTCTGTTCCAGTTACTTTTTGCTTGGCTTTCCCACACATCTTTGCATTGGTCAGGGATGTGTGGTAGTCTGGGCTCACACAGGTGTCTGATGTGCATAAATACTCCAACCCAGGATATTCGGAGAGCTTATCAAGCCCCTTGAAACTGTCTCACCTACCAGACCTCCTTGTTAAAGCCCTGGCTAGTCTACTGGCCCACTGTTTATCCTAAACAGAACTGCAACCTCAGAGTAGCAGATTTGCTGGCCCTGTTTCACTTGCCACAAAGATCATCAAATTTAACTGACAACATTCCAAATCAAGAAAGCTCCCTCCTGCAGCAGTCATAAAGCTACTGGTTTTCACCGCCAGCCCCACCCTGGTTGAACTACTGCACTGTCAGGGCTGGGAGAAATAGGAACAGGCCCAGGCAACACGACAAAACTCCTGCTGTTCTTACCCCAAGTACAGTGGTTTTCATGAATAAATGCTTCTCAATTTGTTTTAAGCCTTTGCTGTTTTTGAAAATTTGGGGAGAGAGAATTTTTTGACCTCCTCATTCACTCATGCCAGATATAAATGTCTTTGGCACCCAAACTGCTTAAATACAACTTAATCTCAAAATTTCACTTAGGAGGGAAAACTTCCAGAGGAAGGCAGAGGTATAAACTCATCTTGGGATTATGGAATCATTTTCAGTTCCAGAAAGCAACAGCCCAAAACTGTAAAGAGTTATTTTCAATTCTCTCTTCCCAAAAGCCATAACTACTGGAGTCTTTAGTGCCTTCCATGTGTATATATAAGCTGGACAAGCCCCAGGGCCAATGATGACTAGGGCAAAAGTACACAATCTCAGACTTTATCACCAGTTAGGTACTCAAATAGGTCCCAGGCAAAGTAGTACACTGAGTGTTACAGCTGGCCTTGGTCACTATGATTAAGCCCATCAGCATGCCTTGATGGCTATCATGGGTCCCTTTCCCACTGGCCCAGGTCTTAACTCTCAGCCCATCTGGTCATTAGCATTCCAAGACCAAGAGCTCTGGGTCTTAAAGCTTATACCCACAGCCAGTAACTGCGTGACCTGAATATATCTCTCTTCTACTTGCCAAATGTCAAGCATCAATTAATACCTGGATTCTCACTGCATTTCTCAGATCCCCATCCTCTCTCATCTCAGGCCCAGCAAATAATTCCTAATTAATCCATTAATCTATGCCCCTGAGTTTTCCCTGTCTGCTCATTGTCCTGGCTCAAATACCAGATTCCATAGTCAGTTTCCAGAATCTCCATCCTGCCTATTTCCTGACTGAAGTAATCATGTCAGATAATTTCTCTGTTCTATTTATATTCTCCTTAGAATACTTCTACAGCTTCTACTGAATAGTCAATTTACCATAGCTCCTGAAAGGACAAATGGACCCTGATCCAATCTGGGCTTATACTCCTTCCTAAGTGTTTACAATTTGAACACAAATACTTTAGTTAGTCTGTGTCAAGCATGGGTGCTAGAAGGCTATGTGACATGCCAGGGGAGGGGAGGGGCAGCCATTTTCCATCATGGACACAGAAGCGAGGAGTATCAGTCTAAAGAAGTTATCAACCAGAGGCACTAGAAAAAGCAGAAATGAGACTCCACATAGCCACAGAGAGATGGAAAAGAAATCCTGGCCTTGGTTCTTCATGAAATTCAATTGCATGCTCTGCCATTGAGCCCCAAGAGAAAACAAATACTTTTGCACCAGGTGGGTTGGCGCACACCTGTAATCTCAGCACTTTGGGAGGCCAAGGCGGGCAGATCACTTGAGGTCAGGAGTTCGAGACCAGCCTGACCAACACGGTGAAACCCTGTCTCTACTAAAAATACAAAAAATTAGCTGGGAAAGGTGGCAGGCACCTATAACCCCAGCTACTCGGGAGGCTGAGGCAGGAGAATCGCTTGAACCTTGCCTGAACCCAGGAGGCAGAGGTTGCAGTGAGCCAAGATCATGCCACTGCACTCCAGCCTGAGCAACAAAGTGAGATTCCATCTCGAAAAAAAAAAAAAAAGAAACCCAGTACTTTCTAACAATGTCCCTATTTTAAACTAGCTTGAGAGTGTTTCTGTTCCTTGCCATTGAACTACTCCAGAGAAAAGAGAATCACTCAATCCCATAATTAATATTATTTTGATGAAAATGGAAAATGTTTAGGGCTTGGTTTTTTACTGCATCTTAGTTATGCTGGACAACTGAGGGGCCAAATGATCAGACACGAGACAAGTCAACAAAAGTCTCCGCACAAAATCATTACATGAAGGACTTTATTTCCTTCTCGATGACATAGAACTTCTCCATTCAACGTAACAGAAAAACAATTCCTTAAAAAAATCATTTGGTTATTAAAAGTCACAAATAATAATTCTGTCAACAGAACTGACCACATGTAGTAATCCTACCAACTGTATCAGAACTATTATAAACACCTGTGAATACACAATGAAACACACACACACACATACACACACAATGTTGAGGTTTTGCTTTAAGTCACAGAAAAAACACCCCCTTTCTATTTCACATTTAGCATCAAAGGTTCATTGCAATGAGCCTCAGCCTAAGGCTATTTTTCTACCTTATCCTCCTCCTTCCCAACCTCTTAGCCCCATGATTCTCAAGGTATAAAGGATCTTCCTGGTGAATTAATCCAACATTCATCCATCTTATGAGTGACTGGTGTTCAGTTTATTTCTGCCTGTGATTAAAAGCTACATGCAAGTAACTTGTTAAGTGACTATTAATACAATTCAATGTTTATAAACGAATGAGACTCTAGTATTCTACTAAGCCTAGTTGCCAAAAATGGGTGGAAAAGTTGCAAAGATCCTTCCGCAATTGCACACGTAAGATCAGCTGGAAATCTTACAGTTCTCAGAAGAACTCCATTATCACTGTTGAGGAAATTAGTGGTAGTTTTCAATTGCTGCTATTTTTGCTTTACTCTTCAATTACAGTTCATTCAGCATCATCATTTTCAAGTTAGTTTGATTCATGTGGTGTATAATGATAGGTATTACATTAACAGTATCCTTATTTTGAAATTTTCCAGTAATTAAATCTTGACATGCATATGTCATGTTTCAAATATGAACCATACCCAATTGTTAAAGCGCATCTATCATCCTTACTCCAAGCCTATTTGTACATAATAGTCCACTGCCAATGAATAATTATGAACCGGAAAGCAGGAACATGCAAGTTAAGTAGATTTTTACATGCCTAAGTCAGCTAAGGTTTAAAAAAAAAAAAAAAAAAAAAAAAAAAAGCTGGCATCTTTGCCATAACCAAGCAATCTATTCTAGCCTGCCAGGTCACACTGTTTACACCCTAGTGGTCTTCCCCAAACATTATCTTAATTTTCACAGCCCTATAAATTCTATCCACCACTTCATGGAATCTCACACCCCCTTAACTGATCTTCTTCCTTCACCACTGCCTTAAACAATTCCTTGCCAAAGAAAATCTGTTCTCCTATTTCCATTTAAAAAAAAAAAAAGCCACATCTTAGACAACATTCACAAACACTCCTTTATCCATGCCCAAGGAATGGAGTGTCAGACCCAAAAATGGCGAGGAGCCATTAATGCCTCTCCCTGAAATCTCTCTGCAAGTAGATTTCTTCTTTTTATCATTAATAAAGTAGGTTTCAGGCACATCCTTCTCACCCCATCCCCAAACTCAGATCCCCTTGCATTAAGGGTCTACTCTATTACTTTAACCTTCTGTCCCTATTACCTCCTACTGCCAATATTCAAAGAAAAGTGACCACTGGATACCCACTGAGTAAGTCAAGATTTTCAAGCTTGAGAGGCAAGAGAAGTGAGACAGGGAAATGAATTCCCATGTGTCTTTATTGTTAAGATACAGAGTCTCACTATGCTGCCCAGGCTGGTCTTGAACTCTGCAGCTCAAAAAATCCTCTTGCCTCAGCCTCCTGAGGAGCTGGGACTATAGGCCCCATATATTTTTAGAGTTTTTGTACATGCTCTTAGAATGACCTAAGGGTATACAACTCCCTTCTCCAAGATTTTGAAGCCTAGCTGTACCAGAAAATCTTGTTCCGAGTTTTGCAAGCACAGGTTTTCTATTTTTCAGTCTGAGTGCTCTTCCCTCTTTGGTTAGGGCCTGTTGCCACCTAATGGACAAAACTGGCATACCCACCAATACATTAACACAGGTTCTCACCTCTGTGCTTCCAGAATAGACCACTAGATGGAGACTTAAAAACTGAAGGAGGAGGAGAGAGCGCTTATGCCCATCTAGAAAGCCTATTAGTTGGTTTATGACTACACGAAAAATTAAACTAATGCAGATTCAACAAATAAAAGGGAATATGCCCAAAATGAGAAATTAAGGAAAAATAAAAGTCTTCTGGAGGCTGGGTGTAATGGCTCACACCTGTAATCCCAGCACTTTGGGAGGCCGAGGCAAGGGGACCACTTGAGGCCAGGAGCTGGAGACCGGACTGGTCAACAGGGCGAAACCCCTTCTCTACTAAAAATACAAAAATTAGCCAGGTAGGTGACACACGCCTGTAGTCCCAGCTACTCAGGAGGCTAAGGCACAAGAATCGCCTGAACCTGGGAGGCGAAGGATGCAGTGAGCCAAGATCACGCCACTGCACTCCAGCCTGGGCGACAGAACAAGACCCTGTCTCAAAAAAAAAAAAAAGTCTTTTGAAGGCAGTATGGCACCAAGATTAAAACATAGGTTTTGGCTCTTCTACACATAATCACAAAAATCCATTAACAAAATATTACCAAGTTGAATTCAGCAACACTGGAAAATTATAATACATCACTGACCACATGAGGTCTATTTCAGCATTAAAAGGCTAGCCTGAGTTTCAAAATTCAATCAGTGTAATTCACCATATTAAGTCTAAACAATCTAGATGGAGAATTGGTATGAAAACATAACTGATTTACAGATTAGTAATTAATTATTAATCTGAAAACAACACCACTCATGATAAAAAAAACTCTTAGCAAACTAGCAACAGCATTTTCTCAAGTTGATAAAGGGCATCTACAAAAACCCTACAGCTTCCTGATTTCAAAATTTACTACAAAGCTACAGTAATCAAAACAGTCTGGTATTACCATAATGACAGACATAGACCAATGGAATAAAATAGGGAGCCCAGTACTAAACCCTCATATATATGGTCAAACAATTTTTGTCAAGGTTACCAAGACCACTCAATGGAGAAAGAATAATCACATGGTACTGATAAAATAATATCCACATGAGAAAAAAATGAAGCTGGCCTTTACCTTTATACCATACACAAAAATTAACTCAAAATCGATCAAAGACTTAAACATAAGCCCTAAACTATAAAACTTTTAGAAAAAAAAAACAGGAGATAGCTTCATGACAATGGGTTTGGCAATGGTTTATTGGATATGATACAAAAAGCATAGGCAACAAAAGAAAAAACTGCTCGATAACATGAAAATGTAAAACTTTTGTGCATCGACGGACACAACAGAATGAAAAAGCAACCTGCAGAATGGATGAAAATATTTGCAAATCATGTATCTGTTAAGAGATTAATATACAGAACACAGAAAGAACTCGTATAACTGAAACAAAAACCCATAAAGAATCCAATTAAATAGGCAAAAGACCTCAATAAACATTTCTCCAAAGAAGACACACAAATGGTCAATAAGCACATGAAAAGATGCTCAATATCACTAATCATTAGGGAAATGCAAATCAAAGCCACAATGAGATATTGTCTCACAACCATTAGGAGAGCTACTATCAAAAACACAGTAAATAAGTGTTGGTGAGGATGTGGAGAAATTGGAACCCTAGAGCACTGCTGATGAGAACGTAAAGTGGGGCGGCAGCTATGGAAAACAGTATGGTGATTCCTGAAAAATTAAAAACAGAATTACCATAGGGTCCAGCAATTCCACTTCCAGGTATACACCCCAAAGAATTGAAAGTAGGGACTTGAAGAGAGACATCCATGTATACTCATGTTTACAGCAGCATTATTCACAATAACCAAATGGTGAAAGCAACCCAAGTGTCCATCAATAGGTGAATGGATCAACAAAATGTGGTATATACATACAATGCAATCTTATTCAGCCTCAAAAATGAAGGAAATTCTAACACTATACAACATAGATAAACTTTAGGCACATTATGCTAAGGGAAATAAGCCAGTTACAAAAGGACAAAACTGTATGATTCCACTTAAATGAGGTACCTAGAGTAGACAAATTCATAGAGACAAAAAGTAGAATGGTGGTTACCAGGAGCAGGGGAGAATGGTTATTGTTAATGGGTACAGAGCTTCAGTTTTGCAATATGAGAAGAGTTATGTGGATGGATGCTGGTGATAGCTGCACAACCAGTGTGAATGTACTTAATGCCACTGACCAGCACATTTAAATATGGTTAAGATGGTAAATGCTACGTCATGTATATTTTACCAGAACTCTACAAAATAAAAGAAAGCCCAATAGAGGTGTCATCATACTTGATACTGAAATTGAACTCCTTCCCCCTAAGATTAAGAACAAGGTGAGAACATCACTCTCACCATTTCTATCTATCATTGTACTGGAAATCTTAGCCAGTGCAATAAGAAAAATAAATAAGTCATAAACATCAAAAAGGAAGAAGTAAACTCTCTTTATTCACAGATGTACACATAAAAAGTCCCAAGAAATTTATTTTTTAAAGTTACTAGAACTAACAAATTTAACAATGTCACAAGATACAAATACATAAAAATCAACTGCATTTATATATACTAGCAACAATTGGAAAATAAAATTTAAAAATAATATCATTTACTATAACATTAAAAAACAAAATACTTAAGGATAAAGATGTATAAGATCTCAACACTAAACTTTTTAAAACACTAACAAGAAAAAAGAAAGATGACCTAAATAAGGAGAAAGATACACTGACTTCGTAGATTAGAAGACTCAACATTGGCTGGGCACGGTGACTCATGCCTGTAATCCCAGCACTTTCGGAGGCCGAGGCGGGCAGTTCACAAGGTCAAGAGATCGACACCATCCTGACCAACATGGTAAAACCCCATCACTACTAAAAATAAAAAAACTAGCTTGGCATGGTGGTGCACACCTGTAGTCCCAGCTACTCGGGAGGCTGAGGCAGGAGAATCGCTTGAACCCAGGAGGCAGAGGTTGCAGTGAGCCGAGACCATGCCACTGCATTCCAGCCTGGTGACAGAGTGAGTGAGACTTCGTCTCAGAAAAAAAAAAAAAAGAAGACTCAAGACTCAATATTATTGACTGGGTATGGTGGCTCACACCTGTAAACTCAGTGCTTTGGGAGGCTGAGGTGAGAGGGTAGCTTGTGGCCCTAAATTTAAGACCAGCCTGGACAACATAGTGAGACCCCGTCTCTACAAAAATATATATATATTTTTAGAAAATTGGCCAGATGTAGCAGTGAGTACCTGTAGTCCCAGCTACTCTGGAGGCTAGGCCAAGAGAATCCCTTGAGACCAGGAGTTTGAGGCTGCAGTGAGCTATGGATTGCACCACTGTACTCCAGCCTCAGTAACAGAGTGAGACCTAGTCTCTAAAAAACAAAATAAAATTTTAAAAAATTTAAAAGCAACCCAATATTATTAAGTTGACCACTCTTCCCAAATGGACAGAGTCAATACAATTCAATCAAAATCTCAGCAAGTTTTGTTAAAAAAAGAAAAAAGAAAGTTGATATGCTAATTCTGAAATTTATACGGAAGTGGGGAGAAAAAAAAACACTACAATAGCCAAATAATCAAAACAACTTTGAAAAAGAAGGATGGAGTTGGAGGACTACTTCTATCTGATTTCAAGATCTGTTATAAAGTTATAGTAATCAAGACACTATGGTATTGGTAAAAAGATTAATAGAAGGGAATATAGGGTCTATAAATAGACTCACAATTATTTTTCAGCAAGAGCATCAAAATATTCAACAGCTAGGTGCAGTGGCTCATGCCTAAAATCCCAACACTTTGGGAGGCCGAGGCAGGAGGATTACTTGAGGCCAGGAGTTCGAGACCAGCCTGACCAACACAGTGAAACCCTGTCTCTACCAAAAATTTAAAAATTAGCCTGGCATGGTGGTTGTGCACCTGTGGTCCCAGCTACTTGGGAGGCTGAGGCAGGAGGATTGCTTGGGCCCCAGGAAGAGGAGGCTGCAGTGGGCCATGGTCATGCTACTGTACTCCAGCCTGGGCAGCAGAGTGAGGCCCTGTCTCAAAAAAATAAAATGTAATGAAGAAAGCCTTTTCAACAAATGGTGCCAAACAAATGAATATTCATATTAAAAAGACTTTCATTCCTACCTCATAATACAGAAAAAACAAATTTGAGATCCATTATTATAGACATAGATGTAAAAGCTAAAATAATACTGTTTCTAGTAGAAAATATAGCATATCTCTGCAATCTCAGGTTAGGCCAAGATTTGTAGAGAGGGCACAGAAAATGTTAATCATAAATTAATAAATTGGACTTCATAAAAATTTTAAAGTTCTGTTCCTCACAAAACATGTTAAAAAGTAAAAAGGAGCCACAGACTAGGAGAAAATATTTACAACACATATCTGACGGACTTATATGTTATATGTAGAATAACAAACACCCACCACTCGACAGTTGAACAAAACACATGAATTTCTTTTTTATTTATTTATGTTTTTTGAGACCAAGTCCCGTTCTGTCATCCAGGCTGCAATGCAGTGGTGCAATCTTGGCTCACTGCAACCTCCACCTTTCAGGTTCAAGCAATTCTTGTGCCACAGCCTCCTGAGTAGCTGGGATTACAGGCAGGCACCACCACACCCAGCTAATTTTTGTATTTTTAGTAGAGACGGGGTTTCGCCATGTTGCCTTGCCCACACTGGTCTCGAACTCCTGGGCTCAAGCAATCCACCTGCCTTGGCCTCTCCAAGTGTTGATATTACAGGCGTGAGCCACTGCACTCAGCCACATGAATTTACCAAAAGATTTGAACACTTTTAAGAGATGACACATGAATGACCAATAAGTACATGAAAACGTGACCAATATTATTAGTCATCAAGAAATGCAAGTTTAAACCACATCAATCCTATTACAATGCTCACTAGAGTGACTAAAATTTTAAAAACTAGCAATAACAAATGCTTGCAAAGATGTGAAACTGAAACTCATATACTACTGGAACTAAGATGTATGAACATCTGGGAAATCTGTTCGGAAATTTCATAAAAAGTTTAACATATACCATATCACCCAGTAATTCCTAGATGTATGACTAAGAGAAATAAAAACACAGGTCCATAAAAACCTTATACAAGAAATTTTATAGCTGCTTTATTCATAATAACCAAAAATTAGAAGCAGCCCAGGTATCAACAGGTAAATAAACTATGGTACGGTCAAAGGAATACTCCTCAACAATAAAAAGAAATGAACTACTAACACCAGCAACACATAGATGAGTCTCAAACATCATGCTGAAACAAGCACGAAAGAGCACATATTGTATGACCATATATACATGACATTTTAGAAAACAGGCAAAACTAATCTATCATGATGGAAACCAGAAGTTATTGCTTTTTGGGGTAAGTAGTGGGATGGACTGGGAAAAGTAAAAGGGAATTTTCTGAAGGGATGGAAATGTTCTGTATCTTGATAGAATGTGGATTACTAGGGTGCACACATTTATAAAAATGCTTAACCTTAACACTTTAGATCTATGCGTTTCATTGCATGTAAGTCACGCCTCAATTTTAAAAAGATAAGGACATGGACTTTGGGATCACACAGGGTTCATCTCTGCCACTTACCAGCTGTGTGACCTTGGCCAAGTGTTAAACTGTCAGTTTCCTCATCTGTAAAATGGGGCAGAACAAGAGTTGAGAATAACCTTGTAGAGCTGCCAGGAAGAGTAAATGAGATAAATGTTTTAAAGTCATTAACATACAGTAAATGCTCATCAAATATTAACAAAAAGAAATTAGAAACCTTTTGTCTTGTATTTCCACAAAAGAGAAACATGCAGGACTAGAGCAGCTAACTGCTGGGCAATTCATGTATATTATCTCATTATTTTTTAAAACAACATTTAACAAGAATTACTACTGTTTCAAAGATGAACAAACTGAGCTTCACACGTTGCCTATGCTACTCAGCAAGAAAGCAGGAAGGCCAGGATGCTAACTTTCACTCATGTTTTTTCCACTGTACCATGCACCCATGCATTTCATTAGGGTCGCTTTCAGCAGGTATCCCTGCAACTGTCAGGATAGCCCAATTTATATAAGAAGCTCCCTCCATTATCAATAGTGCTGGCTCAAGCCTCAAGCCTGACACTGAAAAGGAGGCAAATTCTGATGGCTTTACTAGTGAATGGAAGCAGGGTTGCAAGTAGAAGCCTGAAAATGCTGTAGAAGTCTTTTACTTTATTCTCAGACTTCAAAGATGGTTCCTGCTACTTGAGGACTCTGATTCCCCCTTCCTTAGAACAATTTCAAGATAACAGAATTCTGAATGTAAAATCTGTGCTTTAAGTGGAAGCTAGAACCTATTGGCTCAATTTGGCAGAATAGCCATGGAAATCTGGCAGCTAAAATGAGAGAGAATTTTTTAAATGCATGTCTTTTTTCTTAATAATGTGATGTTCTTAAAAACAGAAAACTCAGAGATAATGAAAGATACCCTGTAATCTCATTTTCCCAAAAACACCACTATTAAAATTGGATCACCTTCCAGACTAAAAATTTGCCTTCTCCTTAAGTCTACAGCATCCTACTGCATGAATAACCACAATCCATTTATCGAGTCCCCTATTAAACTTAAATTGTTACCTTTTTTTTTTTTTTTTTTTTTTTTTTTTAAAGACAGGGTCTCGTTCTGCTGCCCAGGCTGGAGTACAGTGGCGCGATCTTGGCTCACTGCAGCCTCCACCTCCTGGGCTCAAGCGATCCTCCCACCTCAGCATCCCCAGTAGCTGGGATGACAGGCATGCACCAGCACGCCTGGTTATCCAATTTTTTTTACTATTATAAATGCTAAAAGAAGCATCTGTAAACATACATTTTTCATAACTGTCAAGTATTTAGGATAAATTCCTAGACGTATGAATTGTTCAATCTAAGTTTTCTTTTGTGGCGGGGAGGGTGGAGACAGGGTCTCACTCTGTTGCCCAGGCTGGAGTGCAGTGGTGCGATCACAACTCACTGTAGCCTCGACCTCCCAGGACCAAGTGATCCTCCCAAGTAGCTGGGACTACAGACATGTGCCGCCACACCCAGCTAATTTTTGTATATTTTGTAGAGATGAGGTTTTGCCATGTTGCCCAGGCTGGTCTCAAACACCTGAGCTCAAGGGATCCACAAAGTGCTGGGATGACAGGAGTGAGCTACCTCTCACCTGGCCTGTAATTTTAAATTTTATATTTTTAAATTTTAAACTGCCAAGTCTGAAAAATTAACCTGCACATTATCAGTTTTAATAGGTATCAGATTACATTTTTAAGAGTTCCCATTTTCCCACACTCTCATCATCCCTAAAAATTATTTAATGTAGGAGCTGAAAACTCAAATGCCTACAGAAGACTAGCAGGAAACGTAAATGGGTAAAGGAGGCCACCAAGGTTCTGTGAAAACCTAAGAGTATACGCTCATTTAAAGAAGGCAGCAGGCTGAGCACAGTGGCTCACACCTGTAATCTCAGCACTCTGGGAAGCCGAGGTGCGCGGATTGCTTGAGTCTAGGAGTTGGAAACCAGCCTGAGCAACCTGGTGAAACCCCACCTCTACAAAAAAACACAAAGATTAGCCCACCGCGGTAATGCGCGCCTATAGTCCCAGCCACTCGGGAGACTGAGGTGAGAAGAACTGCTTGAGCCCAGGAGGTCGAGGCTGCAGTGAGCCATGATCGCACCATTGCACTCCAGCCTGGGTGACAAAAGACCGTGTCCCCAATCCATATAAAGAAGGCAGCCACTACTCTGTTCCAGCCAAGAGATGCCATATAAAAATCTGAGCTCAATGTTAGATATTACAATTTATCAAGAAAGCCAGAAATCCAAAGTTTTTTGAAACTCTTGAACGTTTTTGGGTTTTTTTGAAATGCAGTTTTGCTCTTGTCACCCAGGCTAGAGTGCAATGACGCAATCTCAGCTCACTGCGGCCTCCACCTCCAGGGTTCAAGCAATTCTCCTGCCTCCATCAGCCTCCCAAGTAGCTGGGATTACAAGCATGCGCCACCACGTCCAGGTAATTTTGTATTTTTAGTGGAGATGGGGTTTCACCATGTTGGCCAGGCTGGTCTCGAACTCCTGACCTCAGGTGATCCACCCACCTCAGCCTCCCAAAGTGCTAGGATTACAGGCGCGAGCCACCACGCCCGGCCATCTTGAACATTTTAAATGTTGACAACTAACATGATTTTATTTAAACATCCTGGAAGTCAAACAAAATACATCTATAGGGCAGACTACACTTAGGACATGGAATTTTGTACTAACAGATGAAAAAGATCTTTAACACTGTATTTTCACTTTGAATCTTATTTTGCAGTTTTGATTTTCTTATGCTTACCAACAAAGCACATTCAATTTTGGTTCACAATGACTGTCGGCTCTCTTCAAAGAGAGAGGCTTATCTTTTCTTTCAGATCATATCTATGACAAATACTGGACCAAAATAAAACAAAAACAAAGTAGCTTCAGGTAAAGAGGCAAAGAGTGGTCCCGGTTGACCAAAGAGTACCCAGAAAGGGCCTCAGTTAGAACTGAGTTATTATAGCCTCAGCATGCTAAGAATATGTGAGATATTTAGAAAAAAAAAGTTAATTTGTAAAACTATGTACAACTTTGAAGACAGTGACTTTAATCTAGGGTATCCCCCCACTACTGATACGTTTGCCTAACACAGAAGGTTTTCTCTTTGGCAAGAGTTCAAAAAAGGAAGAGAAGAATTCCCATGTATTCCCTTGTTATCAAGCACTGAATTTAAGCAACCCCTTTCAGCTTTTTTTTAATAAAATAAAACAAATGTTTATTAAAAGTCTTTGTCTCATCTGAAAATGTTACTGCAATATTGCTCCCATGGAAAGAACAACTGCAGAACCTAACTAGCCTCAGAATTTCTTCTCATTCCTTCTTAGTCATTCATTAAAATCTCCAGACTTAGATATTCAAGCAATCCCTTCACCCACCAGAGATAGTGGCAGACATCCAAGACTATCCAAGGACCCAACAACCGCCTTTGAATGCAACTATCTTTTCATCAACTGTAAACAAGTGCTAAACTCTCGGCTCCATAGGGAGTCCCTACCAAGTCAGTATAAACTCAAATAGGGGCAGAGGTCAAGGGGATGAGAGTTCACCCTAAGCTCTGGATCTCATACCACCCCTACCCTGATCAAAACAATCCTTATCAGAAGGGAACTCCTCAGCAAAAGGCCACATTCAGAAGGCTTGATCTAGCAGCAATGCCACAGAATCAACTGAAGCTTTGGAAGCAGGCACTCGGAACTGTTATGAATGTGACATAGCAAAATCACTAACAGTGTTGCAGAGAAAAAGGGACATAAAGGGAGGAAACAAGGGAGATTTGTGAACTATCTTAAGTTGCTTCAGGAAAGAACTCACTTGAAAAATAGTGGAATAATCCTGAATCTGAGCCACAGAAGACAACTCGGGAACCTATTCCACAATGAATCATTCTACTTTGTGTCCAAAACCACCCTAATACACGCAGAAGAGGCCCAGATGACACTTCAAAAATAGTCTTCATTCTTTTACACAAAAACCCTGATTATATATGTTATAAATCATTACACTGCCTTAAAGTCTTCCACCATCAGCATTTGAGATCTGTCACAATCAAGACAGCTAGAGACAGGATAGAAATTAATTATTTAATAAAGCAGGGGCTCTGAAGTCTCAGATACTTCACTAGGTACTTTGGGGTGAGTCATTTAATCTCTTCAGGCCTCATAGTTCTCATCTGTAAGATGGGGATTGTATCTTTTTAAACAAATCTTATGAATGCTTAATAAAAAATGCATGTGAAACATTCTGTGCATAGTAAATATTAGCTATCCTTACTATTATGTGGTAAAAGCCACATCATATTTTGTGTCTGCCTTCCTGATTAAACCAGAGTCCTTTCTGGGCAAGAACTATGTCTCAGCTTGGCACCCAAAGTAGGGAGGGAGAAAAGAACAATAAGTGCGTTAAATGAACTAAGTATTACCAAGTCAAACTTAAAATCAGATCATTTTATATGCTATAATCCTTCTCACACTTACTGAATATACGCAAAGTGCCTGGCACACAAGGAATACCAAATACACAAGTAAATGGTAATTTCCTTTTCTTCCTTCATCTGTAACATTCAGTCTTAAGTTCACTCTCTGCAGACATTTGGGCTTATATAAACTACTTTCTGAGACCAAAAATTGTGACACATAGTTTGACAACTAGGAATAAATCCATTAGAACATGTGACAGAATACTGGAATTTTAGGGTACGCTAGCTGAGATGTACACATTTCTCTTTTGTAGCTGGAAGAATCCACAAAAAAATATCTTTGGGATCCCAAGTCACGTGACAGTTGAATGCAAAGCCAGAGCAAGTTCGTGGTGCCAGGCTTTCTTTTTATCTTGCCTATTTTTTATCTTGTTTTTTTCATCTTGCCTGTTCATCCCACCAACACATGTAGAACTCTCCTTGGTGGGCATCTACCAATATGGCAAGATATACCAAAATTTAATTTACGTTTTTTCTGAGACAGGGTCTCACTCCCGACACCCAGGCTAGAATGCAGTGGTGCAATCTCTTGGTTCAGTGCAGCCTCAACCTCCAGGGCCTCAGGTGATCCTCCCACCTCAGCCTCCCAAGTAACTGGGACTACAGGTACACGCCTAGAGTCGGGGTTTCATCATGTTGTCCAGGCTGGTCTCAAACTCCTAGGCTCAAAATAATCTGTCCACCTTGGCCTCCCAAAGTGCTAGGATTACAGGTGTGACCCACCACACCCAGCACTTAACTTTCAAGTCTCTTTTAAAATACTCATATAAATATATATACATACACACTATATTACATATAGTGACATATACTATATATTAATACATACTATTTATTATACACATTATATATATGCTATATCATTTATATAGGTCCTTGATCATTAGAATATACTTTATTTTTTAAAGTCTGAGTAAACAGGAATCCATGGTAATAGTCAGATTTTAAATTCTACAAACTTTTTCTTCAGTATGCTTTCTGTAAGACCTTGCTATTGACCAAAAAGAAAGTGTGTAATTCGAGTATCTGTTTTAAATAAGCAGAAGGTTAACATGTTCAGTCTCCTAAGAGGTTAAATGTGTTGGCAGATGGTCATTTGGGAGGTTACCTGCTATTGGCTGGGGAAGAGGACCAAAACACCCTAACAGTCACTGAGATGGTAAAGAAGTCCCGACCAAAAGAGTCAGCAGCATATGAGCTCTTCTATTCCTGTGACTGAACTATTTAATTGAGTCTATGGTCATACACTCTGAACACGCCCAATCTCATCTGAACTATTTACTTGAAGCAGTAACTTACACCTGCCAACACCTTTGTGTCATTAAGAAACACAGGCCAGCTTAATTGAATAAAACAGTTTCAACAGCCCATTAGTGCAGAAAGACTGAGAATTTCAACATTATACTACATAGCCTAGAACAGTATACACTTAATAGTATTTACCATTTGTCAAGCACTATTCCAAACTTTAAATATATTACATTCACTTAATCCTCACAGCAACCCAATAAAATAAAAATACATTTTACTGTCCTCATTTCATAGATGAGAAAAGGAAGGCAGAGAGTTTAAGTAATTTAACCAAGATTACAGTGAAGCCAAGTTGAATCCAAGCAATCTTGAGCCAGAGTCTATGTTCTTAATTATAAGAGCAGCTTTGGCTTGCATAAAAAAACTAAAGCACTCATTCGAAATGCAGACAAAAAATTTATACACAAACGTGTTCACTGTGGCATTATTTATGATGCAGAAAAAACTGAAAATCTAAATGCTCAACAATAGGAGGATGGTTAAATAAATCATGATAAAGCTATTTACTTATTTAATGAAATATCCTTCCGTTAAAAACATTTGTGAAAATCGTTTCATGACTTGGGACAATGTTCCCAATGTAATACAGAGTGGGGGAAAACAAACAGGATACAAAAATTGCATATATAGTATAGATTCCTAATTATGTAAAAGATGAGCTCGGACACAACCTGGAAGGACATACTCTCAAACGTGAAGCAATGGTTATTTCTAGGTGGTGGGATTAGAGATGCTTCTATTTTCTTTTAGTGTTTTCCATAGTGAACCATACATTATTCTACTACCAGTTTAAACAAAAACAATGTTTTTTTCTTTTAATCAAGCTACACCAAGATCCTCAACCAGCTGGTAAAAAAAGAGAAAAAAAAAAACCACACAGCTAAAAAGCTTCTAATATGTCTAACTTCAAGCAGGTACTTTCCTTGGGATTATATCCTTTGAACATCAGACAACATAGCACATACCAAAAAAAAAAAAAAATTCAATCTTCAACTTTGGAAACTGAATTAAAGTAAGTACTTTCAATTTTGGTCAATGTTTACTCTCAGTGTAATTACTTGTAGGATTATGTTACAAGAGGAGAAATGGACTTCATTATATGTAAGCCAAAAATTCAGGAACAGTATTTCTGAAATAGATAATAAGAGACAAAAAGTTTGGCGAGGAAGAACAGCTGTTGCTAATCCAACTATTTACCCTTTGACCCTCTATCTGGCCAGTAACCGAACACTATCAACTGTTTCCCTTTATTATGTGCTGTTTACAATCCCTGAGAGGCATGAAAGGAATTAATAATTTAGCCTAGAAAGCTGACAGCCTTTATTGGGAAGCCCCTTGTCTATGGGACAGAAATCAGAGCAAGTCCTGAAGTCACAGGTCCCTTTACTGTTCCTGTTTTATAGCCTAACTGGCCCCCAAACATAAATCAATTATTTCTCCTGTTTTAAGCAACAATGACTTCTATTCTCTAACTTCCCTTGTATCAAGTCGGTCCTTGTTCTCTTGAGTTTTACAGCTACACGGTAAACACGACGGCCGAGGAAAAAACTCGGGGAGCAGGGCAGACAGGGGTTATTTGGAAACAGAAGCACAGAAAGGTTATGCTGTTTTGAACTTCTCTTGACCTTTGACTGCCCTTGTCCCTAGCTTATGCTAATGGACATGGTACAGGGACACTTCTTGTAGAAATGAACTTAGCCTGAACCTGTGCCATAACATTGGACTCCAGGAAGTCCAGGAATCATAGGAAGGCAGCCAGAGTGTGAACAGCTGCCCATATTCTGAGCATGGCTGCCCATCTGCTTTATCACACTAAAGGTATTTAAAAAAAAAGAAAAAAAAAAAGCCAAGCCATTTAATTGGACAAAGTCAGTCTTTCCTCAACTAGTTCCCACATGACACCTGCTGTCCCAAACCTGCTGCCTACAACCACTGCCATGCACAACTGGAAATTAGCAACGAAGTATTTCCTGTTCCAAAATAAGGGAGTGTGAGCAGGCTTTCCTATCAGGAATCTGGGGAATGGGGGGCAATATTTGGGCCTCCAAATTCCAAAGATACAACACAAGGAAATCTGTAATATCCTCAAAAGTCATGCGGGGCTCGGCCTGGTAATCCCAGCACTTTGGGAGACCAAGGCAGGAGGATCACTTGAGCCCAGGAGTTTGAGACCAGCCTGGAGAGCATGGCAAAAATTCGTCTCTAGTCAACTTAAGAGAAAAATACCAAATTTTAAAAACTTTTTAAAATACTGACAAATTCGGATCAAATTTGAGGGAATAAAAAATGTTAGACCAAAGGAGTTTGCTGGTTGTGTCATTATTTAATGATCAAAGTATAGTGTGTATGCCTTGTAACAGACTTGTTGACTACAGGCTTAATGTAAATGAGAATCTTGCCAGATGTAGCTACTTAAGGGAAAAGAAGGGTTTTTAACAGAAATGAACTTTTGATTAGTTCTTACATTTTTATGGTACCAATCACAGGGCAAAATTTCCTGAATATTGGGTGATGTCAAAGGCATATCATACTTGAGGAAATCAGGCCAAGTATAGCTCAGTAATTACATTCATAAACACTCAAGTTTTTTTAGTTGGGGTCATGTCAAACCCTCACATCGTTGTTAAGTAGTGACTGTAACTGTGTATGTCCTTAGTGGTAGGTGAGCACCAGTCTCCATGACCAAAAATGTCCCCTAAAATCCTTTGAAAAAGCCACTAGTTCTGTGAATTGTCCTTCTCCCTCCTGCCCCTAACTGTCCTGCACCTCTAGCCTACATTAGCATATTTCTCATGTAATGTATTTTGCTGGTAAGTTCATCGGTTAGCTGCATCCTTCAGCTATTCCTTTATATTGGGGAGCAAAACCTTTAGATTGGAGGAAGTGGAGATGAAGATGGATTGATTCAGCTCACGTTCCATGATTGCTTCTTAGTGAAAAGCTACATCGGCCACATTTCAGATTTTCACTTTTGCAATTTGGGGAGGGTGGAGAGAGGTAGACTTTTTGCTTGTTTTATAAAGTCCTCTCAGTAAGGAGTGTTTGAGTTGAAGAGGCATCTAATTCGAGACCACTCATGTTCTTTGTAACTTAAGCTTTGACCAAGAAATTCTTCACTTCTTCTCACTTCTTCACTTCTTCCCAATATACAGTAAATACATGAGCCAGTCATCCATACACTAAAGCCTAGTTGAGAAAAACCTTTGATTCAGGATGGCTGGGTTACTAACCTTGGAATGTAAGAGATCTGGTTTTGAATGTAAAATTCGTAACACACCAACAAGTGTTAAAAACTTTTTGCTCTGGTCAGTTACAGGTGGATCCCAATAATCTGTTTTTGGTTTTCTGATGGAAATAATAGAACTAGGGGAAATCAAATCTGGCAGGTGTCTACAATATTAGAAGAGGGTATAAGGGCACAGTTTAACACTAAGCTCTTTTGATATGTAAGTTCTTATACTTCCAGAAACTCTGCATTCCAGATCTACATACTAAATGCTGAATCATTTTTAAATGGGCTCTTGATTAATAGACCTGTATTTTTTAGTGCCTCCTATGTTGTCCATTCGTCTAAAATGAAAGCTCTTTTTTGCACTGCAAAACTACAACATATGTCATCTTATTTTCCCTGAGTAATTCAAGTATAGTGCAATGGAAAATGTTTAGTAGCTTGTGGGAAAAAACCCAAAAAGTTTTACACAATTGTTTGTAGTTACATTTAGGATGGCCTTACTCCTTTGGAGAAGAGTGAAATTTGTTTTTTTGCCATGTGATGAAGACCACTGTGATTTTTTTATAAAGTAGATAATACTTAAAATGGCATAATAATTCTGTACTTGAATTTGTACTGTTAACAGCACATTTGGAAGATTTTTAAACTTTTTATTATTGTATTATAACTAGCATTCAGTTATTATTTTGGATATTTAAGGGTTCCATTACGTTAACATTGTATTTGGACAAAGTATAACCAAATTAGCCAGTCTGTTTTCTTCCATGTTTAATCAGAAGTGAGAGATAGAAGTACTTCAAATTCAGCAGGCCAGCAAGCAATTGGCTTAAAATTCGCTTTCTTAAATATTGTGACTCTTATGCTCTCCGCTTTTTAATGACTTTATTTATTTATTTATTTTTAATACAGGGTCTCGCTCTGTCACCCAGGCTGGAGTGCAGTGGCACGATCTTGGTTCACTGCAACCTCTGCCTCCCAGGTTCAAGCGATTCTCCTGCCTCAGCCTCCCAAGTAACTGAGATTATAGGCATGTGCCACCATGGCCAGTTTATTTTTTGCATTTTAGTAGAGACGGGGTTTCACCATGTTAGCCAGGATGGTCTCGATCTCCTGACCTCATGATCTGCCCACCTCAGCCTCCCACAGTACTAGGATTACAGGTATGAGCCACCATGCCTGGCCTAATGACTTCATTTTTATTTTTTATTTTTATTTTTATTTTTGTATTTATTTATTTTTTTCTTGAGACATAGTCTCACTCTGTCACCCAGGCTGGAGTGCAGTGGCATGATCTCAGCTCACTGCAAGCTCTGCCTCCCGGGTTCACACCATTCTCCTGCCTCAGCCTCCCGAGTATCTGGGACTACAGGTGCCTACCACCACACCTGGCTAATTTTTTTTTGTATTTTTAGTAGAGACGGGGTTTCACTGTGTTAGCTGGGATGGTCTGGATCTCCTGACCTCGTGATCCACCCACCTTGGCCTCCCAAAATGCTGGGATTACAGGCATGAGCCACCGCGCCCAGCCATGACTTCATTTTTAAAGTACTTGCGGCCAGGCACGGTGGCTCACGCCTGTAATCCAAGCACTTTGGGAGGCTGAGGCAGGTGGATCATGAGGTCAGGAGTTCAAGACCAGCGTGGCCAAGATGGTGAAACCCCATCTCTACTAAAAAACAGAAAAATTAGCTGGGCGCAGTGGCAGGCGCCTGTAATCCCAGCTACTCGGGAGGCTGAGGCAGGAGAATCGCTTGAACCCGGGAGGCAGAGTTTGCAGTGAGCCGAGATGGCACCACTGCACTCTAGCCTGGGTGACAGAGCGAGACTCCGCCTCAAAAAATAAATAAATAAATAAATAAATAAATAAATAAAGTACTTGCTCAGTCACTTGAGAGAAAATGCTTGGGGTAGTTTTTCCATCCTCAAACTTAATGTTTTTACTAGTTCACAGGGTTTGGAAGAGTATGCACCAATCACTAAGACTGCTTCAGAGTTTGCAATTTTGTATGTTTCATTGCCAAAGAAGGCTTAGTGGTTGTTGACTGTAGTATAAGTCACCTTTCTGTAGCATAAGATTTGATTTTCTTATACTTACTCCACTTGTTATCCATCACTGATTATTTGGGTTAAACTGGACTCATTTCAAGCAGTTTGCCTTTGTTGTTCAAATACGTGATGAGAAACTTAATATTGTAATTTGACTTGAGCCATAAAACACATTTTAATATTAGCTTGTATTATATTTATTAAGCTTGTTTAGTGGGAAAAAAACTTACTAAAACCTAGATAAGTCTAGATTAAGCCAGTTTAGGTGTATTTTCTATTTTAGTGATGGATCGTATCATAAAAATAGAGATAAGTTGGGAAGATATATTGATTATGCTGTTCTATTGAGGGAAAGGTCACGTATTTGGAAATTTAAATTTTTGTTTATTGTGTTCACATCATAGTATATAAGCATCATTTACAGTTTGGCTATGAGAACTTTTCTGGTATGTTTATGGAAAATGTATGAAAGAAACAAGTTTTGATTATATTTTTATATTTGTAAAGTAAAAGTTCGGTTAAAATGATCACTGTTCTTTTTTTTATCATTTCAATAAAAAATATTTGAAAGAGAAAAAAAATACAAAAGTTAGCCAGGCATGTGGTGTGCACATGTAGTCACAGCTACTCAGGAAACTGAGGTGGAAGGATCACCTGAGCCCATGAGGTCAAGACTGCAGTGAGCCATGACTATGCCACTGCACTACAGCTTGGACAAAAGAGTAAGACCCTGTCTCAAAAAAAATTAAATTAAATAAACAAAAGTCAAATGGAATTAACATAGGAGATGTTATTCTTTCCCAGTCAGAATTCCCAGAATATGCAGTATCAAAAACCACAGCCAATTTAACACAACACACATAGCCCATCTCAGTCTTGATGCTTCCTATCACTTGGTAGGGCTGAACATGCTCATTTGAACCCCAAAACTGGTACAAACTGAAATAAAATTTTATTTTGTCTAATTTTTTTTTTTTTTTTTTGAGACGGAGTCTCGCTCTTGTTGCCCAGGCTGGAGTGCAATGGCACGATCTCGGCTTACCGCAACCTCCACCTCCCAGGTTCAAGCAATTCTCCTGCCTCAGCCTCCCGAGTAGCTGGGATTACAGGCATGCGCCACCACAACCCAGCTAATTTTGTTTTTTTAGTAGAGATGGGGTTTCTCAATATTGGTCAGGCTGGTCTTGAACTCCTGACCTCGGGTGATCCGCCTGCCTCAGCCTCCCGAAGTGCTGGGATTACAGGCGTGAGCCACCACGCCTGGCCTAATTATTTCTAGAATAATCAGATCCTTATGTATTTCTTCAAAGAGAAAGATTAAACTACTACTAACTTCCCAATATAGAAATTACTGAGAATATTACCCACATACGCTAAGTACAAATTTTTTGGTTTGTTTTTGAGACAGGGTCTTGCTCTGTGTCACCTAGGCTGGAATGCAGTGGTGTGATCATGGCTCAACTGCAGCCTCCTCCTCCTTAAGCAATCCTCCCACCTCACCTTCTCAAGTAGGTGGGACCACAAGCACATGCCACCACACCTGGATAATTTTTAAATTTTCTTTGCAGAGACGGGGCTCCCTATGTTGCCCAGGCTGGTCTCAAACTCCTGATCCTGGGCTCAAATGATCCTCCCGCTTTGGCCTCCCAAAGTGCTGGAATTACAGGCATGAGCCATCATGCCCTGCCAGTAAGTACAATTTTTTAGTCTTTTTTTTTTTTTTTTTTGGTGACTCCTATTCTATACTGATGTATAAAATTATGTCTCAATGTCTGTTCATTCTCATGGAATAGAGAGGTCTATAAATTGCCATATCTAGCTAGGAATTTTATGAAGAAATGTTTAATGAGCTGGTATTACTTAACCCAGAAAGAAGAATTCAACAATAATTTTTCTGAGAATATCAAGGACCTTTCTCAGAAAATGGGCATTAACCATTTTCAATTGCTACTAGGTGCAGAAAAAGAGAATACATTTGGGTACTAAATGCTAAACTAGAGGTTTATAAAATGTCCTTTCAAATATTTCCTAACACACTGATAACATACAAGAACAAGAGCTATACTTATTTATCTGTGTATCCCTAGAGTCTAGAGAACTGGGTGTGGAGCAGAGAGAACACTCAGTGCTTAACAAACTGAGTTATCAACTATCTAGCATGTTTTATGTGTAGTTGTCTGAAAGGTTACAGGGCATCTCAATGTCCTTCCTAGTGTTCAAAAATGCTTCTAAGAAAGGACCATGGCCAGGTGCAGTGGTTCACGCCTGTAATCCTAGCACTTTGGGAGGCCAAGGCAGGCGGATCACAAGGTCAGGAGTTTGAGACAAACCTGACCAATATGGTGAAACCCCGTCTCTACTAAAAATACAAAAATTAGCCAGCCATGGTTGCGCACGCCTGTAGTCCCAGCTACTCCGGAGGCTGATGCAGAAGAATCACTTGAACCCGGGAGTCAGAGGTTGCAGTGAGCTGACATCGTGCCACTGCACTCCAGCCTGGGTGACAGAGCGAAACTCCATCTCGAAAAAAAAAAAAAAAGAAAGGACCATGACTCCAGAAAAATAACTGAATTTATCTTTTCCTCCCCTAAGCAAAGGCTACTCATAAGAGAACAGAAAACACAGCTGGACCTCGAATAACACGTTTCAACTACACAGGTCCACTTCTACGCAGACTTTTTTCAATAAAAGTTATACCAGGTGTGCCTGCCTCTCCTGCCTCCCCTTTCACCTCCTCTACCTCTTTCACCTCTGCCACTCAAGAGCAAGACCAACCCCTCTTTCTCCTCCTTCAGCATGAAGGTGGTGAGGATGAAGACCTTAACGATGATTCACTTCTATTAATGAAGAGTAAATATATTTTGTCTTCCTTATGACTTTCTTAACAACATGTTCTCTTCTCTAGTGTACTTTATTGTAACAATATAGAATATAATACATATAACATACAAAATTATGTTAATCTACTGATTATGTTATCGGCCAGGCTTCTAGTCAACAGTAAGTTATTAATAAAGTTTTTGAGGAGTCAAAAGTTATAAGTGGACTTTCAACTGTGCAGGGGGTTGTCATCCCTAACCCCCACATTGTTTAAGGGTCAACCGTACTATATACACCTATAGCTGCTGGTATACTGGGGCTATACTATCTAATACAAAACTGATTCTGAAATTTACAACTTTTAAAAAGACAAATATATTTCCCTGGTGTTTGATAAGCATCATGAGAACTATTTTGCCTAAAAATTAATAAGTATTAGTTGCAACATGGACATTTATACTAATAAGGAGGGCAGAGGCGAATATGTGAGAAGGTCCACCACCTCAGAGCTTGAATCAGCTTCACGATGATGGAAAGGTAAGCTTTATCACTGATCTCAACAGCAGACTGGTGGCAAAGAGCCAGCCGTAACAAAGTACTACAATCAGAAAAATAACTCTAGACCATCTCATGGAATCTCAATCTAAATTATCATTTGACCTTTCGGCATTATAGCAAAATAAGGTCTGTATACACTGGATACTCCCATGTCCTATTTCTAACCATTATGACTATGTGTCCCAGAATGGTGCACGCCACCACATTTAGGAAGAACTGGAAATGCAAATGATTATCTATGATGAAGACTCACATAGTCCTGAAAAGCATCATTTAATTAGACCTTGAAATGGTAACTCTCATATCTTAACCATAAGACCGTAAATGAAAATTAAACTGTACTACAAAGGTTATCAATTATAATTTCTAAACTAAGCAAAATGCTTCTTTTAAAGAAATTATTTCAAAACTATCAATACTTTAGAAGTGTTTGTGAGTATACAGTTGTCCATGTGCATAAATGCAAGTACGAATTTTTTTTTTTTTTTTGAGGTGGAGTTTTGCTCTTGTCACCCAGGCTGGAGTGCAATGGCATGTTCTTGGCTCACTGCAACCTCTACTTCCCGGGTTCAAGCGATTCTTCAGCCTCAGCCTCCCGAGTAGCTGGGACTACAGGCACCCGCCACCACGCCCGGCTGATTTTTGTATTTTTGGTAGAGACAGGGTTTCACTATGTTGGCCAAGCTGGTCTTGAACTTCTGACTTCAGGTGATCCACCCGCCTCAGCCTCCCAAAGTGCTGGGATTACAGGCGTCAGCCACCACGCCTGGCTTCAAAGTACAATTTTTATTTTTGTTGGTTTCATGGAAGGATGGAGAACAAAGCAAGGAGACTGGTGTTAAACAGAAATTTTCAGCAAACCAACTTTCTATTAAACAGATAGATCCTGGCCACTGAATAATATCAGAAGAAAGCATAACTAGAAAAGACAGAGTGCCCTTCCTATAATTACAAATTAAAGTGAAATAAAATCTGAGAGTCAATAAAGTAAGGCTTATCAATGACACCTTAAGTTATTCACTTAAAAGTGTACACACACATCCTTTTCTTACCAAAGAATATTGGGTAACATTGAGAACTTACTAGTGCCTGGGTCAAGCTCTGCCAATTCATCCTGACAGAAACCTAAAGAGAAAACAATAGGAAAAAAAATTACAATTTGTGAATTACTTCAAGCTGACTCCAAATATGAAGTATCATACAGTTGGGGGGAAATCTATACTCAGAAGTCAATTTGGGTTTCAATCCTAGCTCTAACATTTAGCTACTACATATCCCTCTGAGCCTCCATTTCATCCCTTCAATATAAAAACAGATAATAGCATTTACCACAGAATTGTAATGAGGATTAAACAAGTTACCAAAATAAAATGCTTACCATAGGCCTTGCCACACAGTAGGAGCTCAATATACAACAGCACAAGTAATTATGAGTTATCATGGCAATGTCCGTTGGAATAAAAATTCACAGGAAAATTACAATTCATTTAATACCTGTCATATTCTATTTAACACTGCTAATTCTTTTCCAAAAGAAAGCAAAGTATGTAAAATATTAACAACAATATCAGACAGTGTAATATCATGTAAATTTTTCACAAATGCTGAAGAATTTTACCTACACAAACAAATGAAAGCAATTTTTCCATTAATAAGTATGCTATTCAGGTTGGAATAAATACCTCTCAGAGCACACTTCACATTTCATATGCTCAGACCCAAAAAGTATGAGCTATATTTGTCTGGCTGGTATATAACTAACACACTGGAGAGATAAATCAAGCACAAGGAATGGCAAACATAGTACGTCCTCTATACATCGTTGATGAAAGGTTTTGTTTTTCCTGAAATGGCTGCATACTTTCTTCTGTTTGCTTTCTACTCTTCCTCAGTTTAAATATTTCCTCAGAAAAGTTTTCTCTTGCCTCTTTCACCCTTGTCTCACACACAAGGTCAAATTCCTGTTTATAATTATCTCTAACACCTGTGCTTGCTTCTAGCACTCATCAACAAGGAACTACTTGTTCAGCGTCTGACCACAATGAGACTGTTCCATGAGGGCGGGGATCCGACCTGCCTTGTTTTACAGCTTTAACCCCATTACCTCTCACAAGCCTAGCACGGAGTAGCTGTTCAGTAAACAACTGTAGTATTTCACCAGTAAATTCAGAAATATCGGATCTTGGTGCCGGGTGCAGTGGCTCATGCCTGTAATCCCAGCACTCTGGGAGGCCAAAACGAGCTGATCACTTGAGGCCAGGAATTCAAGACCAGCCTGGCCAACAGGGTGAAACCCTGTCTCTATTAAAAATACAAAAATTAGCCAGGCATGATGGTGCTTGGCTGCAATCCCAGCTAATCGGGAGGCTGAGGCAGGAGAATCTTTCGAGTCTGGGAGGTGGAGGTTGCAGTGAGCCGAGATTGAACCATTGCACTCCAGCCTGGGCAACAGAGCGAGACGCTGTCTCAAAAAATAAAACAAAAAAAAGAAGCAAAATTAGGACTAGAGGGGTATGAAAGTAACTTCTGTCAAAACTGGGTGACCAAAAGCCAGACCAACAACTAGCCGTCATATGGGAGAAATGAGATTCATGCAGCAGGCCAACTGCTTAAACACTACGACTTTGTTTTTGTTTGATACGGAGTTTTGCTCTATCGCCCAGGCTAGAGTGCAGTGATGCAATCTCAGCTCACTGCAACCTCCGCGCCTCCTGGTTTCAAGCGATTCTCCTGCCTCAGTCTCCTGAGCAGCTGGGATTACAGGCACCTGCCACCATGCCCAGCTAATTTTTGTATTTCTAGTAGAGACAGGTTTCATCCTGTTGGCCAGGCTGGTCTCAAACTCCTGACCTCAAGTGATCTGACCACCTTCGCCTCCCAAAGTGCTGGGATTACAGAAAGCCCAGCTTAAACATCACAACTTTTAAAGTCCTTTGCAATTCTGGGCTGTTCTGACCACACCAAACATGCCACATTCTTTCTTGCCTTTCTGTGAGTCCTCCTCCTCCTCCATTTGGTAAAAATGACTCATCCTTTAAGATTCAGTTCCAATATCACAACAATGAAATATGGAAAACAAAAGAGGCCTCACCAGCATTCACCAAACAATAAAGGAATAGTTTAAATACCTGCTTCTTCCACTAGACAGTGAAATCTTCAAGGCTAGGGACTGACTGTGCCTTATCCATCTGCAGAGCTGCTTCTGGCCAGAACAGTTGTGGACACATTATGGAAGGTGCTGAAATGCAGGATCAACTAAACAGAACACACAACCCTGCCTCTAGATCAGTCTAGGGAAGAAAGTCATAGAATCAGGAAATCTTAAGTCTAGTCTGAATAGTGTGTGTAAAGTCTAAATGAGGAGACTGGATCTGAAATACCAGAATTTAGAAGCTGCTTAAAGTGGCTGATCTCAGACCAGCTTTAAACCCCTCTACATAAAGGCAATGGGAATCAGAAAAGCCATGGAGAGATGCCAGGTGTCTTAGTCCATTCAGACTGCTATAATAAAATATCATAAAGTAAGTCTCACAGTTCTGGAGCCGTGAAGTCCAAGATCAAGATGCTGGTAGATTTGGTGTCTAGTGAGAGCCCATTTTATGGTTCACAGATGGTACCTTATCACTGTTCTCACATGGTAGAATGAGCTCTTTAGGGTCTCTCTTATAATGGAACAATCACCTCCCAAAAGGCCCCCATGCTAATACCATCACCTTGGAGGTTAGGATTTCAATATGTGAATTCAGGGGGATCACAAACATTCAGACCATAGTACCAGGCAATGAGAAAATAATTCATCACTACACACGGATTGAATGTTGAACATCATGCCAGAAGTGAAACTGAGAATAAGCATTCACTTCATGTAAATTGACTCAAAAACGGGACAAAAGTACAGGAAAGCAGGCTGGTACAATGGGAAGGTTAGACCTCTCCTAGGTTCTAACTCAAGCCACCTTTAGTTATATGACTCCCTATTCTGGGCCTCAGACTACTTTGGACATTAAATGAACGGACTATACTAGAAGTCTCAAAAAAGGACAAAGCCTAATGTACCTTCTGAAAGTGCCCATTGTTGTGAACTCAAGTAAATGATCAAACAAAAATAGAGGGTGACTCAAAAACAAAGAAAATACTAAGTAAAATATTTAAGATGGACATCTATTGCTTTTATCTGCCTAGCAACCACTCCCCACTTCTGTTAATGGCACCCTGATTTTTCTTTGCAGACTTCTATTCAAAGGCCACATGATCCAAGGAGAATTGACCCTAACTTTGTTGTAAATTGGGATCAACAACAGCACCTACCTTATGGGGATGTCAAAAGAATTAAATGAGACCAGGTACAGTGGTGCATGCCTGTAATCCCAGCACTTTGGGAAGCCGAAGCAGGAGGATCGCTTGAGCCCAGGAGTCGGAGACCAGCCTGGGCAACATGGTGAAACCCTATCTCTACCAAAAAAATACAAAAGTTAGCCAGGTGTGGTGGTGTATGCCTGTAATCCCACCTACTTGGGAGGCTGAGGTAGAGATCACCTGAGCTTAGGAGGTCGAGGATGCAGTGAGCCATGATCGTGCCACTACACTCCAGCCTGGGCAACAGAGTGAGACCAGGTCTCAAAAAATAAAGAATTAAATGACACAGTGAATATAAAGGCTTTGCACAGTACTTGACAAAGTAAGACCTCTATATATGTAAGCTGCTACTAACTAATCTCTAGGGTCCATCCAATTCAGTGCTGTGTCTATGGAAGCAAAGTGTAGATTATAGCAGAGTTACTATTAAACCATTCATGGCATCATCCTCAAAGACCTGGGATGGAACCCTAATATCACTAATGTCACTTTGGTTACTTGCTGTGGTTCTTGAACTTTTACATTTTCAGCCTGTAAAGTGCTTGATGTGGTGATTCCAGATGTTTGCTACTTCCTGAGGAAAGACTCTATATTCACACTAAAAAAAATCCTCCAAGGGTCACAAAGATCCTGATTATAAAATTCAGTAATTACATCTACATTCCCTCGACCTAGTCCTGAGACCACTGCTATTATGTTGTCTCTGGATTTACAGATCATCACTAATGCAGGAGCCTTGAAGATATATGGAGAACAATGTTAATCTTACCTACAAACCACATACCTACTGACCACAAGGCAATGAAATGGCCACAGCTAGCTACTATTGTCAAGCAGAGTTTTGCCCAGATTCTCAGCAACCACATCTAGCTGGCAAAATGATTCTTAGCTAGAAGAACCCAAACCACTGCTAGATGTAACCCCAAATGTACGTTAAATTGGATTTATTCAATTAGATTCAACTCAAAGGCAATCAGAGTTGTTCAGCAGAAAGCAGAATCTTGGCCGGGCGCAGTGGCTCACACCTGTAATCCCAACACTTTGGGAGGCCAAGGTGGGTGGATCACTTGAGGTCAGGAGTTCGAGACCAGCATGGCAAAAATGGTGAAACCCCATCTCTACTAAAAAGACAAAAATTAGCCTGGCATGGCAGTGCACACCTGTAATACCAGCTACTTGGGAGGCTGAGGCAGAAGAATCGCTTGAACACAGAGGCAGAGGTTGTAGTGAGCCGAGATTATGCCACTGCACTCCAGCCTGGGGGAAAGAGCAAGACTCCTTCTCAAAAACCAAAAAAAAGAGGCTGGGCGCGGTGGATCACCTGAGGTCAGGGGTCCTAGACCAGCCTGACCAACATGGTAAAACGCCATCTCTACTAGAAATACAAAAATTAGGCGGGGCGTGGTAGCTCACGCCTGTAATTCCAGCACTTTGGGAGACTGAGGTGGGCAGATCACGAGGCCAGGAGTTCAAGACCAGCCTGGCCAACATAGTAAAACCCCGTTTCTACTAAAAATACAAAAATTAGTCTGGCGTGGTGGTGCACACCTGTAGTCACAGCTACTCAGGAGGCTGAGGCAAGAGAATAGCTTTAACCTGGGAGGCGGAGGTTGCAGTGAGCGGAGATCGCGCCACTGTACTCCAGCCTGGGCAACAGAGCAAGACTCTGTCTCAAAACAAAACAAAACAAAAAGAAAAGCAGGCTCTTAAGCTTCATAAATAAACAAACATACCCCCAAACCCACCTGTCGCACAGAATACAACATATTAAACAGATCAGGAAATTTTCTGAGAAATCCAGGAAATTTTCTGAGAAATCCAGGGTCTTTGTATGGTGACTTAAATTGCTTTCAAAAGGAAAAGAGAGACAAGAAACAGATTGGTTCCTAAGATGATATCACCAAGTCAGTGTGCACACAAGCAATCTGAAATGTTACTGCAAAGGTTATATTCACTTGCCTCAGTTTAACTAGGAAGATAAATGCGTACTGAAAAAAGGACACGGGGGCCGGGCACAATCGCTCACGCCTGTAATCCCAGCATTTGGGGAGGCTGAGGCAGGTGGATCACCTGAGGTCAGGAGTTCAAGACCACCCTGACCAACATGGTAAAACCCCATCCCTACTAAAAATACAAAAATTGGGCCGGGTGCAGCGGCTCACACCTGTAATCCCAGCACTTTGGGAGGCCAAGGCGGGAGGATCACGAGGTCAGGAGTTTGAGACCAGCTTGGCCAACATAGTGAAACCCCATCTCTACTAAAAATACAAAAATTAGCCAGGCGTGGTGGCGCATGCTGTAGTCCTAGCTACTCGGGGGGCTGAGGCAAGAGAATCATTTGAACCCGGGAGGCGGAGGTTGCAGTGAGCCAGGATCACCCCACTGCACTCCAGCCCAGACAACGAAGCAAGACTCCATCTAAAAAAAAAAAAAATACAAAAATACAAAAATTAGCTGGGCTAATTTTGGTGGTGGCAGGTGCCTATAAGCCCAGCTACTCAGGAGGCTGAGGCAGGAGAAATGCTTGAACCTGGGAGGCAGAGGTTGCAGTGAGCCCAGATCACATCACTGCACTCCAGCCTGGACAACAGAGCGAGACTCCATCTCAAAAAAAAAAAAAAAATGGGGGCGGCGAGGGTATGGGTATGAATTAGAATTAGATTCAAATCCCAGATTTGCTATTATCAAATTAACTACTCCAAACCCATGTCTTGGAATGAGGATAAAAATAACCATCACATTCAATTGTCATGAGATTTGGTGAATATATGTAAATCATCTACTTTATGGCAAGTAATCAGCAAATGGCTCTAAGTCTAGGAATCTTATTTCATACAAGAGAAAGTTCCAGTTGACAAGCTCTTCTCCAAATAGGCGTTTTGTTTGCTTTTTAAACAAGGTCTTGCTTCTGTAGCCCAGGCTGGGGTGCAGTGGCACGATCATGGCTCACTGCAGCCTTGACCTCTAGGACCCAAGCAACCCTCCTACTTCAGCCTCCCAAGTAGCTGAGACTACAGGTGTGCACCACCACACATTTGACAAAAAGGCATTTGACAAAAAGAAAATGATCACTGATTCCTCAAATTGTGACTGGCTATCATGAGAGATTAAAATGTCACTGATCTTTTTCCTTTTTGATATTTTGACTATAAAATTGTAAATTTACCATGACAGAAACTTAAATAAACTTCTGAGTATCACCAGTCAGCAAATTAAGGTGTGAAACACTAGCTAATTATACTCTATAATGTGTTAGAGTTACTCAAGCAATGTTTTAGTTTGACTGTAGGAAGACAATATAGTGCAACAGAGACATGGACTCTGGTTAACGTTCTGCTAGTTACTCAGTCTCTTTTGAAGCCTCAATAACCCATATGTAAGATTAAGGCCCTTAAAAGGTAAAATTCTACAATTCTAATCAACTATCTCTTTCTACAAAACAGAAGTTGTATGTGTCTCTCATGATTTGCCAACCACTTTATCTCTTGCTTTTCATAGCATCCTACCCAACAGTGTATACTCCATCCACACTGAAGTACATCGTGGCTCCCAGAATTCAACACGCTCTTTGGCCTCAATTCCTTTACACATGCTATTTTCTCCACCTGAGCCCACCTTTACTCACCACTGACATAAGGACTCAAGTCAGGTCTCCTCTAATTTCCCCCTCCCTTTCCTGCAAACACTCAAGTCTGAGTTAGGCACTACAAACAACATGGCTGAAACTATAGTTTTTCAGGGACCTATGAGGAAGAAAAAGACTGGTTTCAAAATCCAAAACACAAACACATCTGCAAATTTGAAATTCAAATGTTTTAATTAAATATGAGATAACGTTATTTCACTTAGTCAATTGCAATTCAAGTCTTATATAGTTTTAAACATGAGATACAGTGACACAGGGCTTGTAGGACTAAGAAAGCCAAAGGTCAAAATAGGTCTTGAAATTGCTCTGACGAATTCTGTGTGACTCTTCTATGCTCCCACAGGTTCCTGTGCTTTACACACCACAACCATATCATGATCAGGACCACTAGAACCTGAATTCAGAGAACCCAAGGTTTCAGAGAAGTCTGTTTTTCCAGGATCCCCAAGAAAAAGTTAAAAATCTTTACCCAGGTTTTCTATTGATATACAACAGTCATTCACTGGTCTTTCCTAGACCAATCCCCTCTAGTCAGCTGTATCAGTTTCCCATCTACCTTGTCTCCCGTGATCATGATTTGGCACCCAATAAAACTCTTGACTAGATCAGTCAAATCTAGTCTCAACCCCAAAGATAACCCCAGCCCTGGGCCTGAGACATGTCCCAGGAAAGGCAGCTCAATAAATGTTTGAAGAACTGTTTCTTTCACCAGAAGACAATAATGGTAAGCTACAATGCCACTACAATGAATTTCTTGCCAAAATAACAAATTTCAAGAGAACAATTTCACTATTCTCAACTTTTAAAGCCTAGATAAGCACTGTCCAATAGAAATTTCTACAATGACGAAAATGTCATATATCTACACTGTCCAATACAGTTGCCACTAGCTACATGTGGCCAATGAGTACTTGGAATGTGACTGGCGTGAATGAGGAACTGAATTTTTAACTTTACTCTTAATTTAAATGGCCGTATGAGGCTGGTGGCTATGAAACAGTGAAAACATAGTTGTCGTCCCTCTTTGTAAATTTGTCACACCACATGTTTTGGATATACATGCTTAAAAAAATAAAATATGGAAATGTTTAGGCCAGTATTATTTACTAGCCAATTTATAGCTGTGTCAGCTGTTATAAGAATAGGTCCATCAGCCTGCAAATGCAGTCACTTACTCCTTCAAATATTAAGTATCTACCCATACTGTAACAGGCCAGAGGCCTCGAAGGTAGAGATATGAATAAGACTGACTACAGAGAATTAATAGTCTCTAGGAGTACAGAGCAGACAAAAATAACTGTAGAGCCTGACAATGCAAATGCACTTAATGCCACTAAGTTGTACACTTCAAATGGTTAAAATGGTAAATTTTATGCTACGTATATTTTACCACAATTTTTAAAAAGATTAAAGCCTACTGAAGAAAAAAGTTGAAACAATATTTTCGAAAAAATTAACACTATGGGACAGATGGACATGATACACTGGGAAGCAGTGCAGAGTAGAAAGAGCATAAATTTTTATTTCAGAATAGGTTTGAGTCCTGGCACCATTACTTACTAATTGTGTTAGCTTAGGAAATGACTTCACCCTCTGGGCCAATTTCCTCATCTGTCGATTATGAGTACTCAATGATATGATGCACTGAGGTCAGTGAAAGTGCTCGGTAGCCATGATCGATATCAGGGAGAAGAGAAGCAGCAATCATGGAGCCAGGAGCACAGAGAGGAGACAGGCATTCACCAGGCAAACAGGGCTATTTGAGAAACATATTTAGAGGAAGCAGCATGTGAAAGCACTAAATAGAGAGAAAAAACAGAATGTTACTTGGTAATTTGACTTGATTGGAATCTCAGCAGGGCCTTATCATAAAGACCTTCAACTGTCATACATGAAGAGTTTTTGGTTTTTATCCTATAGGCAACAGTGACTGAAAATATATGTACACCTAGGAAGTTTGTCAGTAACAGCCCAACTCTCATTACTTCAATACAGGGGCTCTAAAATTTCAACCAGAAAACCAAAAGCACAAGGAGTTTTAAAAAAATAAAAGAGGCCGGGCACGGTGGCTCACGCCTCTAATCCCAGCACTTTGGAAGGCCGAGGTGGGCAGATCACCTGAGGTTAGGAGTTTGAGACCAGCCTGGCAAGATGGAGAAACCCCGTCTCTACTAAAAATACAAAATTAGCCGGGTGTGGTGGCGCATGCCTGTAATCCCAGCTACTCGAGAGGCTGAGGCAGGAGAATTGCTTGAACCAGGAGGCAGAGGTTGTGGTGAGCCGAGATCGCACCACTGCACTCCAGCCTGGGCAGGAAGAGCGAAACTTCGTCTCAAAAAATAAAAATAAAAATAAAAAATAAAAGAGCAGCTGGGCACTGTGGCTCACGCCTGTAATCCCAGCATTTTGGGAGGCTGAGGTGGGCGGATCACGAGGTCAGGAGATGGAGACCATCCTGGCTAACACGGTGAAACCCCGTCTCTAGTAAAAACACAAAAAATTAGCCAGGCATGGTGGTACGCGCCTGTAGTCCCAGCTACTCAAGAGGCTGAGGCAGGAGAATCACGTGAACCCGGGAAGTAGAGGTTGCAGTGAGCCGAGATGGTGCCACTGCACTCCAGCCTGGATGACAGAGCGAGACTCTGTCTCAAAAATAAAAAATAAATTAAAAATAGAAATAAAAGAGCTTTGTTGAGGCAGCCAAAACACACATGGCTAGCCATCCATAGACCTCCTTTAGATTCTAGAAACTTCCCTTTGGGGGGGCCCTTCCTCCACTCTATCTTCTAGTCTCCTTTTGGTACAATGAATGGCTTTGGCATGAGGCTGAGAAGGAATGCAGCTTTATTTTGGTGGTGGGAAGTAACAAACATGAACTACACAGCCTGCCTTACAGCCATATCTGCAGCCTGCAAGCAGCTCCAGACCTAGGCAGATACAGGAACACTTTTCTTGGATTGGCTGATTAAATTCACACCTGCCTCTTGCTTTTCTATCCAGTGAGTGGGATGCCACTTGGGCCATTAGCTTTTGTTTCTCACAGGCAGCTTGACAAACCATACTTAAAGAATAACAGAAAATGCTTTTGAATGCAGAAACATAGCACCACAAGTCCATATAGCAAAAGCTATCTGGTAGAGCTTTAAGTAGTAGCTCTTTTCTCCACCTACAAATGTCATGGTCACATTTTTAAAAGTGCAACAAAAACAATACCCTTTTCCTAATGTAATTTTCTTAAACATGAAATCTTAGGGGGATACTATGCCCATGTATTTGCTCAGCTTAAATGCAGTACACGAGTGTCTATATTTCTATGGAAACATTAATAACTTCCATCTGATCAACCTACATCACCTTTCATATAGTTTTTCCGGCTTCTAGCTTTGCAATTACAGCCTTGAAACCAGACTGAAGGCAGAAAAGCCAGCCCAAGATTATGACATTTCAATTTTAAAACATTTTTAAAAAATAAAGACAGTACACAGCTTTCAAGGCTGTAGCTATAGAATCAAAAGGTGAAAACGGTTTAGGAAGGCAATTCAGTCTGATGAGTCAGAGGTCATTAGTGTTTCTATGGAATTACAGCACAGGCATTTCTCAGAAAACTGCACGTACTGATGATTCTCTGGCATTTTTCATTTGCAATTTTTGGTTCTCTGGAGGAACAAAAGGGACTGTTGATAATCCTTCATTTGTCTTGGAGGTTAAGAAATTTCAAGGCCAGGCACAGTGGCTCACGCCTGTAATCTCAGAACTCTGGGAGGCCAAGGCAGGAGGATCCCTTGAGCTCAGGAATTGAAAACCAGCCTGGGCAATATAGTGAGACCTCTACAACAACAACAAAAATATGTCTGTCTTTTTCAATTAGCTGGGCGTGGTGGCATGCACCTATAGTCCCAGCTACTTGGGAGGCTGAGGTGGGAGGACCACTTGAGCCTGGGAGGTTGAGGCCGCAGTGAGCCAGGATCACTGCACTCCAGCCTGAGTGACAGAGCAAGACCTTGTCTCAAACAAAAAAAGAAAAGAAAAGAAATTTCAAAATGCAAAATACTTAATACAGAAAAATATAAGAAAATGTATACAATAATCTGTCAGTTGCCATTTATTGAATCTATTACTATAAACCAGGCATCAGCTTGACACTTTACATGAATTCTTACTGAAAAATAGCTACTATTGTCTCCATTTTATAGATCTAAACAGATCATTGTACTCCATTACATGGAAAGAGCCACAAAAGTCAAAACAAGAGAACTTCTATTGAAAGCATCTTGACTAATAAAACCCTACCTTTGCGCAGTGCATGTTCTGCAACAGCCGGATGGATGGGAACTTAGCATAATCTCAAAGAGCAACCCTGATGCTCCCATAACAGCAGGACCTCAACGTCCAAGAAGAATACCACACCTTACTTGAGCCCATTTACAAGTCACCTCCTGAAAAATCCAAGATGCCTGTCAGAAGCAGCTACTGAGGGAAGTGAAGATGTTTTTATTTGTTCATTGTCATTGTGAAGACTGACTAAAGTCTTACTGATCAAGGAGTTTGTTTGAACATGGTCAGAGAGCTTTCAAAGTCATTTCAGAAAGTGCCCCACACCATCCTCAACAGATGGTTTGATGGAAGAGAAGTAGCCAGCTCTGCTCAGGAAATCCATTAGTAAGGTGCAGATACCACCAAAGAGATGTCCCACATGTGGCAGAATGTACCTTTTTCCTTATTTTCTTTAAAATCTCCATATAAAAAGGGAAGATGGATGCATGAGGGCCTAGAAAATGTTTATCCCTCTGGATCAATCTTAGGAATCTATCCTAAGAATCAGAAATACAGAAAATAGTACAAAACTCGAGGCCATCTAAAAATTCAAACACAGGAAAATGATTAAATTATGTACACTTATTCAATGGAATATTTTGCGAACACTATAAATGTTTTCCAAGAGTTTACAAAGGGCAAATACCATATTAAAAATACAATGTAAAACTGTATTCTTGGAATGAGCTCAGGTATATTCCAATACATATATACATGAAAAAAAAAACACTTTGGTCCATTTTCTCTTAGTGATTATCTCTTAGTATAACTAATTTTTCTTCCTCCATTCTACTTTTCTGATTAAAATATATTGTTTTTATAAACAGAAACATACATTAAAAAAATCCTGGCAGGGCACAGCGGCTCACGCCTGTAATCCCAGCACTTTGGGAGGCTGAGGCGGGCAGATCACCTGAGGTCGGGAGTTTGAGACCAGCCTGCCCAACATGGACAAACCCCGTCTTTACTAAAAATACAAAATTAGCCGGGCATGGTGGCGCATGCCTGTAGTCCCAGCTACTTGGGAGGCTGAGGCAGGAGAATCGCTTGAACCCGGGAGGCAGAGGTTGCAGTGAGCCAAGATCGTGCCATGGCACTCCAGCCTGGGCAACAAGAGTGAAACTCTGTCTTAAAAAAAAAAAAAAAAAATCCTAAGAACAGGCCGGGTGCGGTGGCTCACATCTGTAATCCTAGCTTTGGGAGGCTAAGGCGGGCAGATCACCTGAAGTCAGGAGTTCAAGATCAGCCTGGCCAACACAGGAAACTCCATCTCTACTAAAAAATACAAAAAATTGCCAGGCATGGTGGTGCATGCCTGTGCAATTCTCCCTGCCTACTCAAGAGGCTGAGGCAGGGAGAACTGCTTGAATCCGGGAGGCAGAGGTTGCAGTAAGCCAAGATCGCGCCACTGCACTCCAGCCTGGGCGACAGAGCCAGACTCTGTCTCAAAAAAAAAAAAAAAAAAAAAATCCTAAAAACAAAATGATTTGGCTAAACTGTCTACAATCAACAGCTTCAACTGAAGGGGAAAAAAAAAACTACCATTCTCTAAATGACTTTTAAATTACTATCTTATTAGAAACACAATTCTGGGCACTAATCTTTCTTACATACTAGTCATGAATGCTTAAAGCTCAGTACTATCTCCCACGTCCCAGCTTCAGAAATCCATTGTGTGGCAACAAAGAAATACATCTTTAACCTTTCATCCCAGGATCTTTCAAATCTGAAGCAAAGCTAGTTAATCATACCTATGAATAATTCTGTGCCAGGCACAGTGGCTCACACCTGTAATCCCAGCACTTTGGGAGGCCCAGGTAGGTGGATCACCTGAGGTCAGGAGTTCAAGACCAGCCTGGTCACCACGGTGAAACCCCATCTCTACTAAAAATACAAAACTTAGCTGGGCATGGTGGTGGGCACCTATAATCCCAGCTACCTGGTAGGCTGAGACAGGAGAATCACTTGAACCCGGGAGGCAAAGGTTGCAGTGAGCCAAGATTGCCTACTGCACTCCAGCCTGGGCAACAGAGCGAGACTCCGTCTAAAAAAAGGAAAAAGAAAAAAAAACAATAATTCCAAAAGAAATTTTTAAAAACTATTCAAACCTGGTGAGTTAAGACAGAAGAGCAACAACCAAGTATTTATAGCACAACATAAATACAAAAGATACTCTACAAAATAGGACTAAGGGAGAAAAAACTCCTTTTTTTTAGATGCTAAACTTTCCTATATTCTAAAATCAAATTCAACAAATATTTACCTAGTGTTTTCCATGTATAGGCTGCTATCCCAGACTGCATTGGAAAAATAGGTGAGTAAAGCTGGCTACCCCTAGATTCTTAAAATCTAGCATAGAAAATAGAAAACTGACTGGATACAAGGACTTTTGAAGTAAATGCCCTAATGGAGACATTAACAGCAGTGGTCACACTATTTATTTCTTCTTAGGGAAAACTAGAAAAAAGTTAATGACAAAATGGCACTTGAATCAGACTAGTAAGGGAGGAAAGAAAGAATGTAAATACAGACACATTATCAATAATACTCAGCCATACATATCTTTTGGATGTCCTTCCACTGCTGGCAACTATTTCCCCTAGAAGCAGTCACATCCTTACAGATGATTATACAGACCTTGTCTGACTTTTTTTTTTTTTTTTTTTTGAGACAGAGTTTCACTTAGTCACCTAGGCTACAGTGCAATGGCATAATTATGGCTCACTGCAGCCTCGACCTCCCAGGCTCAAGGGATCAACCCAACCCGCCTCAGCCTCTCGAGTAGCTGGGACTACAATCATGTGCCACCACGTCCAGCCTGACATGTTCTTTACTAAATGTCCTCACAGGCAAGAAAGGCCTATCCCAGCACACACACAACCTTCTCATCCTAGGTTGGATGGTCTCATCCACATACACTTTCACTTACACTTCCCAACTGATGATTCCCCTCTCCCCCAAACTTTCAATTCTGGATGAGACTCTTCTCCTGAACCACAGACCCATCTATCCAAATGTCTATTGTCAATGTCTACCAGGATAAATAACCCATAGGCTCCATCAATTTCAACATGTCAAACTGAACCTATTATTTTCTCTTTGAATCCTCTTTCTCCTGTGTTCTTCACTCAGGTTCCAGGTACCACCAACTCTCATCCCCCAAGCCAGAGATCCCCAAAGACTCCTCCTGGGCTCCCACTTTACCACCCTTCCCAACAGTCCCCTCGAATAATATAGTCAATCACCAGGACATTTTCATTCTCTCTCAAATATCCCTAGATCAAGCTCAAGGCATCTAATCACCCTATAATCCTAGACTATTATGACTGCTCCTCTCTCTTCCTGGAATTTAATTTCCTAATCCACTCAAAAATCCTGTTTGATTCCCCTTTTCAACTTTTTAGCATACATTAATAGCACCAAATTACAGAAATAAACAAATCCAACAATTGAAAAGCTACTTTTTGCAACCTTATTTCCTCGAAACACCCCAAAGCTTGAAAAGGATAACACCTAAATTCCTATTTGCAAACTCTCTTTATACAGAGATGCAAATATACCAACTTTGATGTTAAAGCAAGTTTCTAATATTAAGATATCAATAAAGTGATATACTAGGCAAGATGCCTTGCTTCAGTATTAATAAGCCATTTGTATAAGGCTAAGTGATCTACTCCCTCTGTACTTAGATTTTCTCCTCAGTGAAAGATCAATTTTCTTAGCATCATTTTTCAGCTCTAAAGTCCATGAGTTTATCAAAAGTTGCAGTTGTGTATAATAGGGGGTACAAATCATACAATGCTAACACTTGAGGAACCCTTAAGGGGTTATCAAGATTCTTAGATTTTTTAAAAAAAACTAGAAGGATAAACTATAAATCATTCCTAATCTCTTCCATCCCACTGTAGCCCCCATTTTACAGAAAGGAGAAATTGTTTAAAGGGAATAACATTTGTAGGATTCCTGTGATTTAAACACTAATTGTGGTCCCATAGGCATTTCCCCGATCTAAAAATGGGAACAAAAGAACTTAACTTAAGCCGGGCGCAGTGGCTCAAGCCTGTAATCCCAGCACTTTGGGAGGCCGAGGCAGGCAGATCACGAGGTCAGGAGATCGAGACCATCCTGGCTAACACGGTGAAACCCCGTCTCTATTAAAAATACAAAAAAAAAAATTAGCCAGGCGCGGTGGCAGGCGCCTGTAGTCCCAGCTATTCGGGAGGCTGAGGCAGGAGAATGGCATGAACCCGGGAGGTGGAGCTTGCAGTGAGCTGAGATCGCGCCACTGCACTCTAGCCTGGGCGACAGAGCGAGACTCTGTCTCAAAAAAAAAAAAAAAAGAACTTAACAGGGCTGTTGTAAGTATTAAATGAAATAAATATAAGTACTCAAAACAGTACCTAGCATATAGCAAATGTTCAGTAAGAGTTACCTATTATTGGCCAGGTGCGGTGGCTCACGCCTGTAACCCCAGCACTTTGGGAGGCCAAGGCGGGCGGATCACCTGAAGTAGGGAGTTTGAGACCAGCCTGACCAACATGGAGAAACTCCATCTCTACTAAAAATACAAAATTAGCCGAGTGTAGTGGCGCATGTCTGTAATCCCAGCTACTAAGGAGGCCGAGGCAGGAGAATCACTTGAACCCGAGAGGCGGAGGTTGCAGTGAGCCAAAATCGCACCATTGCACTCCAACCTGGGCAACAAGAGTGAAACTCCATTTCAAAAAAAAAAAAAAAGAGTTACCCATTATTATAATTGGAAACCCTCCAAAACACAAATATAAACAGACTCAGAAAAGACTTCTTAATTTAAAAAATCTAAACCACTTTGCAGCAGCTTTAGGGAAAGTGTTCCATTCTGCACACACTTAGGGAATAGGACCTTTTACTAAGTCATCACCCAGTGCTATTACTGAGAGGTCAGCTTCTTCATGAGGTTGCAGTATTCATGTGAAAATTGACCTTTGGGTCAACCATTCAGATCTCAGATCACCCAATCAATAAAATAAATACGGTATTTTTTTTTTAAGAGACAGGTCTCGCTATGTTGCCCAGGCTGTAGTGCAGTGGCCATTCACAGGAACAATCATAATGCACTCCAGCCTCGAACTTCTGACTCAAGCAATCCTCCTGCCTCAGCCTTCCCAGTAGCTGGAACTATAGATGCACACCATCACACCAGCTTGTTAAAGCACTACAGATACTAGTATACCCTGCCCCGCTAAAATCACACTCTTACATAACGCATGTTTCTTTACAGTTTTTGATACCTATTATAAGTTCCACAGGCTTAGAAGTTCCTCTTCTAGCATTAACATACATTAGCACAAACATAAGGTTAGAATTGCATCCCTACTTCCCCACAGCTCAACTGGACTTCCAGAGTAAGAGATGATTATTTGGTATACAGCTGTTCTGAGTTTAACAATCTTCTCTCTGAATATGCCTCACATTCCTGAATAAGTCACAGTGACCATACTATTCAAAAAGTAAATACTAAGGATATCAAATGAGAAGAACGTATTTGTAAGGTCAGCAAGGCAAACTTTAATACAAGCTGACCTGGAAATTGAGACTGTATAGACACATTGGTTACTTTCAGTCCCTACCATGTTAAGGCTCTCATGTTTCTAGTTTATATTATTCACTCTTCATCTTGTATCAAATAGTATTTAAGAGCCTAATGCTATTTTGCTTTGTTTCCTAAAAGGCATTAAGGATCAAAAGTCTCTCCCATTCCACATGGAGTTCTGCTTCCATGTCACATGCCCAGGGCCAGCATTTTTAAGCAAGGGTCTCTTTGCTTCCTTGTCTCCCCATTGGCAAGGATTTGTCCTAAACCTCACAACAGCATCTTTCTCCAACATCACAAATTGGCTTTGGACTTTGCTCTTCTCCTTAGAAATACATAAAGGCATCTTTAAAAAATAAATAAATAGGCCAGGCGCGGTGGCTCACGCCTGTAATCCCAGCCCTTTGGGAGGCCGAGGCAGGCGGATCACGAGGTCAGGAGAACGAGACCAGCCTGGCCAATATGGTGAAACCCCGTCTCTACTAAAAATACAAAAAATTAGCCGGGCGTGGTGGTGGGCGCCTGTAGTCCCAGCTACTCGGGAGGCTGAGGCAGGAGAATGGCGTGAACCCAGGAGGCGGAGGTTGCAGTGAGCCAAGATCGCGCCACTGCACTCCAGCCTGGGTGACAGAGCGAAACTCCGTCTCAAAAAAATAAATAAATAAATAAATAAAAATCATGACCAGTTAAGGAAAAAAAAAGTCAAGATTTTTAAACAAGCAATTTTCAAAGACCATACTTGTCTCCACGGCTAAAATTGAAGTCTGGCTTTAATTCTTGCATCTACCATTAAAACACAGTCTCCTAAATACTAGACTCCTTAAGGTACAAATGGCCCTTTGTATCCTCTACCAGAAGCTAGTGCTCAGATTCCAAGAGTGTAAGCCCTGGATCAGACACATTTGGGTCTGAGTCCCATCTCTCCCACTTAGGGGGCCAAGTCACTTAAGTTGTTCCTCCCATCTGCAAAATGAAAATAATGTTACTCTCCTTATAAGGTTGCTGCATGTAATTATCACACAGTGGGCACACAATAAATTTCAGCTCAAGAAAAAAGGAAAGGCAAACCATTAACGACAAAATTTTCAGAGAAAGACACTAGTCACACCCAAGTACTAATTAGGCTAATACTGCACATCAATATAATTGTTAAATCACAACTCAGCGAAGAAATCAGTTGAGACCAAAACTTTCTAACAAGAACATAAACAGTTCAACATATCCTCTAAGAACGAGAGAAAAATTAAGTTTTTGTGTGTGTGATTTACAATTTAAATGGTAAAAATTCTTCTAGATAGAGCACATATGAGCTTGACAATAACATTCGAAACTCCTGGCTGGAAGTCCTCCTTACTTCATTACTTCATACCAAGGCATGCTGACAAACCTCCTTACCCTGAGCTAAGCTCTGGATTGAGACCCTGGAATCAAAGTGTCACCGAGCAAGAATTATATATTCTAGCTTATACCCAAGTATCAGAAAAATTTTACTAAAATATCAATTAAACCAAGTGGGGTGTGCCATACACTACATGAGTCTGGTGCCTGGGATTAAAAATCTATTAGAAACGGGTTTCACAAGATGATTTATCAAGAATCCACAGTAAATGTTCAGAGATATGGCTAGCATAGACAAAGTACAATAAATTAGAAATAGGAAAATTACCATAACTGGAATTTCTTTAAAAAATCCTCAATTTCTTTCAAAGTACAAAGTGTTTCCATGAAGAATTTTAAGGATGCTATTTAAAATAATTCGGAACTGAATTTTTTTCTTTTAGTAACTAGTGGAACAAACTTTTTAAACAACAGGATTACAAAATTCCTCCTTTTGTATTTGAAGAAGCTATTGTCACAATACAAAATTAAATAAAACAGAAGGGCAGGATGGCTCACGCCTATAATCCCAACACTTTGGGAGCCCGGGGTGGGCGGATCACTTGGTCAGGAGCTCAAGACCAGCCTGGCCAAAATGGTGAAACCCTGTCTCTACTAAAAATACAAAAATTAGCTGTGCATGGTGGCATGCACCTGTAATCCTGGCTACTCGGGCTCCTGAAGCATGAGAATGGCTTAAACCCAGGAGGCAGAGGTTACAATGAGCCAAGATCACGCCACTGCACTCCAGCCTGGGCAACAGAGCAAGACTCTGTCTCAAACAAACAAAAAAATTAAATAAGAAAAAATGACAATAGGTTTTTTTCTTATTCAAAAAGTTTTAAAGATAAAATCAAATTAAAATTAAACAATCAATTTTTTTAAAAGGATAAAATTTTTAAAAATCAAATTATAATCTAGGCTTCAATTATGGTAAAGTTACATCAGCTACCTATTGTTTCCAATAGAACACAATAAAATGGTAATTAAACATAATTATTAATATAAATTACAAAACTACAACACGCAATAAAAGTCAAAGAAATTGTCCTTTAATGCACTTGAGATAACATCTGTTTCAAAAACTGCTGGCAATATCTTTTCTCAAGCTCACTTTTCCAACATTATCTAATGAGGAGGCAAGGGAATGTTTATGATGTCTTTACAGTTATTTCAATAAATCATTTATGTAGGGGTACAAGTACCTACAAAATTACTATATATTTTACACCCAACTTCTGAAATTCACTAAGCACTAAGAAACACAATGTTTTAAGAAAGACCTAAGTTTTTAAAGATGAAATCCTATCTCACAGCAGTTAAATTAAAAAAAAAAAAAGATCAGAAAAACACATCTAAAAATCTCTACACTACTCTGGAGTTAGCTGAATTCTCTTAGAGGATGAGGAAGAAAAGAGGAGAGGCAGGGACAGGGAGGCAAGAGGAAGGATGAAAGGAGAGAAAGAAAAGTAAGGAGGGGGTACCTAGGCAGTAAGGCCTGTGGGACTGGTTCAACTTCGAACAAATTTCCTCTTCCCTAAGACTCAGTTTACTCATTTGTAAAATGTACACACCATCACCTATGTCAGTGTTTCCCAAAGCAAGGAAACCACTGGATGATTTTAAATGGTACAAAGAGAAGGCATCATAAAACATTCCAAAGCTGTTAGTACCTTTTCCACTCTCTTTCAATCCTTCTGATTACATCAGAAGAAAAATGTGGTGTTAGTTTTTCTAGTGCCTCTCTAGTGCTTACTAATCTCTCTATCAAAGGCCTGGTCAGAGACCTTGGCAGACAATAGCATTTAGAATTTAACACAATTCTATTTTCATTAAATTTTTTTCATTGTTACTTTCTACTTGTGGCAAATAATTTTTCATTTAAGCTAATAAAAAAATTCATTTTAAAATAAATGTTGGGTTGCAGAATGTTAACTATTCAATATTTAAAAAATTAAATAAGCAATATATTAGAAAATGACAAAAATCATGTGGTGATACAGGAAAAACTGAAGATTTAAAAATACTGGTTTAGCAGAGTAGTGGTTAGTAGAAGGTTATTTTCAACTCTAAGCCTCAGTTTACTCATCTATAATAAGGGAATATCACCACCTATCCAAAGAAAAGTTATGGAAAGGATTACATGAGTTAGTTTAGCTCTGTGCCTAGTGCTGAGTGTTCAACAACTACTTGTTCCCTTCCCTTTTAAGGATATTACCAGAAAACCTTTTTAGAGACCTCCAGAGAGAGACTTTGGGTAGGGGATGGGGATGCTGGGCTTCCTGTATATCAGAGACAGGAGCATTTGCTCTGGTTCTAATACTTCCCACTAAGAACCTCCAGGGACCTAGCCTTGCTTTTACCCTGATAAAGCTGCAGTCTACTCTCCTAAGGCTCATAATTCTACTTACAAGCAAGACTGGGAATAAAGTGCTACAGAAAAGGGGCACATATCTTAAATCACTGAGAAGTCAAACCCTAAAGGGCACCAAGGAAGGAAGGACCATTTTATAACAAGTCCAAGCCAAAATAAAGTATTTCATTTGGGCAAATTCAACAACTCTGTAATGGAAAAGAAAGTCACTAGGTGGTTCATAACCAGCCTTTATCACCTGATATTGTCAAACTAGAGCCCACAGGGGAGAAAAACCTTGGGAGGAGGAGTTCCAACTCAGAGTAGGAATGCTTCAAGAAAAGGAACACCAACTGAGTACTTACTACAGTCCCACCATTGTGAGTAATAGGCACTTTATTTTACATATATTGCCAAATTTTTCCAAACCTATATGAGATAATTCCAAGTCAACTGACCAAATTGCCAAATCTCCAAATAGCCAATTCTCTAAATTTGTCAAAAATTTGTTTTAAATATTTGGACAGTTTATAAAAATTCATATTGATGAGACAGTTAATTACCTTTTAAGGATTTCTGCCAAGTCAGAACTGACCGTTGGAATACCAGCATTTTTAAGATGTTCAATTTGTCTCTACACTGCAGCTGGAGAGAGCTGAAGCAGAGAGGACCTCTGCTGGTAGAAATATACATCCTTGTCTGGGCTGCAGGGCATGGGGGAGAAATGATGTATAGGAAACGGGAAAAACAAAAAGGAAAAAAATGGTGGGGAGCATTTAAGAAAAACGAGATGAACAACGGGTTCTGTAAGGTCTACAGATTAGATTCAGCAAACTGTCTTTTATTGAATGGAATACTGGGTAAACTGAACATCTGGGAAACTGGTTTTCAATGACTTGGATTGTGGTAAACTGGTCTGCTGTACCTATGAGATCGATGATATTAACATTACTTACAGATAAGGAAATTAACTCAGAAACTTTTGTAAAGTAATACAGCTACATTCCAGGTTTTCCATAAACTACCTCATTTCATTCTCCAATAATCAATGTGGTGATTCCACATCCTTTTACCACCCTCCACCCAGTATCTCCACCCCCCTTCCACTCAACTGTCAAAAAAATACATTAAAAAATCACAAGAATAGACAGGATTTAAACCCAAGTCTAACGTTAAAGCTCAGGCTCTAATGCACCTAGTTATCACTACATCCTACCAATTTGCTGAAATAATTTTTAACCCCTGCCCTCCCACTGCTGAAGTTTGTCTACCATTACTACAGTAACTCCTTTCTGCAAAGATCTGCTTTTCAGAGGTTGAGTCACATTACCGTGGAAATATTTCAGGCAAAAGAGTATTTCAGAGATCTCATTTTATTTACCCTGAACAACCTTATTGCTCACACGATTTCAGATCAAATCAGAACTGAAATTGCTTGAGAACTTCCATTAGAGACTCTCAGACTGGCAATCCCTGCTGTGTATTAACAACTTTTTCCGTTCATTATGTTGGCTTCATTCACAAGCACACTGGCATGTAATTTCATTATTGTGATCTAAGAGTGACTAGGTTAGTCTCATTAAATAAATGTAAAAACTAAAATAATCCTAAAATCTGCAAGATCTATGTAACACCTTACCGCTTGCTCAAACTATCTGCTTTACTGCTGGACTCTTCAGGGATTTATCACATTTATGATGCTGGAAGACATGTCTTATCTGACCTACTGACACATAAAACCTAACTTTTCTTATAGCAACAATGTCAAGGTCCTTTCTATCAATAAGATAGTACTTCAAGGCTCTCTAAACAGCTGCGAATATATTCTACCCTTTTGGTAAGCAGAAAAGTTCTTTATTCATAGAACTTAAGATGTGGCTCACATATAAAGCATTTTTAAAACATTAATATTTTTACTTTTACACTGACTGAGTATAATCAGAAACTTTCACTAAGAAAATTCCCACTGTGTAAAATATTTTAAGAATCAATTAAACTGTTACTTTTAAAAAAGTGTTAAATATTTGTTCTGATTCCCCACTGGGTTCAAAAACCTCTTTGATGTTAAGATGGGGAAAAGATAGATCTTTTCAGCAAATCTGAATAGCACAAAATGACACTTTGAAAAATGCCACCCTCTCTTAAATCTTTTCAAGTACATATTTTAAATGATCAACAAATAGATGACAAACTTAATTATTTTTGTAGCCCATATTAGGCTTCCCTTTGCACTTTAGTAGTACCTCTTATTAATTATTTCTGATCTTCAATGTACACCCAAGGCTACGCTTAATGTTTTAGCAAATAGAATACCATTCTTTTGAAATTGACAAAAGCTATAAATTTAACTCAAGACAGCTTTTGTAGTTCAGTTAGATTCAAGGTCATCTCAAGGCTTTTAATTACTAACCAGGAATTGAGGAGGTTTGTACCCGCTATAGTTGAGAGAAAGAGCAGCTGGCTTATTCATTTTCTTATTAAAGAGCATTATAAAACCTATCTTGGCAAATTACAAGTTTCTGATCACCAGTGGTGAGCACAAAGCAGCAAAGCAAATGATCTTCAAATGTTCATGTTTACTTTCAATCAACATAAACTTTAACAATGTCTAAAGACTACTTAATTTTAATTTCAGCAAATATGACTTATGCTTTAATAAAAAAATGTATAGATAGCTGGATTCCCAAAATGTTCCTATTTCCATTCTGAAATCAGACCTGTTAAAAACTGTGAATGCCCTTCAAATTAGCATAAGATTTATTTAGATTCTTTCACCATCAAACACTGCACAGGATCAGGATAGAAACTAGCCACTGAGGAACCCATGCAGATTTCTAAAGGAATGCAAGTTTAAATTCTCTCTGCATGTACTTAATTTCTATTCACACTCAGGTATAGGTAGGTCTCAAGACACATTAAAGACTGTGGGAGATGATATAATTGTATTAGAAGACACACGCACATCAACTTATCATCCCGAGATTTTTAGAGGCAACCAGAGAAGGCTCTAGGGTGTCTCTGCCACCCATTCACCCATATCTATAAGAATTCGAAGGTAGCCTCAGAAGGGTCCTTAAGCACAGCTCTGACCAGACTGGAGATGCTAGGATGAGGGTGCAGGGCAACATTCTAGTGCCAGAATCAAAAAGAAAAAAAAAGGGCGGGTAGGGGGGGAATGACTCTCTCTCACCCCAAAATGATAAAAAGCAAAGAGCCTACCCACAGTATCTCAAATTCTATCTCAAGCACCAGGCATTTATTAAAATAAATAAGTACTGCTGGCAGCCCTGGATGTTGGTATGCAAGGTATCTCAGTGTAAATTAAAGTAGTTGTTGGTGAGGGTACATTGAGATAGACACACACTTCTCAAAATTATCCCCCAAAATAAGCCAAGATAAAAGCAAGCACAAGATGGTGTGAGAAGTACTATTATAACACTGAAAAAATAAAACCTATCTAAATGGCCAGCAATGAAAAACAATGGGCTGTCATACAGCTATCGAAAGTTTCAAATAACTTGATGTTCAATGAGTGAAGTTTATAACAGGAGAAAAAACATTTAAAATTAAACAAAAAGCAGAAAACGTAATAGTATATACTGTATGACTAAAAAAATGCAAAAAAAAAAAAAAAACCTTGGATTTGAGGTCTAGAAGAAAATGTTAATGAAAGTTGCTTAGTGGTAGGATTATAGGTTATTTTCCCTTCGTTTTCCATATTCTCTTCAGTAACCATGCATTAATTTTAAAAACACTGGATTCTTAAGCAGCTCACATCTTAAGAACCAAAGGACCTAAGGGCCACAGGCAATTCAAGCACAGACAGACCCTCAGAAATCACAAGTATTTAAAACCTAAATATACGATGCAGCTGTATCTTTCCTGCTTTTATTTATATGCAAGCACTTCCAACTGTGTTTCCCAGGGTATGTTCCTTAGACAACGCTTTAACCCTGCTTTCCAAACAAGGCATTTGAAACATCGGGTATTCTCCAGCCAGGAGTCCTTATCTATGCTCTGAAACTAGCTTTGGAGAATAAATTTACAGTGTTTCACACACTTCGGCTTGCTCAGTATTTATTTTTTGATGGGCACACTGTACGAAAAGCAAACTTATTTTGAAATATTTTGAAAAGGCTCGCAGCAGATAGGAAATTTTATCTCCAAATGTTAAATGCACTTCTTCACAGCAGTACTTTCAGCAACTGCTTGCAGTCAGTTCTGAATTCCAGGGAACCAAAGTATCTCTCAGATTCGATCTGTCACCAAGAAAGGGAATATTTTTTTGTGGGAAAGCAATTGTATTTTCCCACATTAGGTGATTGATTAAGTTCTCTCCCTAAAAGGCTGATTGGTTTCCTGGTGCCAGTAAAATGATTGATGAATATTTCAACTGCAGCTACCCTGCTACACTCTTCACTTCACCCCTCCCCCATGCACCTCTCCCCTTTCCTGCTGGGTTCCCTTTTTACAGACCAGCAGCATTTAAGGAAGTTTCCCTTCTGTTTTGCAATTTCCCTTAATGAATCAACGTTCTCAAATGAAGCGCATTTAATCTTAGGAAGACAGCACTCTTCTCAATGCTGAATGAGTTTTGCAGATAAATATCCCATTACAAGGAATGAGGAAAAACTCTAAAATTAACTATGAGTTTGACTCAGCAAATGAAACTGTACTCAAAAAAGAGAAAGTGTGGCATGGAGGGGTTATAAATGAAAAAAGTGATCTTGTTTAAACAACAAAAATACTCCATAATTTATTTCAAATTTACATTACAAATTATCATAACATCAGAACTGTAACTGTAAACATTTCTATAAGGCAGACTCAAAGAATGAAATTTACAGATAAATTATGGGATCTCACAGACTTTAAAGCAGCCAAGGGTTCTAAAGCAGAACAGGGAAACAGTTTGGTAAATGTAAATATTCTCAGAGGGATGATTGAACAGTATCTGACATCAAAATCATCCCAGAGAATGTGGGCAGTCAGTACCACAGCTATTTGCTTTAGGCAGAACTTTTCTAAATTGCAACTTCCTGTTTTGCCCAATTCATTCCATCATAAACCTGGAAAATCCTTTCAGGGATTATCTAATTTAGCTCCTCCATTTTTATAGGTGGACCCACAGAGACATGCATTTGAGACAGAGCTAGAATCAGATCCTAGGCATAAAGTATCTCCTGGGCCTCATAACTCCTCAATGTTTGGGCTCCTCTCTAAAGTCTTTTCCTATTCAAACTACTTTGCTAACATAATCTATTAACCCACACTGCCTATCCTCTTTTACATCTTTCTCACTATCTCTCTTTTCATTAGGAAATCACCTTCTGTATTTTATAAATTTTGGACACCTAGCTCTTATATTTCTTTTGTGAGACAGAATTTTAAAAAGGTACATGGGACAAAGGCCACCTTTTCCTAAACTGCATTCCCGAATACAGTCAAGCAAACAGCCACTAGTTTATTGGCCATCTCGTCTTAATCTGGGATATCTAGTCACTTTAAATTACAGGAGAACCATGTTTCCAAACAGAAACTACATTCTAGTTCCAGGAGGGCCTATCAAACCTTGGATTTAGCTTAAACACACTGCTTGACTTAGATATTGGCCCCAATTTCCTCAAGTAGCTGAAAAGCACATTCCTTTCCCTTATATTTTGTAGACTTACTCTGACTACCAGCAAGGGACTCTGAGATAAGCAAAAGGCTCATATTCCTGACTTGCCTCTTTCATTCATTCAATATTCATGGAACACCAATTCTCAGTGCTTAGGATACAGATAAAAGACATTGTACTCCTGCCTTGAGTAACTCAAAACGCCTTCATTCCTTAGCACCCCTTGGGTTCACCGAAGATTGTCCCTGATTTGGCAAAATTGTTTTCTGGCCAAAGGCTTATTAAAACCAACATGAGGCCAGGGGCTGTGGCTCACAGTTGTTAATCCCAGCACTTTGGGAGGCCAAGGCGGGTGGATCATGAGATCAGGAGTTCGAGACCAGCCTGGCCAACACAGTGACACCCTGTCTCTACTAAAAATACAAAAATTAGCTGGGTGCGATGGTGGGCACCTATAATCCCAGCTACTCAGGAGGCTGAGGCAGAAAAATTGCTTGAACCCAGGAGGTAGAGGTTGCACTGAGCCAAGATCGCACCACTGCACTCCAACCTGGGTGACAGAGCTAGACTCCATCTCAAAAAAAAAAAAAAACAACCACCATGAGGTGGGATGCCGAGGCAGGCAGATCACCTGAGATCACAAGTTCGAGACCAGCCTGGCCAACATGGTGAAATCTCGTCTCTACTAAAAACACAAAAATTAGTCAGGCATGGTGGCGGGCACCTGTAATCCCAGCTGCTCCAGGGGCTGAAGCAGGAGAATCACTTAAACCAGGGAGGCGGAGGCTGCAGTGAGCCAAGATCTCGCCACTGCACTCCAGCCTGGGAGACAGAGTGAGACTCCAACTAAAAAAAAATAAATAAATAAAAATAAAAATAAAATAAAAGCCAGCATGAGAGAAAAGAAAAAAGTCACTTGCAATTCTAAGAGTGGGTCTTTTTGGCTCTCTAATCAATAAAAGTTGAATTCTGGGCCTCTCCAACATAGATAAATGCCCCAGATTCTCAGGTTTTTGCTTTTAGGCAGATACTATGCTTGGCAATTTACAGACCTTGTCTCTAATCCTTATAACCCTACAGTCAATTTCAGAAATGTCAGAGTATATTGGAGAAGAGGGGATGTTAAATCTATGAAACAAATTATTAATGCTGTTACTAGCTGCGAAATCTGGAGGTTTAAACTCTGTGGGTCTCAGTTTTCTCCTGTAAGATGGGGATAACAGAACACCTACCTCAGAGTTAAGACGATAAATATACATAAGGTGTTTAGATTATAAACACTATGTAAATGTTAGCTATTAATGTTAAATGAGAACACTAAAGTTCAGAGAAGTCAAGTGACAAAGTCGCATAGCTGTGATCTTTGTTAGGCCACACTCCAGAGTCCCTGCTCTTTGCCTCACACCATCTAACCAAAATCCTTCCTCCCTGGATGGGACTACTATTGCCATTTCCAAAAAACAAAGCCCTCTAAATGCATGTCAATGGGGGGCTTCCCCCAGGTGGTTTATTATCCTGCTAAAAAGGCATCTTGGGGGAAGGATTCCAAGAATAGAGAGAGGAAGTCTCCTGACAGGTTAGACTTCAAGGGTACAGAAAGAATATGGAAGAAAAAAGCCAAATCTGTCTCAGTTATTAGGTTTCGTAATTAAAGCAATTTAACTCAACTGAAGAATGCAATTGAAGATTTCACATGAATCTTCAAATCCAAACATTAAGAAATAAAAGAAAGGCTTGTATTTTCTTATAACTAAGCTGCAATCCCCACAAAACACAAAAATGTTTTCAAAGGTACATTACATGAAACTCCAAGAATATCAAGATAATTAGAGCTCTTAGGAAGGAAGCCCAAATAATTATCTCACTGATCTTTCAACACCTATCCAAGCTTCACCTTGAGTTCTGATGCGGTAACTCCTTATTTGTTATTCACATTGTTATGTGACATTTCTTCAGCCAGCAAGCCCACTACAGGATGAGTTCTACCTAGTAACTACCCTAAGGAGTAAATTTCTAACTCTTTAACAACACAGTAATTGACTTACACTAAAATGTTACTCACACTAGGAAAGGATATTCTTCGACCAGAGGAAGAGATGCCTCTCCTATACAGACTTTATTACCATCTCAGTGAAAACCAGGTTAAAAGCAAACCAATTTACAAAACTGCATTACCGAAATCACAACTCTAAGACTCAGTGAAGCCAAACATGTCTAAGGAAAGCAAATAAGCAAACTATTCTTGATGGAAGTTTTAAAAAGCACGATAGGATCTTTATCTCTTATAAATTGTTCATTATTCTATAGCAATGACTCTTAAGAAATTCTGTTGTCAGATTTATTTCCACAAATGTAAGTCTACCCTTGGTGAGGCAACTGGTTCTCTTGAAAAACTGCTGCCACAAGACAATTATCAGTTAAGCAACAGGTTTCATGTAGCAGGTAACAAAAGCTTTATCAGAGAACTCAGTGAGAGTGCACTACCACACATTTCATGTATTCCCAAGCAAAGAAAACTTAAAATGATATGAACTCATTTTCAATAAAAGTAGCTCAATTATCGAGGGAAGTAAGAAAACTCCAAAGTAAAAAAAGTACTACTAATGGTATCTGGTGAAGTCACCATCTTCTTTACACATTTCGTTAGTTCATTTAGACCTGGAGTTCTCATATATTTATGCCTGAGTGTTCTTCAGGATCCCTTTTACACTCTTAAAAATTATGAAGGACCCTAAAGGGTTGATATTTATGTGGCTTTGTCTATTGATATTTATCATACTGGAAAATAAACCTATGAAAAATTTAAAATATTTGATAATCCATTTAAATTTAATAAATTCACGTTAGTACAAATAACATTTTTATGAAAAATAAAATTGTCCAATAAAACATAAAAATTAGAAGAGTGGCATTGTTTTACATTTTGCTAATCTCCTTAATATCTGGCTTAATCCTAGCAGCTAGATCTCCTATCTGTTTACCCATTCAGTATATTGTGATTTTTTGTTGTTGTTGAAGCACAGGCAGAAAATCTGGCCCCACAGATTTATAATCGGAAAAGGAAGAAGTATTTGCTTTTTAAAGTAATTGTGGATAGTCTTCTTTGATACTACACCAAAACTCAATTAAGTGGTACTTTCTTAAAGGTTAGTTCAGTGTGAGTTTAAAACCATATCAATGAACTATGTGTAATCCGTTACATTAAAATCCATTGATCAATCTGGCATTTTGAACAGATCTCTTAGCTGTGTAGGATCCTGTAATATCACACATAGATCTTTTGGAAAATACTGAATTACTGAGATATTCAGATTTTCAAAATGTTGACACATTTCATAACATCGAAAATCATATTTATTTCATCATCCATCTCATCAGAAGACATTAATCATTGGGAAGCTGTCAAGCTCTTAGTGGCAAGTACAAGTTTTCCAAAACTAATTGTTGCTTGAAAGCTCAAATTTTATTTACTGGCAACCAATACTGTCAGTTTTCCTTGATATGACAGACTCACTGTTCGTTTAAGAAAAAAATAGTCTGCCAAATGCCCAAGGCTGAATCAAGTATAGTTTAATTATTTCAAGTATTCCATGAACAAAAGTAGCTGGCTCAGATCACAACATAATCACACAAGCACTTTGTCTTAAAACAACCATTTTAGTTTGCACCAGAAGTGCTTGGCATGTACTTTTCCATTTTGTCACACAGAATATCAAAAGTACATGTACTCAAGGGTCAAGATTTAATCATCATTTTTACTGCTTCATCAAGGATGACATTAAGTGGAAAAGTCTTTTTGAAAAATACAAGTGCATGGAAGTGAAGAATATAATGACTACTAATACAGTTTGTGCCTTGATTTCTGGTAAGGGACCAACAGTTTTTACTCACTATTGTTTCTGCAAAATCAGTGTAAATGTCAATACAGTAAAAAAGGCAAATGATGTCTTAGCATTACGATTAAAATATATTTAAGAACATCCTGAAAGGGTCTCAAGGACCCCCAGAGGTTTGCAGACCACACTTTGAAAATCACTGGTTTGGATGCAACCATAAATAAATTTAAGGACTCAATAAATGGGAAGAGATTAAGTTTGAAACAAACAATAGTAATGAATGGTCAAAGAATGACAGAAAATACAATTGAGTACTACTTCATTATTTGTTTATAAATTTTAAAAAGCAAGGGATGAGGAAGGGGGATAAAGTACATAAGGCTACACAGAAGTGTTCTGTCTTCTAGCTTTTCTTTCGTGACAGAAAGACTAAATTAGATAAACTGGAATTAGCCATAATAAAAAGAACATTGCATCTGATCCAGTGGAGCATAAGGAATTAAAAGACTGAATTTTTAATTCTTCCAAGGTGATACAGCTTCATACAGCTTCATGATTGAAATGGGGACTTGAATTAATAAAACTAGTTTTAAAAATGAAAACTGCCAGGCGCGGTGGCTCATGTCTGTAATCCCAGTACTTTGGGAGACTGAGGCACGTGGATCACTTGAGGTCAGGAGTTCGAAACCAGCCTGGCCAACATGGTGAAACCCTGTCTCTACTAAAAACACAAAAATTAGCTGGGCATGGTGGTGGATGCCTGTAATCCCAGCTACTCAGGAGGCTGAGGCAGGAGAATCGCTTGAACCCAGGAAGCTGAGGTTGCAGTGAGCAGAGATCGCACCGCTGCACTCCAGCCTGGGCAACAGAGTGAGACTCCATCACAAAAAAAAAAAAAAGAAAAGAAAAAACTATCTGGTTAAGCTATTCCCTTCACTGATTCAGTCTATGCTTCATTTTGCGGTAGATTTGTTACTAAAATGTTTCCTGAGCTCTAAACTATGGGATTACACCTGAAGGAAACATCATAGATAAAATATCACAGGAAATCTAATCAATCATCTCTTTTTTTCATCAGTGTTTTAGAAGAAAATAGAGAATACAGAAATTTGGGCATTACAATGATGGGTTGGAAGAGCAAGCAGAACCCACTCTTAGACCTCCAAAATGCTCTTATACACAGATCTAAAAATCCATGATTCTATGAAATGTAAGGAGGAACTGGAAATAAAAAGCTGGGAAGATTATCCATCTTTTTCACATGAAGAATTTAGTTGTGCATTTCTCTCTCAAAATATGAATCTTGAGTATATTTTTAATGAGTTATAAATTGTTTACAATGCAAATAGTTGTTCAAGCAAATATCTGTTAGATACATTCTCTGCTAATAATACCACTACAATTCCAATGTGCTATAGCTATTACTCTAACAACTCCCTTAATCACTATTACCAAATTTTTAAAATAATTTCTCACTTGGGCAGTGAGTGCAAAGTCACTATTCTGGGTCAAACCACCCACAGAGTATATCTTCAAATCAAATGCCTGGATTTGTTTCCCTGAATACATTACATGTTGCTGCCCAGGGAATTGGTTTTAGAAACATTACACCTGCCAGCTGACTTATCAGCAGGGCCCATAGAACTGACACCAACTTAAAGGCAAGAATCAGTCCAGAAACAGAAAAATATACTGCTACTGCCATCTGTGGTTTATGCTTGAATAGCTTCTCTGGTGTAAACAAATTGAAGGGTGTAGAGTTTACAATTAGAATCCAAAGGCCTCATCATTTAAAGACACTTTTTTAAAGTTAATTCTTAATGTAACGAATTGTATGGTTTATTTAGTATAAGACGTAAGAATCCGTGATTCTGTATTTGAGATTATATAATGCTGATGGAGAAACCACAAACTACCCTGAATGAAAACTACTCCATTGCATAACTTTATTTGTCCCAAACACACACTCCTTAAAGAAACTCAGAACACTTGAAGCCCTCCTGTGAATTTATAATTAGAATCATTTCTCTTTTGAAATCGTGACTGTCAATATTAAAACAGCCCCCGAAATTTTTAAAGCAAAAAAATTTTAGGAAATCCAGGAATTTTCTATTTAGACGTAAGAATTTGGCCAGTTTGCTTCTGTCAAGATAAAAATTTGGGAGTTCAATTATTCCTATAATTTTTTTAAGAACAAAAATTCCAAAATGCAAATGAAGTTTCAAAGTAGGCTATTTTCACAACGTATTTTCTCTCAGTTTGCTTTCTCAAATGACAACCACTGTAGCTTGGGGATCAAAAGATTTGGTGCAGCTGGGGGTGGGGAAAAAAGCAATTCAGCTCCCCAGCAGCCGGCTGAGGAAATCCTGGTCCGCTCCCAAACTAAATCACTGTTAATTAGAATTACCGGGTTACACTAGTAAAGTCTTATTTAAATAACTGTAACCACTGAAAAAACTCTGGGTTTTTTTGAGAAGCTTTTCTACAAAGGCTGCTGTTTAATAGCAGGTAACAAAGAATGAAGAACGAAATACCGTAGGAAATGTTTTATTCTTTCAAATGATGCTCTCCTCTTTTTCCTGTGGCTATTTCTCCGCCATACTGAAAAACAGGTTAGACATCTCACAGTGGTTTTCTTCTGATTTTCTATTACTTACTAAGGGTGTTACAGTCTAACACCCTTGTCTTTTTCTTAAAGACAAGCCATGTTGGAAAACAATCAATGAACAAAAGACTGGGCTGGATTCTAGAAATACTGTATATCAAAGTTACATCTAGAGACGTTTTTTAAATTTAAGCTCAGCTGAATCTGAAACTTAAGCTCTAAAAAGCTCAATACCCAAGAAAGAATTACCTGCTCAGTACCAAACCACTTTCTTGCTCATTTTTAATAATTCTGGTATTTCTGAACCCTAGTTATCGAAGGCATCCATAAACCCTTAAGAAATTACCTGAGCCAGGAAAAAACTTTAATTAAAAAGTTAAGGTTGATCTTAATGCAGAAGTGTGAAAAACATTTTCCTTCACAACTTAATTGGTTTTGGAAATGCTCTCAAAGTATTACAAAGAGTTGGGTATATCAGATCACTACTTATGTGGGCAGATTAGATAGCTACCTTCTGTTAAAAACTGTTTCAAGCACATTTATTCTTTATTGAAATACAAGCGTGTTTATCTGTTGATTCAGAACTTTGATTTTTCTAATTCTGACCTTTTTCCCACATGACTAGAATCTGTTTTTACACATGAAATAAGGCACTTTTACTGTCCTACTTAAAAAAAACAGACTGACCCAACAATGTAAAATTTACTCTAAAACACATCTTCTCAAGTGTCACTTTCAACTTAATTATTATGCATGGAAAAATACTGAACAGAAAAGTGTCATTAATTTGGCTATAAATCAAAAATAAACTTAAGAAGCAAAGATTATGACCAGCCCCAAAGATCTCGATGAATTTGCTGACAATGAAGTCTCCTAATGTGGGAGAATCTATCCTGGCTTTATGCAATTCTTAAGCTAGAAGTTGCCATCTGAACACAATTCATTAACAAACCAATTTTTCAACATAACCAATAAATAATATCTACCCAATTATAAAAATGAAGTGGTAAATCTTCCCACTAACACAAATGAAACACAGCTCCAAGCTCCAAAACATGCAAGCATCATTAGCAATTTAAAGCCAACTTGCACAACAAACACTAGGGGTGGTATAAGAAACTTCCTCTACCAATGTTACAGCAACAGTTGGCATTTCTACCTACCATCCTCTACTATTCTAAAATGTGGTATTTTAATCTAAACTCTATTTTCCACCTTTGCCCCAAAACCCTAGGAAAAAAGTAGGGAATGAGAAACCAGAAAATTCTAAATAAAATATGGAAATGCATGATTTGGACATATTTTTGGAAATTTACCAGCAGTTATTTTTTTCATTAGCTCCCCATCCAACTCCCTTTCATGTACTAACACATGTGCCTTGCATACACCTTTTTGCTACGGAAGTCAGAATGAATTATAGATTAGGAATCATGTCATCATATTTTGGTTACATGAATCAGAACTGCTGAATGATTTGGTGGCTTGTACACTGGAGACTGTAAATGTGGTCATCTCCCACCTCAGCTATGCAAAATCACCAGTGAATTTGCTCACTGTCGCCTTTCTTCTACCCTAGCCGTCTTTGGAGGTCACAGAAGCTACAAAAAAAGAAAAAAAAAAAAAAAAGAAAAACCTGCGTGCTGTATGTACTAAGAAACAACAGTACTACAGCATGTTTTTGGTTTTGTTTTTTTCTAATGGGAGTAGGAAAAAATTCTGGGGCAACTCAGAATTAACTTAATTTTTTAAATCACAGAACTGAAAAGTTAAATCATCATGGGAAATATTTGCCAATTTATTTTCCAGCATAAACATTTGGACGGCATGGTTATAGCAGAAGAAAAAGGCACCGTGCTATTCAGTGAACTTCTCCCCATTTCCTCTAAAGTGTAATTACATAAAATATGCTTTTAATTACTTATAATGGCTTATAACCTTCCTTTGCCTTCCTTTGCTTTAAATATTTAAAAGTATATTCCCTCATTCTCTTAAAATGAACAAATGCAATATTCAGCATACACTTCCTCAAATCATTCATCTTCCTTTGAAATCCCAAAAGGGAGCAGTCCTCTATTACAACTAAATGAGTTCATGTTTGTTATGAAAACCTACAAGCAACAACTGAAAATAGCGCAGTCAGCACAGGGAATTCCTGGAAGGATGATGGTGCATCAAAAGGCTAGAAAGAAACTCTGTTCTGACAGAATAAAAACCATTCAAAGGACTGTAAATTCAGCATCAATGGTGTTTCCGGTAGGAAAACATTTCTAAAATGCCACCTCCAGTTTATTTCTTCATGACAGAGACCAAAAGACCCCCTATCTGTATAGTTGTCTCTTGAAAATAGTTCATATAAAATAGAAATCAGTCACTAGGAGTAAAAAACAGATAATTCATTTCTTTTCTACTCAGAACAAGCAGTTTCATATATTTTTGGAGAAAAATATTAATTAGGAAGCAAAAAAGAAAAAATGTGCCCATTGTTCCATAGGCAAACTTAAAAAAATTTTTGGCAATTCTTCTGTGAGCATGTTAACTTCATAAGTGCTAATGAACATAAATTGTAAAACATTGCACAATGCTAGTTTTTACACTGAAAAATATCCCACAACGGTCTAGCGTCTAGTGTATTTTAAGCCCATCAAGCTGCCAAAAGTTCCCATTGTATTTTCAGCAAAAAGAAAACATCTGTACCACTAACTTAGACTAATGTAAAGCTTTAAAGCCACCTTAGTCTAAATGGATTGCTCGATAACATTCTTTCAAATGGTTCTGACCAATTGAGGAAATGAGACTATGAATGGGAAATCTGATTAAGAGTTAAAATTACCATTGAGTTCTTTAAAATGTACTAATGAATAATTAATAACAAATGCAGTTCTTAGGTTTCTCTTACAACACTATTATTCTCAAGTAGAATTGAAAGCAATATTGCAGTAAATATTGAATTGCAGTAAAATCCGTCATCTACATTATATGCACAGGTGGGTACAGGAAGTATTCACACATAGGAAGGCATCACAGAAATATACACGCTAATATGGGATATAAGATAGGTTGGGGTTTGGATTCAAAAAAATCAGCATGGGAAAATTTAGATCAGGATTTACAACACTCACAAATTAATACCAAACCAAATCTCCACACAAACTAGCTTAAAAAGTCAAAGGCATTAAAGAAATCCTTTGTTCCTATTATACTGTCTCCTTCTACCCTAACTGGATTCCAGCTTCCCCCTTTGTGACACGGAATTTTATTGATCTCAAACATGTTCACATTCAGAAATTAGTTGCCAACGACAGCCCACGGAACGGCCAGCCACCTAGCCATCATACATCATACACAAATTAAAAAAAAAAAAAAAAGAGCTCTGAAAACACATCATTATTTTTAAGATCAGCAACATCAAGTGAAGTTAACCAAGCTCTCTTCTACACGGACTTTTCCCTTTTGTAAAAAACACCAGATCTCCTGAACTAACAAAATGTTTGACTAGTTAATAAACGTATGAAGGCACGGATCCAACCCAAGATTTCCACCGTCTGTAGCTACTCACTCATTCAACAATTGAGCGCCTAACTGACCTATTTTCAGGTTACTTTCCTCACACCTGCCAGGTCACTGTCCTGATTGAGAAACCTCTTGGTGAAGCAGTTAATTTTTAGTGCCTCCTAACTGTCCCGGGTGTTTGCATTCAATTTGAAATCTGTTACTTGTTAGACACTGTTCGGTCCTAGATCTCTCAGAGAACTGCGAGTTTATGGCGCAGCGAGGGGAGGAGGCACTGATCTCTGAGAGCCTCCCTTTATTCGGAAATGAGGAGATGTGAAAGGTGGAAAACAGGGCAAATAAATAAATCGGGTTTGCCGCCGGAGCGTTTGCCGGCCGGTGCGAGCACCCTTTGTAATGCAGGCCTCCCGGGGCGATCGCCTGCGCTAATTGCTCCAGGGCGCTTTCCAAGTTCAAAAGTTCACCTTTTACGACCTCACAAAAGCTCCTAACACGTTACCAATAAAAACATTCCGCGGCAAACACCGAGGAGGAAAATATCAAACAGATACAAATAAAACACCCCGCAGGGGGAGGGAGCGAAGGGGAGGAGGGCGAGGAAGCCCCGAGGAACCTGAGGACCCGGCCCGGGCGAGGGGGCGAGGGACGAGCGGTAGGAAGGGCCGGGCCAGGTGAGGGATTCTCAGCTCCCAAGGTCCCGGATCGGGACAAGAAAGAGGAGAACTGAGACTAAGAGGTGGGGACCGGGACCTGCCGGGCAGAAGCCGGGAGGAGGCAGGTGTCCGGGGCCCCGGGGCGGGCTGGAGCCCTCGGCCAGGGAAAGCCGTTGCCTGGCGGAGAGGGGAGCTGAGCAGGGGCGGAGACCGGCCAGAGCGCGCGGGGCGTTGAGGAAGGTGAGGCGCAGGGGAAGCAGGAGGCGCGAAGGGGTCCGAAAAAGGAAACGACTGGGGGATGTCTAGCGAACGGGGGTTCGGCAGAGGTGGGGGGCTCGTAGTATTCAAGGAAGAACGCTCGAGGCTGCAGAAGAGGAAAACGCTCTAGAAAGCTGAGCGGTACAAGGGTGCTGTGGAGTCGGGTCAACAGGGCAAGAAGGGAGCGTCCTCGGTGGGAGGAGGAACCCCTGTAGGGGAAAAGAGAGGCTCTGCGTTAAGGGAACCCGAGTGAGGGGATGCCCCCACTGACGGACCGCGGTGGGGACTTCCAACCTGAGGAGCCCGGGGGGAGGGGAAGGTTCGGTGCTGGGAAGACAGGGGGAGGGGACCCGGGGGGAGGAGGGAGGATTGGTGCTGAGGGGACGGGGGGAGGGGAAGCCTGTGCAGAGGGGACGGGGGGAGGGGGAAATGAAGCTCGGTGCCCAGGGACCCGGGCAGGGGGAGGGTCCGCGCAGAAGGGAACAGGGACGAAGGAGGAGGATCCACCCTGAGCGAGACCGGGGAGGAGAGGGAGGGTCCGCGCCAACGGGGAACGGGGTGAAGGGCCACCCTAAGGGGCCGCGGGGCCGCTGCGGCTTCCCAGGGCGAGGGTCGGCAGAGAGGAGGGGGATCCCTGGCGGAGGCTCAGGAAGCCGGTTCCTGCCTGGCCCGGGCGTCGCAGGCCCCTCACCCACCGTTGCGCGGCGGCGGAGGGAGCGCGGCGGGAGGCTCCAGGAACCCCGCCGAGCCCCCGCCGCCTCCCCCTCCGCTAGGCGGCGGTTCGTCCCGCTCCATGCGGTGGTGCCTAGGGTCCGCGCCGGGTTTGTTGCTCCGCCATGACCGGCGCCCTAGTCGCCGTGGTCGTCGTCCGCCGAGGGGAGGAGGTTGTCAGGAGCCCGCGAGCTCCCGGCCGCGGCTCTCTCTGGGCCCCGAGCCGCCCGGCTCCGCGCCGCTCCGCGCCCCTCCGCGCCGCGCCCCCTCAGCACTGGCCAGCTCCCTCCCCTGACGTCACACGCCGCTGCCGCGCAAGGCCCTGCGGGGCACGCTGGAAGTTGGAGTCCGCTCAGCGAGGCCGGCCACGCCGACCGCACCAACTGAAGGGGTGGAAGGAGGGATAAGAAGTCCTGAGAAGGGAAAGCTAAAGTCTGTCAATATCAAGAACCATGACAAAGCGTTTGATGTCTATGTAGTAAGCGGATACTTCCGGGCCTTGTCTTGATTGTGATTTCTACCTGATCAAAGTTCCCTAAGAGTCCTCGTAACCCCCCACCCCAACAATGAGTCTTTGCGAGGAGGTGGATCGCGAGGCAGCCGGGTGAGCACGTGCAACGAAGCCCAGCCCTGTGGGCGGGGCCCTGGAGGCGGGGCTTGAAGGTACTCACGTGGGCCTCTCCCTGCCGCTGCGGGACAAATTGGACCGGAGATTAAAGGACCGGAGTTTAACTCGAGGTGACTGCGTTCGTATGCAAATGGAATATATAAAACTCTTCTTTCCGGGGTAGTCTTTAAAGACTTTTTACCTCCGGGTGGGCGGCAAAGACTAAAGTTTCCCCTCCTCCCCTTTCATTTTCCCCCTGCCCATAGAACAGATGGGCAAACTAAGCTCCGGGCCATTGGGGCTATTAAAGAAAGCCCTAGGCTCTTGACCCCAGGTGTCTTGAAACCTTCCGTTTAAGAGGGATCCCTTGCCCAGCCTTGTTTGCCTTCCCCTTTCCTCAGTTTCCCTATCTGTAAAAGGGGGTTGGAATAAGGACAGGATCAAGTTGGAAGATCGCAAACCCCTGCCCCTCCCACCTCAGTTTCCCGAAGCTTTCCGGAAGCAAAATCCCGAATTTTGCAGCGGCTCCCGGCCGAATCCACCCGCTGCGGCCACCAGGTGGCGCGCGGCCACCGGTCACTAGGCCCGCCGGGGTGTCCGTCTTCGGCGACCCCATCGGGAAAGGATTTCGCTGCTGCCGCCAAGGGTCTAAGGCCTACCTGGCCCACTTGAAGACAAAGAACGAGAACGTTGGTGCTTTGCCCACTTCTGCTCTGCCGGATTATGCTGCAGCTTCCTCGGTGGCCGCTCATTCGCCCTCTCCTGCCCCACCCGCCCCACCAATCCCTTAGCCCTTTTATTTTTTTTTTGCCTAATTTTAAGTCCTCGTCCTGGCATTCGCATCCCTGCTTGGCCTGACCCTTGCCCACATTTCGCACCATACCCCGTCCCTCACCTGCTACGAAAGTTGCAACGCTTCTCTGCACTTGGGGGCAACTGGACCTTACCAACCCTGGTGAAACTGTATTTCATACGTAATCTGGGAGACTTACATTAACGCTCTGCCGTCTAAACCTCATACCTGCTCTATGAGATAGCAACAATATTGTCCCTTTCCAGCACTGATGAAGTCCACCAGAAGTGATGGGGATTCCAGCTCCATTCTGTCACACACCAGAACCTTAATCCTTGGCTCCTTCAAGCTGGAACGCGGCTGACTTCACCTGACCCACTCCCAAACTCCTATTCATCTTTCAAGATCCTGTTCAAATGTTTCTTCAGTGGCATCTTCCTTAATACCTTCCACCGAGGGACAACTAGATCCCCTCTGCTAGGTAGCAGTGTTTCAGGAGCTAAACCCTGTGACTAAGAGAGGACGGCCTGCCATTCCCTCAGCTGTGGGTTCTAAAATACTTTAGGACCTTGCTGGGCGCCGTGGTTCATGCCTGTAATCCCCACACTTTGGGAGACTGAGGCGGGCGGATCACCTGAAGTCAGGAGTTCGAGACCAGCCTGACCAATATGGAGAAAACCCGTCTCTACTAAAAATACAAAATTAGCCAGGCGTGGTGGCGCATGCCAGTAATCCCAGCTACTCAGGAGGCTGGGGCAGGAGAATCGTTTGAACCCAGGAGGCGGAGACTGCGGTAAGCCGAGATGGCGCAATTGCACTCCAGCCTGGGCAACAAGAGCAAAACTCCGTCTCAAAAAAAAAAAGAAAGAAAAAAAAAGTCAGGACCATCTGGCCTTTCTCAGGAATCTACCTTTTTGTCACAGGTTCTGGTGGTAGTGAGTTCTCTGTCCCTGGAGATGCCATCAGAGCCTAAGTGGCACTGCAGAAACGTGCAGCCCTGGAGTTTTGGTAGTTGATGAAGATTCTAAGTCAACCCTCTTTAGATGGGCAGAAGAGTTCAGCCAAATGCTCAGCCCCTGGAAACAACTCCTCCAGTCCTTCAGACTACAGCTCTGTTGTCCCTTCCTTCCATAAACCTTCCCACACCTCCCTGACTAGTCACATCCCTTTATTCTCACTCATAACCCCAACTGCTGAGTACAGATCTGGCACATAGTAGGCTCTCAATAATTGCTGACTGGGTGAAAGAATGGATAAAAACAGCTAACCTTAGGTGAGTGACTTCTGAGCCTCTATTTCCTGTCTTCTAAGGGGATGGGTAATAATGATAGTTGCTACCTAGCAGGAATGCTATGAGAATTAAACGATGCTTGCAAAGCAATTAAAGGTCTGGCCTAATAAATGGAACCTCTTACTAATGTTATTTAAAGAGTGGTTCTAAATCTCAGATGCATGTCTTCTGAAAGTGCTTCTGGGAGGAGTCAAATACCACAAGACTGAGAAAAACAAGGGAAATGACTGTGCTAGAGACCCCAGCCACTGTCCTAAGCATTGACAGCCCAATGAACTAAGCACTCACTATGAGTCCAGCACCTACTATGGGGCCTTTTATCTAATCTCTCTACATTTCTTCCAACAATCCTAAGAAATCAATACTTTCTCCCCCAGTTTAGAAATGTGGGGACAGGTTCAGAAAGATGAAAAAGACTCTGCTACCACCTGCAGGACTCAAAAGATCTGGAAAGGAATGTGTCTAAGGGTAAGGAGGGATCTTAGGGGGCTGTGGTTCTGAGGCCAGAGGCAGCAGACAGACGGGACCAGACTGGGATACAGCTAAGAACAAGGCAGGCATGGCCGGACATGGTGGCTCACACCTGTAATCCTAGCACTTTGGGAGGCCGAGGCGGGTCAGATTGACTGATCTCAATCGGGAGGGATGACTAGAAGTGAGACTAGGTGGAGAGGAAGGCTTTCAGGTGGAAGGAACAGCATGTGCCAAGGTCCCAAGGCCAGCCAGATCACGGCTTGGCCCATTTGAGGAGCTGGGAGAATCTGTGGTGACCAGAGCCCACTGAGAGAGAGAAGGGTAAAGAGGAGGCAGCCAGAGATTATCAGGTCATGTGGGGGAACAGCCAGCAGGGGGCAGAGTTCCTCTAGTGACGGCAGCCTTGCTCTTCCTTGTCCTGCCTAGAGTCAGAGCAAGGCCGCAGTTCATCAAGAAAGGGCTTGGGGAGGGAATCCCCCCTGCCGGCTTCGATTTCTTTTAAGTACGCTCTGTCCCGTTTTTGAATACATAGGACACACACATTACAAAACCCACAGGATGCAATGAAAGTTCTTACTCCCTGGATCTCCTTAGAACCACCGTGCTGACTTTTTGCATTGTTTTTCAGATAGTCTATGTCCATAAGAACATACACGATATTTACTTTTTACACTAATCTAGCCCCGGTTTTGATGCCTCCCAGGGGATCTCTAGTTATAGAAGAAGCTTATTTGTGGATGGGCACAGTGGCTCATGCCTGTAATCCCAGCACTTTGGGAGGCCGAGGTGGGCGGGTCACGAGGTCAGGAGTTTGAGACCAGCTTGGCCAACATAGTGAAACCCTGTCTCTACTAAAAATACAAAAAATTAGCTGGGCGTGGCGGCAGGCACCTGTAATCCCAGCTACTTGGGAGGCTGAGGCAGGAGAATTGCTTGAAGCCGGGAGGCGGACATTGCAGTGAGCCGAGATTGCGCCACTGCACTCCAGCCCGGGCGACAGTGCAAGACTCTGTCTCAAGAAAAAAAAAAAAAAAAAGAAGCAGCAGCAGCTTATTTGTACTCAGTGTGTGCTTTGCACAGGGTTCTTTAATTCAGCTGAGAGTTGTAGAGCACCGTACCTTGTGCCAGGTCAGTGGTTCTCAAACCCTAAGCCCCCTGGAGCCCTGGAGGGTGTGTTAAAACACAGATTGCTGGACTCCATGCCCAGAGTTTCTGATTTTGTGAGTCTGTAGTGGGGCCTAAGAATTTGCATTTCTTTTTCTTTTTTTTTTCTTTGAGAAGGTCTCGCTCTGTCACCCAGGCTGGAGTACAGTGTCACGATCTTGGCTCACTACAGCCTCTGCCTCCTGGGTTCAAGTGATTTTTGTGCCTCAGCCTCCCAAGTAGCTGGGACTACAGGCATGTGCCACCACGCCCAGCTAAGTTTTGTTTTTTGGGTTTGTTTGTTTGTTTTTGAGACAGAGTGTCACTCTTGCCCAGGCTGGAGTGCAGTGGTGCCATCTCGGCTCACTGCAACCTCTGCCTCCCGGGTTCACAAGCGATTCTCCTGCCCCAGCCTCCCGAGTAGCTGGGATTATAGGCATGCACCACCACATCAGCCTAATTTTTGTATTTTTAGTAGAGGCGAGTTTTCACCATGTTGCCCAGGCTGGGAGAGTTTGCATTTTTAACAAGTTATCCGATGATGCGGAGGCTGAGACCAAGGACCACACTTTGAGAACCACTGAGTTCAATGTTCATGGGGAGAAACTAAGAATGTGCCCTAGGAAGTCATGCTCCAACACAAGGAAACAAACACACCAACAAGAAAGACAGTCCCATTGAGCAATAAATTCTATGAAGAAAATGAGACCAAGCATGGTGGCTCACACTTGTAATCCCAACACTTTGAGAGACTAGGGTGGCTGGATTGCTTGAGCCCGGGAGTTTGAGAGCCTGGGCAACACAGAAGACCCCATCCCTAAAATAAATACAGAAATTAGCCAGCATGGTGGCACATGCCTGTAGTCCAAGTTATTCAGAAGGCTGAGGGAGGAGGATAGCTTGAGCTGGAAAGTTGACGATACAGTGAGCTGTATTCGCAACACAGCACTCCAGCCTGGGTGACAAAGGAAGACCCAGTCAAAAAAAAAAAAGGAAATGCTGGGTGCAGTGGCTCATGCCTGTAATCTCAACACTTTCGGAGGCCAAGGTGGGAGGATTGCTTGAGCCCAGAAGTTCAAGACCAGTCTAGGCAACAGAGTGAGACCCCGTCTCTGCAAAAAAAAAAAAAACTTTAAATTAGCCAGGTGTAGTGGTGCACACCTGTAGTTTCAGCTACTCAGGAGGCTGAGGTGGGAGGATCACTTGAGCTGGGAAGGTCAAGGCTGTAGTGAGCTGGGATCGCACCACTGCACTACGGCCTGGGCAACAGAGTGAGAAAAATAAAAATTTAAAAGCCGGAAGCTACTGGAGTTTGGGAGCCGACAGGAGGGATTCCAGAGGGAAGGAGAAATGAAAGACGGAAGACAGGTTGGGGTTGCTGAGCCTTGGGAAGGCTTACAGCAGTCAGGTCCCTGTCCAGAAGTGGGTGAAATCGGAGAGCGCAAGGGCTCACGTGCCCTGGGAACATCCGTCTCTCATGCGAACTTTACAAACACTCCAAAAGGAAAGCACGAGTCCCCCATCTTACAGATGAGGAAACTGAGGCACACAGGTGAAGGGACACGCCCAAGGTCCCACGACTCACAGGACAGGACCTGAGTCCGTGAGAGGAGCCCACGCGCCTCGCCCTGGCCCCGTTGCTCCTGCCGGCTGCGATCGAGACCCACCCTGGCGCGCGGGCAGGGATGCCCTTGGGAGAGCCGCCCGACGACGGGGAGGCCCCGCGAACGGCGGGCGGGGCGGGGCGGGGTGCCCCCTCCGCCCTAGCTCCGCCCCTGGCGGCGCTGGAAGACCCGCGGGGCTGGCAGCAGGGTGCAGGCGCGGGGCGCGGGGCAGGCAGAGCGGGCGAAGGCGCGGAGCTCGCAGTGCAGCCCGCGCTTCCCAGCGTCCGTGCCCGGCCGCCTGTGCCTACCGTGCCCGTGGCGCCATGGCCGCTGCCGCCCTCCCGCCCCGGCCGCTGCTCCTTCTGCCGCTAGTGCTGCTGCTGAGCGGCCGCCCCACGCGCGCCGACAGTAAGGTACGCACGCCCCTCGGACCCGCGCGGCTCGGCGGGTAGCGGGGCGCGAGGGGGCGCTGTGGCTGGGGTGCGGCCCGGGAGGGAGCCCGGGGCCAGGGCGGAGGAGCCGGGAGCTGAGAGACCGAACCTGGGACTTCTCAGCACTGAAGCCGCAGGGGCAGGGGCCCCGAGAGAGGGGCGCGTGGAGGAACAAGCGCTGGAGATGTAGGGATGCTAGGGACCCGGGGCCTGAGGAAGGGGCGCTGGGACCGGGTCCGATTCCCGGAGGGGTCGGGGGATTTCCCCGGAGTGCTGGCCAGACTCGGGGTTCGTAGGGGAAGCTCCTGGCAACTGTTACCCAACGACTCCCAGGCTTGCAGCAAGCCCTGGGCCACGGCTTTCACGGCCCGCTGGGGACTGGGGGTCTTCTCTACCCGATGAACGCAGCCGCGCTGGCCACTCGCCTGGCCTCTGATGTTCTTGCCAGGGACCGGGTGCACCCCCTGGAGGACTAGGTAGCTCCAGAAGTGGTCTGAGCTGTTCTCTGCTGTGGCTAAGAGGATCTGCTCTGGTGTCAAGCCGACCTGGGTTCAGTCGCACATCCGCTTCTCATCCGCCATCGCCCATCTGAGCCTCCGTCTATTCACCTGTAGATACAGGGAGAATCATGGGACCCACTTCCTGCAGTTGATGGTCTCTAGATGCGGTGTGGTCATGCCTGTAAAGTACTTAGCACTAGGCCGGGCGCGGTGGCTCACGCCTGTAATCCCAGCACTTTGGGAGGCCGAGACGGGCGGATCACAAGGTCAGGAGATCGAGACCATCCTGGCTAACACGGTGAAACCCCGTCTCTACTAAAAATACAAAAAAAAGTAGCCAGGCATGGTGGTGGGCGCCTGTAGTCCCAGCTACTCCGGAAGCTGAGGTAGGAGAATGGCGTGAACCCGGGAGGCGGAGCTTGCAGTGAGCCGAGATCGCGCCACTGCACTCCAGCCTGGGCGACAGAGCGAGACTCCGTGTCAAAAAAAAAAAGAAAAAAAAAAAATACTTAGCACCAGAGCACTTGGGGTGTTCTGGAAATGACTCCCTGATGGCCAGGTTCAGTGGCTCACACCTGTAATCCTAGCACTTTGGGAGGCCAAGGCAGGTGGATCGCTTGAGGCCAGGAGTTCAGGACCAGCCTGGCCAATATGGTGAAACCCCATCTCTACTAAAAATACAAAAATTAGCTGGGCGCAGTGGCACAAGACCAGTCTAGGCAACAGAGTGAGACCCCGTCTCTATAAAAAAAAAAAAAATTAAATTAAATTAGCCAGGTGTGGTGGTGCACACCTGTAATCCCAGCTACTCGGGAGGCTGAAGCAGGAGAATCGCTTGAACCCAGCAGGCGGAGGTTGCAGTCAGTGGAGATTGCGCCAGTGCACTCCAACCTGGGGAACAGAGCAAGATTGTGTCTTAAAACAAAACAAAACAAACAAAAAAAAAAACGGACAGACCTTGGGGAGAGTGAGGAGCAGGACCAGAGCCCTGGTCACAGAGCGTGAGGGCAAAAAAGTGACTTCCAATACCTCTCCAGCCTCTTTCCTGGTAGAATGTGAGTGTCCTGCCTGCCCACGGACAGATAAAAGACAGAAGCCACTAGCCACACGGTGAGTATATGAGCAGTGGGCACTGGCCAACTCTCAGCCTGATTCAGCTCAGGGCATGAAAGCACCCACGTACAACGCTGCTCATGTACTCCAGAGACAAGGAGGGAATGAGTATTTTTTCTAATTTACAGGTGGGGAAACTAGGGTGTTTACAGAGGCAGCTGGCTTGTACATTTAAAACCCTAGGTTCTGGCCTTCCTCTGCTATTCTTCTGCTGTGTGACCTTGGGCAAATCACTGCCTGTCTCTGGGCTTCAGTTTCTTCATCTAAGAAACATCTCCCCAACCTTCCTTCCATATGGGGCCCTCTGGGATTCCCTGATCTGGCTCAGGTATGATGACAAGTGAGTAGAAAATCCTAGGTAACCTGATCAGTGCCTTGTCACCACTGGGATCTCTGGCTGGGAGGGATATTTGGTGTTGGGCATCGTCTGTGCAGAGAGCTGTAGAGCTTGTGGGGGAGAGCTCACATTCTAAACAAAGCAGAGACAAAGAAAACCCAACACCCTGTTTGTGTAGTGAGTCAGCCAAACACTTGCTAGGTTGTGTGTGTGTGTGGTGGGGGGGGGGTGTTTAGCTGTCCCAGGACAAGCTGGGGCTGGTGGGGTGGAGAGGCACAACCTAGAGCTTGCAGGATGAACAGCTGGGGGACTCAGCACAGCCCTCCCCCAGACACCTCCCACCCCCAAACCACTTCAGCCAGCTGGGAAAAATAAAAATCAAGTGATGGGTGAATTTACTCTGCATTCCTTAGCTGAGCCAGACTCCTGCTGGCTCTGCAGAGAGAGCTGTTTTCATTATCACTCGCTCCTTCCCCCATCACAACCCCGCCTTCCTCTCCAAGCCCATTCCGTTTTCCCTGGGGTGGAGGATGAGCCCTTCGGAGGGCCAGCCTGGGACTTGAAGTCAATGTAGGGCCCTAAAGGGTTAAGTTGGCCCCTCCTTGGGCTTCCTGTTCCTGGGAGCTCTAGTCTGCCCTCTGGCCCAGCACATTCAGGGGTCCAGGGCAGCTCACCCCAGGACTCTGTTGGTCTCCTTGGCCAGCTCCTTGCTCAACGTGTTTTCATTTCATGTTTATAACTAGGTCTCTCCTAAACTGGATTTTGAGTTTCCATCTAAGGAAGTGCTTTGTCGGGGCTGGGAGGAGGAGGGGGACCCCACAGCTTCCCTGGTATTTCTGAAGGGCTGCCCAGCACAGAGGTTGGAATGGACAGGTAACCACATGACACCCAGGCATAGCACCGCAGACCTCTGGGGAGCTGCTTCTTGCTGTGGGTTCTTGGAATGTGACTGAGAATTTTCCATCTCTACCTCAGTTTCCCCATCTGTGAAAGGGCTGCCGGTGCCTCACTCCCTCCAGCATCAAGGGGTGGGGAGGGGGTCTTTGGTCAGCCTGCTGATCAGGGGCCCAAGGACAGAGGGAAGCCCAAAGGACTGTGGGAGCCCAGCCAGGGGAGCAGGAGGGGCTAGAGCAGGCAGGCGGTGGTGTCCGGGGCTGGATCAGATGTTCCAGGCCAGGCTAGTCCCGGGGGTTTAGGTGTTGCTTCGCCTCCGCTCCGGGAGTTTCCGCCTGTGGGTGTAATTGGAAACAGGCTCTCCGGCAGGCGAGGGCCACATAGTGATGGAGTCCTCCTTCGACACATCAAGACTGTGAGGCCAGGCCAAGCCCTACTGGGTGTCTCTGCAAGGAGGGTCTTATCCCAACACTCCCTTTGGCTGGGGCATCTGGGGCAGAGCCTTGAGGAGCATCGTGTGTGCCAAGCCATGTCCCCAGCACTTACATGCAGAATCTTACACATCCCTTGTGCCAACACTCTGAGGCTTCAGCGGCCCTTCCCCATTTTATGGTCTTGAACACTGAGGCTCAAAAGAGTCTGATTGAGGTTGTTCAAAACTCCTAAACAGAGGGAGCCTGAGTAGTTGGAGCCTTGGAGCCTCTAGGAAGCATCCAGATAGGCTGGGGAGCCGGAAAGCGTCTGAACCATCGGGTTAGAGCAGGACCCAGGCATCTGCAGCTCCCAGGTGCACCCCCAGGCAATTCTGAGGCATGGCCCCCAGTTGGGAACTCATGGAGGGAGTAGGGATCCATGGAGGTTTGTGGAGCAAGAGTAAAATAGATTACCAAGGAGGAGCTTTTGGGAGATTCATCAAACACAGGAAGCTGCTGTGTTGTCCAGGTAGCAGTTAATATGGCCCGAACTAGGGCTATGGCTGTGGAGTGGAGAGCAGGGGACAGAGGTCAGAGATATTTAGGATGAAGGGTCAGAAGAACACGATGACTGACAGATTATCCAGGGTAAGAAGGAGGCTCAGAGATCCAGGCTGGGCAGGAGGGTAGGTGGACATGGGTCTGGGAGAAGAGGCTGGGTCCAGTCTTGGAATGGATTGAGTTTGGGGTACCTCTGGGCAGCCAGGGGGAGGTGCCCAACTGGCTACTGTGCTCTTGGGGAGGTCTTTGCCTCATGGTGAGGCGGGGCTGGCCATGAGGAAAAAGGGCAGACCCAACTTCAAGATGACACAAGTTGGGCGGGCGTGGTGGCTCACACCTGTAATCCCAGCACTTTGGGAGCCCAAGGTGGGCAGATCACCTGAGGTCAGGAGTTCGAGACCAGCCTGGCCAACATAGTGAAATGCCATCTCTACTAAAAATACAAAAATTAGCCGAGCATGGTGGCACACACCTGTAATCCTGGATACTCAGGAGGCTGAAGCAAGAGAATCACTTGAACCTGGGAGGCAGAGGTTGCAGTGAGCCAAGATCGCGCCATTGCACTCCAGCCCGGGCAACAGAGCAAGAATCCGGCCAAAAAAAAAAAAAAAGACACAAGTTGAGTCTATTCAGTTGCTGGAACATTTCACAGCTTGAATGCCCTCTCCTCCACTCTAGCTAGACTCATCCATCTCTCTGCAGAAAAATCTCAAATACACCTTCATCTCACTGTGGAATTTCCTTGCAAATACCTGAGTACCTTTTTAAGCACAAACCACTCCTAGTTCTGGGGGCTTTGGCATCTGTGTGTGCTGAGCAAGGCTGCAGGGAGAGATGCAGGGCCAAGGCAGGGACTTTCCTGCTTGGCACAACTCCAGACTTCATGCCAAGGGCAGGGTGGGCTGGGCCTAGTAGGAGCCTCAGGTTCTATGCCCCCCAGGGCCCCCTCTCTACAGACCCATCTGTCCCAGCCCAATTGCTCAGGGAGAAGCCCCTGCCTGGTGACTGTGGGTGGCCATGAGAGGGGCAACATGTAAACCAAGTTTTGGAGTCAGGCCATGCTGTGTGACCCTGGGCAAGCCCCTAGTCTTCTCTGATGCTCAGCTTTCTCCTCTCTAAGGTGGGGTTATGGTGAGAACACAGAGAGGTAGAAAATTGTGAGCAAATGGCAGGAAGAGTTATCAGCAGTGATTCTGATAGCAGGTACCCCTTAGAGAGCAGCTCTTCTGTGCCAGGTGCCATGCCGAGGCCCTGCATGCGTTGATTGTTCAGACTCACCATGAGCTTATGACAAAGGGACTGTGATTCTTCCCATTTTACAGAGGAGGAAGCTGAGGCTCAGAGGGGTCAAGGCCAAGCAGGGAGGAGGTATGGGAACTGGGACTTAAGCCCAGGTCTGGCTCTTCCCCCTGGCGCTCTGCTGCCCTCCAGCCAAGCATAGGATGTAGCAGTCACAGGAAGGGGGACCCTGCCTGGGTGCCTGGCAGCTGGCACTGGGAGCAGAGGCCTTATTCCAATTCCTGGCCCAGGTCAGGGCCTTGGCCGCCCCCATCAGGAGGTAGCACCTCATCTGAGGAGGGAAGGAATGTCACGGTCCGATGTGGAGGCAGCTGCTGGTGCGGGTGGGTGTTGGGAGTATGGGTGAGTCCCCAGGAGGAGGCTTCCCTGGCCTGGCCACACAGAACACACCCACATCTACCCGCTAGGCTCTTGACCCCATCTGGGGGAGTGGGTGGAGTGGCAAGAGATTCCAGCAGAGCTGGGAAGGGGACCCAGGAGTCTTGAAGGACAGGCAGAGTTAGGGCGCTAACTCTGAGGAATGTACAGGACCCTGAGCCTGACTGTTGGTGTTCACAGGCAGAGAAGAATTGGCCCAGAGTTACACTTCACCCACCGAGAGGCCAGGACACACCCATAGCTAGCCACCCTCCTCCCCACGCTCCCTGCCTCTTACTTTCCCCTGCCCCTCCGCAGGCTGCAGAAAAAGCAGTGGGGGCAGGCATGGTAGCTCACGCCTGTAATCCCAGCTTTTTGGGCGGCCAAGGTGGGAGGATCACTTGAGCCCAGGAGTTTGAGACCAGCCTGGCCAACATGGTGAAACCCCATCTCTACAAAAAATACAAAAATTAGCCGGACATGGTGGCACATGCCTGTAGTCCCAGTTACTTGGGAGGCTGAGGTGGGAGGATCGCCTGATCCCAGGAGGTCAAGGTGTGATAAGGCCACTCCACTCCAGCCTGGGTAACAGAGCAAGACCCTGTCTCAAAATAATATTAATGATAATAATAAGAAGAATACTTCACACTTAAGATGCACTCAATATGTGCTAGGCCCTGTTCTTTACTTGTTTTAACTCACTTAATCCTCACAACCACCTCATGATGTGAAAGCCCATGTTACAGATGAAACAGAGGCACAGAAATATTAAGTTGCCTACAGTCTCACTGAGGCTCCAGATGCCATGCTCTTAACCTTGTGCTCTAGCATGTCTACAAAATGCAGGCTCATTTACCCAACAGATATTTACAGAGCTCCTACTGCAGGCCAGGCAAGCACTGTTATGAAGACATAGCAGGAAACTAGACAAAGGCCCTGCCTCTAATGGTACCTATGGTGTGGGGGAGACAGAATATACACAAACTCAGATCTCATATTTCAGGTACTAATAGGTGCAGTAAAGAAAACCAAGTCACTAGATGAAGGGATAGAGAGTAACAGGAGGTGAGCAGTCAGGGAAGGCTTCTCAGAGGAGGTAACATGTGAGCAGAGAACTAAGTGATACAAGGAAGTAAGCCAGGGAAAGATTGGGGGATAGGAGTTTCTGGGGAGGGTATGGCATATGCAAAAGCCCTGAGGCTGCAGTGGAGAGAGCCATTGAAAGGGAAGGGCAATAAGGAGCGGTTCAAGGGAGAGTATCAACTCACATGGGCCTTGAAGGCCACGGTAAGGGCTTTGAAGGTCACAACACCTCCCCAACACACAGAGGTAGTTTTTTTCTTTTTTTTTTTTTCTTTTTTGTCTGAGACAGACAGAGTCTTGCTCTCTTGTCCAGGCTGGAGTGAAGTGGCACGATCTTGGCTCACTGCAATCTCCGCCTCCCGGGTTCAAGCGATTCTCCTGCCTCAGCCTCCCGAGTAGCTGAGATTACAGATGCCCACCACCACACCCGGCTAATTTCTGTATTTTTAGTAGAGACAGGGTTTCACCATGTTGGCCAGGCTGGCCTCGAACTCTTGACCTCATGATCCACCCGCCTCGGCCTCCCAAAGTGCTGGGATTACAGGCATGAGCCACTGTGCCCGGCCAGAGATATTATTTAAAAGTGTAATGCATGTGAAACCTGGTATATAAGTGATCAATAAAAGGTCTCCATAATTTTTATTATCATAGTAAAACAAAATAACAAAAATTATCATTTTTAAGTATACACTTCAGTGGCATTTGGTACATTCACAATATTGTGCAAGCATCACCACTATCTATTAATAGTTCCAGAACATCTTTGTCATCCCAAAAGGAAACCCCATACCAATTAAGCAGCCACTCCCCATTTCCGTCTCTCTCTAACTCCTGGAAGCCACTAATCTGTTTGCTGTCTCTATGGACGTGCCTCTCCTGGATACAGCATTTCATATTAATGGAACCATATCATATGTGGCCTTTTGTGTCTGGCTTCTCTCACTTAACATAATATTTCAAGATTTATCCATGTTGTAGCATGAATCAGTACTGCATTCCTTTTACTTGTTTTTTTTTTTTTTTTTTTTTTTTTTTTGAGACGGAGTCTCACTGTGTTGCCCAGGCTGGAGTGCAGTGGCCTGATCATGGCTCACTGCAGGCTTGACCTCCCAGGCTCAAGTGATCCTCCCATCTCAGCCTCCCTAGTAGCTGGGGCTACAGGCATGTGCCACCATGCCCACCTAATTTTTGTATTTTTAATAGAGACAGGTTTTCACCATGTTGGCCGGGCTGGTCTCGAACTCCCGACCTCAGGTGATCTGCCCGCCTCAGCCTCCCAAAGTGCTGGGATTACAGGCATGAGCCACTGTGCCCAGCCCTACATTCCTTTTTATGGCTGAATATTTCTCTATTCAGTTGATGGACATTTGGGTTGTTTCTACCTTGTGGCTACTGTGAATAATGCTGCTATGGACATTCACTTCCAAGTCTTTGTTTGGATACCCATTTTCTTTCTTTTTTTTTTTTTTTTTTTTTTTTTGAGACGGAGTCTCACTCTGTCACCCAGGCTGGAGTGCAGTGGCGCGATCTCGGCTCACTGCAAGCTCTGCCTCCCGGGTTCATGCCATTCTCCTGCCTCAGCCTCCCGAGTAGCTGGGACCACAGGCGCCCGCCATCACGCCCGGCTAATTTTTTGTATTTTGTTTAGTAGAGACGGGGTTTCACCATGTTAGCCAAGATGGTCTCGATCTCCTGACCTCGTGATCTGCCTGCCTCGGCCTCCCAAAGTGCTGGGATTACAGGCATGAGCCACCGCGCCCGGCCTTTGGATACCCATTTTCAATTCTCTTGGGTATATACCCAGGAGTAGAATTACTGGATCTTATGGGAATTTTATGTTTAACTTATTGAGGAATCGCCAAACTTTTTCACAGCGCCATTAATATTTAAATTGTCGAACCAGGTGAGGTGGCACATACTGTAATCCCAGAACTTTGAGAGGCCAAGGCAGAAGGATCACTTGTGGCCAGGAGTTCAAGACCAGCCTGGGCAACATAGTGAGATCCCATCTCTACAGAAAATTTAAAAATTAGCCGAGTGTGGTCTCATGCACCTACAATCTCAGCTACTTGGGAAGCTGATACAGGAGGATTGCTTGAGTCCAGGAGTTTGAGGTTACAGTGAACTATGATCCCACCACTGCATTCCAACCTGGGCCAAACAGCAAGACCCTCTCTCTACAAACAAAACAAAACAAAACAAAAAGACTGGGCACTGTGGCTCATGCCTGTAATCCTAGCACTTTGGGAGATGGAAGAGGGAGGGTCACTTGAGCCCAGGAATTCAAGACTAGCCTGAGCAACATGGCAAAACCCCCTGTTTACAAAATATACAAAAATTAGCTGGGCATGGTGGCGCATGCCTGTAGTCCCAGCTACTAGGGAGGTTGAAGTGGGAGGATCACTTGAGCCTGGGAGGTCAAGGCTGCAGTGAGCCATGATCAGGCCACTGCACTCCAGCCTGGGCAACAGAGAGAGAGCCTGTCTTTAAAAATACACGCACGGGCCGGGCGCGGTGGCTCACACCTGTAATCCCAGCACTTTGGGAGGCCGAGGCGGGCGGATCACAAGGTTAGGAGACCAAGACCATCCTGGCTAACACAGTGAAACCCCATCTCTATTAACAAATACAAAAAATTAGCCGGGCGTGATGGCGGGCACCTGTAGTCCCAGCTACTCGGGAGGCTGAGGCAGGAGAATGGCGTGAACCCAGGAGGCGGAGCTTGCAGTGAGCCGAGATGGCGCTACTGCACTCCAGCCTGGGCGACAGAGCAAGACTCCGTCTCAAAAAAAAAAAATACACGCAGAGACGTAGACACACACACACACACACACACACACACACACACACACACACACACACAGAGTTGTTATTATTATTAAAAGGGCTTCACCACCTCTAATTGCACCCCCTCCTACCTGCCAAACACTCTCATCCCAAGGCTGGCTGGCCAGCTGGCTTCTGCCATCTCTCCCTTCCTCCCTGCCATAGCACTGCCTAGCAGCAACTCACTGGAGCCCCTCTTGCCCCCCGCAACAGGTGTTTGGGGACCTGGACCAGGTGAGGATGACCTCGGAGGGCTCCGACTGCCGTTGCAAGTGCATCATGCGGCCCCTGAGCAAGGACGCGTGTAGCCGAGTGCGCAGTGGGCGGGCACGCGTGGAGGACTTCTACACGGTGGAGACTGTGAGCTCGGGCACTGACTGCCGCTGCTCCTGTACCGCACCTCCCTCCTCTCTCAACCCCTGTGAGAACGAGTGGAAGATGGAGAAACTCAAAAAGCAGGCGCCCGAGCTCCTCAAGGTAGACTTGGTGGGGTGATGGAGGGAGTAAGGGCCTATCATGAGCTGGAGCCTGCTGTCCTGCCAGTGAAAATTCCACACACTCTGTGAGGCGAGTGGTGTTACTGCCCCATTTCACAGATGAGGAAACTGAGGCTCCCTGAGGGGAAGTCACTTCTTGCCAGGAAGTGACAAAGGCAGGATTCTTCTGCTAGTTTATCACCTATTCCAGTGTCTTATATTTTACCCAAACCAATTCATCCATTGGCACCTAGCTATACTTTACATTTTGTGGCAGTGGGTTGTTTTTATTTTATTTTATTTTATTTTATTTTATTTTATTTTATTTTATTTATTTCTTGAAACAGAGTCTCGCTCTGTCACCCAGGCTGGAGTGCAGTGGCACGATCTCGGCTTGCTGCAACCTCCGTCCCCGGGTTCAAGCGATTCTCCTGCCTCAACCTCCTGAGTGGCTGGGATTACAGACGTGCACCACCACACCTAGTTAACTTTTGTATTTTTAGTAGATACAGGGTTTCACCATGTTTCCCAGGCTGGTCTTGAACTCCTGACCTCAAGTGAACTGCCTGCCTCGGCCTCCCAAAGTGCTGGGATTAGAAGCATGAGCCACCGTGCCCGGCCTTCTCTGAGTTCTTAAACCATACTGTGAAATATAGGATCATTTCCTCATTTTAGAGGTGAGAAAACCAAGGTTGAGAGAACTTAGGTAACTTGCCCAACCTCACATAATGATGGGCAGCCTCCAATCTATGCCATACTTTTGTGAGAATTAGAAACCTTCGGCCGGGCATGGTGGCTCACGCGTGTAATCTCAGCACTTTGGGAGGCTGAGGCTGGAGGATCACCTGAGGTGAGGAGTTTGAGACCAGCCTGGCCAACATGATGAAACCCTGTTTCTGCTAAAAATACAAAAAATTAGCCAGGCATGGTGGCAGGTGCCTGTAATCCCAGCTAGTCAGGAGGCTGAGGCAGGAGAATCACTTGAACCCAGGAGGCAGAAGCTGCAGTGAGCTGAGATCTCACCACTGCACTCCAGCCTGAACGACAGAGCGAGACTCGGTCTCAAAAAAAAAAAATAAAGAAACCCAGGCCGGGTGCAGTGGCTCATGCCTGTAATCCCAGCACTTTGGGAGACTGAGGCGGGTGGATCACGAGGTCAGGAGCTCAAGAGCACCCTGGCCAACGTGGTGAAACCCTGTCTCTACTAAAAATACAAAAATTAACCCCGCATGGTGGTGCGCATCTGTAATCCCAGCTACTTGGGAGGCTGAGGCAGGAGAATTGCTTGAACCCAGGAGGCAGAGGTTGCAGTGAGCCAAGATCGTGCCATTGCACTCCAGCTTGGGCAACAAGAGCAAGACTCCATCTCAAAAAAAAGAAAAGAAAAGAAAAGAAACCCTTGAGCCTCCCATAGGAAGATGAGAAGAGACACCACCTCTGGGCAACACAGCCCCAGACTAGGGCCCCCCACCAGGACCCATGGTTTGGTTAGACATGTCTGGGGTAGATCTCAGTCCCCACAGCCAGTGAGCACCTTCATGCCATTTGTACCATGCTCAGCTAGGTGCTCAGTGGGTCTGGTGGAGCTAAGATTTGAACCCAGGTCCTCCTGTGTCCAGAGCATGAGTTCTAAACCACCTTGCTTTCCTGTCTTCCTTTTTGTAAAGGACCAGATTGTTTGGTGTCTTTTGGTTTTTGCTTTTTTTCTTTTTTGAGGCAGGGTCTTGCTCTGTTGCCCAGGCTGGAGTGCAGTCGTGCAAACACAGTTCACTGCAGCCTCAACCTCCCAGGCTCAAGCAATCCTCCCACCTCAGCCTCCCAAGCTGGGACCACAGGTGCACACCCCCAGGCTCAGCTAATTTTAAAAATGTTTGTAGAGATGGAGTCTTGCTATGTTGCTCAGGCTAATCTCAAACTCCTGGGCTCAGACAATCCTCTCACCTTAGCCTCCCAAAATGCTGGGATTACAGGCGTGAGTCACTGTGCCTTTCCAGTTTGGTGCTTTTTGAAAGTATGTTTTTCTTTTATAACTTCTCCCTCTATTTTGCCTGTTTGGTGTCAGAAACTGTGGAAGGTCTGAGATGTTACCCTACTTGTAAGCTAACAAGTTAGCCTGCCAGTTTCATGGAAGCTGGCAGAAGATGCAGCCTCCTGGTTCAAAGACAAAGGACTTTATTACAGCAATTGCCAAGTTTCCCCGGCTCCAATTGCCATGGGCTAATGCAGTGAGGGTCAGATAACACCTGCATGTATAATAAGGTGTGTTACAGAAAGGAGCCCTGAGCTTAGAGAATCTGTATCTTTTATAATGGGCACCAAGGATGCCTGCCCTTTCTTCTGGAAGGAAACAGTGTCTCTGTCTTCCAGGGCTGTTCACTCTACAGCTAGATGGCTCAGCACAGAGACAGTCAGTGCCTCTGCACGCAAGTCATGCAGAAAAGCAAGAGATCTGGGAAGAACTGTCTCCCAACATTTGGCTAAAAATGTTTTCTTTAAATTCAACTTCAGTTTTGTTTTTGTAACGCCTGAATGAATGCCAAGCTCTCAAAATTGGGTGGGGAGTCAGGGGGAATGAATTTTAAGCAAAGTGGCATCTTGACAGCTTGGCAGTCCCTGGATCACACTGTCTACATGGGTCTCACTTAGGACCCTGCAGACTCAAGGCACCCAGGCCATAGGCCAGTCTTCAGTTACAGGAACAAACCCAATTTCTGCTCACGTCAACTTCTCGATAACTGAATATTGTACACATGTTTGACATGAGGACACAAAGCCCTTTCATAAACGCTGGCTAATTTAATTCTTAGCTAATTTAATCCTTGCTACAACCCTTTGGAGAGGGGACTTATGGTACCAGCTTTACTAGTGGGAGAATCTGAGGCCCAAAGAGGGGCTATGGCCTAAGATCATATAGCAAGAAAGTGGCAGTATTAAGATTTTTTTTTTTTGAGACAGAGTCTTACTTTACCGCCCAGGCTGGAGTGCAATGGCGCGATCTCAGCTCACTGCAACCTCCACCCGGCTCCCCCTTTCAAGTGATTCTCATCTCAGCCTCCTGAGTGGCTGGGATTACAGGCGTTCGCCACCATGCCCGGCTCATTTTTTTTTTGTATTTTTAGTAGAGATGGAGTTTCGCCATGTTGGCCAGGCTGGTTTCAAACTCCTGACCTCAAGTGATCCACGTCCCTCGGCCTCCCAATATGCTGGGATTACAGGCATGAGCCAAGTATTAAGATTTGAACCCAGGAATTCTCTACTTTGTCCCCTGCCCACTGAAGAATCGTGAGACCACCTTCTCAGCCAGGAGCCCACAGTCCCTTAGGCCTTCTCAGTGCACAGCTGCCACAGGACTCTGGGTCAGCAGAACTGGCTTAGGATAAAGGGGGATTGACCCGGCAGGTGGGGCTGGAGGAGGAGGAGAGGATATGCTGCCTCACTGGTACCCCAAGGGTGGGAGTGGGTACACTTTCAGGGACCCCCAAGAGGAGAAGGCGGCAGAGGCAGTAGGAGACAGGGTTGGGGCTTCCTCCTGTTCAGTTTGGCTCCCCCTCTCTCAGCAGGACATTCTCTATAAGCATCCCCCAAGGAAGGAGGTTAAGGGGAGCCCACAGGATGGGGCTGGGGCACCTAGTCTGTATCCCACCCATCTCTACCCCAGCCCTTCCCCTCAAGCTAATAGCTCCAGCTGTGGTTTGTCCTCCGCAGCATGGCTGTGGTAGGAGAGATACTTTGAGTAGCATAACTACTGTCCCCATCTTGACTGGGGGTTGGAGGGTGCCTTTTCACCTCCCCACTCCTTTTTCTTCTTGATGGGACCAGACATGGCTCCTGCCTCGAGGAGTCCCCAGGCTTGTGAGGACACAGTTGCTGACCCCAGTAATGGCAGTATGATCAGGGACTGTGGCCAAGGGACATCCCAGGGACTGTGGGAGCCCCAAGGAGGGGATAGAAGGATAGAGCTGGGCCTTGAAGGACATGTAAGAGTCCCTCAGGCAGAGAGGAAAGGAGGGCATTTCTGGGTAATGGAAAGTGGGGTGGGTGTGGCATGAGCCTTCTCTCTTCTCTGGCCACGCCAGCACCTGTGACTTCCTCTAGCACAGCGCTTCTCAAGCTATCTGTGGTGAAGGGCCAGTTTTTTAAAGATTAAAGGTCTCTCAAGAACCAATAGTTTTGTAAAATGCTATACAAATGAATTATTAGAGAAGTGAAATGAGGCAGGCCAGGCGCAGTGCATCATGAGTGTAATCCCAGCTCTTTGGGAGGCCAAGACAGGTGGATCACCTGAGGTCAGGAGTTCAAGACCAGCCTGGCCAACGTGACAAAACCCTGTCTCTACTAAAAATACAAAAAATTAGCCAAGTATGGTGGCGGGCACCTATAATCCCAGCTACTTGGGAGGCTGGGGCAGGAGAATTGCTTGAACACGGGAGGCAGAGGTTGCAGTGAGTGGAGATCGTGCCATTGCACTCCAGCCTGGGCGACAGAGCGAGACTCTGTCTCAAAAAAAAAAAAAAAAAAAAAAGAAAGAAATGAAACAAAGCCAGACATACACAGGATAAATCTAGTGTTTTATTGTGAGAGTCAACAGATATAAAATTGCTCTGTCAAGTGGCTACAAAAGTTCCTAAAAAACCTACTCCCATTTTCTGTAATGACTGTATCACAGGCTGCTATTAAGCATTTTGAACCTGTGCTGCTCAGCAGATCGCACATTGAGTGGCATGGCTGGAAACACCATCCTTCTCCTCTCCTCCAGATCATAGCACAGGCTGCTCCCTTTACTTCACATGTCCTTTCCTGGGCATCTTTGCCTAATTAGTGCTCCTCCTACAGAGCTCGGACTGAACAAAACTTCCTCCTGGCAGCCTTTCCTGATCCACACCTGCGCCCGGAAAAGATCAGCACCCATCATTAATGATCTGGTCAACTGTGTGGCACTACCTGTGCCCCTGATTCTGGCACCTATGTGTCACTGCCTCTGTCCCCTGATCTAGGCACATGTGTGTTACTACCCGTGTCCCTGATCTAGGCTCCAGTGTGTCACTGCCTCTGTCCCCTGATCTAGGCTCCTGTGTGTCACTACCTGTGCCCCGATCTAGGCTCCTGTGTGTCACTGTGTCCCTGATTTAGGCACCTGTGTGTCACTACCTGTGTCCCCTGATCTGGATGCCTATGTGTCACTACCTTTGTCCCCAGATCTGGGCACCTGTGTGTTGCTGTGTCCTTGGCAGTCTGTGAGAGACCAGGGTGCCCCTTGGTCTTGCTTATCACTCTCCTCAGTGCCTGGCTGAGTAAGCATGTGCTGGCCTGGAGGAGGGTGGCAGGGGCAGATCATGGAGGGGTCAGATGCCAGACTCAGGAGATGAGAAGCCACATGTGGGCAGTGGGGAGACACAGAGGGTCATCTCGCAAGGGAGGGACCCTCGCCAAAGCCAGTGTTGGTGGCCATGAAGGCAGCAGAGTGAAGCTGGGATCTTCCCATGTAGCCCCTAGGAGGAGCCATCAGTGCTGCTGGGCTTCATGAAGCCCTCTCTGTGTCCACACAGTGCTGAGCTCTGTCCATACACTGCTGCTCCTTACTACGGCCCTATTGTCCCATTTCTTAACACAGAAAACTGAGGCACAGAAATGTCTATGCGCATGATTCTCAAATTGTGTTCCAGAGCCCCAGGGGTCCCATGCAGACCCTCGGGGCCAAAGCCAGGTTGTGGGAAAGCAGAGAAGCCACTGAGCCTATCTTTGCTTCCAGCACAGCCTCCCGCCCCCGTCTCTGTTTTAGAGATCAGCTTCTGCTCAAAGAAAAGCTCCCTGGCTTAAAACAGTTTGAGACCCCCTGGGAAGGTGGGAGTAAAACTGTTTTGGAAACAGCCAGCCAGGACCAGGCAGGAGCACTGGCCTGTGCAGGCCCTGGGAAATGCCGGAGGGCTCAGGGTGGGGCTGTGCGTGAGGGTGGGCCCGAGGAACTGCCCTTCCCAAGAAGCCAGGGAAGGCTGGTTTCCCAACCAGCCCCTTGTGCCAATGTCTCCCTGACACTCTGGCATTTTGGCCATCTGGAGGGAGTGTTATATCCTGATGAGGCGTGACAGAGGAGAGGGAGAGGGGGAGCTGTAGGGCAGAGCCCTGGGCTGGGCAAGGGAGGCCCAGCAGCTGCTCCAGGTCCTGCTGCTGACCTGTTGTGCAAGGCCCTCCCTCTCTCGGCTGCCATTTCCCCGTCTGACCATGACACAGGAGCCATAAAGCATGATAGGAAAGAGACGGTGATTCATGATATCTCCCCTGCCGAATGTTGGGAAAGAGACGTGGATTTATATGAATTTGGGTTCTGCTCCTGGTTCTACCGTTGAACAGCTGGGTGGCCTTGGGCAAGTCACTTGCCCCCTCTGAACTGCATCCATCTGTAAAATGAGGGTGAAAGTTGTCCATACCTGGTGTTAGTTTGGGCCACCAGAAGCAGGCTCTGAAGCCAGAGATTCATGTGCAAGTGATTTATTTTGAAAATATTCCTGAGCTGGGCGTGGTGGCTCATCCCTCTAATCCCAGTGCTTTGGGAGGCTGAGGCAGGAGGATCACTTGAGGCCAAGGTGGGAAGATCATTGTTCAAGACCAGCTGGAATAACGTAGTAAGATCCCATCTCTACAAAACATAAAACACTTAACTAGGCAGGATGGTGCACACCTGTAGTCCTAGCTACTCCAGAGGCTGAGGTGGGAGGATTGCTTGAGCTCAGTAGTTCGAGGCTGCAGTGAGCTAGGATCATGCCACTGCACTCTTTCCTGGGTGACAGAGTCTCTGAAAAACAAACAAACAAGAAAAGAAAATACTCCCCAGAGAAACTGGAAATGAAGTGGGAGACGCAGGGTGGGGAGAAGAGGGTATCCAAGTGAGGGTGTGGTCTTGGGAAAAGTGCCAGCCTCAGTCACATCCCCAGAGGATCTCTGGAGTGGGGACAACAGCTCAATTCATCCCCACTGGGGCTAGTGAGTTGGGATTATAGATGTCCATGTCACTAGATCATTGCCTCAAGGCAGCTGCAAGAGGACGTATACTCCCTGGCACTTTGGGGGCGAAGCAACTCTAAAGAGAGTCACAGATGCAGGCACATGGAAGCCAGGGACGGGCACAAAATCTAGTAAGAGGGATCTCAGAAGATCCGGACAAACTCCTCCAGTGCCCACTACACACCTCACGAGGTTGTTACAATGATTAATTGGTATAACTCCTTAAAGCCCCTAGCACAGCGCCTGGCACGTGGTAAGGGCTCAGAAGATGGAACCTGTGGTTTTTCTTGTGATTATTAGCAGGCTGGGGCTGGTGAGTGCTCAGGGCCCATGCCAGCCACTCTGAGGCTCTGGGGTTGTGGAGTTCTTTTTAATTTTAATTATTATTATTATTCTTTTTTTTGGAAGAGAGCCTCACTCTGTCACCCAGGCTGGAGTGCAGTGGCGTGATCTCGGCTCACTGCAACCCCCACCTTCTGGGTTCAAGCAATTCTCCTGCCTCAGCCTCCCAAGTAGCTGGGACTACAGGCACACACCACTGTGCCTGGCTAATTTTTGTATTTTTAGTAGAGATGGTGTTTCACCATGTTGGCCAGACTGGTCTTGAACTTCTGACCTCAGGTGATCCACCCGCCTGGGCCTCCCAAAGTGCTGGGATTACAGGCGTGAGCCACAGCGCCTGGCCCAGGTTCTGGAGTTCTCAATTGCAGCAGGGTTCCTTTTACCCTCTGTGTCTGGCCGGCCATGTGCTGCACTCTTTGCCTAACCATCCCCCTTCCCCGGGCAGCTGCAGTCCATGGTGGATCTCCTGGAGGGCACCCTGTACAGCATGGACTTGATGAAGGTGCACGCCTACGTCCACAAGGTGGCCTCCCAGATGAACACACTGGAAGAGGTAAGGGCGGGGCTGCCGCCAGAGGCCAGGCTGCTCTGGTGCTGGGGGCCAAGGGCACTGTCCGAAGGGGCCCCGGCAATCCAGGCTTCACCCTGGTGACCATGGGAAGCCAGACTCCAGCCAGGAGCTGGGGGAGGGAAATGCAGGCCACAGGGTCCAGCCTCTGGGGAAGAGGTCTAACTGGCTCAAGGGCCTGCAGGAAGCTGAAGTCTGAGTGGAGAAACCGAGGCACCTGCTGGTTGTATGAAAGGGGTTCAGAGGGAGCTGGAACTTGCAGTTGCCCCCAGTGCACCAAGATCAGGACCCACAATTCTGGGGGTACCATTCGCACAAGATTCCTTGGTGGCTGGGCATGGTGGCTCAGTGGCCTGGCGCAGTGCCTCACACCTGTAATCCCAGCACTTTGGGAGGCCGAGGCAGGCGGATCACTTGAGGCCAGAAGTTTGAGACCAGCTTGGCCAATATGATGAAACCCCATCTCTACTAAAAATACAAAAATTAGGCGTGGTGGTATGTGCCTGTAATCCCAGCTACTCAGTAGGCTGAGGCAGGAGAATCACTTGAACCTGGGAAGCGGAGGTTGCAGTGAACCGAGATCGTGCCACAGCCTGGGCGACAGAGCAAGACTGTCTCAAAATAAAAAATAAGATACCTTGTCGGAGTGCCCCCCCTGGGTTGGTAAAACATGGCAGGACTGACCGAGCCCACTGGGCTAGTGCCCAGCTGCTGTGGAGGCAGAGGTGCTGCGTGTCCTGCCCTGGTCAGGGTGAATGTGCTATAGGACTGGGCAGGGGACCAGGACTGCCCCTGGGGACAAGGACAGAGTTGGGCGAGCATGGGGGTCCAAGCTGCAGGTTCGAGGTTTGTATCTCTGCTGGCGCAGCCTCACCTCCGCCTGTTTCCTGCATCCGGCCTCTGTTGGGCCACTGGGAGTCTGGGGACATACAGCTGCCAGGAGCGGGCGTGGGGGCTTCCTTTCCCAGCTTCCTTTACAGAGGGAGGGGGCACCTGGGCATCCTGTGCCCCAGAGTAGGAGATTAACCCCTTCCTCACCCCAAAGTTGGGATCACAGTGGCTTTAAGTATTCGAAAAGTGTTTGGTATGTACCTACTATTGGCCAAGCCCCTGGCAGCAGGGGAGAAAGCTGACACTTGGTGAATTTCTTCTGTGTCCCAGTATTTCCTGTGCAGCTAGTACATTCCAGGCCCTCCCGTTACTGGCTCTGAAGTTATTCTCCTTTGATCTTTCCTCTTGTAACCTCAGGAAATGTCAACCCACTTCATGTAACTCTGAGCCAGATGATCCGGAGGGTATATCAGCTAGGCCTGGAACCAACCAGAGATGGTTTCCACAGCCACAGAAAAATGACTTTTTAATTATCTCCTGTTTTGCATTATCTTGCATTGCTCCTGTTAACCATGGTTTACTAAGTGATAACCTTATGGAAAAATTAAAAGCAAAAAGCTTTTGTTCACCCTGGGAGGAGGTGGGGAGAGAACAGCCTCACTTGGGAGAGGCTGGCTCCCTCTGCCAAAGGGAAAAACCTCCCGGGGGATAAGCAGCAACTTGGGGTCTCAGCTTCCCTCTGCTCTCTTCCCTGACACCAATAGTTCTCAACCAGGGGTGACTTTGCCCCCAGGGGAAAGCTGGCAATAGCTGGAGACATTTTTGGTTGTCACAACTTAAGTGGGGGACAGGATGGGTGCTACTGGGATTCTACTGGTTAGAGGCCAGAGATTTGGCTAAATACCCTACAATACACAGGACAGTCCCCAAAAGCAAACAGCTATCTGGCAAATGTCAATAGTGATGAGGCTGAGAAAATCTGTCATACACTTTGACTTCTGTCATCCCTGGGATCTAGTTTTTTGATTGTTTGTTTGTTTTTTTGAGACAGGGTCTCACTCTGTAGGCCAGGGTAGAGTGCAGCCTCAATCCCCCAGGATCAACTGATCCTCCCACCACAGCCTCCCAAGTAGCTGGGACTGCAGGTACACACCACCACACTCAGCTAGTTTTTTGTGTTTTTTGTAGAGATGGGGCTTTACCATGTTGCTCATGCTGGTCTTAAATTTCTGGGCTCAAGCGATCCTCCTGCCTTGGCCTCCCAAGGTGCTGGGATTACAGGCATGAGCCACTGCACCCAGCCCCTGGAATCTAGTTTAAAATGCACTGTCATATTCCATAGACTTTTTGGTCCTCACAGTGACCCTGCCATTTAGTTGTTAGTATGATGACATAATAGCCCACTTTTCAGGCAGGGAAACTGAGGCTTGGAGAAGTAGCTACTGGCCCAAAGTTACCCAGCCAGGAAGTAGAGAGCAAGGATTTGAATCCAAGGGTATCCGACTCCTGCCTGCTGCCTCTTGGTCCCTGAACATGAGTCACCCAGGGATGACTGGACGTCAATCACTTTTAGGTTATCTTTTCCTCTGTAACAATTTCTACAAATGAAATTCTGGACCCATAATTCTGTTGCTCCGCGGCTTCTCAGCAAACTGGTGCTTTCTGCCTCTGACTTCTGTCTGTCCTGCTTTAGCTGAAAAGTATACTCAGACGAAAGAATCCCAGATCTACTAGAGCTTTGGCGAACTGGGACTGATACCTGCCAGGCCCCCCAGGTTTCCAAGTCCTCTCCAGTGAACAAGGCCAGCTTGGGTGACAGCCCAGCAAAGGAGATCCCTAGATAGCGGGAGGTTCACAGAGCGAGGGGCATTATGGTTCTAAGCAGTCTGTCTGCTCCTGGCAGGATTCAGAACCAGGAGTAGATCCAGGAGCTGGTGTGGGAGCTGCTAAAAGTAGGCAAGGAGCCAGAGCCCCAGCAAGGGGAGATGAGGCAGGGAAGGAGAACAGCCCTGGGAGTAAAGGCAGGGCTCAGTGCTGGGAGAGGAGCCGGCACGGCCCAGGAGAGAAGCTGGAGACTTGCAGGGAGCAGAGATTCACCCTCAGCAAAACCCCAAAGGGTTCCACTCCATCTACACTGTTTGAAGATTTTATAAGCAGAAGATATTTATGTATTATGTATACAATTTTAAAGTAATTTTAAAGTAGCAAAAGATTGGAAGCAACTTAAGTAACCATCCATAATGGGCAGGGGTGGTGGCTCACGCCTGTAATCCCAGCACTTTGCAAGGCTGTGGTGGGTGGATCACTTGAGGTCAGGAGTTCAAGACCAGCCTGCCCAACATGGCGAAATCCCGTCTCTACTAAAAATACGAAAATTAGCCAGGCATGGAGGCACGCGCCTGTAGTCACAGCTACTCAGGAGGCTAGGTAGGAGAATCACTTGAGCCCGGGAGGAAGAGGTTGTCGCAGTGAATTGCTTGCAGTGAGCCAAGATCGCACCACTGCCCTCCAAGCTGGGCAACAGAGTGAGACTCTGTCTCAAAAAAAAAAGTAACCATCAAAAAGGGACTGGGCGGCTGGGTGCAGTGGCTCACACCTGTAATCCCAGCACTTTGGGAGGCCAAGGCGGGCGGATCACTTGAGGCCAGGAGTTCCAGACCAGCCTGGCCCACATGATGAAACCGTGTCTCTATTAAAAACACAAAAAATTAGCCGGGCATGTGGTGGGTGCCTGTAGTCCCAGCTACTCAAAAAAAAAAAAAAGAAAGAAAGAAAAAGAAAAAGAAAAAATAAGGGACTGGGTAAATAAATTATGGCCTTTAAGCAATGGTGTACTGTGTGGCCATGAGAAGGAACGGAGCACTATATATGCAGATATGCATCAGTTCCCAAAATAGGCTGTTCAGCAAAAAAGAAAAGTGGTAAAAATATGTGTGTATGTATACATGTGTTCCCGTAAATATACAGACTCTCTTTAGAAGGATATACAAGGAACCTATAATAACTGTTGGCACTGAGAAATAAAGGTGGGAGGGTGACTTTTTATAGCCGTTGATATCTTTTACATTTAGTACCATGCACATGTATTATCTATTTTTTTAATTCCTTCACTTTTTAAATTTAAAAAGTTCATAAACACAGGGTCTCTTGGAGCCTATTTTTCCTGCTCATGCTCACTGCGGCCGCCCCTAGCCCGTTCGGGGGACTGGGCAGCAAAGCCTAATGACCAAAGCTGGGGTGTCCCTCCAGGCTAGGGGTTCAGAGGAAGCTGGCCCAGGAAAGACCTCCAATCCTGCCCCCTCCGCAGAGCATCAAGGCCAACCTGAGCCGGGAGAATGAGGTGGTGAAGGACAGCGTGCGCCACCTCAGTGAGCAGTTGAGGCACTATGAGAATCACTCTGCCATCATGCTGGGCATCAAGAAGGAGCTGTCCCGCCTGGGCCTCCAGCTGCTGCAGAAGGATGCCGCCGCCGCCCCTGCCACCCCTGCCACGGGCACTGGTAGCAAGGCCCAGGTGAGGCCCCAGCTCTGATCATGGGGCCGGAGCTGGCTGAACTTGGGAGCTCAGTGTGCCAGGACGTTGGCCCTGTGGATCAGCTCGATGGGGGTTTGGGGCTGTAAGATGGGGTTGAGGACTGGCACAGCCAGAGAGTCCCTGGCAGGGTGAGGTGCAGGGGATACCTGCTGTACAGCAAGCACAGTCAGCACAGGGAATGGGGGATAGGCCTGGGGATCCTGCCAAGGGGGCTGGTCCCTAAGCCAGGTGTTTGGCATCCTTCTCATTCCCAAGCTTGAAACTAGTAGGGACAAGCTTGTGGAGGTGGTGCCCCCTGCCTGGCCCTCAGAGACCAGGTTGGCTGCAGCAAAACCACTTCTAGCCTCCCCTGCTGTGGCTGGGTTGAGCCTGCTCAGAGGGAGGTGGGCAATGCCTCAGGGACCCCTGCAGACTGATACCCATTCATCCAACCCACCCTGGGGTACAGAACCCCTGCAGCCAATACCCAGGCACTCGACCTCCAAGCTCAGAGCAGAGTGAGCAGAGGCACTGGTTCTGTCACTAGGCAGAGCCACCCATGACAGATAACACACCTGCGTGCAAATGTGATAAACGTCCTCTCTGTAGGCAGATGAACTGTGAAGCTGGTTCTCCCTCTGAGCAGATCAATTAGAAGGAACAACCACTTTTGGGTGAGCCGGTTGCACAGAGGCTCCTGCCTTTGCTGGGTATGTGGCTTGGCAAATGGAGTGCAGACTGGATTCAACCCCATTCAGGCTCCTCTGGCCAGTCACCCTTGGGCAAGACACAAGCCACACCATTGTTCACACTGGCCTTGTGTTTTGGTGAGTGGCTGAAGAAGGGAGCTGACATTTGTGGAATTCCTACTTTAAACTTGACTTTCTCACAGACATTGTCAGTGAACCCCATAGTCACCTGGGAGGAGGGGCGACCCCTGCCCATTTGGCAGATGAGGCATGGAGAGAGGTCACATGGAGAGGCGGTGGCGGAGCTGGGACTGGCAGCCAGGTCTGCGTGACTGCCAAGCCCACCCTCTTCCTCTCTTCTTCTCCACATCTCGGTCTCCTTTGCTGACATTGTGATAATGCGGCCATTTGTGTCTGCAACTGGGACTGCCTAGATGCCGATAAAGCAGCTAGGAAGCCTGTGCCTTGGCCCCCAGCTGGCTTCCTGCTCATTCCCGTGCCAATTCCGCAGGCGAGAATGAAGCGTGTTTTGGCAATGGTGCAGAAGGCACCCAGCTACTGTACTTGCCGTATCTGCTGGAGCTTCTGCCTAACGATGAGTGATGTCACAGGCCCTGTGTTCTTGTGCCAAGCCAGCATCGGAGGCATTTAAATAGGAAGTGAAAATAACAAAACACAAAAAGTTAGAAATGGCATATCCTAGAGGTTGGGTGACCAACCCTGTCCCAGTTTGCCTGGGACTTGAGGGTTTTTCCAGGATGCAGCACTTTCAGTGCTAAAACTAGGAATGTTCCAGGCACTCTGGGATGAGTTGGTCACCTTGCCTAGGTGCCTAAGAACCTCTCCCCTGCCCACGTACTAAGACCAATGAGTAAGAGAGACAAGGCTGGGAAGGTGAGCAGGTGGAGGAGGCTGCCTCCCAGGGAGCTGGTCCTTCTAGCCTGCCCCCCAGGGGGATTGGACAGGAGTTGAGAAGTGGGACAGGAATCTAACCTATCAGGTTGGACTTCAAGCCTGCAAGGGAGCTAAAGAGCTGGGTGAGGAAACTGAGGCAAACCAGTCATGGATGTAGCCACCATGGTGGGGTAAAGGAAAGCTGTGACTTTGTGAGTGCTTGGGACATAGGGCCTGGGGCAACATGGCCACCTCCAGTCCCCACATGCTGAGCCCCCAGGACTCCCCACAACATTTCTTCTACTGTCCTTCAAGTCTGAGACTTCTCTTCCCTCCCAGGACACAGCTAGAGGAAAAGGCAAGGACATCAGCAAGTATGGCAGTGTGCAGAAAAGCTTTGCAGACAGAGGCCTCCCAAAACCTCCCAAGGAGAAGCTGCTTCAGGTGGAGAAGCTGAGAAAGGAGAGCGGCAAGGGCAGTTTCCTCCAGCCCACAGCCAAGCCCCGCGCCCTGGCCCAGCAGCAGGCTGTGATCCGGGGCTTCACCTACTACAAGGCAGGCAAGCAGGAGGTGACCGAGGCGGTGGCAGGTGAGTAGGAGGGGAATGGGGACCCTGGGGAGTCAGGGATGGATGCCTCCTAGGAATCCCCTCATCTTCTCTGCAGTGGGACCACCCCAGATTCAGTTCCACCCATTGATTACCTGTTGGGTGCCCTCTGCTCATTCACATATGAGGATAACACCCCACTCAGGGGGTCATTGGGATGAGATGGCAGAACCAACCTGCAGGGCCACTCAGTGGCTTTTCAGTATTTACAGCTGTCTTCACCTTCACTGGACTTTTCTTTGTGCTTTTGAAAATGTGCTGAAGGTCCGCTCTGACCAGGTGACAGGGAATGGTAGAGACACAGTCCCTGTCCCCACAGATCTCACAGTCTAGTGAGAAAAAATACCTATGACCAGGCAGCTGCCACAGTGAGGGGCAGGAGAATACCGGGCTCCTGAGAAGTGACAAGGGCTTTCAGGGCATCTCTCATTTCCTCTCCAGCTCCTCCCTCTTCTTATATCCCCAAGGAAGAGCCCACAGACTCTTGTATTTTTCCTGCAGCTCTCTGCTGCATCACAGAGAAGGGTGACAAAGTAATTGGCAAACAAGAGACACACGTTTCAAGATACCCCAAATTTCTGAGCCATCTCTACGGGTTGTGGTTCTTGATTCCCCCACTAAGACCCGCCCCAGATGGCTGCTCTCTTCTGATGTCCCAGAGGGGTGTCCCAAACCTGCTCCTCCCCTTCCTAGGTCCTGCTGACCACCTCCTCCTGCAAAGCCCTCCTTCCAGCCCATGTGCAAGGGGCGCAAGGAGGTGAAACAGTCAGGGACCAGGCTCCTTTGAGAGCCCTCTTGTTTCTTGGCCTCTCAGGACTCAGGGGCCTCTTTACCCTGGTCCCAGCTGCTGGCCCAAGCCCTGCCAGCTTGGTCTGGACATGGCACAGAGCCTCTGACCCCTGGCTGGGGCACTGCCTAAGAACAGCTGCAGGCATCTGACTCTGCCAGCAAGGCCTGTGGGAACAGGCACCCTGCCCTGGCAGGCTGCTTAGGCCAGGCCTCCCTGTGGTCCTCCTCGACCAGGGGGATGACCCCCTTCCCCGCCAGGGCCCAGGCTGCCCACAGCAGGGCCTGTGCAAAGAGGAAGCCCAAAATGGAGAAAAAAGGAAGAAGTTATTGTCCTCAAGTCAAGGGTTCTCTGAGCCCCTCACCCAGCTGACCAGGAGGTCCCCTGGGCACCAGACCATCATAGTAATAACAGCACCATTCCTTTGTCTCCCTGGTGTCACAATTTTTTTTTTTTTGAGACAGAGTTTCGCTGTTGTCACCTAGGCAGTGGTGCAGCGGTGCAATCTCAGCTCACTGCACCCTCTGCCTCCTGGATTCAAGCAATTCTCTCGCCTCAGCCTCCCAAGTAGCTGGGATTACAGGCACGTGCCACCATGCCCGACTAATTTTTGTATTTTTAGTAGAGACGGGGTTTCGTCATGTTGGCCAAGCTGGTCTCGAACTCCTGACCTCAGGTGATCCATCCACTTTGGCCTCCCAAAGTGCTGGGATTACAGGCATGAGCCACCGCGCCCGGCCGGTGTCACAAAAGTGTAAAAGTGTTTCCCTAAACCCTTCCTTCCTTCCTTCCTTTCTTTCTTTTTTTCTTTTGAGACAGGGTCTCACTCTGTCACCCAGGTTGCAGTGTAGTGGCACGATCATGGCTCACTGCAGCCTTGACCTCCTGGGCTCAAGTGATCTTCCCTCCTCAGCCTCCCTAATAGCTGGGACTACAGGGGCCCATCACCACACCTGGCTAATTTTTTCTATTTTTTAGTAGAGACAGGGTTTTGCCATGTTGGCCAGGCTGGTCTTGAACTCCTGGGCTCAAGCGATCTGCCGGCCTCAGCCTCCCAAAATGCTGGGATTACAGGCACCAGCCACTGCGCCCAACCCTCTAAGCACTTTCGTTCATGCCGTCTCATTTGATTCTGGCAGCAGCTGCATTTTCCATGGCAGAATAATAGGAGAAGGCCTGTAAAACGGGAACAAGAGCTTCTCTCTAGAATTGAATCTAGCAAATGAGAGAACTGGTACAAAGTGCTTGATGCATAGGAAGGAAAGGGATCTCCTTTTTGGTACCTCGTATTTGCTGGGATCTGTGCAAATGTTTATGTACATTTTTCTGTAGTCAACACCACAGTCCAGCATGGTGGGCTCCTGACTCTCAGTTCACAGAGGTGGCCCAGGAAGGCAGGGGGACATGGCTGAGGCCACCTGGCTGGGTTTAGAGCCCTGGCTGTGAAGTCCTCCCTGCCTCCCATTTGGAGACCTTTCACCCCCCTCCAGGTGTGAGGAGGCCCTGAGGAGGCCTCCCCCTCCACTCCCTGAGGGCCCCTGAGATGGGGGCCCAGTGGACCTTAGGGAGACCCACACGGCAGCAGGTGGTGCTGAGATTTGAGCACAGGGGTCTTCTCTCTGCAGACAACACCCTCCAGGGCACTTCCTGGCTGGAGCAACTGCCGCCCAAGGTGGAGGGCAGGTCCAACTCCGCAGAGCCCAACTCCGCAGAGCAGGATGAGGCTGAGCCCAGGTCCTCCGAGCGAGTGGACCTGGCTTCTGGCACCCCCACTTCAATCCCTGCCACCACCACCACCGCCACCACCACCCCAACCCCCACCACCAGTCTCCTGCCCACCGAGCCACCTTCAGGTCCAGAAGTCTCCAGCCAAGGTGAGTGAGCCTCACAGGAGTCAGCACACTGTAGCCTGTGCCCAAATCTAGCCCACAGCCTGTTTCTGTGAAGCCCTCAAGTTAAGAAATGCTTTTTATAGCTGAGCATGGTAGCTCACACCTGTAACACCAGCACTTTGGGAGGCCAAGGTGGACGAATCACCTGAGGTCAGGAGTTCAAGACCAGCCTGGCCAACATGGAAAAACCCCCTCTCTACTAAAAATAAAAAAATTAGCCAGGCGTAGTGGCGGGTGCCTGCAATCCCAGCTACTCGGGAGGCTGAGGCAGGAGACTCGCTTGAACCCAGGAGGCAGAGGTTGCAGTGAGCTGAGATTGTGCCACTGCACTCCAGCCTGGGCGAAAGAAATTTTTTTTTTTTCTTTTTGAGACAGTCTCACTCTGTCACCCAGGCTGCAGTGCAATGGTGAGATCTTGGCTCATTGCAACCTCCATCCCCCGGGTTCAAACAATTCTCCTGCCTCAGCCTCCCGAGTGGCTGGGATTACAGATACCCGCCACCACACCTGGCTAATTTTTGTATTTTTAGTAGAGACAGGGTTTCACTACCAGGCTGGTCTCTAACTCCTGACATCAGGTGATCCTCCCATCTCAGCCTCCCAAAGTGCTGGGATTACAGGCATGAGCCACCGCACCAAGCCCAGGTAGTATTTTCAACAAATTCTTCTTAAAATGTCACCTAGAATGCCATCATCAAATCCAGCAACTATTTTTATTTCTTTATTTCCTGTGTCCAATCGTTGGCTCTGTTTTGATGTCAGCATTTATAGTTTTGCTCTGTGTCTCATGGTAGAAATCTTCCTCGTTAAGTCATTGATCCCGTCCTTCCGAAGGGATCTTGGCTCTCTGTGGTGAAAATCCTTCAAACCCTGTCCTGCTTTGGTCCAAGGTCATTCCACTTCTAGGAATCTTTCCTGAAGGATCTACCAGCAATGGGAACAACAGCTGCAGCTTAAGTGGTTGCATCATGGCATCATTTCTAATGTCAGAAAACTGGAAATAACACGAAGGGCTGACATGGGGAGGACTGGTCAGATAAATTCAGGGCACAGCTGTCCACCGGCCTGGCAGAACCTTGAAATCACATCATTAAAAGCCTATTTAATGATGAGAGAAATTGCTCAACGGAGGCTAAAAACAGGATACATAAAACTGTATACTCACAGTTTTTTAAAGTATGTCTGCATGACTGTACATGCAAAGAAAAAAGAAAAGGAAGGAAATGCCACATGTTTAAATTTTTCTTTGGATGGGAGAATGGTGGGAGGGGGTAAAGGATAAAAGACTACATACTGGCTGCAGTGTATACTGCTCAGGTGACTGATACATTAAAATATCAGAGATCACCACTAAAGAACTCACCCATGTAACCAAAAACCACCTGTTCCCCAAAAACTATTTAAATAAAATTTTATTATTATTGTTGTTGTTGTTTTGGTTTTTTTGGTTTTTTTTTTTTTTTTTTTTTTTTTGAGACGGAGTCTGACTCTGCGGTCCAGGCTGGAGTGCAGTAGCGTGATCTCAGCTCACTGCAACCTCTGCCTCCTGAGCTCAAGAGATTCTCCTGCCTCAGCCTCCCAAGCAGATGGGATTTCAGGCACACACCACCACGCCTGGCTAATTTTTCTAGTTTTAGTAGAGACAGTGTTTCGCCATGTTGACCACACTGGTCCTGAACTCCTGACCTCAAGTGATCAGTGAAATACAATTTTTAAAAAGAGAATAAAAGAACAGAAGAAAATTTTTCTCTGGATAATGGCAGTTTTTAGGTTTTTATTTTTTATCTTATAAGAGTTTAAATTCTTTTTATTTTTTAAAAAGTAAAATAAAAAAGAAAAACCAAAAAAGAAAAAAATTTAAATTTTTGTACTGACAAATAAAAATTGTATGTGTTCATTTGTTTGACATACTGCAGAAAGAATAATTTTTTTAAATGTGTGTATTTATAATGTACAACATAATGCTTTGATATGTGTACACACAGTGAAATGGCTAAATCAAGCTAATTAGCATATATATTACCTCACATTATGTATCTTTTTTTGTGGCGAGAACACTTAAAATCTACTCTCTTAGCAATCAAAATTCAAGTATACAGTATGTTGAACTTATTCCTGTTGTCTAAATGAAATTTTGAATGCTTTAAGCAACATCTCCTCAATCCCCCCATCCACTAGTAACCACTATTCTACTCTCTGCTTTTATGAGTTTGACTTTTTAACTTTTTAAATTTTTAATGTTTATTTTTATTTATTTTTATTTTATTTTTATTTTTTTTGAGATGGAGTCTCACTCTGTCACCCGGCTGGAGTGCAATTGTGTGATCTTGGCTCACTGCAACCTCCTGCAGTGATTCTCCTGCCTCAGCCTCCAGAGTAGCTGGGACTACAGGCACCCACCACCGCACCCAGCTAATTTTTTTATTTTTAGTAGAGATGGGGTTTCACCACATTGGCCAGGTTTGTCTCAAACTCCTGACCTTGTGATCCGCCCACCTCAGCCTCCCAAACTGCTGGGATTACAGGCATGAGCCACCGCGCCCAGCCAATTTTTATTTATTTATTTTTTTTGAGGCGGTGTCTTGCTCTGTTGCCTAGGTTGGAGTGCAGTGGTGTGATGACAGCTCACTGCAGCCTCAATATCCCAGGCTCAAGCAATCCTCCCACCTCAGCCTCCCCAGTAGCTGGGACTACAGGCGCACACCACTATGCTCAGCTAATTAAAAAAATTTTTTTTTTTTTTTGTAGAGAGAAGGTCTTGCTATGTTGCCCAGGCTGGTCTTCAAGTCTTGAGTTCAAGTGATCCTCCCACCTCAGCCTCCCAAATTGCTGGGATTACAGGTGTGAGTCACTGTGCCTGGCCGAGTTTGACTATTTTAGATTCCACATATAATGAATAATATAACTTTGAAGATTTTTATTTTCTCCATTCTCTTTTTTTTTTTTGAGAAGAGTTTCACTCTTGTCGCCCAGAGTGCAGTGGCATGATCTCTGCTCACTGCAACCTCCGCCTCCTGGGTTCAAGTGATTCTCCTGTCTCAGCTTCCTGAGTAGCTACGATTACAGGCACCGCCTACCATGCCCAGCTAATTTTTGTATTTTTAGTAGAGACGGGTTTCACCATGTTGCCCGGGCTGGTCTTGAACTCCTAACCTCAGGTGATCCACCTGCCTTGGCCTCCCAAAGTGCTGGGATTATAGGCGTCAGCCATTGCGCCTGGCCTCCATTCTGCTTTTCTGAATGTTTTATGTTTTTGGTAACGATCAGGCATTGTTTTGATGATGAGGAAAGGGGAAAGAAGGCCACAAACAAAATTTCAGGAGAGATTTAAGTTAGACCCAGATAACATTCCCAGCCCGTTGCTCTGGCTGGGGGGCTTGGGGGTCTGTGTACCGATGCTGCCTGCCCTCCTCCCCACAGGCAGAGAGGCGAGCTGTGAGGGCACCCTCCGGGCTGTGGACCCCCCTGTGAGGCACCACAGCTATGGGCGCCACGAGGGAGCCTGGATGAAGGACCCTGCAGCTCGAGACGACAGGATCTATGTCACCAACTACTACTATGGAAACAGCCTGGTGGAGTTCCGCAACCTGGAAAACTTCAAGCAAGGTCAGGGACCCCCGGAGGTGGAGAGGGGGCTGGGTATGGACAACCTGGGGAGGGGTCCTCATGGGGACTTGGCCTTCCTTGCCTTGTGGGTTTCTATGGTATAGGCTGGTTGAGCTCCAGATTGTTAGCCACCCCAAGGAGGGGGTTCTGGGCTGAGGGCACTGGGCTGGAGGCCCAGACAGACCCCATGGCACCCCGGTGTGCTAGCACCCTGCCAGGAACCAGAATGCAGCGGCAAACAAGAGAGACATGGTCCTGCCCTCACAAGTGTGACTTACCATCAAGGGGCCAATACTGAGTTTCCATTTGTTGAACGCTTACCCTGTGCTGATCTCGCCCCCCGTGTATCAGCTCTTGGTAGCTACATACCTCCAGGAGGTGGGGTTATCACCTGTTTTATAGGTGCGCAGTGTCTCAGGTCTTAGCGGAGCTGCAGGTCTGGGCAGGGGCCAGGATGGAGCTGACGGCACAGGGAAGGGCAGAATTCTGCTTATCAAACCTGGGGAATGATGCCAGGAAGGGGTCATTTAGATCTAGCCTGCCCTTCAGAAATGCACAGTCTGGTGGGGGAGGCAAAGGCTTAAAGAGACGATTTCAGTACAGCATTAGAGGGAGCACTGAAGGGGCTATGGGAACCCAGCCTAGAGATCAGGGAAGACCTTCCCAGGAAGGTGATGCTGAGCTGGGCCCTGGAAGAAGAGTAGGAGTAAGCCATGCGGAAGGGAGAGGGAAGGGTGTTCCAGGCAGAAGGCTGAGTACATGCAGAGGCCTGGCAATGAGAGGAAACGTGATGGCCTGGGGTAGGGGGGATGGTGACTGAGTAAGCTGGGGCAGGCCTGGTGAGCCAGATAAAGGAGTTTGGACTTAACCCCGAGAGCCATGGAGTCACAACTAAAGGCCTGGAACAGGCCGGGCGTGGTGGCTCACACCTGTAATCCTAGCACTTTGGGAGGCTGAGGTGGGCTGATCACTTCAAGTCAGGAGTTCAAAACCAGCCTGGCCAACACGGTGAAACCCCGTCTCTACTAAAAAATTAAAAAAAAAAAAAAAATTAGCTGGGTGTGGTGGCAGGCGCCTGTAATCCCAGCTACTTGGGAGGCTAAGGCAGGAGAATTGCTTGAACCTGGGAGGCAGAGGTTGCAGTGAGCCGAGATCGCACCACTGCACTCCAGCCTGGATGACAGAGAGAGACTCTATCTCGAAAAATATGAAAAAAATAAAGGCCTGGAACAACTGAAATCCTTCCTCCGCTAGCTCAAAATTGGCCGGCTTTCTGCTCAAGCAGCGCACAGGGTGGTGGAGGAAGCCAGTGATAAGTATCAAGATGAAGGCTTCTGTCTGGCTGCTACAGACGTGTCCTGGGGGGATAAAAGACAAAGGGTTATGGGAGGCTGGAGGAGAGGCCCCTCACTCAGGCTAGGGAGGTCAGTGAAGGTTTCCTAGAGGAGGTGACATTGGCCTGGGGCTCTGAAAGATGGGCAGGCATTCCCCAAGCAGATGGCCTGGGGAATGGCAGTCCTAACAGAGGAACAGCAGGGACGAAGGCCTGGAGACAAAGAATGGGGCTGATGTCACCCTGTGTCTAAATCCTAGCTGTGCCATTCCAGAGCTGGGCGACCTTGATCCTCTGAGCCTTTTTTTTTTTAAGCAGATGGGATGACGATAGACCTCCTTCAGGAGACGCTTGTGCCATAATAAGATGTCATCCCAGCTCCAGGCACACTGCACATGCTTGGTATCAGTCACTTACTGGGCCACTGAGAGCCCTTGGTGGGCTCAGGGGATGTGGGTGGGCTGGGGTTGCTCGGGAGGTCTGGGGTGACCATCGCCCTCGCCTGCAGGCCGCTGGAGTAACATGTACAAGCTACCCTACAACTGGATCGGCACAGGCCACGTGGTGTACCAGGGCGCCTTCTACTACAACCGCGCCTTCACCAAGAACATCATCAAGTACGACCTACGGCAGCGCTTCGTGGCCTCCTGGGCGCTGCTGCCCGACGTGGTATATGAGGACACCACACCTTGGAAGTGGCGCGGACACTCGGACATTGACTTTGCCGTGGACGAGAGCGGCCTGTGGGTCATCTACCCCGCCGTGGACGACCGCGATGAGGCCCAGCCCGAGGTGATCGTCCTGAGTCGCTTGGACCCCGGCGATCTCTCCGTGCACCGGGAGACCACGTGGAAGACACGGCTGCGGCGGAACTCCTACGGGAACTGCTTCCTGGTGTGCGGCATCCTGTATGCCGTGGACACGTACAACCAGCAGGAAGGCCAGGTCGCCTACGCTTTCGACACGCACACGGGCACCGACGCACGCCCCCAGCTGCCGTTCCTCAACGAGCACGCCTACACCACCCAGATCGACTACAACCCCAAGGAGCGGGTGCTGTACGCCTGGGACAATGGCCACCAGCTCACCTACACCCTCCACTTCGTGGTCTGAGTGGAGACCTGTGCTCCCCGGAGAGGGGCAGCAGTGCGGGAGGGGCTTTGCACAGCAGCTCCTGCAACTGACCCAGTCCGCAAATATTTATTGGGGGCCAGCCCAGGGCTGGGACTGGGCATGAGGTGGTCACCAGGATTGAGCTTCCTCAGCACCCAGTGGGTAATACTTGCTTCCACTTGCAGAGCACCGTGCCAAGCACTTCCCACACACTTACCCGTTTGATTCTCCTAGCACCTCCCTTGGAGGTAGAGATCATGAACCCATTTAACAGACGAGGAGACAGGCTCAGAGAGGCACCGTCCCTTGCCTAACACCTCAGTTGTGATCAGGCAGGCTGTGCTCTCAGGACAGCCCCATTTTAGGGATGAGGAGACTTCACCACGCCCTCCCCTCCCTGCCCTCCCCCATCTCCCCGGTCTCCCTTGTTCTCTCAACCCAGTCTCCCTTCCCAGGGCCACTCAGAACCAGAGGTCTTTAGGGCCAGTGTACTGGTGTGGGGTGGAGGCCCTGGCTCTGCCTGCCATCCTAGGGCCCTGTTCTGGCTGAGCTGTTGGTGGCCCTGGGCTTTGGGCCCCTTAGCCAATGTCCTTGTCTCTTGTCTTTGGCCAGCCCCCTCAGCCCAGCCCACCCCACCCGCTGTCCGGCCACATTCCAAACCTCTACCGTCACCTAGCTGCTGAGCAGAAACCGCACCCCGAGAGAAAATCCCATCCTCTGTTCCAAGGCCCCTGTCTGCTCTATGCTCATTTTTATTTTCTCTTATTCTTCATCAGTGCCGTCATTTGTTTCTGCAGCAGCAGCTGAGAAGGCAGCCGGCAGCTCTGCCAGGGTGGGGAGCTGAGCTGAGGCTCCCTCTCCACCCAGAAGCACTGGCGTTGTTCACATAGTCAGGCCTTGGGTCCCCTCCCTGGTTCATCCCAGAGCCTTTGGGCCTGGAGTCCGCCTTGTCCTTTTTCTCTGGGCTTTCAAACCCACAACCTTTACACACTCAGGGATACCTCCGGGTCTGCCATGAATAAGACCCTAGGCCCAAGTCTGGTGTGGTGCCAGGATGGCACAGTTTCCCTCTTCCTTGCCAGCCCTGACCTGGTCACTGGGCAGGCTGGCCCAGCAGCCTGGGGGCTGCAGAAGACATGGTGTGAGTAGTTGGGTCCAGGGGAGGCATCAGGCCTTCTTCTGGTTGCAGGAGAGAACCAGAGGGTGGGAACGGGGAGGGAAGAACTGAGGGTCTGCAGACTGGACTTTTCCTGGCTCGACCCAGGACTTGGGTTGAGGATGCACGGGGGCCACCTTGCCCGGGGCCACTGGTGGCTCCCCAGAGCCTCAGACCCACACAGCCCAGAGGACGAGGCCTTCAAGCCTGCCCCTCTTCTGCTTTTTTAGACAGTATTTTTAGAGCTGGAAAGAAATTTTCTAGCCCAACTCCCTGTTTCATGAAAGAGAAAAGAGGCTCAGAAAAGTTTAGAGAGCAGCTCAGTGTCACACTGGGAGCTGGGCACAGCCGATCTCCTTCCAGAAGGGTTCTGTCTGTATCCTTTATTCTCCGCACATGGAGGCTGCCCTACCTGGGAAGGCACCCCAGCACCTGTGAAGGACATTTACTGCTCATCCTCACCTGCCCCCTGGCCCTTGCTGCCTTCATTCTGTCCCAATGCCAGCTCCCTGGATGTCTGTATGTTTGAATACCAGTTGCCATGTTAGGAAGGTCAGCTGCACAGCCAAGAGTGTAAGAGTGTAAAGAAATGCCTTTTTTTTTTTTTTTGAGTTGGAGTTTTGCTCTTGTCGCCCAGGCTGGAGTGCAGTGGCGCGATCTCGGCTCACTGCAACCTCTGCCCCCTGGGTTCAAGCGATTCTCCTGCCTCAGCCTCCCTAGTAGCTGGGACTACAGCACCCACCACCACACCCAGCTAATTTTTGTATTTTTAGTAGAGACAGGGGTTTCACCACGTTGGCCAGGCTGGTCTCGAACTCCTGACCTTAGGTGATCCGCCCGCCTCAGCCTCCCAAAGTGTTGGGATTACAGGCATGAGCCACTGCGCCTGGCCAGCAAATGCTTTTTGTGCAGAATACACTTCTTTCAGGCATTGTCAGGTGCTGTTTTGTTTAAGCTCTAACTCACCCCTGGAATACAGGGGAATGATGACAACCAGCCCAGCCAGGCCTGACTCATCATGGTCACATCCAGCCCCCACCCCCGGCCAACTAACCACTGCAGGCTCCTCTTCCAGACTCACCAGGGGGCCTCGAGGCCCCGGCATCTCCCTTGGCCCTGGGTGTGGGTTTTACAAGACTGTGTCTTTCATGACATCATAGCCCAACCATGTGAGAAGAAGGAGAAGGCCCCCCTTTCTTCATTAATCTGAAAAAAAGGAAAGTGAGAATAGGCTGATTTTTAAAAGTTAAGGGGCAAGCAGCATTGCATTCTGGGGGAACGATCCTGGCCACAGCCGCCAAACAAACATTCACTAGGCCTCTTCTGTTTTCATACCCTTGTAAGTGGGTTATGTGGTGGGTATGGTCAGTTTTTTCTTTTTTCTTTTCTTTTCTTTTTTTTGAGACAGAGTTTCGCTTTTGTTGCCCGGGCTGGAATGCAATGGCGCGATTCAGCTCACTGCAATCTCCGCCTCCCGGGTTCAAGTGATTCTCCTGCCTTAGCCTCCTGAAAAGCTGGGATTACAGGGCCCTGCCACCAAGCCCAGCTAATTGTATTTTTAGTAGAGACAGGATTTCACCATGTTGGCCAGGCCAGTCTCAAACTCCTGACCTCAGGTGATCCACCTGCCTCAGCCTCCCAGACTGTTGGGATTACAGGCATGAGCCACCACGCCTGGCCAGTTTCTTCATTTTACATATGGTCACATTGGCGCCTAGAACAGTTAGGTCGCTCGTCACATAGGCAGTTAAGTGGAGAACCAGGTTTCAAAATCAGGTAAGAAAACCATCATCATTAACTGAGCACCAGCTGTGCTAAGCCTGCCACGGGCGTATCCTTGCAGCCTCACAACAGTGGGAGGTCTGTATCCTGAATGTCCTCATTTTACAGATGAGGACATTGAGGAGAAGAGACTTACCCAGGCTCACACAGCAGCTCAGCCTGTTCCAGGCGCTGGTCAGTGCGTGTTCTTTGCCACCAGCCTGTCACTCCAGTGGCAGCTCCAGAAACGGAGGCTGTTGCTTTTATCCCTAAACTGCATCCACAGAGAAGCCCCAAGAAGGAGGTTGGGGCCAGCTCATAAAAAGCCTGAATGCCAAGCCAAGGAGTGGATGCCTCCAGTCATATTTAGAACAAAGTCAAGTATAAATTTACAGAGAAAAAATTCTAAGACAGTTGGATGTTGTCCTGTTGGTGAGGAAGGGAAAGGTTTTTCTTGTAGGGAACTGGAACCAGCCCACAACTGCACACTTGTGAGCTGTCATGGAAACCTGATCCCCAACAGCTTTTGAGGTTGTTTGTTTGTTTGTTTGTTTACCTGTCTTGGGCTTTGTTGCTTTTGGCAAAAGGTACTTCAAACAAGGGAGGGCCTGGACTGAGGGGGACCAGGTCTTCTTGCTGACCTCGTCTACAAAGGCAAAGGAAGGCAAAGGAAGCTGTCTCGGGTGTTTCTGAACAACGTGACTCATGAGGGGCTTTGGCTACCTCTTGCGTTCCCCCTAGAGATGTCCAGGCCTTACATTTAATCGGCTTTCTCTGCGGTGGGGTAGAGAATGGAGCTCCCGCCTTGCGGGCAGTGCTAAAGGTGGAGCTGGGGGATTTTCCTGGGAATGATTTGAGGGCTCTTGAAAGCCCATGTGTTCCAAAGCGTCTTTAACTCTGGGATAGCATTGGAAGCCGCTGTCATGACAGGACATGGCACTGGATGGCTGGCAGAGAGCCCTGGCTGGGAGTTAGGGAGCCCTGGGTTGGAATCCAGCCCCACCTCTTTTATGCCACAGGTTTGGTCAAGTTCTCTCCCGCTCAGGGTAGGGCTGTGAACTCCCTCTTACAGCTAAGAACATGCAGCTTAGTGAGGACAAGACCCTTCTAGAGCTTTACCCCTAATCCCCCCCCAGGAGCCCCGAGGCCGGCATTATTCCTCCCCATTACAGGTGATGAGCCTCAAATTCAGAGAGCTTAAGCAACCTGCTCAGGGTCACGTCTCCAACAGGCAGTAGAGTCAAGGTATAAACCAGGTCTGTTTTTGTACCAGAGTCCCAGACTAACTGTTGGTAGGAATCTTGTAACCAGTCATGTTTTCTTCCTTGTTTTGGCCGCTGGGAAGCTCAAAGTCAAATTCGAGACCCTTTTTTTTCCAATTGTGCTGAGTCTCCTACTAGACTCGCTTCATTCTAGCTTTCTGCTTTTACCTTTACCCTAATCTTTTTATTTTTATGCTATTGTACTTTATTTTTGTAAGTTGCTGAGATATCTGTTTTGCAACAAGATGGGCTATATCTAAATAAAGACATGATCAAAGGTTTGATTTAAAAGTCTGGACTAAATGCTGTGGTCCATATCTTTATCAGAACACATACATTTAATAACTTTTAAAACAAATAATTTGTCGGCTGGGCATGGTGTCTTGCACCTGTAATCCCAGCACTTTGGGAGGCTGAGGTAGGTGGATTACTAGAGGTCAACACAGCACAGGAGTGCACACTCACAAACAACTGTGCAAGAGCATAAGCCTTAGAATCTGTCAAACCAGGGGTCGAACTTGGGGAATTTGCTTGGGGTCTGACCTTTCTCCTATTAAAATGGAGAAGATCATATTGTATATATTCTAGAGTTCGAGACCAGCCTGGCCAACATGGTGAAACCCTGTCTACCAAAAAATACAAAAATTAGCTGGGCATGGTGGCACGTGCCTGTAGTCTCAGCTACACGGGAAGCTGAGGCAGGAGAGTTGCTTGAACCTGGGAGGTTGCAGTGAGCCAAGATGGCGCCACCACACTCCAGTCTGGGTGACAAAGCAAGACTCCATCTCAAAAAAAAAAAAATAATAATAAAAAAGTAAAAAAAAAAATTCATGATCAGGCATTGGAAGGAACTGATGGTGTGGAAAAATGAATGGGGTAGGTGGATGGGAGATTAAGTACGCTGTTAGCTGAATGGGAATTGGAGGCCGGGCATGGTGGCTCATGCGCGTAATCCCAGCACTTTGGGAGGCTGAGGTGGGAGGATCACTTGAGACCAGGAGTTCAAGACCATCCTGGGCAACATAGTGAGACCTCCTCTCTACAAAAAATAAACAAAAGTAGCCAGGCGTTGTGGCATGCAAAAAAATAAAAATAAAAAATAAAGAGTTTGTTATGAGAACTGGCATTGTTGCTACACTGCCGATGGAACTAATTGGAGTGGTGAGCTGTGCAGAATCCAACTGAGACTGAAAGCCAGACCCCGCCGAGTGGAGAAGACAAGCCAGGTGTTCCCAAAGGTGTTCAGACACTAGCCTCGGCCCCTTCCCTGCCTTCCTGTGCCAACTGCAGAGAGAGGTGCAGGGTACACTCACTCCTGGGTCAGAGAATGTGGGGCCAAGGGAAAGGTAAGGAAAAAAAAAAAAGAAAAAGAAAAGAAAGGCTGGCAGGGTGCTGTGGCTCACACCTGTAATCCCAGCACTTTGGGAAGCCAAGGCAGGTGGATCACGAGGTCAGGAGATCGAGACCATCCTGGTTAACACGGAGAAACCCTGTCTCTACTAAAAATACAAAAAAAGTAGCCAGGCGTGGTGATGGGCACCTGTAGTCCCAGCTACTCGGGAGGCTGAGGCAGGAGAATGGCATGAACCCGGGAGGCGGAGCTTGCAGTGAGCCGAGCTCGTGCCACTGCACTCCAGCCTGGGCGACAGAGCGAGACTCCGTCTCAAAAAAAAAAAAAAAAAAAAGAATGCTTTCCTAGGAAAAAGAGCGTATCATGGAATTGGGGAGGGGACCTTGGAGGTCGCATAGTCCCATGTGGCCCAAACTGCAGTCATTCACAACCCCTCTTGGTGATTTTTCCCATTTCCCTTTTCCAACTTCAGCATGACTTACTGTTTCTCTTTCAGATGATTCCATTCTTTTCACTAAAATGATTTTAGTAAAATTAAAGGAAACTTTATTTAAAAAATGCTTTTAAACAAATGTTTAAGGAGGAAGATGTATATTACAATAGTAAAAAGAAAGCCAGTGGCAATGACCACAAACTGGGATGCTACATTGACAACAAGCACCACAGTTGCCTTCCAATACAGACTGTATCCACTAGCCCTCAGGCCCCATCGCCCTTCGTTAAAAAGGAAGATTAGAGGCCAGGTGTGGTGGCTCACGCCTGTAATCCCAGCACTTTGGGAGGCTGAGACAGGCGGATCACCTGAGGTCAGGAGTTCGAGACCAGCCTGGTGAACACGGCGAAACCCCGTATCTACTAAAAATACAAAATTTAGCCAGGTGTGGTGGTGCGTGCCTCCCAGCTACTTGGGAGGCTGAGGCAGGAGAATTGCTTGAACCCGGGAGGCGGAGGTTGCAGTGAGCCAAGATTGCGCCACTGCACTCCAGCCTGGGTGACAGACCGAGACTTCATCTCAAAAGAAAAAAAAAAAAAAAAGGAAGATTAGCAAGTGTTTACGGGACGTCAAGGGTACAGTGGACAGAAAGTGGCAGCAAGTGGACACTGTCCTCAATATACTCAGAGAGATGGAATGGATGGAAAGGGAACAGCTCTCTCCCATATGATTCAGGCCCTCACATGGCAGCTTAGAGGAGCTGTCTCAACTACTCATGGGTGGACTTGGATTAAGACCATCTCCACCCCCACATACACAGATGCACAGATGCCCACAGACACACTTGCTCAGCCAGACCTCCCTCCGCAGCCTCCCCCAGTGGGAGGCCAGATTTGGCAGACCTGGGCACTGTCCCTGTAGCCCCTGGCAATGATAGGGGTCCTGCTCTCCATAGACACACCAACCAGAAACATAACAGCAATGCCACTCCACCACTGCAGTGGCCACTGGAGCCACATCCTTCTCACCCTGCACACACCCCTGGGGCTGACTCTAGTCCCATGCAAGCCAAAATGGCTGGGCTTTGGGTGACCTGGATCATGACATCGCTCCTTGAGCCCTTCACCAGCCTGTCCCATCTGCTCCCCACTACCCCATTTTTCCTGGCTTAAGACCCCAGCCAGAGGTCCAGCGTGGTGGCTCACACTGGTAATCCCAGCACTTTGGGGGCCTGAAGCGGGAGGATCACTTAAGCCCAGGAATTTTTAGATCAGCCTGGGCAACACAGTAAGACCCTGTCTCTGCAAAATACTAAAAAATTAGCCAGGCATGGTGGTGCATACCTATAGTCCCAGCTACTCAGGATGCTAAGGTGGGAAGATCACTTGAGCCTGGGAAACAGAGCAAGACTCTGTCTTTTTTTTTTTTTAAAACGGAGTCTTGTTCCGTCCCCCATGCTGGAGTACAGTGGCACGGTCTCAGCTCACTGCACCCTCCGCCTCCTGGGTTCAAGAGATTCTCCTGCCTCAGCCTCCCACATAGCCGGGATTACAGGCACCCACCACCAAGCCTGGCTAATTTTTGTATTTTTAATAGAGAAGGGGTTTCACCACGTTGGCCAGGCTGGTCTTGAACTCCTGACCTCAGGTGATCCACCTGCCTCGGCCTCCCAAAGTGCTGGGATTACAGGCTTGAGCCACCATGCCTGGCCACTAATTACTATTAATTTATGAGTTTACCTGCTTCACATCCATCTCCCCTCTGTGAGCTCTGTGAGAACAGACCTCGTTCCCCACTGTGTCAGCACCCAGGAGATTCTCAACGTATGTCCTCAGATAACCAACTGATGTATGTTGAAACCTTGGGCAAGTTCCTACATGAACTCCTGAGCCAGCCACCCTTGGCTCTGAAGCCATGGCCGCTGCACAAGCTACACTTCTTTCATTTATTTGTGCAGCAATATTTGTTAAGTCAGGTTCCACACAGAAATCTCTAGAATGCCATCTCAGATCATGGAGGCTGGAGAGCAGACAGGATATTAACGGCGACTCTCTTCATCTTGCGGTTCTAGGAAAATGAGAAAACCCATCTTCAGAGAAAAACACCTGCCTAAAAACCCCCACCCCAGTCTGCAACTACAAAAAAAAGCTGTGGCCTTTCTCTTGTCTGTGGCAATAACACTCACAGCACTGGATATGGCAGGCACACGGCTGGCTGTGCCCTGATCCAGTGTTCAAGGCAAGCCTGTGGCCCACAGAGGCTGAGGCCATAGAGCTCTGTGGGCTCGGGGGCTGGACAGGCTTATCTCTGACCTTTATCATCCTGGCGGACAACATCACATGCCAAAAAGAGCAGTCACCGGGCGATTGTGAGTAAGCTCTTAGCCTGAGGCTCAGTGCACGGTGGGCGTTCAGGAAGTGGTGGCCACTGTCAGGGTTGTGACCAGGTGGTTCTCTGCTCAGAGCATCTGCTCTCTGTCCTGGCAGGTCTGCATGTCATGTGCTGTGGGCTGTGCACCATGACACATACCTTCCGTGTGCCAGGCTCAGAAGCACCATGTTCAGCAAGTCCCTTCCCTGCCCTTGAGAGCCTGCTGGGAGCAGGGAAGCCACACTCAACCACACCCTCTCGCTGAGCTTTACTGCTGGAAGAGTGGAGAGCCCGGGGCCTCCATGTGCCTTGCTAAGGAGTGTGGGCTGCTCCCGGAGCCACAGGAGCCATGGGAATCCGCACAGGAGCCACGGAGCGGCCCACACCTCCCAACCAGCTTTGGATCAGGGCAAGGGAGCCTCCCCTGGTCACCTCAGGTGGTACAGTCCTCGAGAGGGCCCTCTCTGCTCTTTAGACTTTTTTCCTGCGACTTCAAGGTTCCAAATCTCCCCGTGGCCAGTGTGGGAAAGGAATGAGTAGGAACCATCTGCAGGAGCTACATCGTCCAAGCCTTTGCTCTAAGCCAGGTGTGGTGCTGATTCTTTATGGCACTATCTCATTGAATCCTCCCAGTAGCCCCATAAAATTGGTACCGTTGCTGCCCACATTTCACAAATGAGGAAACTGAGGCACAGGCTGCTACAGTGTTTAAGGCCACCCACACAGCTGGAAGTGGCTGAGCTGCAGTGCCACCCTCTCAAAAAGCTGCACCAATCGTCCTCGACCTCAGCCCACATAGGCTCATGTCAGAATCACTGGAGAGTTTCAAAAGATGCTGGTGCTCAGACGCCACCCTGGACCATATACCAGTCCGTGGGAGCGAGGACCAAAATTTGGAGGGTTTTATTTAGTTTTATTTATTTGTTTATTTATTTCGAGACAGGGTCTCACTCTGTTGCCCAGGCTGGAGTGCAGTGGTGCAATCATGGCACAATGCAGCCTCTACCTCCCATGCTCAGGCTATGCTCCAGCCTCAGCCTCCCAAGTAGCTGGGGCAACAGGCACACACCACCATTCCCAGCTAAGTTTTTAAAATTTTTTTATAGAGATGAGGTCTCACTATGTTGCCCAGGCTGGTCTCAAACTCCTGACCTCAAGCCATCTTCCTGCTTTAGCCTCCAATGTGCTGGAATTACAGGCATGAGCCATGGTGCCCAGCCGTTTTGGGCGGGTTTTATTTATTTATTTAGAGACGGAGTCTCACTCTGTTACCCACGCTGGAGTGCAGTGGCGAAATCTTGGCTCACTGTAAACTCTGCCTCCTGGGTTGAAGAGATTCTCCTCCCTCAGCCTCCTGAGTAGCTGTGATTACAGGTGCACACCACCACACCCAGCTAATTTTTGTATTTTTAGTAGAGAGGATTTCACCGTGTTGGTCAGGCTGGTCTCGAATTTCTGACCTCATGATTTGCCAGCCTCGGCCTCCCAAAGTGCTGGGGTTACAGGCATGAGCCACCGTGCCCAGCCTAATTTTTGTATTTTTGGTAGAGACAGGATTTCACCATGTTGGCCAGGCTGGTCTCGAATTCCTGACTTCAGGTGTTCCACCCACCCCGGCCTCCCAAAGTGCTGGGATTACAGGCATGAGCCACTGCGCCCGGCCCATTTTGGGTGGGTTTTAAACGCTCCCCAGGAGATTGTGCCATGCATTCCAGGTAGAGGCCCCCTGCCCATCACCCTCCTGGCACTTGGAAGGAGCACCCCGCAGCTGGTGTGGACCCGGCATGGCAGGGCGAATCTGGGGGCTGATGCATGCACCACAAGTCAGAGAAAGAAGAGGTGTATCGGATCCCAGGCTGTACCCAGGAAAGCAACCTCTGGGTTGGCTGCCGCAGAAGAAGAAACCAAGAGAGCAGGCCCTAGCCTGGCGTGATAGCCTTTCCCCCCATGGGGTGTCTTTATGAGTGGGGGTGTTCCCAAGGCACAGAGCACAAAGGCTCCCTCTGGCCCCAGGCAGTGCCCAGACACTGCCCTGCCCACTCAGCCTACATCCGGGGCCAGCCCCTCAACCCCCCACATTCCTGCAGGGACCCCGTGAGGCAGGAACAGACAGGGCTTTCAGAATGCGCGCCTGCTGGTGGGATGAATTATCACCGAAAATTATCTGCCATGAGAGCCGGCTGGCATTTCACGTGCCAAAGGTTGGCTGGCCCCTCCCCGGCCCTGGCTGCTTGGCTCCAGGGCCCTCATTCCAATTTTGCAAGGACAGAAACTTTATTCTCTTCCATGAGAGGCCTCCGCCCCTCACCATCTGTGCAGATCTTCCCTCTCCCAGCTGCCCCTGACCCCCACTCAGGGCCAGAGCCTTCCTTCCTCATGGCTCAGCACCAGGATGGATTAGACAAGGGTGATTCAAAAGTCAAGTTTCCCAGGTCTGTTTAAGCCACAGATTTTATTGATGGGGAAAGTCACTGCTACTAACATGTCCAGCCCAAATCTGTTGTAGTTTTTCTGCATGAGTCCCTGACAAATGCAAACAGCTGCTGCAGCCTGGGCAAGCTCATTTTGGAAGGAACTTGTCCGAGTTTCTTGGAGCCCAACAGCCTTCAGTTTGAATCCTGGTTCTGCCACCTACCACCTGTGGAACCTATGCTTGCTGCTTGATGTCTCTAATCTCTGGTTCCTCATTGTTTTTTGGGTTTTGTTGTTGTTGTTGTTGTTTTGTTTTGTTTTTGTTTTTGTTTATTTTTTGAAACAGGGTATTGCTGTGTCCCCCAGGCTGGAGAGCAGTGGCGTGATCTTGGCTCACTGCAGCCTCTGCTTCCCTGGCTCAAGTGATTCTCCTGCCTCAGCCTCCCGAGTAGCTGGGATGACAGGTGCCCACCACCATACTTGGCTAATTTTTGTAATTTTAGTAGAGACAGGGTTTTGCCTTGTTGGCCAGGCTGGTCTCAAACTCGGGACCTCGCCTGGGCCTCCCAAAGTGCTGGGATTACAGGCATGAGCCACCGCACCCCAGCTAGCTTCCTCATTTGTAGAATGGGAGTGACAACCTTGATCTCCCAGGAACATTGTGAGGTTAAAATGAGGTCATGGACATGAAAAAAGTCCATAAATGGGAACATAGAAGGCACTTGGAAAAATGAGGCAGGATGCAACGTACATGATATCAAAGACTGACTTAGGGCATCACCCTCGGTCTGACCTTCAGCATCTCAGGTTGGGGTAAACCCAGAGTGAATTGTTAGCAAGCACAGGGATATCTTCACAAGTGATGCCTCTCCTTTGTCCAGAAAGAGCAAATTTCATTCATCCATGTGTCTACTCAGGTTGTTTAGTAGTGACTATCTATGTGAGCTGCCCAGTGCAAACAAGGACTCAGCGATTAGCAATGTCTGCTGAGAATAAGAAATTAGAGTGGTGGAATGTATGCTACATTTTGCCATTTCTATTATAGAAAGTATTATGTCTAAATAATACTTCCACTCTAGCTCTTACCTGGATTTGTTGACAGCCTCCACACTGATCTTTCTGTTTCTTATATCTTCCCATCCTTTGACCCTCAACTTCCACTGCTGGAGTGAATTTTCTGAAATAAAAATCTGACCAAGCCTGATGCAATGGCTCATGCCTATAAGCCCAGCACTTTGTGAGGCTGAGGTGGGAGGGTCACTTGAGGCCAGGAGTTCAAGACCAGCCCAGACAACACAGCAAGACTCCATCTGTAAAAAAAAAAAAAAAAAAAATGTTCATTAGCTGGGTGTGGTGGCACGCACCTGTAGTCCCAGTTACTTGGAAGGCTGACGTGGGAGGATTGCTTGAGCCTAGAAAGTTGAGGCTGAAATGAGCTCTGACTGCACCATTGCACTCCAGCCTGGATGACACAGTGAGACCCTGTCTCTTAGAAAAAAAAAAAATCTGGGCTGGGCACAGTGGCTCACCCCTGTAATCCTAGCACTTTGGGAGGCTGAGGTGGGTGGATCACTTGAGTCCAGGAGTTCGAGATCAGCCTGGCCGATGTGGTGAAACCACATCTCTACTAAAAATATAAAAATTATCGGAATGTGGTGGCACACGCCTGTAATTCCAGCTACTCGGGAGGCTGAGGCAGGAGAATTGCTTGAACCAAGGAGGTGGAGGTTGCAGTGAGCCGAGATCATGCCACCACACTCCCACCTGGGTGACAGACAGACTCCATCTCAAAAAGAAAAAAAAAAAATCTGTTCCTTTGTTTTAGTCTTTTCTCAGTTTGCTATAAAGAAATACCTGGCCAGGCACGGTGGCTCACGCCTGTAATCCCAGCACTTTGGGAGGCCAAGGCAGGCGGATCACAAGATCAGGAGTTTGAGACCAGCCTGACCAACATGGTGAAACCCCATCTCTACTAAAAATACAAAAATTAGCTGGGCATGGTGGTGGCTGCCTGTAATCCCAGCTACTTAAGAGGCTGAGGAAGAAGAATCACTTGAACCCAGGAGGCGGAGGTTGTGGTGAGCTGAGACTGCACCACTGCACTCCAGCCTGGACGACAGAGTGAGACTCTGTCTCAAAAAAAAAACAAAAACAAAAACCTCACTCACCATCATGAGGAAGTACCAAGGGTATGGTACTAAACCATTCATGAAAAACCTACCCCCATGATCCAATCACCTCCTGCCAGGCCCCACCTCCAATACTGAGGATTACAACTCAGCGTGAGATTTGGGCAGGATGTGGATCCAAGCCATATCACCCTTTTACTCCATTACCTGTCACCACCCCAAGGTTCCCCGCATTGTTCTGAGGATCAAATCCGGCTCCCATGGGTGAAAATCAAGGCCTCCATTAACGTTCCCAGTCTCATTTATGGCTACTCACTTCCAAACATCTCAACCTCGAACTCCATTAATCTGAGGATCTTCAAGAACCAAGATGTGAGGATTGGAAGCAGCTCGGAAAGTTAAACTGAGAACCTTGTTCTTGATGCACAAGACCAGATCAAGATCAGAGGGGCAGCAAAAAAGAAACCTCACTTCATTTGCCACCAGTGAGTTTAATAAACCAGAAGGGAGACTTTTTTTTTTTTTTTTTTTTAGACAGAGTCTTGTTCTGTCACCCAGGCTGGAGTGCAGTGGTGCAATGTTGCAGCCTACTGCAACCTCCGCCTGCCGGGTTTAAGCGATTCTCGTGCCTCAGCCTCCTGAGTAGCCTTAACTACAGGCACGTGCCACCATGCCCAGCTGATTTTTGTATTTTTTAGTAGAGACGGGGTTTCGCCATGTTGGCCAGGCTGGTCTCCAGCTCCTGACCTCAAGTGATCCGCCCTCCTCGGCCTCCCAAAGTGCTGGGATTACAGGCATGAGCCACTGCGCCCAGCCTACTATTTATTTATTTTAGAGACAGAGTCTCCCTCTGTCGCCCAGGCTGGAGTGCAGTGGGGCAATCATAGCTCACTGCTGCCTAGAACTCCTGAGCTCAGGTGATCCTCCCACCTCAGCCTTCCAAGTATCTGGGACTACAGGTGCTCACCACCATATGTAGCCTAATAGCTGCTGCTTTAAAGAAAAATATGCAAACAGGCTTTTGGGGTTTTTTTTCAGTTTAACTTTTTACTTTGACATAATGTCAGTAAATAGAAAAGGTCCAAGAATAGTACAAGGGATTTCCCTAGACTCTTCCCCAGGTTCACCAGTTGCTCACATTTTGCCGTATTTGCTTTGTCATTCTCTTTTTTCTAAACCATTTGAGGGTAGGTTGCAGATATGATGACCCTTTGGCCCTAAATACTTCAGGTGCGTTTCCTAAGAACATGGACATTTATCACAGCACAATTAGCAAAACCAAGAACTTTAACATTGATGGGGCTAGGCGCAGTGGCTCATCCTGTAATCCCAGCACTTTGGGAGGCCGAGGCAGGTGGATCACCTGAGGTCAGGAGTTTGAGACCAGCCTGGCCAACATGGTGAAACCCCGTCTCTACTAAAAATACCAAAATTAGCCGGGCATGGTGGCATCTGCCTGTAGTCTCAGCTACTTAGACGGCTGAGACAGGAGAATCGCTTGAATCCAGGAGGCAGAGTTTGCTGTGAGCCAAGATCATGCCATTGTACTTCAGCCTGGGCATCAGAGACTCTGTCTTGAAAAAAAAAAAAAGAACTTTAACATTGAGGTAATATTATTCTTAATTTACAGATCTTATTCAGATTTGATGTCTCAATAGTGCCTGTTTTTGTTTTTGTTTTTTGTTGGTTTTTTTTGAGACACAGTTTTACTCTCTTGCCCAGGCTGGAGTGCACTGGTGTCATCTTGGCTCATTGCAACCTCCACCTCCCAGCTTCAAGTGATTCCCATGTCTCAGCCTCCCAAGTAGCTGGAATTACAGGCGTGCATCACCACGCTTGGCTAATTTTTGCATTATTAATAGAGATGGGGTTTTGCCATGTTGGTTGACCAGGCTGGTCTCAAACTCCTGACCTCAAGTGATCCACCCGCCTTGGCCTCCCAAAATGTTGGGCTTACAGGCATAAGCCACCACATCCGGCCTCAATAATGCCTTTGGAGCAATTTTTTTCCTGGTTCAGGATCCAATCCTGAATAGCACATTGCATTTGACTGTCATGTCTCTCTAGTCTCCCTTAACTCTGAACCAGTTCCTCAGCCTTTGTTTGTCATTTATGACATTGTCATTTTGGAAGACTACAGGCCATGTGTTTTTTAGAATAGTCCTCAATTTTCATTTGTCAGATGTTTCCTCGAGATTAGATTCAGGTGATGTATTTTCCATGGGAAATCACGGAAGTGACATTATGTCCTTCTCAGTGCATGATATGAAGCACCTAATGTCAGTGTGTCCTATCATTGGCAATGGTTTACTTTGATCACTTGGTTACAGTGGTGTCTGCCAGCCTTTATTTATTTCTTTATTTTTTTGAGACAGAGTCTTACTCTGTCGCCCAGGCTGGAATGCAGTGGTATGATCTTGGCTCACTGCAACCTCCACCTCCGAAGCTCAAGCCATCCTACCACCTCAACCTCCTGAGTAGCTGGGACTACAGGTGCACACTAACATGCCTGGCTAATTTTGGTATTTTGGTATATATATATATGTATATATATATATGTATATATATATATGTGTATATATATATATGTATATATATATATGTGTATATATATATGTATATATATATGTGTATATATATGTATATGTATATATATATATGTGTATATATATATGTATATATATATATATATATTTTTTTTTTTTTGTAGAGATGGGGTTTTGCCATGTTCCCCAGGCTGGTCTTGAACTCTTGGGCTGAACTAGTGATCTGCTTGCCTCAGCCTCTCAAAGTTTTGGGATATAGACTGACCTTACCAGTCTTATCTAATGTAAAATTACTGTTTTCTCTTTATAAATAATAAGTCATTTGTTGGGGAGTACATTGAGACTATATTGATATTCTATTTCTCATCCAACTTTCAAACTCTAGTTTTACCATCTATTGGTGATTCTTGTCTATATTAATTATTACTCTGGTATAGCAAAATTGTGACTTTTGTCTGGGCATGGTGGCTCACGCCTGTAATCCCAGCACTTTGGGAGGCTGAGGCAGGAGGATCACTTGAGCCAGGAACTTTGAGATCAGCCTGGGCAACATGGTGAAACCCCATCTCTACAAAAAATACAAAAGTCAGCCAAGTGTGGTGATGTGCACCTGTAGTCCCAGCTACTTGGGAGGCTCAGGTGGGAGGATCGCTTGAGCCTGGGAAGTAGAGGCTGCAAAAAGAAATGTTATTCAAAATTTATAAACACAGTGCTCTTCATTTGAAATTTTAGTTTCTCCCCATAGCTTGTTTTAGTTCTATTGGAAATAACGGGTAAGTAAATTTTCTTTTTCGCCATTCTCAGATTGTCTTCTTGTTTTTTCCTTTGTTTCAATGAAAGAAATTAACCCATTTATGTATAGTAGGGCTAATATGTTTGGTCATTTTCTAGGCATCTTGCTTATGTTTATTTGTTTGTCTCCTTAATATGAATGGAGGAGAATTAGGAGCACTTTTATCTGCCAGTGCCTAACATCTGGTCTGGGGCATAGTAAATGCTCATCAAATGTTTGTGGAAAATTGACGAACGGCTCAACAAGTGGCTTTACCCTGTAGCTGGATAGATAGACACAGGGTCTTGACTTCACTGTGATAATAATGATAACTATCACAGAAGTTACCTTTAAGTTGAATAACATGGTATTCAATTTAATATATATATTAGACAACAATCACCAATTATGAATAGTCTTAGCAAAGGGCCTGGATATGGTAATCCCTGAATAAATTGTACCTGTTATTTATCAAGCATTGACTAAGACCCAGGCATGCTGCTACACAATCTTATTTAATCCTCACAAGAATCCTATTGTACAAGGCCGGGTGTGGTGGCTCACGCCTGTAATCCCAGCACTTTGGGAGGCCAAGGCAGGAGGATCATTTGAGGTCAGGAGTTTAAGACAAGCCTGGCCAACATGGTGAAACCCCGTCTCCATTAAAAATACAAAAATTAGCTGGGTATGGTGGCACACACCTGTAGTCCCAGCTACTTGGGAGGCTGAGGTAGGAGAATCACTTGAGCCCGGGAGGGGGAGATTGCAGTGAGCCGAGATCGCACCACTGCACTCCAGCCTGGGTGACAGAGTGAGACTCCATCTCACACACAAAAAAAGAAAAGCCAGAAATGCAATAGAGATCCAGGCAGAGGGGCCTAGTCTGCCCTCTTCTTGGGCCTAAGCATTGACCACTGAGCTTGAACTAGACTTATTGGAGGTTTTTTGTATTGTTCTGTTTTGTTTCATTTTGTTTTGTTTGAGACTAGGTCTCACTCTATCACCCAGGTTGGAGTGCAGTGGTGCAGTCACGGTTCACTGAACCCTCAACCTCCCAGGCTCAAGCGATCCTCCCTCCTCAGCCTCCCAAGTAACTGGGACTACAGGTGCACACCACCACTCCCAGCTAATTTTTGCATTTTTTGTAGAGATGGGGTTTTGCCATGTTGCCCAGGCTGGTCTCAAACTCCTGGGTTCAAGTGATCCACCTGCCTCGGCCTCCCAAAGTGCTGGGGTTACAGGCATGAGCCACCGTGCCCAACCAAGACTTACTGTTTTAACCACATAATTTACTCTGCAAACATTACAAAAGGGTTATGCAGATCTATACTAACACAGAAAGACACCCCTGATACTTTATTAAATAAAAGAAAGTTTGGGGGACTGGGCACAATGGCTCACACCTGTAATCCCAACACTTTGGGAGGCCAAGGCCAGCAGATCACTTGAGTTCAGGAGTTCAAGACTAGCCTGGCCAACATGGTGAAACCCCATGCCACATACCTGTAGTCCCACCTACTAGGGAGGCTGAGGCAAGAGAATTGCTTGAACCAGGCAGGTGGAGGTTGCAGTGAGCTGAGATCTTGCCATTGCACTCCAGCCTGGTCGATGGAGCGAGACTCCATCCCAAAAAAAAAAGAAAGAAAAAGAAAAAAATAAGCGATTCCCCTGCCTCAACCTCCAGAGTAGCTGGGACTACAGGTGCGCACCGTCATGCCCAGCTAATTTTTTTGTATTTTTAGTAGAGACGGGGTTTCACCATGTTGGTCAGGATGGTCTTGATCTCCTGGCCTCGTGATCCGTCCACCTCGGCCTCCCAAAGTGCTGGGATTACAGGCGTGAGCCACCACGCCTGGCCAAGAAAAGAAAAATTTTAAACCACATGTAGAGTGTAGTTTTATTTCTATAAAATTGTATGTATGTATAGTGAGGAGGGAAAGTGTTATTTTAAACAGAAGTGATTGCAGGAGCTCTTCCATTTGCATAGAATATTGCCTGATAGGATACGTGGTATGCAAGAAGGGCAGTCACAAAAGGCCACATATTGTATGATATCATATATACAAAATGTCAGAATTGGCAAGTCCAGAGAGACAGAGATTCATGGTTGCCAAGGACTGAGGGGATAGGGAGTAACTGCTTGTAGATATGAAGGTTTTCTTTCTTCTCTTTCTTTCTTTCTCTCTCCTTCCTTCCTTTCTCTTTCCTTTCTCTTTCTTTCTTTCTCTCATTCCTTTCTTTCTTTCTCTTTCCTCTTTCTCTCTTTCCTTCTTTCTTTCTCTCTTTCCCTTTCTTTCTTTTTTCCTTCCTTTCTTTCTCTTTCTTTCTCTCTTTCCTTCCCTTCCTTCCTTCTTTCCTTCCTTCCTCTCTCTCTCCTTCCTTCTTCCCTCCCTCCTTCCTTCCTCTTTCTTTCTTTCTCTCTTCCTTCCTTCCTCTCTCTCTCCTTCCTTCCTCCCTCCCTCCTTCTTTCCTTCCTTCCTTTCTTTCTAATTTCTTTCTTTCTCTCTCTCCTTCCTTCCTCTCTCTCTCTCCTTCCTCCCTCCCTCCTTCTTTCCTTCCTTCCTTTCTTTCTTCTTTCTTTCTTTCTCTCTCTCCTTCCTTCCTCTCTCTCTTTCTCTTTCCTTCTTTCTCTCTCTTTCTTTCTCTTTTCTCTCTCTCTCCTTCCCTTCCTTCTTTCTTTCCTTCCTCCCTTCCTGTCTTTCTTTCGTTGCTCTCTCTCCTTCCTTCCTCTGTCTTTCTCCCTCTCTCTCCCTCTCTCCTTCCTTCCTCTCTCTCTCTCTCCACCCCCACCCACCCGAGGCTGGAGTGCAGTACCATGATCAGGGCTTTGATTCATGTCTGTCCCGTGAAGACAGCTCCACCCTTCATCCCCAGGATCCAGGCGAGCCTGGCACAGAGTAGGCACTCAGTAAATAGTTATTGACTAGGCTGAAGAATTAGTACCTTGCAAGAGGCAGATGTGAGCTCTGGAAGATGACATCAAGAGCTTTCTCTGGGTGGTGCGATTTTTTATTAAAGTATAGCATGACAGCAGAGTGCTCACTTCTTAGGCGTAGCTCAGTGACCATACAAATAAACGCACTTGTGTAAGTAGCTGGGAGGTGTGATATGGAGTAATTTTATTTTCCTTTTTGTCCTTTCTGGCTGGTTTAAATCTTTTTCAGTGATGTAATGAGCATCACTTACAGGGTCTGTGTCATTTTTACAAAATGCCTTTTTCGAATGAAGAAAAAACATCCATTTTCAATTATTTGGGATGTGGAAGGAACCCATGGGGTGATAAGAATTTTTTCCTTCCCTTGTTTTCTTTTACCTCCCTCCCTCCCCCGACCCCAGCAGGAGCACGCTTCTGGTGTTTTAGATACCCCCTTTCTCCCTCCAGGGGTGGTTTGGAGTTTTTACAAAGATCCTGAAGTGTTTGCTGAGCTCAGAATTAAAATCAAGGTAAACAAAGTAAATCTCTTTGTTTTGAGAAAATTATACAGCTGTTTGTGTTTGACACTTCTTTTTCTCCAAAGGCTGGAGTTTGGGGGATTTGGAATATCTGGCTTTTATTTTTATTTTTATTTTTTTATTTTTTATTTTTTTTTGAGACGGAGTCTCGCTCTGTCGCCCAGGCCGGACTGCAGACTGCAGTGGCGCAATCTCGGCTCACTGCAAGCTCCGCTTCCCGGGTTCACGCCATTCTCCTGCCTCAGCCTCCCGAATAGCTGGGACTACAGGCGCCCGCCACCGCGCCCGGCTAATTTTTTGTATTTTTAGTAGAGACGGGGTTTCACCTTGTTAGCCAGGATGGTCTCGATCTCCTGACCTCATGATCCACCCGCCTCGGCCTCCCAAAGTGCTGGGATTACAGGCGTGAGCCACCGCGCCTGGCCAATATCTGGCTTTTAAAATAAAGTCTTGAAATCTATTCTCAAAGATATGCCCAGATTAATAATTTGTATGTGATGAAGTGATTCATTCATTCATTCGTTCGTTTATTCATGTGTTCATTCACTGGTGTCTGCCTCTGTGCCAGGCCCATCCTGAGTGTGGGGAATATAGACACGGATCACATCTAGTCCCTGTCCCCAGGGAGACAGACATGGTCACAACAATCACTTCAAACCACGATTGGTGATTTAACGAGAGCTGGGTGGGTAAGATGTGGAGCAGAGGCTGACTGTCATCTAAGAGAAGGAACACTTGTGGTGGGTTTTGAGGTATACATAGAAGTTTTCCATGCAGAGAAGAGGTGGAAAGGCATTCCAGGCAGAAGGAACAGCTGTGCTAAGGCACAAAGACCGAGATAGCATAGAGCATTGGGTGCAGTGGTCATGAGCATCAGGGCCTAGCCAGGCTGCTTGGGTCTGAGTCCTGCCTTACACATCTCTTAGCTGTATGATCCAGAGCAAGTTTTTGCTCTCTCTGTGCCTCAGTTTCCTCACCTACGAAGTAGAGGTAATGACAACACCTATATTATAGAGTTGCTAAGGGTTAATTCAGATAAACCAAGTAAAGCGCTTAGGCCAGGCCCTGCACAGGATAGGCGTTCGGTAAATTGTCAGCGCCTAGTTAGGGTGAGCTGAGTACTGGGAAACAGGTGCCATAATTGAGATGGAGCAGGTGTGAGGGCAGAAAAGGGTGGATTCGTTTCATGCTCTTGGGAGACGTCCTGATACGAAATCTGCGGGGGGAGGGCTGGGGGCAGTGGCTCACACCTGTAATCCCAGCACTTTGGGAGGCTGAGGCGGGCAGATTACGAGGTCAGGAGATCGAGAACATCCTGGCTAACATGGTGAAACCCCATCTCTACTAAAAATATAACAAATTAGCCAGGCATGGTGGCACGCACCTGTTGTAGTCCCAGCTACTCAGGAGGCTGAGGCAGGAGAATCGCTTGAACCCCAGAGGCAGACGTTGCAGTGAGCCGAGATCGCGCCACTGCACTCCAGGCTGGGTGACAGAGCGAGACTGCATCTCAAAAAAACAAAAAGAAAAGAAAAGAAATCTGCGGGGGGAGATGCCCGGCAGGTTCCTGTAAGCCTGGAGGTCAAGGCTGGGCCCCAGGTCCAGCCCCTACCCACTTCCATCTCCTGCTTCAAGGCTTTGAGGACTGACCCCCAGGAGCTGTGGGCCTGCCAGCTCCAGGCACCGGTGACAGATACTGTCACACCCAGCCCCAGTGGAGCCTGCATGGGACACAGCCAGCTGGGCTGTTGCCTCAGCGTGAGAAAATGGAAGGAAGCAAGGCCCAGTCAAGGGCAGGACCCAGAGATAGGGCCAAGGGCGCCCGTCCTTCCAGGAAAACAGTCTGGTGAGCAGGCTTCAGCTCATCACCTTGCAGCTGGCTGGCCTGAAGTCACAGTTTACTTGGGCACAGTGGGGTGATTTGGTTCCTTTTTTACTCCCAATGCCACCGAATGCCCCATTACCCAGAGATTTTGTGTCTCCTCAGGGTACCCTGCTAAAGGCTTCACATTTGGGCTTACAAAGGAGAAAATTTGTTTACCTCCCCTTTACAGATAAAGACACTGAGGCTCAGAGAGGTGAAGTGACTTGTCTGAGGACACACAGCTCGTCAGACAGGCCTGCCTGCCCCTGGGGCCTGAGCTCCTAACCGCTCTGATGCAGTCTTCATCCCAGTGTTCTTTCAAAGCAGACGTGGGTGACCCACATTTAACTTTAACAGTAACTTTTGTCTGGGGGTGGTGGCTCACGCCTGTAATCCAAGCACTTTGGGAGGCTAAGGCAGGTGGATCACCTGAGTTCAGGAGCTTAAGGCCAGCCTGGCCAACATGGCAAAACCCTGTCCGTACTAAAAATACAAAAATTAGCTGGGCCTGATGGCACGTGCCTGTAATCCCAGCTTTTCAGGAGGCTGAGGCAGGAGAATCACTTAAACCCTGGAGGCGGAGGTTGCAGTGAGCCGAGATCGTGCCATTGCACTCCAGCCTGTGCAACAAGAGTGAAACTCCGTCTCAGAAAAAAAAAAAAAAAGTAACTTTTGGAAAGCATGGAGATTACATAAAGAGAGGTAATCTCTGAACATGTGCTGCTGAGTTTTATGGTAGATAATTTTTTTAAGGAGGTTGTAGGCCTCATCTGCTAAAAATATTTATGTAAAAACTTGGAAGCTCGTGGAGGCAGGAAACGGTAATTACCACAAAGCACTTGGTTGCACAAATGCCAGCCAATCCCCAGGCCATGTGGGGAGCCCAGGCCCTGCCCCATTGTGGCCCTTGGGGAGCCCCCCACCTCCTCAGGGGTCCTGGCCAAAGCCACTTCCTCGGACTCAGCCCGAGCTCCGAGCCCGCCTGGAAGCTGGCTGGCTTCCCAGTTGCGGTTTTTGCCCTAATGTGCTGGGAGTCATCCCACGGGCTGAGGCCTAGCCTTGGCTGGCTCCTTGCCTCCTGGGGGAGGCTGGGAAAGAAACTGGGTCCTGGATACATCAGGTTCCAGGTTCGAATCCCATCTCTATCTCCTAGAGAGCCACCAGACTTGAGTGTAGGCTGTGGAGCCAGGCCCTGGGTTAGAACCCAGACTCAACCACTTTCCAGCTCTGTGGCCTTGGCCAACTCACTGCCCTGTGAGCTTTAGTTTCCTTACCTCTCAGGTAAGGATTAGAATGGTCTTGCCCTCACAGGCATGCAGTGAGCATTAAATGACCCACTTTATATAAAGTGCTTATAGGCCGGGTGTGGTGGCTCATGCCTGTAATCCCAGCACTTTGGGAGGCCAAGGCGGGCAGATCACTTGAGGTCAGGAGTTCGAGACCAGCCTGGCCAACATGGTGAAACCCCATCTCTACTAAAAATACAAAAATTAGCCAGGCATAGTGGTGCACACCTGTAATCCCAGCTACTCAGGAGGCTGAGATAGGAGAATCGCTTGAACCCAGGAGGAGGAGGTTGCAGTGAGCCAAGATTGCACCGCTGCATTCCAGCCTGGGCGGCAGAGCGAGGCTCTGTCTCAAAAAAAATAAAAAATAGGCCGGGTGCAGTGGCTTACGCCTGTAATCCCAACCCACTGGGAAGCTGAGGCAGGCAGATCACTTGAGATCAGGAGTTCGAGACCAGCCTGGCCAACATGGTGAAACCCTATCTCTACTAAAATACAAAATTAGCCAGGCATGATGGCGGGCACCTGTAACCCCAGCTACCCAGGAGGCTCAGGCAGGAAAATTGCTTGAACCCGGGAGGCAGAGGTTGCAGTGAGCTGAGATCCCGCCACTGCACTCCAGCCTGGGCGACAGAGCAAGACTCCGTCTCAAAATAAAAATAAATAAATAAAGTGCTTACAGCAGTGTCTGACATAGACTAAGTGCCCAGTGAGTGTGGGATGTTACTGCTATATGTCTTTGAGCAAGTCCCCATCGCCCCCTTGAGCCTCAGTTTCTCCATCTGTAGAATGGGAATGACACAGAACCCTACCTCAGAGTGCTGAGGAGGTGAGACGGTGCACGGAAGGCACTTTGCACGGCACCTAGCAGTTAGTGAATGGTTAACAAATTACTAACAATTATTTGTATATCCCAAAGCCTTTCTGAGAGGATCGCACTCTGAAAAAAAAAACGGCTTGAGAAGGTTAAAATATTAAATTGGCCAGGCACAGTGGCTCACGCCTGTAATCCCAGCATTTTGGGAGGCCAAGGTGGAAGGCTGGCTTGAGTTCCAAAGTTCAAGACCAGCCTGGGCAATGTGGTGAGACCCCATCTCTACAAAAAAAATTTAAAAAGTAGCCAGGCATGGTGATGTGCATTTGTGGTCCCAGCTACTCAGGAGGCTGAGGCGAGAGAATCACCCGAGCCAGGAGGTCGAGGCCGCAGTGAGCCATGATTGCGCCAGGCACTGCAGCCTGGGCACCAGAGTGAGACTCTGTCTCAAAAACAAAACAAACAAACTAAACTCAATTTCCAGATGGAGGGGGAGCAGTAGCTTTGAGGAGCTGTGAGAGCCTTTGTAAGTGGCATTTGATGGGCACAGCGACAGGGAACCAGGCAGGGACTAGACAGCAGCTTGTTCTGCTGCAGAGGCTGGAACCGGGCAGCAGGGAGCCACAGGAGAGGACCAGGCTGGGAGCGTGTTACTTGTGGGGCTGGGGCACTGGGCTGGGAAGGGGCAGACTGCCGAGGCTGAGGGTGGGGCAGGGTGTGAGAGCCTGGAATCTGAGCTGGGTGGGATGGGGGCAGGGTTCCAATCCAGCCATGAGCTCAGGCGAGTCCCTGCCCCTCTGAGCCACACTTTCATCTGTCAAATGGGGCCAATGACACATCCGATGACTCAAAGAACACTTGCACTAATAAGGCTGTTAAGAGAATCTGGAGGCCCGGCCAGGTGTAGGGGAGAAGCTACTTACGGAGCCACCTGACTGCACCTGAGACAGAGTCCCAGGCAGTGCCAGAGGGCAGGGGACCTCCTGAGCCTGGCATCTTGGCCTTCCCTCCTGAGCTCCCTCCGACGCAGAGCAGACCCAAGCAGCTTCCCCGGGGCCCTAAGTGGGAAGCACGTTTTCCAGCCTAGGGATGGACACGGCCCTGGTGCCAGTGGCACTGTAGAGGGGCCCCTGTAGGTGAGGCTGCCCTCCCAGGCCCCTTCTGTACGCCACCCTGGTGCCGTGCTGACCACTCGCTGAGACACACCATAAACCCTTCCTCCGCCAACTGGTTTCAGAATCATCCCACGTTCCTCACCAGGCCCCAGGCTCCAGGTCTGGGTGTACGGGGAGTTTTCCCTGTAGCCTGGCTCCCCGCCAGCCACAGAAGCCTGTTGGAGGCTGGCACACAGCCAGACTTTGACCTCTGGGGAATTTGTTCTAGAGTTTTATTAATAGCAACAATATCTTGCATTTACTGTGTGCCGGGCTGAACTACACTCTACTTGCATAGAAAATGCACAAGGACCCTGTGAGCTGGGGTCCATGATCCCACTCCTAGGAGAGCAGATGTCAAGTTCCCCACCCAGCCTCACACAGTGGGGATCCCGCTTGGGCAGCCTGGCACCAGATGACCCTTTCTCAGGGACTGCACTGCCTTTGATTTTGTGGGAAGAACACTGGTTTGAGAGTCTGTAGCCCTGGGTTCTGCCTCCTTGGGGTGACCTTGGACTACCTTCCGACAGTGGAGATGAATGCTGCTCTGCCTCCCCTGGGTCTTAGATAGGGAATACAACATATATATATATGTGTGTGTGTGTATCTATATATACGTGTGTGTATATATACACACACATATATATATACACGCACATATATATACACACACACACACACATATAGAGAGAGAGAGGGAAAGAGAGAGAGTGTGTGTTTATGTGTGGCCTATACCTTATTTTAAGGATATGGCTCATGTGATTATGGGCGCTGGCAGGTCCAAAATGTGTAGGGTGGGCCAGCAGGTTGGAAACTCAGGCAGGATTTGATGTTGCAGTTTTGAGGCAGAATGTCTTCTCTGGCAAATGCGTTTTTGCTCTTAAAGCCTTCAACTGATTGGATGAGGCCCACCACCCACACATCAAGGGTAATTTTTTTTTTTGAGACAGAGTCTCACTCTGTCACCCAGACTGGAGTGAAGTGGTGTGATCTTGGCTTACAACAACCTCCGCCTCCTGGGTTCAAGTGATTCTTGTGCCTGTCTCCTGAGTAGCTAGGATTACAGGCATGCACTACCATGCCCAGCTAATTTTTTGTATTTTTAATAAAGACAGGGTTTCACTGTGTTGCCCAGACTGGTCTCAAACTCCTGAACTCAGGTGATCCGCTCATCTTGGCCTCTCAAAGGGCTAGAATTACAGGAGTGAGCCACCAGGCCTGGCCCCCCCCCTTTTTTTTTTCAAGACGGAGTTTCACTCTATTGCCCAGGCTGGAGTGAAATGGTATGATCTCGGTTTACTGCAACCTCCGTCTCCCAGGTTCAAGCGATTCTCGTGCCTCAGCCTCCTAAGTAGCTGGGACTACAGGCGTGCACTGCCACATCTGGCTAATTTTTTTGTATTTTTAGCAGAGACAGATGTTTCACCATGTTGGCCAGGCTGTTCTCGAACTCCTGACCTCAAGTGATCCACCCACCTCGGGCTCCCAAAGTGTTGGAATTACAGGTGTGAGCCACCAAGCCCAGCCAAGGGTAATCTTTACTTGAAGTCAGCTGTAGATGTTGACTCAACCCATGTACAAAATACCTTATGGGAACACCTAGATTAGTGTTTGACAAAGTAACTGGGTACTATAGCCTACCCATGTTGATCGCACCCCTACTTCTTAGCTAGGGAAACAGTTTCAGAGAGGTGGACCGCCCAGGTCCCACAAATAGAACTGGGAAAGTTATATCCTTGTCTGTAGATATGTCTAAATATATACCGCAGAACGCTAGCATCTTTAGGGAGGATTTGAGGTAACTTTTAAATACCTCTTACTGTCTAGTATTTAAAATTTCACGTGTAACTTATGATCACAAAATTAAATGATTTTTCACTTTGGGAAAAAAAGGACTTCCAGCTGGGTGCGATGGCTCACACCTGTAACCCCAGCACCTTGGGAGGCTGAGGCGGGCAGATCACCTGAGGTCAGGAGTTTGAGACCAGCCTGGCTGACGTGGTCAGACTCCCTCCCGCCCCCAACTAAAAATACAAAAATTAGGCGTGCATGGTGGTGCATGCCTATAATCCCAGCTTCCCAGGAGGTTGAGGCAGGAGAATCACTTGAACCCCGGGGCAGAGGTTGCAGTGAGATTGTGCCACTGCACTCCAGCCTGGGTGACAGAGCAAGACTCCTGTCTCAAATAAGTAAACAAAATTTAAAGAAACGAGAGACAAGGAAATGTATAAAAAGCAAGAAAAAAGGCACAAAAGGTAGATTTTTTAAAACCAAGTAAATCAGTAAGTGTGAACAAACTAGATAAATCATTCAATTGAGACACATTGAAACAAAATGATACAGAAAGGTCAACATAAAAGGGTATGTTATTAGAGGTGTCCAAGAAAAGGATGGGAAAAGATATAGCATGAGAACAACAACAAGAAACATTTTATAATGACAAGTTTAATTTGTGCATATACATACATATATACGTATACATATACATATATGTATTATTTTAAGAGTTTCACTCTTGTTATCCAGGCTGGAGTGCAATGGCACAATCTCAGCTCAGTTTAACCTCCACCTCCTGGTGTGTCCGGAATTGGTGGGTTCTTGGTCTCACTGACTTCAAGAATGAAGCTGCGCACCCTCGCAGTGAGTGTTACAGCTCTTAAGGCAGCGCGTCTGGAGTTTGTTCCTTCTGATGTTCAAATGTGTTCGGAGTTTCTTCCTTCTGGTGGGTTCGTGGTCTCGCTGGCTCGGGAGTGAAGCTACAGACCTTCATGGTGAATGTTACAACTTTTAAGGCAGCACGTCTGGAGTTGTTCATTCCTCCCCGTGGGCTCATGGTCTCGCTGGGCTCAGGAGCAAAGCTGCAGGTCTTCACGGTGAGTGTTACAGCTTATAAAAGCAGTGCGGACCCAAAAACTGAGTAGTAGCAAGATATATTGTAAAGAGCAAAAGAACAAAGCTTCCACAGTGCAGAAGGGGACCCAAAGGGTTGCTACTGCTGGTTCGGGCAGCCTGCTTTTATTCTCTTATCTGGCCCCACCCACGTCCTGCTGATTGGTAGAGCCCAGTGGTCTGTTTTGACAGGGTGCTGATTGGTGCGTTTACAATCCCTGAGCTAGACATAAAGGTTCTCCACGTCCCCATCAGATTAGTTAGATACAGAGTATGGATACAAAGGTTCTCCAAGGCCCCACCAGAGCAGCTAGATACATAGTGTCGATTGGTGCATTCACAAACCCTGAGCTAGACACAGGGTGCTGATTGGTGTGTTTACAAACCTTGAGCTAGATACAGAGTGCCCATTGGTGTATTTACAATCCCTGAGCTAGACATAAAGGTTCTCCAAGGCCCCACCAGAGTAGCTAGATACAGTGTCGATTGGTGCATTCACAGACCCTGAGCTAGACACGGGGTGCTGATTGGTGTATTTACAATCCCTGAGCTAGACATAAAGGTTCTGTACGTCTCCACCAGACTCGGGAGCCCAGCTGGCTTCACCCAGTGGATCCCGCACCAGGGCTGCAGGTGGAGCTGCCTGCCAGTCCCGCGCGGTGCGCCCGCACTCCTCAGCCCTTCGGTGGTCGATGGGACTGGGCGCCGTGGAGCGAGGGGGCGGCGCTCATCGGGGAGGCTTGGGCGGCGCAGGAGCCCATGGAGGCGGTGGGAGGCTCAGGCATGGCGGGCTGCAGGTCCCGAGCCCTGCCCCGCGGGAAGGCAGCTAAGGCCCGGTGAGAAATCGAGCGCAGCGCTGGTGGGCTGGCACTGCTGGGGGACCCAGTACACCCTCTGCAGCCGCTGGCCCGGGGCCGGTGGGGCCGGCCGGCTGCTCCGAGTGCATCCGCCAAGCCCGCCCGCCAAGCCCACACCCATCCGGAACTCCAGCTGGCCCGCAAGCGCCGCGCGCAGCCCCGGTTCCCCGCTCGCGCCTCTCCCTCCACACCTCCCTGCAAGCTGAGGGAGCCGGCTCTGGCCTTGGCCAGCCCAGAAAGGGGCTTCCACAGTGCAGCAGTGGGCTAAAGGGCTCCTCAAGTGCCGCCAAAGTGGGAGCCCAGGCAGAGGAGGCACCGAGAGCGAGTGAGGGCTGTGAGGACTGCCAGCACGCTGTCACCTCTCACTGGGTTCAAGCAATTCTCCTGCCTCAGCCTCCCGAGTAGCTGGGATTGCAGGTGCCTGCCACCATGCCCAACTAATTTTTGTATTTTTAGTAGAGACAGGGTTTCACCATGTTGGCCAGGCTGGTCTTGAACTCCTGACCTCAAGTGATCTGCCCGTCTCGGCCTCCCAAAGTACTGGGATTACAGGCATGAGCCACCGTGCCTGGCCCCTGCTAAATGTTTATCTTTTATTTTTTGTGGAGATGGGTGCTTGCTATGTTGCCCAGGTTGGTCTTGAACTCCTGGCTTCTAAGCAGTCCTCCTGCCTTGGTCTCCTAGAGTGCTCGGATTGTGGGCATGAGCCACTGCACCCAGCCTCAAGTGGGGATTTGAACCCAGGTCTGGATGGATGCTAAGCCCTCGCAGAGTGCGCAATGGAGACTTGCATAGAACGGCACAGCTGCGGGCAGTGGAAGGCTGAGATTTAGGCCTGAACTTCTGGAAAGAAATGGGAGAGGAAATGACTCGATGTTCCTCCTACCCCTACTGGTCAGGAAGGGAAGGGCAATGCCCCAGACAGGCCGAGGAGGGCTTCCTACCCACCCCTACCCCCAGACACAGGGGCCCTGGGCTGGCAGGAGTCCATTATCATGAAGTCTCAGGGGTGGGGGCAGCTGAGCAAACATCAGTTCCCTGGCCTGATACAAAATGGCCATTGAAGCATTTCAGGGCCTGGGGGAGGTGTGGGGCTGCTGAGACAAGCTTCTGAATGGAGGGGCCGGGCTACTGCACGGCACCCCAGCTGCCAACACTTTCAACTTTGTGATGAGGAAGCTGAGGCCCAGACAAGCCGATACATTAGCCTGGACTCACACAGCCAGTCAGATCCCATCATTCTGGCCCACAGGGTGGGGGTCTGGGGGGTGCCCAATGGAGGCCGGTGCCAAGTTCCAGGTGTGAGCCCATGGACCCGGGAACCCACAAGTTGCCTGTACTTAGCCCCAGCTCCAGGTGGCTCAGAGCAGCCCTTGCCAGCCCTGAGAGGCTCAGCAAGGAGCTCAAGGTCACACGGCAAGCAGAAACTGCCAGTGTCTCCCTGCCCGGCCAGGGCGGCTCCCGCTTTCTGGCCTGAGCTCTGCTTCCCACATGACCCCCACTCTCCCAAGCCCCATCCGTCAGCTGTCTCCTTGGAGGGCGCTGCGAGGCTGGTCAGATTTCCACAGGGCACATGGGTGCCGGGTGTGACTGGGACAGCTGGGAGGGCAGGTGGGCGGAGGGGGCTGCTGGCGGCACGAGGCCCCAGCCAGGGATGGGATCCTGCAGCAACTGCTCCAGGCTGCCCGAGGGGGGCCAGGCCCTCATGGGGGAGCTGATTCTGGGTCCGTATCCCAGCTGTGCCACCGAACTGGCTGGTGACCCTCGTTTGGCGTCTCTTCCTCTCCTGGATTCTCGAGTTCCCCAGCTGGTGGCGCTGTGATGGTCAGGTTATTATTAATTATTATCATTATTACCTCCTGGTGGCCTGGGAAGAAATGGTCAGGCCAGAGAACCTAAGCAGAGGTGGCTGGGGGGCCACTTGACCCCTGAAGTTCCATTGGCTTCCTAAAGCTCCATTTGGCCATTTGGGCTGTCCCTTGCTGCTGCTGAAGGCCCCTGTTGCTCACCACGGCTCCCCCAATGCTTGTGACAGCACAGTTCAGAACTCGCGTGAGATTGGAGTCATTCTGGCTGGAGGGGGGCCAGAGGCCCAGAATTCCAGCCCTGCGTCTCCTCTTTCTCCACATTTCACCCCCCGACCCCCCTGCACCAGGTAGCTCTGAGGCCACCCTTGGCACCGTCAGGGTTCCATGACACCTACTTTGAAAACCATGGCCAGAATGCCATCTAAACCCCTTAGCTAGGCATTCCAAGCCTCCATTCCCCACGCCTCCCCCAAGTCTCTAATTCTTATTTTCCCCAGGTGTCCCCCAGGTGACCCAGTGCCCACCACACCCGATTCCTGGCTGCTTCAGAAACAGGCTCTGCAGCTTTACCCTGGGGCCTTTATAGATGCCGTTTCTGCCTCTCAGAATCTTCTTTTCCGCTTAGCACCTGGCAAATACTTCCTTAACTCCAGAGGCCTGGAAGCCCATTGTCTCCTCCCAGAAGACCTCCCTGATTGCGGAAAGAGGGTCCCTTGCTCTTCCCTGAGCTCTCTGGGGCCCTGCAGAGGTCAGGGGGCCCAGAGGGGTTGAGGGGCGTGATCCGGCAAGGACGGGAGGGAGGGAACAGGGAGGGATGTAGATGGAAGGCAATGGGTGGAGGGCAGGAGCAAGGGAAGAATGGGGGGCGGGGGAAGGCACCACCTTCTGCCCCTCCCCTCACCCCTAGCGCCTATACCCGCGTCCTCTCTCCTCTCCTCCACCCCACCCTGGGGCCAAGCATCTTCTCCAGGCTCCAGGGAGGAGAGGAATTCCAGGAGCCCCATTTCAGGGTCCCAGGTGGGCCACCAGTCCAGAGGATCAAGGGATAAGGGAGAACGGTCATGAGCCAACACCCACTCCAAGTTCCACATCTCATGGCTCAGCTCCCAGATGATCTGCCTTCCTGGGCTGCTTTCCGGGGGGGGTCGGGTCCCCCTAGAGCCCCAGGAGGTCGGCGTAGGCCTCCAGGACGCAGGCCTTCTGCTACCATCACAGACACCACAGGCCTGCTACTCACCCGGGACAGGAAGCCACTTTCTGAGCACCAGCTATGTTCAAGGCCCCGGGCCAGGCACTCACTGGTTTGGTCTCATTTAACTGGGCAACACCTCCCTTCTCAGGGACCAAGCACCACTTCACTGAGGGAAAATGGGGTTCAGTGGAGAAGCTGTTAGAAGGACACACCCCCCCCCAAACTGTGCACAGTCTCCTTTAAAAGAGCGAAGTTGGTGGAAGAAGACAGGGAGCAGACACATGTGCCCTTTGTGTTTTATTCTGATTAGTTAATTACCCATTTGCTTTTGTTTCTTACCTTTCCTATGGTGGTGAGTGCCCTTTGTTTTTTATTTTTATTTTTACTTTTATTTTTATTTTGAGATGGAGTCTCATTCTGTTGCCCATGCTGGAGTGCAGTGGTGCGATCTCAGCTCACTGCAACCTCTGCCTTCCAGGTTCAAGCGATTCTTCTGCCGTAGCCTCCTGAGTAGCTGGGATGACAGGCATGCGCCACCACACTTAGCTAATTTTTGTATTTTTAGTAGAGACAGGGTTTCACCATATTGGCCAGGCTGGACTCGAACTCTTGGCCTCATGTAATCCACCTGCCTCAGCCTCCCAAAGTGCTGAGATTACAGGCGTGAGCCACCACGCCTGGTTTATGCTTTAATATTGTTGTGTCCAAGACTGTTTAAGAATTTTTTTTTTTTTTTTTGAGGCAGAGTCTCCCTCTGTGGCCCAGGCAGGAGTGCAGTGGCACAATTTAAGAATTTTAAAAATTGGGGGCAGGCCCAGGGGCTCATTCCTGTAATCCCAGCACTTTGGGAGGCCAAAATGGGCAGATCACAAGGTCAGGAGATCGAGACCATCCTGGCCAACATGGTGAAACCCTGTCTCTACTAAAAATACAAAAATTAGCTGGGCGTGGTGGCACGCGCCTGTAATCCCAGCTACACGAGAGGCTGAGGCAGGGGAATCGCTTGAAGCCGGGAGGCAGAGGTTGCAGTGAGCCAAGATCGCACCATGGCTCATGCCTGTAATCCCAACACTTTGGGAGGCCGAGGTGGGCAGATCATGAAGTCAGGAGATCGAGACAGTCCTGGCCAACATGGTGAAACCCCGTCTCTACTAAAAATACAAAAATTACCTGGGCGTGGTGGCACGTGCCTGTAGTCCCAGCTACTGGGCAGGCTGAGGCAGGAGAATCGCTTGAACCTGGGAGGCAGAGGTTGCAGTGATCCAAGATCGCACCATTGCACTCCAGCCTGCCAACAGAGCGAGACTCCGTCTCAAAAAAAAAAAAAAAAAATTGGCCGGGCACGGTGGCTCACGCCTGTAATTCCAGCACTTTGGAAGGCCGAGGCAGTTGGATCACCTGAGGTCAGGAGTTTGAGACCAGCCTGGCCAACATGGTGAAACCCCACCTCTATTAAAAATACAAAAATTACCTGGGCATGGTGGCGGACCCCTGTAATCCCAGCTCCTTGGGAGGCTGAGGCAGGAGAATCACTTGAACTCGGGAGGCAGAGGTGACATCCAGCCTGGGTGACAGAGCTTAAAAATTAAATAAATGAAACAGCATAAAAATCCTCTCTAGCTGGGTTGTGGCCCTGCCCCCACAAGCTGGACAGGCCTGTCACAGAGGCCCTGACTGGCTGGCTGCCCCCTACCCTGCCCTGCACCCTCGATCCACCCCAGACCTGGGCCTGACATCCACAGGGTGGCGTGTTCAAGACCTTCCACTGGTGCTCAGCTCAGAGCCTCAGAGAGTTCTCCTCTGTAAGACTCACCAGAATGTGGGAGAGGCCGGAGGAGACCCGTGGGTGTGAGTCCCTGAACTTGAGAACTGGGAATGCAGGCTGGGGCTGTGGGCCCACGCTGGGGACAGTGGGTGGTGGTCAAACCCCCTGGGCTTCTCAGGTTCCTTCTGACGTCTAGGTCACTTTGCTATCCAAACAGAATGACTGTCTTAGAAAAACACGTATTAAAAAATACGGTAAGATAAATAAGGCTGAGTTTCTAGATCTGGCAAATCGTATTCCAAGAGAGCCAGAGTGAAGGGTATGAATCTGACGCCACACAGAACAGCCCAGAGATGGCCCGGGGGCTGTTGCTCATGCCTGTAATCCCAGCACTTCGGGATGCCAAGGTCGGGCAGATCACCTGAGGTCAGGAGTTCGAGACCAGCCTGGCCAACATGGTGAAACCCCGTCTCTACTAAAAATATGAAAATTAGCCAGGCGTGGTGGTGTGTGCCTGTAATCCCAGCTACTCAGGAGGCTGAGGCAGGAGAATCGCTTCAACCTGGGAGGTGGAGGTTGCAATGAGCTGAGATCGTGCCATTACACTCCAACCTGGGTGACAAGAGCAAAACCCATCTCAAAAAAAAAAACAACAACAAAAAACAACAACAACAAAAAAAAAAACAGGCCTGAGGCCAGAAGCCAGTAGAGAAGAGAGCACCATCACCCCACCCTTCTAGAAGGGTGAGCCCAGGAGTCATGGACTCATGAGCCCAGACTCGCCAAGCAAAGTCGGGGGCAGATTGTTCAGGAAGTGATTTCAGAGTCCTCAGAAGATGGAGTGTGACTGGCAATGCAGACGAAGGTCACTGGAAAGTGAACCAAGCTGCTGTTGTCCCTCTCCATAACAGGTGACCGGGCCCAACCCACACACAGGCTGCCTGGATTTCTGCAAAACACAGGAGGTTTTCCTTTTTTATTTCTTTTTAAATTGTTTTGTTTCAGGGCTGGGCATAGTGGCTCACGCCTGTAATCCCAGCACTTTGAGAGGTGTAGGTGGGTGGATCACTTGAGGCCAGGAGTTCGAAACCGCCTGGCTAATATGGTGAAACCCCGTCTCTACTAAAAATACAAAAATTAGCCGGGCGTGGTGGCGCATGCCTGTAATCCCAGCTACTCGGAAGGCTGAGGCAGGAGAATCGCTTGAACCTGGGAGGTGGAGGTTGCAGTGAGCCGAGATCTTGCCATTGCACTTCAGCCTGGGCAACAGAACAAGACTCTGTCTAAAATAAATAAAAAATACATACATAAAATAAAATCTTTTGTTTCCTTTTTTTTTTTTTGAGTCAATGTTCTGCTGAATGGCTTTTTTGGTTTTTTGTTTATGCCTTTATTTAATTTTGGCATCCAAAACAGAACAGAATAGTATGACGTAACCCATTAAAAGAATAGTGGCCGTTATAGATAACATCCTTCAATACTGAACCTAAGTGTGAGGTTTTTTTTTTTTTTTTCTGAGATGGAGTCTCACTCTGTCGCCCAGGCTTAAGTGCAGTGGCCCGATCTTGGCTCACCATGACCTCCGCCTCCCAGGTTAAGGGATTCTCCTGCCTCAGCCTCCTGAGTAGCTGGGACTACAGGCGTGCACCACCACGCCTGGCTAATTTTTGTATTTTTAGTAGAGGCGGGGTTTCACCATGTTGGCCAGGCTGGTCTCGAACTCCTTACCTCAGATGATCCAACTGCCTCGGCCTCCCAGAGTTCCGGGATTACAGGCGTGAGCCACCGCGCCCGGCCGTGAACCCAAGGGTGAGTTTTTTGTTTTTGTTTTTATCTTGCTGTTTGTTTGCTTGTTTGGCAGCCACGTAGCTTGTCTTTCTACACCTGCATGGATCAGTTATTGAATTAAACTGCCCCCTGGGAAGAGGTAGATTTGAGTGAAGCGGTTTCTGCTAGTTTAGGGCAACACCTGAGAAAGGCCTCGGCTGTGAACCATCAGCGGAGACACTTCCGGTTGCTGGAGCATGAAAGTTTAATCCCTGAAGAGGCCACGGAGCAGCACAGGAGTCACTGCACCCGCCTTGCCTCGCTTCAGTCCTTCGTTTCACATAATCAGTGTGCTCCATTAGGGATTAGCTCTTCCAGGGCTGTGGTTGGTCACTTTTCACGCACCTTAGTAGCGTGCTCTATTTTGTCTCAGGTTCATTTTCCACGTTCATTTGCTCTTTAGATGACAAAATGTCTACATCAGTTGAATCAGGATCTAGAAGTCCCTGATTTCAGATGCAGCTTCCACACTGATCAACTAGCTTTGTGATTCTCATTTAGTCACAGTCTCCTGTTTTCTTTTCTCTTTTTTTTTTTTTTTTTTGAGATAGAGTCTTGCTCTGTGGCCCAGGCTGGAGTGCAAATAGCACGATCTCGGCTCACTGCAACCTCTGCTTCCCAGGTTCAAGCGATTCTCTTGCCTCAGCCTCTTGAGTAGCTGGGGATGCAGGCACATGCCACCACGCCTGGCTAATTTTTTTTTTTTTTGAGACAGAGTCTCTCTCTGTCGCCCAGACTAGAGTGCAGTGGCGCGATCTCAGCTCACTGCAACCTCTGCCCCCCGGGTTTAAGCAATTCTCTGCCTCAGCCTCCTGAGTAGCTGGAATTACAGGCGTATGCCACCACACCCAGCTCATTTTTTGTATTTTTAGTAGAGATGGAGTTTCACCATCTTGGCCAGGCTGGTCTTGAACTCCTGACCTCATGATCCACCTGCCTCGGCCTCCCAAAGTGCTGGGATTACAGGCGTGAGCCACCATGCCTGGCCAATTTTTGTATTTTTAATAGAGATGGGGTTTCACCATGTTGGCCAGGATGGTCTCGGTCTCCTGACCTCATGATCCACCCACCTAGGCCTCCCGAAGTGCCGGGATTACAGGCATGAGCCACCGCGCCCAGCCCTCCTGTTTTCTTTAGAGTTCCACGTGACTGGGGAGGCCTCACAATCATGACAGAGGGCAAAAGACATGTCTCACATGGCGGCAGACAAGAGAAGAGAATGAGACAGTTTTTTTGATACATAAGTTGTTCATATTTATGAAGTACATGTGATATTTTGAGACATATATACAATGAGTAATGATCAGATTACGATAATTAGGAAATTCATCACCTCAAACATTGATCAGTTATTTGTGTTGGGAACATTCCAGATCTTCTCTTCTAGCTATTTTGTAACGTACAATAACTTGTTAACTATAGTTGCCCTTGGCCAGGTGTGGTGGCTCATGCCTGTAATCTCAGCAATTTGGGAGGCTGAGATGGGAGGATTTCTGGCAACATCGTGAGACTCCAGCTCTACAACTTTAAGCTCTACAGCTCTACAGCTAATTTTTTTTTTTAATTAGCTGGGTGTGGTGGCATGTGTCTGTAGCCCCAGCTACTCAAGAAGTCTGGGCGGGAGGATCACTTGAACCCGGGAGGTCAAGGCTTTAGTGAGCAGTGATTGCGCCACTTCACTCCAGCCTGGGCAACAAAGCGAGATCCTGTCACAAAACAAAACAAAAAAGCATAGTTACCTTACTGTGCTATCTGACACTAGAACTTACTCCTTCTATCTATTTTTTTTTTTTTTTGAGACCGGGTCTCACTCTGTCACCCAGGCTGGGGTGCAGTAGCATGATCTTGGCTCACTGCAACCTCCACCTCCTGGGTTCAAGTGATTCTCGTGCCTGAGCCTCCCTGCTAGCTGGGATTACAGGTGCCTGCCACCACGCCTGGCTAATTTTTGTAGTTTTAGTAGAGATGGGGTTTCAGCATGTTGGCCAGGCTGGTCTCAAACTCCTGACCTCAGGTGATCCATCCACTTTGGCCTCCCAAAGTGCTGGGATTACAGGTGTGAGCCACCACACCCGGCCTATCTAAGTGTATTTTTGTACCCATTATCCAACCTCTCTTCATCCTCCCCTCTCCCCTACTTCCCCACATCCTCACCAGCATCTTTTATTTTCTTTTGTGGGGTTTTTTGTTTGTTTTTTGTTTGTTTGTTTGTTTGAGACCGGGTCTCACTCTGGTCACCCAAGCTGGAGTGCAGTGGCATGATCACAGCTCACTGCAGCCTGGCCCTCCTGGGCTCAGGTGATCCTCGCACTCAGGCTCCCGAGTAGCTGGGATCACATGTGCACACCATCACATCCGGCCAATTTTTTGTATTTTTAGTAGAGACTGGTTTTCACCATGCTGCCCAGGCTGGTCTTGAACTCTTGGGCTCAAGCAATCCACCTGCCTCAGCCTCCTAAAGTGCTGGGATAGCAGGGGTGAGCCACCTTGCCTGGCCCTATTTTCTGTCTTTTTGATAAAAACCATTTTAACTGGGGTGAGATGATATCTCATTGTGGTTTTGATTTGCATTTTCCCAGTGATTAGTGACATTAAGCGTTTTTTTTGTTTGTTTTTCGTTTTTGGGTTTTTTTTTTTTTCTGAGACGGAGTCTCGCTTTCTCGCCAGGCTGGAGTGCAGTGGTGTGATCTCAGCTCACTGCAACCTCTGACTTCTGGGTTCAAGCGATTCTCCTGCCTCAGCTTCCCAAGTAGCTGGGACTATAGATGCATGCCACTATGCCTGGCTATATATTTTTTTGCATTTTTTAGTATAAATTTTTGCAGTTTTAGTAGAAATGGAGTTTCACCATGTTGGCCAGGCTGGTCTCGAACTCCTGACCTCAAGTGATCTGCCTGCCTCAGCCTCCCAAAGTGCTGGGATTACAGCTGTGAGCCACCGTGCCTGGCCAGGGAGCCTTTCTTGGTATCTTTGGGGCTACAGTAAAAAATGGTGGACTCATGAGATGATAACGCTTTCATGATAGCCCAGCTAACCATGCACAGGTGCCGTTCCAAGCACTTTACATACATTAATCCTCAAAGCCAACCTCATGCAGCAGGTACTAATTATTATCCTGATTTTAGAGGTGAGGAAAAGGAGGCACGGAAGCATTAAGTAACTGGCCCGAGGTCACAGGTGGTAGGTGACGGAGTCAGATCAGGGTGCAGCTGCCTGGCTTCTGAGGCTACACAGGTGACAGCTGGTTTTAAGCTGAACTAGAGCTTCCTGATTGATTCACAGACCAGGGTGGAGGTGGGGGAAGAATCCCAGGTCTTAATCTGGACAGCCCTCCCCTCACCGAGAAGTGGGTACCTGACCCCAGCTGGGTCAATCACGAGCTCTCTGAGGATCCTGATTTGCTGGGCTGCTCCCGGGATGAGTGAGTAGCACTGCTTCCTGCCCTTCCCTGGTGTGACAGTGTTGCTGTCTTTCCAATCCGTCATCCCAGAGCTTCTTGGTCCCTTTTGGCCATCCATGGTTTCTGTTGTTTGCAACCAGAGAACCCTGCTTGAGGTAGAATCTACATTACCACCAGGGTGCGGTGGCTCACGCCTGTAATCCCAGCACTTTGGGAGGCTGAGGTGGGTGGATCACCTGATGTCTGGAGTTTGAGACCAGCCTGGCCAACATGGTGAAACCCCATCTCTACTAAAAGTACAAAAATTAGCCAGGTGTGGTGGTGGGTGCCTGTAATCCCAGCTACTTGGGAGGCTGAGGCAGGAGAATCTCTTGAACCCAGGGGGCGGAGGTTGCAGTGAGCCGAGATTGCACCATTGCACTCCAACTTGGGCAACAAGAGCAAAACTCTGTCTCAAAAAAAAAAAAAAAAAAGAATCTAAATTACTTTCCTCCCCACCCGGACCTTTCCTAAGGGACTGTACCCTCCCTGACCCCATGGTTAGCCCATGACTCTGATGGATGGAGGCAAAAAAGATAATCACTGGAGGTCTCTAGTGATAGACCAAAGGGCTCTGTTTTTTGTTTGTTTGTTTGCTTTTGAGATGGAATTTCGCTCTCATCATCCAGGCTGGAGTGCAGTGGCGCCATCTCAGCTCACTGCAACCTCTGCCTCCCAGGTTCAAGCAATTCTCCTGCCTCAGCCTCCCGAGTAGCTGGGATGACAGGCACATGCCACCATGCCCGGCTAAGTTTTGTATTTTTAGTACAGACAGGGTTTCACCATGTTGGCCAGGCTGGTCTCGAACTCCTGACCTCAGGTGATGTACCCGCCTCGGCCTCCCAAAGTTCTGGGATTACAGGCGTGAGCCACCACGCTCGGCCGTGGCTCTGTTCTTACCCCTGTCATGTTGATCATTTCCCCAATCTGGACCAGAACACAGGCCCGCTCATAAAATTTGCAGCTGCCACAGCAGCAGAATTAATGCTTTGTGCAATAGAAGTGGGACTTTTAAAATGCTTTCAAGACTAGACGGCTGGATGGGGGCCAAGAAGATGACCTTTAACCAGCATAATGTAAGGTCTTGCGTGCGTTTCCGAAGAACTCATTGTGTGAGTACCAGACAGGGGAGGGAGGGCTGGCTGGACAGCAGTTCATGGGAAAAAGCTCTCGTGCATTTGCAGTGAATAACATAGCTCTTGGAAACATAAATGCCTCTAGTAATGCAGACTGCATTACTAGAGATGGAGTGTCTAGGAAACTGGAGATGACAGTACCTTTCAGCTTGGTGGTTGTCAGTCCAAACAGTGAGCATGGTTCTAGTTCTGGTCCACACACTTTTTAAGAGGGATAATGACAGGCCAGGTGCGGTGGCTCACGCCTGTAATCCCAGCACTTTGGGAGGCCAAGGCAGGCGGATCACGTGTCCGGCTAAATTTTGTATTTTTAGTAGACAGGGTTTCACCATGTTGGCCAGGCTGGTCTCGAACTCCTGACCTCGTGATCTGCCTGCCTCGGCCTCCCAAAGTGCTGGGATTACAGGGGTGAGCCACTGCATCTGGCTGGGAACAGGTATGTTTTAAAACCTGGAGGGCAGGCACGGCGCGGTGGCTCATGCCTATAATCCCAGCACTTTGGGAGGCCGAGGTGGGTGGATCACGAGGTCAGGAGTTTGAGACCAGCCTGGCCAACATGGTGAAACCCCATCTCTACTAAAAATACAAAAATTAGCTGGGCATGGTGGCAGGTGCCTGTAATCCCAGCTACTCGGGAGGCTGAGGCAGGAGAATTGCCTAAACCCAGGAAGCAGAGGTTGCAGTGAGCCCAGATCGCGCCACTGCACTCCAGCCAGCCCGGGAGACAGAGACTCCATCTTAGAAAAAAAAAAAACCTAGAGGGCAGGAGGAGCAGCTCAGGTATTGGAGCTGGGAGCTGGAACCTCGAAGAAACCAGGGCAATTAGGCTCTCCAACTCCCTCTCCTACTTCCTCTCTTGCCACAAAACAACATTCTCTGCTTCTTGGGGCACCGGTCAGGAAATGCTGGCTCCCCACTAAACTGTTCCAGACTTGGGGTAGGACTGCAGGTAGGGTATAAGAAATGGGGCAGGGCAAGGAAGCCAGGAAGAGTAAGGACAGGCAGGCAGGGGCCAGACAGGCGGGGCCGATTCTTTAAGAACAATTCAACAGATACCTGGGGCCCCTGCCCAGCTTAGAGCTGGAATGTGGCTCCTCAAAACCCCAAGGGTCCTGCCTTTTCTAGTCCCTCCCTTCCTCTCCTGAGAGTTGACCACTCTGGAGATTTGGGGGTTTTGCTTGCTTTTCTTATCCAAATAAATAGAGGGTTCTTTTTTGCCTGCCTTGATTGTTTTCTTTCTTTCTTTCTTTTTTTTTGCTGAACAGATGTTTGTGAGGTTTGTTGTCGTTGTTGTTTTGTTTTTAGTAGAGATGGGGTTTCACCATCTTGCCCAAGCTGGTCTTGAACTCCTGGCCTCAAATGATCTGCCTGCTTTGGTCTCCCAAAGAGCTAGGATTGCTGGCATGAAACACCATGCCTGGCCCTGTGGGGTGTTTTAAGGTTGACATGCGTAGCTGAGGAGAGGCAAGGCTGGTCCAGGACCTCCAGTCCCCTTCAGGGAATGGAGTGACAGTGAGAAAAGCCAGCGCGGCATCCATCCTGGACATCTTGGTAGAGCCCTCTCCCTGGACAGCCTGGCCAAATACAGGAGAGAAGGCGGCAGGCTCCCTGAGGAGAAGGAAGAGATAGTCAGTGGTGGAAAACTGGCAGAAACTTCTCCACCACTTCATCCGCGGAGATGATCCTCCGGACCCTGGCATTCACGTTGGTGGTTCCACCTACAGATGCCTGAGCCAAGCCCACGGGTTTCGACCCCAGCTCCACCCCTTCGGCCAAGCAGTCACTGGGCCTGGTGGACAAGGTCTACCCTGAGGGTTCTGGGAGTGAAGGGCTGGGCTGGGGAAGGTGGCTCTGGGCCCTCTGGATAGAGCAGGAGCAACCAAGTGGCTAGACAATGTGCCCAGGGCCGGGGCATGGGTTGGGGGGGTGCCTGAGCAGGAGAGCCAGAGGGCCAGGGAATAGTAGCTCTGGGGAGCTGTGTCTGGGAGCCACATCTGGGTGTGGGGGGACAGCTTTATAGGCCCAGCTCAGAAGGGTCCCACAGTGACCTAGGCCCTCTGGGATCTGGGATGGAGTGGGACTGCCTCAAAGCTGTCATTGTCGCTCCCTCACCCGCCTGACTGTCTGGGACTTAAAATAGCAGGAGCACAGCGGATCTCCTGAGAAGTTTCTGGCAAAGAGGTTTAGGGGGGGAGGGTGTGAGTCGCCGCTGGGAACTCTTGAGTTTGAAGCTCCCAAAGCCCAGCTGCTCCACCCCTGCCCCCAGGGAGCCTAGAATCCATGGGCGGGGCAGGTGGGGGGTCCTCTGTTCCCTCCCTGTCCTGCTGTGGGAGTGGGGAGACTGGGTCCTGCCCCAGCTCTGCCATGGAAGCACCGGCTAGATGGCTGGGCCAAGTCCTGCCCCCTTCGGACCTCAGTTTCCCAGATGTACCAGGAGTTGCGGACCTCAACATCTGCTGAGAGGTCCCTGGAGTTCATGGCAGGTGGTCCCAGTACAGACACCCAGAGTCAGACAGCCATGGGCTGAAATCCCAGTTCCACTCCTACTGGCTGAGTGGCTCTGAGCAAGTCCTCCCAGCTCTCCGGGTGAGTTTCTTCACCTGTAAATTAACAATGAAACCAAGTCCTGCTCGTTCCAAGCTTCAGATTGCGCTATCCGGTAAGGATCCTGGCAGCTCCTGGGCAACTGCCCCCCAGCCCCAGCCTCCACCCCATCCTCAGATGGCACATTTTGTGCTGCCAGGAATGTTAACAGCAACGTGACCCCACTTTTAATGCCATGTACTTTACACACACTACCTCTGGCTTCCACGCCCTGGAGGACAGAGCTGGCTACTGTCCCCAGCGCTCTCCTGGGACATCCTTAACCTCAGTACTGGCCACTCCTGGACGGAAGGGGTATTGGCTCCTGAGGGGGCCCTCTTGGGCATCTACCGTGTGCCAGGCCCTGTGCTTGGCTCACCCCTGGAGTCCTGTGGGGCAGGGCTGATGCTCCCGGTTGTGCAGATGGGGAGACAGGCTCGTTGCTCCCCTGTATCAAAGAGGTGCAGGGACCCCTTGCAGTTCGCAGTCCGCAGGGCGCGGGGCCGGGCTCTGGGCCGCGCGGTGCGTGTGGCTGGCGCGCCCTCTAGTGGCCGCTCTGCCTGCCGTGTTGCCCCGCGCGAGAGCTGCCCTAGAGTGGACGCGCAGCCGCTGGCGCGGGAAGTCCCTTCTCCCAGCCCGCCGCGGTCCCGCCTGCTGCGGCTCCACCTCCGCCGAACTGCAAGCGGTCTGGCCTGCCTGTCAGTCCTCGTGGCTTCGCAGGGACCCCACCATGGCCGCACGCCCCGCCCCGATTACCATGGAGACCGCCTGTACACAGTTTCCTCTTTCCTCTGCCCAGTCCTGGGGTCCCGCGGCCGCCTAGGAGGGAGCCCGCCGGGGCGGGGCGGGGCCGGGTGCCCATGAACAGCGGGGTCCCGGCCACGCTGGCCGTGCGGAGAGTGAAATTCTTCGGCCAGCACGGCGGGGAGGTGAGGTCCAGCGGGCTCTGCCCAGACTCCCGGCTTTGGATGCAGAGTGGTTCCTGGTTCTGTGTAGTGGGGGTTCCAGAATGTTCTCTGGGCAGTGGCTCAGGACATTGAGTCCAGAGTAGACTTTGCTAACCCAAGAAGGATCGAAGTAGGTTCTCAGCTCCAGTGCCGGGCCCCAGCTCCAGAGCAGCTCTAGGTTCTAAGCTCTGCCTGTAAAAAGAGCCCCGGGCTCTGGGCTCTGCCTCGAGAGGGGCACAAAGCTCCCTGCTGACTCTGGTGTTTTCTGGGGCCCTGGCTCTAAAGTGAACTCAGAACTTAGAGTAGATTCTGGACTCTCCGTTGTCAGCTGCGGCTCTGGAATGGGCTCTTAGCTCTGGGGTTCCAGGCTCTGGTTCCAGAGAAGGCTCTTGCCTCCAACTGCAGGCTCTGGCTTTACGGGACTCGAGAGAGGGCCCAGTGGGTCCCGGGTTCTGGGCTCTGGTGGTGGAGTGAGGCTTGAAGTCAAGCTCCAACCCCAGGCTCTTGGGGGGCAGTGTTTAGGGGTCAGAGATGAGCGGACAGGGGTTTCTTCCCCAGAATGGGACCGCTTTTGTGCTGTTTCTAGGTCAACTCTTCTGCCTTCTCCCCTGATGGCCAGATGCTGCTCACAGGCTCAGAAGATGGCTGCGTGTATGGCTGGGAGACCCGGAGTGGGCAGCTGCTGTGGAGGCTGGGTGGCCACACAGGTGGGGCTCCCACACCTGGCCGGGAAGACCGAGGCACAAGGGTCTGGCATGCTGCAGAGCTGACTGCAGTGACCTCCGATGAGCTGGGCACGGGTGCAAGGCAGGGCTGGGCAGGTTGGGAGATGGGACGAGATATCTGGGTGCTGGGGCTTAGACTCTAACAGGCCTGGACTCAGCCTTCTTTAAAAACACACACACACACACACATACATACAAAAACAACTGTAATGTAACACAGTAATACTTACTGTTGCATCCTTTTTTGTGTGTGACAGAGTCGCTCTCTGTCACCCAGGCTGGACAACCTCGGCTCACTGCAACCCCCGCCTCCTGGGTTCAAGCAATTCTCTGCCTCAGCCTCTCGAGTAGCTGGAATTATAGACACCTGCTACCACACCCAGCTAATTTTTTTGTATCTTTAGTAGAGACGGGGTTTCACCATCTTGGCCAGGCTGGTCTTGAACTCCTGACCTCGTGATCCACCCACCTCGGCCTCCCAAAGTGCTGGGATTAAAGGCGTGAGCCACTGCACCGGCTTTGTTGTGTCCATTTTTAAGTGTACAGTTCAGAGAATCCAGTACCTTCACATTGTCGTGACACCAATCTCCAGAGCTCTTCCTCTTGCAGAACTGAACCTCTGTCCCCACTAAACAAGTCCCCAATCTCCCTCCTCCCAGCCCCTGACAACCACTGTTTTTCTTTTTGTCTCGATGAATCTGACCTCTCTGGGTGCCTCTAAGTGGAGTCACACAGTATTTGTCTTTTTGTGACTGGCTTATTTCACTTAGCATGATGTACTTAAGGTTCAGCCATGTCGTGCTTACCACTGTTTTGACTGTGATCTTGGTCAAGTCCTGTCACCTCGCTGAGCCATTTCCACTGGCACGATGCAAGCAAAGTACCTAGCACACAGTAAGGACTCAATAGATATAACTATTGTAATTATTATTCAGGAGACAAGAAAAAATATCAGGCAATTACAGGCAGTCTGGTTAATGCTGCAAGGAGGGAAAATCAGGGGCTGGAGCTCAAAGGAGGCAGTGAACCTAGGCAGCGGTTGTTAGGGCAAGTTTCTGGGAGGTCCCTACTTTGACTTGGGGATTGATTTTTCAGATGAGCACTGAGGTTGGGTGCTCCAAGGCTGACAGCCCAGCCCAGGCCAAGGCATGGAAATCCAGGCATTTCTGGGAAGCTGGAGTTTGGGTGAGGGGAGGCTGGCGACGAGGCTGGAGAAATTAGCAAGGATTGGACTGCGTGGGCAGAAGTGGCGGGCAGTGCTCTGTCCCCTGACTGTGGCCACCCGCCCAGGCCCCGTGAAGTTCTGCCGCTTCTCCCCTGATGGCCACCTCTTCGCCAGCGCCTCCTGTGACTGCACTGTCCGCCTGTGGGATGTGGCAAGAGCGAAGTGTCTGCGGGTCCTGAAGGGTGAGTGAGCTGGGAGCCAAGCAGCCAGGCCAGCGTTCCCTTTCAGATGGTGCTGTGTCCTGTGTCACGTCACCTTTCCACCTTCCCCGACCCCGGGCTGGTGCCTGCAGGTCACCAACGGAGTGTGGAGACGGTCAGCTTCAGCCCTGACTCGAGACAGCTGGCATCAGGTGGCTGGGACAAGCGGGTGATGCTCTGGGATGTGCAGGTACGTTGAGGGGCTGGGGCCACCAGTCTGGGATTCAAGGACCAGTTCCAGAGAGGATGTCACCAGTCTTGCCCTCCCAGCTCAAACCCTCCACTGGTTCCCATGGCCCATGCCCACAGCAGGCAACCAAGGCTGCCCCCACCTGGCCACAGCCGCCTCTCCAGGCTTCCTTGCACACAGCAGCCCTCAGGCTTTTTGCACGAGGTCCCCCTTTCCTGGACTGTCAAGGCCAGGTAGCCGGCTGCCCTCTGCTGCCTTCTGCAGCTCAGGGCTCTCTCTAGTCCGGCCAGATGCTGCGCCTCTTAGTTGGGCACCGTGACTCCATCCAGAGCAGCGACTTCTCACCCACGGTGAACTGCCTGGTGAGCCTACCCTCTGCCCTGGGCCCCACCTCAGTGGCCCCATACCCACTTGGAGCTGAGTGGTGGGAAGGGGATGGACTCTGGGTCCCGCCTAGATGCAGAGTGGGTGGAGAGCTGGCTGGGCCAGACTCACAGAAGCTGCCTGCAGGCCACCGGCTCCTGGGACTCCACCGTACACATCTGGGACCTGCGGATGGTGACCCCAGCAGTCTCCCACCAGGCGCTAGAGGGACACAGTGCCAACATCAGCTGCCTGTGCTATTCAGCATCCGGCCTCCTGGTAAGTGGGGTGTCCTGGGTTCCAGGCTGGTCCCTTGCTGGCAGCCAGGCCCTTAAGGGTCCCAGGCCACTTAGGGGCCCAGTGAGCTCACAGGCCCCAAACCCTGGGGATCAGAGCTGTCTGCTGTCCAGGCATCCGGCTCCTGGGACAAGACCATCCACATCTGGAAGCCCACAACCAGCAGCCTGCTTATCCAACTGAAGGGCCATGTCACCTGGGTGAAGAGCATAGCCTTCTCTCCCGACGAGCTGTGGCTGGCCAGCGCCGGCTATTCCCGCATGGTAACCACCCCGGGCCCATCCTGCTCCTACCTACCCATCCTCACCCCACCAGGAGCCCTCAGCACTCACTCCAGAAATGCCCACATCCCCACTTGCCCTAGCTAGGAGGGGGCAAGGGCAGGACCTGGGTGCCAGCCTCTCTTCCTAATGGCCAGCACCAAGGTTAGGGCTGGCCCATTGGTAGTTGCATTGACATTTCCATGACCCAAATGGCATCAGGCAAAAGGGAACTCCTGCTCTGAAATTTCAAATACAGCCTCCAAACAAAACCTACACCAAGAGGTTCAGATGTTTTTTGGGCCGGGGGCGGTGGCTCACACCTGTAATCCCAGCACTTTGGGAGGTGGAGGTAGGTGAATCACCTGAGGTCAGGAGTTCAGGCGAAGACTCATCTCATATTTTGTCTGGGACTTTCCTGGAGGTGGCTTCAGATGCCACAGTGGCCTGGTGAGGCTTCCTGACATGCCCCCCTCCTTTTCCAGGTCAAAGTCTGGGACTGCAACACAGGAAAGTGCCTTGAGACCCTGAAGGTAAGGCACGGCGCTGTGGCACTGAGGAAGCTGTGGACAGCTTCTCCCAAGGCAGGACTTGCCTCGAGCCCCACCTTCTACTCTTAGCAGGGAGTCCTGGATGTGGCCCACACCTGTGCCTTCACCCCAGATGGGAAAATCTTAGTGTCTGGAGCTGCCGATCAGACTAGACGTCAAATATCCCGCACGTCCAAATCACCCAGGGACCCTCAAACCTAACACCAACCACCTTAGATGGTGCCGACCTCACCCGCTCCCCTCAGTGGCGCACAGGCATGCCGCTTCTCCCCACAGACGCAAAGTGACTGTGCTGGCATCCAGCAGATCCCCATGGCCAGGACTCTCCAGGCCCCACCAGAGCAGACAACTGTGGTGGGCAGGACGCTTGCTGGAACCCATCAGACACCTGGTCCCCAAAACCAGACCCACCCACCTCCACCCAATCAGTGGAAGTGCCAGGAAACAAAGCAGTCTCAGCCAGCTGTGCTTTATTGACAATGCGCCCCTCAGGCCTTGACCGCGTACTTCCGCAGCGGGTACAGCCGCTCCTTCCGCTGCTGCTTCTTGGTCTTCAGGTTCTCCTCGTGCTTGTTGAGCCGGCGGCGCATGGCACGTGTCTTCTTAGGCCGCAGGTCCAGGGGCTTGTACTTCTTGCCCTGGGAGACAGACGGCAGGGTGAATCCAAGGACCCAGGGCTGAGGAGCTACTGCAGCAGCTAAGGGGGCTGGGGAGGGCCATCCAGAGCCACTCAGGAGGAGGCTGCCACCATGGGACTGCCAGCAGGCCACACATGTCACTAACTCAATTAATCCCCCCAAATCTAAGGCTGGTGGGACCATCCTCATTTCATGTAAGTCTGCTGACCTACTGGGCTGAGTGTCCAAGTCTTGGCAAAGCTGTGGAAGAGCCGGGGCTTGCATCTCAGTCAAGTGACTCCCAACTCAGTGCTCCTTCCACTGCCCGATTCCCAGTCACGAGGACAGTCACATGACAACCTAGTACAGGGCACGCAGCACCCACCAAGCCCCGGGGGTAGTTACCATTACCTCGGCTCTGGTTAGCAAGAGCATGCTGGGGGCTGAGGCAGTACTCTGTCCATCTGTATGCAGGGCCCACCAGCTGCTGCCTGTATGAACGTCCAGCCTCAGAGGCCTGGCTGGCCAAGGCCACTTGCCCCACCTGCTTCCGGCTTTGGGGCCCCTGCCCACAGCTGTCACAGAGCCATCATCTGTCTTTCCATCCTTGGCTCCCACTCCTGCCCCACTTGTTCTCCAGCAGGGGGTTCTAGACCATGGCAGCTCTCACTGGTCTCTCCTGTGTTCTGCAAAGGTCCCCTGGGCCCCCTTCAGGACTGGGCCCTGTGCTGGGAGCTGGCTTGGCAAAGGATCTGACCCAGTCCCTGCTCAGGGGTCCCAGCCTAGTGGGGGAAGACTGAACAGGTAACAAGTGGCCCATGGTATGGGGGATTCTGAGGTCACAGGGCCCCAGGCCCCTGCAGGTGGGCAGAGGACTGCAGAAAGATCCTGGACAATGAGGGCCAGCCCTGGAGGGTACTTGGAAGCAGGAAAGTCTTTGTCCTCCCACATCCCTCACTCCTGCTGGCATCGGCTGGGCATTCGTCCTTTTCACATTGGCTAACCCCCTAGAGTTCTGCTGTCCAACAGAGCAGCCACTAGCCACACACGTAGCTGCTGACATTAAAGGTTTACTTTTGCCACACACGTGCTAGTGTCCCCTGAACAGCTAACATAGCCACACTATGGCCCTTCTCATTTTTTTGAGATGAGGCCTCACTATGTTGCCCAGGCTACACTTTAACTCCTGGGCTCAAGCCATCCTCCTGCCTCGGCCTCCCAGTAGCTGGGGTTATAGGCCTGTGGCACTTCATCAGCCATGGCTGCTTTTCCCTTGTGTCAAATCTTCAAGTTATTCAAACACAATTTGGGTAGTGATGTGGAACCATTTTGCAGATGAAATTAAAGACCCTCATCAGGTAACTTTAGGGGAGATTATCCTGGGTAATCCCAGAAGGCCCGATCCAATCAGCTGTAAGTCTTAAGCACAGGGCTGAGGCTCCCTCCAAGTACCCACTGGGAACAGCAGCTTCAACCTGAGCCCTGAGTCCCAGCCAGCCCCCACAATCACCTATGCCCATTCTTCAGAATACATTGGATGCATGTGCACACACCGTCTCCCCCTAGTTTTCTCTGCTTGAACCCCAATAAGATGAATGTTAAGGACAAGACCAGAAAATGGTTATCAAAATTCAAGACTAAGAGGGGGCCAGACACCTGTGCACACCTCCCAGAACACTAAAGCCGACCCTCCCCAAGGTAAGGTTTGGAACCAGGGCCCATCATGCCATTGACTGTGGGTGTCTAGGCCTCAGGGCCCTCATCTGAAAAATGAGCATGGCAGGTGCCTGGCAGGGACTGACACCCAGTGCCAGTAAGAGGCAGTGAAAACCTTCAACAGCCAGTCCTATCACTGCCCAAGCCACTCAACTGGGAAGGCTGGTTTCAAAAACTGAGTCTCCAGCCAGGACACCCCAAGCCCCAATGAATTCTTGACATCTGCAGCCTGAGGAAGTGGTCTGCAGAGCCACGTGCCAGTGCAAGACACTGGTAGAAGAGTGAGCCCAGCAACAAATTGGGAAGGCTAACCACTCTCAGCCCACGCACCAAGAAAAACCTCTTTACCATGTCCCCGGCCAGGGACGGCTAGCACTTGGCTTCCTGCAGCCAACCCTCCCTATGTCCAGGCAGACTCACCTTGTAGAATTTCCTGAGGTTTTCTTTCTGAGTCTGGTTAATAACTGTGAGAACACGGGCAATGGATTTCCGGACGACTCGGCTACAAAACAGAGATGTCAGTGAAGATAGGGAAGACACATAGCACTACCCAAGACTCAGGACTCACACATAGGGCAGCAATAGCTGCAGCCTCCCCCATCAACCCATCCATATTCACTCAGGAGGAAGGCGTTCTGGGAGTGAGGTCTGAGGAGGGAAGAGAGGGGCATGGGAGAGACAGCAGAGGCTTTATGAGGAAGTGCAGGCTGGATAAATGAGGCAGATCAGAAAAAGACCTTCAATCCCAGAACACGAATTTATCCTGAGGGCTAAGACCCAACCAATGCCAATTTCAATGAGCTGATGGGAAGGAATCATGCCACAAACCAGGCAATCAGGCTAGCTTAGGGAACTGCAGGAGAGAGAAACAAGACATTTGCAAAGTGGAGTCACTACAAGCCAGGAGACTGAAGCAAACAACGAGCCAGGGAGAAGTTATTTGTAGTCATGTCAGGATGAGGGAGTCACCTAGTAGACAGCTGGTCAACATGGTTTTTGAGGATTCAGTGTGCAACTGTGCTTGTCCAATCCTCCCACCCCTGCCTCTACTAAGGTTGTTTGGGGGCAAAGAGGGCAACCACCATTTTTTTTTTTTGGAGACAGGGTCTCACCTGTCAACCAGACTGAAGAGCAGTGGCCCCATCATAGCCTCCCAACTCCTGGGCTCAAGTGATCCTCCTGCCTCAGCCTCCAGAGTAGCTGGGACTACAGGCCTGTACCACCACACCCATCTAATTTTTTTTTGAGAAGTGGACTTTGTACCCAGGTTGATGAACTCCAAACCCATGTTCCTTTCACAAGTCTCCCGCACTCTTAGCCATGTAAAATAACTTACGCTGCCACTCCAGGGTGCAAGCCACCCACCTGCCAAGGGGGTTAAAAACTCAAGTGTTGGTGGGAAGCGGAAGGAAGGGGTCCGGGTAGGCTTTGAAGGCAGCATTAAGATGGGTCTCCGGGGATGCATTCCAGGCACAAGGACCGCAAGGTCAAGGCAGGTAAGAGGCTAAGCACACAACGGGTCTCCCATGCGCGCCAGGATGCACGGAGTGGGCATCTAAGCGGCCAGCTCCTTAAGCCAACTTTGAAATCCTCCGACGATCCCGATGCACACGTGCTCCCCACCCACGAGGGCTGTGATCCGGCCGCCTCACTTACATCTTAGAGAGCTTGGAGGCCGCACCGCCTGTCACTTTGGCGACGCGCAGCTGGGACAGCTCCACCTTCAGGTCGTCCAGCTGTTTCAGCAGCTCCTCCTTCTTCTTCCCGCGAAGATCTCGAGCCTTGATCTTGGCCTGCGCGCAAGAGAGAGTGTGCCTCAGCCAGGCCGCGGGGCCATATCCCCTTCACCTGCGTGGCCAGCCCCCAAAGGCGCGCGACTCGCCATCGACTACGAGTGCGCCGGAGCCCCAACCAGGGCTCAGGACAGTCTCCCTCGCCGGCCGTGCCTTGGGCAGAGTAACCCAGGCCCGGGCCGCGCGCCTCTCCCGGCGCCAAGCGAAGAGGCGGGTTGTGGTGGCGCCAGACCATTCTGCGCGGCGCCCCACAGGCCTAGGTGGCAGATAGAATCCGCGGGCTCAGCCCGCACCGCCTTCCCCAACCCCCGCGCCTCACAGCGCTCGGATGGCGCCCGATTCCGCAGCTCTCACCATTGCTGCACAAGCCGCCAACGCCGCCGCCCGCTCCGAGGGAAAGAGGAAGTAGGCGGGGCTGACCTCCGCAACTACTGCCGGGTGGCGGCGGGCGCGGCCAATGGCGCCGCAGCGGGGGAGCCCCGGCTCCGCCTCATCTCCCCCGCCCCCGAGGAACGCCGTGGTACTGCCCGCCCCGCCTGGTAGGGCCGGAGCCCCGCCTTGTAGTGCTCGCCTCATTCACGGCACCCCTGATAGCGAGGTCGGCGTCACGGTGTAGGCGCGCAGTTGGGGAAACCGAGGCCCAACGTGGGCGGCAGCTACCAGAGATGGCACACGGAGGACTCAAATTCGTCCATTCAGTCATTCGTTCATTCATTCCTTCGGGAAACCTTGCAGATCTCCCAATCTGGGCAACTCTGAGCTGGGCGCCAGTAGTCTGGGGGTGCTGACGGGAGGAGGGGCCAGAGTTTTCAAAGACGATTAACCGAGGCTCACGTCGCGGAGGAATTTAAAGCGCGAGATGGACGGGAGGGGCGGGCTCAGGCAGTTATAATCCAACTCCATAAAGGTTCTGGGGAGGCAGTATATGGAACTGCAAAGAGCATTTACACCTTTTTTTTTTTTTTTTTTTTTGAGACAGAGCTTCATTCTGTCGCCCAGGGTGCCAGGCTGGAGTGCAGTGTCGCGATCTCGGCTTACTGCAACCTCCGCCTCCCGGGTTCAGCGATTCTCCTGCCCCAGCCTCCCGAGTAGCTGAGTAGCTGGGATTACAGGCATGCACCACCACGCCTGGCTAATTTTTTGTATTTTTAGTAGAGACGGGGTTTCGCCATGTTGCCCAGGCTGATCTTGAACTCCTCAGCTCAGGTGATCCCCTCGCCTCGGCCTCCCAAAGTGCTGGGATTACAGGCGTGAGCCACCACGCCTGGCCCCAGCCTTTATTTATTTTTTTTATTTTTTAATTTTTTTTTTCAGACAGGGTCTCGCTCTGTCACCCTGGCTGGAAGGCATGGCGCGCTCTCCGCCCACCAAAACCTCCGCTTCCCGGGTTCAAGCAGCCCTCCCACCTCAGTCTCCCGAGTAGCTGAAACTACAGGCACAAGCCACCAGGCCTGGCTAATTTGTTTATTTTTTGTAGAGCTGTTGCCCAGGGTGGTCTCCTGGGCTCAAGCAATCCGCCCTCCTCGGCCTCCCAGAGTGCCTAGGATTACAGGGGTTAGCCACCTCGCCTGGCCATACAGCCTTTTTTATTTTTATTTTATTTTTTATATATTTTTTGAGATGGAGTCTGGCTCTGTCGCCTAGGCTGGAGTGCAGTGGCGCGATCTCGGCTCACTGCAACCTCCACCTCCCGGGTTCAAGAGATTCTCCTGCCTTGGCCTCCCCAGTAACTGGGACTACAGGTGTGTGCCACTACACCCAGCTAAATTTTTGTATTTTTAGTAGAGACAAGGTTTAGCCAGGCTGGTCTCAAACCCCTGACCTCAAGTGATCCACCCGCCTCAGCCTCCCAAAATACTGGGATTACAGGTGTGAGCCACTGCGCCCGGCTAGTACAGCCTTTTTTAAAGTGAACCTGACCAGGTTTCAAATTCTTGCTCTGCTGCCAAGGTAGTAGTTGAGACTCTTGGGAAATCTCTTCCCCTTTCTTGAGTCTCAGTTTGCTCACATGTGAAATGAGGCATTTATGAGAATTAGAGGAGATATCTGTAAAGCTGTTAACCCGAAATCTGACGCATAACAATGGCTCAAAATATCATTGGTGTTCATGTTCCCAGAGGAAGGAACACTTCAGTAGAGCCCGGAAAGTGAAACGGGAATTCACAAGGCAGGGCATGTTTAGGCTTTCTGATTAATGTCTGCCAACCAGTAGGCATTAATCAGCACTCCAGTGCCACTCCCTTGCCCTTAATAAAGACATGCCACCTCTTAGAGTTATGGTTGAAGCCAGATTGTCCTCTTGTTACTACCAGCTGTAACCACCCACAAGGAGACTTCTCCCATCTCCTATGAGTAGCAACCTCTGTGCAATCCTTTCCTTAGCCCCAAACAGGCTGAAATAAAATGATGCATTTATGTGTCTATTTCCACAGCCAACCTAGAAGTTCTCTGGGGACAGAACCTTGGCGGACAACTGAATTAATTGTTCTAGTCTCCAGGCCCAGTACATGGATGCTTGTTGGATGAATTAATGAACCTTGACCCACACCAAGGTGAGGAAGGCTTTCAGGAGGTGGAGGGATATGGGGAAAAAAGAGAGTAGAGAGAGGGCAATCCCGGCATGGCTTAGACTTTTTTTTTTTTTTTTTGAAATGGAGTCTTGCTGTGTCACCCAGGCTGGAGTGCAGTGGCACAATTTCAGCTCACTGTAACCTCCACCTCCCAGGTTCAAGCGATCCTTGTGCCTCAGCCTCCTGAATAGCTGGGATTACATAGGTGCGTGCCACCATGCCCGGCTAATCTTTGTATTTTTGTTTTTTTCCAAAATGGAGTCTTGCTCTATTGCCCAAGCTGGAGTGCAGGGGCACAATCTCGGCTCTCACTGCAACCTCTGCCTCCCAGGTTCAAGCGATTCTCCTGCCTCAGCCTCCCGAGGAACTGGGAATACAGGCATGCACCACCAAGCCAAGCTAATTTTTGTTTTTTTAGTAGAGACGGGGTTTCACCATATTTCACCTGGCCACCATGTTGGCCAGGCTGGTATTGAACTCTTAACCTTGTGATCCGCCTGCCTTGGCCTCCCAAAGTGCTGGGATTACAGGTGTGAGCTGCCGCGCCTGGCCCATCTTTGTATTTTTTGTAGGGACGGGGTTTCGCCAGGGTGGTCTCAAACTCCTGACCTCAAGAGATCCGCCTGCCTCAGCCTCCCAAAGTGCTGCGATTACAGGCATGAGCCACGGCGCAGTGCGCCTGGACCTTTTTTTTTTTTTGAGACTGAGTTTCATTCTTGTTGCCCAGGCTGGAGTGCAATGGCACAATCTCGGCTCACTGCAACCTCTGCCTTCTGGGTCCAAAGGATTCTTCTGCCTCAGCCTCCCAGCCTGCCTACAGCTACTGTAATCCAAGTAGCTGGGATTACAGGTGCCGCCATGATGCCTGGCTAATTTTTATATTTTTAGTAGAGACGGCATTTCACCACGTTGGCCAGGCTGGTCTCAAACTCCTGACCTCAGGTGATCCACCTGTCTCGGCCTCCCAAAGTGTTGGGATTACAGGTGTGAACCACTGTACCTGGCCGGCATAGCTTAGTCTTAAATGAAAGTCTAGGCCGGGCGTGGTGGCTCACGTGGTGCACGCCTGTAATCCCAGCTACTCTGGAGGCTGAAGCAAGAGAATCGCTTGAACCCAGAGGCAGAGGTTGCAGTGAGCCGAGATCGGGCCATTGCACTCCAGCCTGGGTGACAAGAGGGAAACTCTGTCTAAAAAAAAAAAAAAAAAAAAAGGAAAGTCTAATGGTGCACAGTGCCTTTGCTGTTATATTTTTAAATGCTTAGAGTTAATGACTCTGCACATCTTTTTCGAACCTGAAGTCATTTGTGACTCTCTCTTACACGCCACATCTAGTCAACCAGTAAATTCCAGGTACTCTACCTTCAAAATTTACCCAACTTAAGGCCGGGTGAGGTGGCTCACGTCTGTAATCCTAGCACTTTGGGAGGCCAAGGCAGGTGGATCACCTGAGGTCAGGAGTTCGAGACCAGCCTGGCCAACATGGTGAAACCGTGTCTCTACTAAAAATACAAAAAAAATTAGCCGGGCATGGTGGCGGGTGCCTATAATCACAGCTATTCGGGAGGCTGAGGCAGGAGAATTGCTTCAACCCAGGGGGCAGAGGTTGCAGTGAGCCAAGATTGCGCCACTTCACTCAAGCCTGGGCGAAAGAGCAAAACTCCATCTCAAAAAAACAAAAAACAAAAAAAACAAAATTGGGACTGGGCGTGGTGGCTCACACCTGTAATCCCAGCACTTTGGGAGGCCAAGGCGGGCAGATCATGAGGTCACGAGTTCGAGACCAGCCTGACCAACATGGTGAAAACCTGTCTCTACTAAAAATATAAAAATTAGCCAGGCGTGGTGGTGTGCACCTGTACTCCCAGCTACTTGGGAGGCTGAGGCAGGAGAATCACTTGAACCCTGGAGGCGGAGGTTGCAGTGAGCTGAGGTTGGGCCACTGCACTCTAGCCTAGGCGACACAGTGAGACTCCCTCTTAAAAAAACAAAAAAACAGGTCAGGCGCAGTGGCTCACGTCTGTAATCCCAGCACTTTAGGAAGCCGACGCAGGTGGATCACCTGAGGTCAGGAGTTTGAAACCAGCCTGGCCCACATGGTGAAACCCTGTCTCTACTAAAAATACAAAAATTAGCCAGGTGTGGTGGCAGGTGCCGGTAATCCCAGCTACTCCAGAGGCTGAGGCAGGAGAATCACCTGAACCCTGGAGGTGGAGGGTGCAGTGAGCTGAGACTGTGCCACTGCACTCCAGCCTGGGCAACAGAGTGAGGCTCCATCTCAAAAAAAATGAATAAAATAAAACAAAATAAGAAATTGGTGGGGCACGGTGGCTCATGCCTGTAATCCCAGCACTTTGGGAGGCCGAGGTGGGCAGATCACCTGAGGTCAGGAGTTCAACACTAGGCCAGCCAACATGGAGAAACCCCGTTTCTACTAAAAATACAAAATTAGCCAGGCATGGTGGCGCATGCCTGTAATCCCAGCTACTCGGGAGGCTGAGGCAGAATTGCTTGAACCCGGGAGGCAGAGGTTGCGGTGAACTGAGATAGCCCCATTGCAGTCCAGCCTGGGCAATAAGAGCAAAACTCCGTCTCAAAAAAATTAAAAAAAAATTTACCCAGCTTGTTCCCACCATCCTCATTGGCCCCTGCCTGGTTGGGCTACCACTGTCTGTCCCCTGGATGGTTGCTGTCACCATCTAAATCACCTCTCTACTTTGGTTCTCGATCCCAGATGTGTTCTCAATACAGCTGCTTAGAAGGCCCTTTTCAAACAATTCAGACTTCTGATCTATTACTGTTCTGCTCAGAATTTCCAGGGCTGTCCCATTTGAATTAAGACTGAGTCCTTTCCTCGGCCTACAGAGCCCTACTCTCCTCCCAACCCCCACCTCATCTCTCTTCTGTTCCTGGCTGTTTCTCGAATATACTGAGCCCACCCCAACCTCTGAGCCTTCGCTTAGTTGCCTCCTTCATTTCCTTCCAGTCTCTGTCTAGTGTCACCTCCTCAGGGACACCTTTTTTTTTTTTTTTTTTGAGATGGTATCTCACTCCATCGCCCAGGCTGGAGTGCAATGGTGTGATCTCAGCTCACTGCAACCTCTGCCTCCTGGGTTCAAGCGATTCTCCCCGCTCAGCTTCCCGAGTAGCTGGGATTACAGGTGTGCGCCATCATGCCTAGCTAATTGTTGTGTTTTTGTAGAGATGGGTTTTCACCATGTTGGCCAGGCTGGTCTCGAATTCCTGACCTCAGGTGATCTGCCCCCTGGGCCTCCCAAAGTGCTGGGATTACAGGTGTGAGCCACTGCGCCCGGCCAGGACACCTCCTTTGATCACTTTATCTAAGGCACACTCAGGCACTGCATGGTTTTTTTCCCTCTCAACACTGTCAGCCCTGACATCGTATAATATGGATTTTTAAATTGTGTCTCCCTGGCTGGAATGAAAGTCCATGACCATGAGCTGGGACATTATTCCATTTACTAGTTTCTTTGGGGGCTGTTTCTTTACTTGTAAAATGGGCATTTCTGGGTTCAAGTTCCTTCTGACCAGGATGTTCTGGGGATATGAATTTCTGCTGTCTCGTGGCAGACCTGAATCACAAATATTTTTTCCCAGATATGGAACTGTATTGCAGGTGGGCTTTGCATGTTTCCAGGACCCCTGAGACTTTTCTTTTCTTTTCTTTTTTTTTTTTTTTTTTGAGACGGAGTTTTGCTCTTGTCGCTCAGGCTGGAGCGTAATGGCGCGATCTCAGCTCAGTGCAACCTCTACCTACCGGTTTCAAGCGATTCTCCTGCCTCAGCCTCCCGAGTAGCTGGGATTACAGGCATGCGCCAGCACGCCCGGCTAATTTTGTATTTCTAGTAGACACGGGGTTTCAGCATTTTGGTCAGGCTGGTCTCAAACTTCTGACCTCAGGTGATCCGCCCACCTCGGCTCCCAAAGTGCTGAGGATTACAGGCAGAGACTTCTTCACCACTAGTTTCCCACTATGGGAGTCTGTATCCTTACCACCGAAGATAAGGTTGCATCATAGTCTGGCAATATTTTTTTTATCTTTAGACACAGTTCAATGAGAGGTATTCGAAGCAGCAAAAATGAATCACATTCCAACTACTGACTTTTATTAAAAAGAGTACTATTAGATGAAAATAGTTTTCACACTATTATATAAAAAGACCCATTTTACTTACCCTAAGGCTAAGATCAATTAACAGAACCCCTGGGATAACAGCCCAGGCACCAAATCTGGCACCTCAGAGTCGTCCTTGACTTCCCTAAACCGCTTTCCCCCATCTCAGATTCTGAGAATTTGGTTTCTGTCAAGATGTGCCTCTCCAGCCAGGCCTCTCCTGCCAGGACGGTGGCCACAGGGCCATCTCCCTCTCCTGGCGCCCCCAACTGCCTGGCCAAGGTGACTGCTACACACGTGGGGTCGCAGAATCCCTCGAGTCACAACGTCTTCAACGTCTTGTCAGTCCCGTGATCGCACTAAACGTATTTAAAGCCCCCTACTCCTTTAAGAGGGTCACCTCTGTGTACAGGCGGCCTCCTCGTACTAAGTGTGGTGGCGTTCAAGGCTCCGAGACACAGGCGCCTCCCGCGCCACTCCCCGGGCACAGGAACTCCTACTCATCCCTCAGTCATCAGCTCGAAGGTTTCTTCTCCAAGAAGCCTGCCCGGCACTCGAGAAGTAGAGCCGCGAGCCTTCTCCCGGGGGCCCAGCCTTCCCCAGTACCGGCAGGGATCACCCCGGGAGCACGCGCCCGGCCCCGCTGAGGCCAGGGGCTCCTCGGAGGCGCGGGAAAGCCGGGGAACCAGCGCAGTTACGGCACACACGAGGCGGGGCCTGCACAGATGCCGGGCGCCCGATCCTCAGTGACAAAATAGAGACTCCGTGGAAGGGACACTGAGGTGGGGGAGGCTGCGGTGATCCCATACCGCACTCCAGGTGCCAGGCTCCGCCCCGCCCCTGACGGCGCTTCCGGATCCGGCGGGTGCCGGAAGTGGGCGGGCGGCGGCGGCTGCGCGCGGAGGCGGTGGAGGAGGTGCTGGGAGCAGCCGGGCAGCCGCTTCCCGCCCCCGAGCAGGAGCCGGTGCGAGCGGAGCAGAGCCGAGGTCGGGCCGCGAGCGGAGCCGGCTGAGCGGGCGCCGAGCTCCCGCCATGGCCCGGAACACGCTGTCCTCGCGCTTCCGCCGGGTGGACATCGACGAATTTGACGAGAACAAATTTGTGGACGAGCAGGAGGAGGCGGCGGCGGCGGCGGCGGAGCCAGGCCCGGACCCGAGCGAGGTGGACGGGCTCCTGCGGCAATATCCTTCCCTGACGCGGCGTCCGGGCCTGCGCGCGGCCTTCTCACCTTCCCACCTTCCCACCTTCTCGGGCCCTTTCGGGCGGGCCTCCCCTGTCTCCGACCCTTGGCCCCCTCAGGTCAGCCTCCAGCTCCCTGCCGACCCGGCTTCCCTGGGCCGTGCTCCCTTGAGTCCCAGTCTCCCTGGGTCCCTCGTCCCCAGCCCTGGCGCCTTCTTCTGCAGCGCCGTCCCGCAGGCCCCTGGACCCGGTGGACGGGCTCCCTCGGCACCCCCGCAGGTCCCGCGCCCTCTTCCCTCCTTGCCTCCTCGTCCCCTCACGCTGTCCCTTCCTTGGGGCCCCAGCACTCCGTCCCTCCCTTGCAGGAAATCGGGCCTATGGCGGGGCTGGGTCGGCGGCAGGGCGGAGGTGAGCCGCATCTGAGTAACCGAGTGATCGGGGAGGCTGGGGCGCGGTCCTCCGGGGCCCGATTGCTGCATGGCGTGAAGATAGGTGGGTGGACGGCTGTGGGGAAGACAGAACCCAGGAGGGAGTGGAGGCGGCCGCCGTATTTCAGCCCTGGGGTCTGAGATTGTGTCTCTCTTCCCCCAGTCAGTCTAACCCTCCCGCTTAATGCTGAGAAAGGGGGACCCTGTGGTTCCCCTGGACACCTTGGTGGTCTCAGCCACGCTCAACAAGTGAGTCTTGGCTCCCCCCAGTACCCTTCTGGTGCAGGAAGCAGCGGAGAAAACTAGTAGTTCAGAGCTAAGAAAAACCAGACACCTTGAAGCGAAGTGTGAAAGTGGAGCCCCACGCCTGGAAATGACTGTTCTTGTGGCCACAGAAAACAGCATTTAGAAAAGATTAAAAATAGAGGTGATTGTCACAGCCTTGCTTGGTCCTTTAGCAGTATGAGCGCAGGAAACTGACTTATTCTCACCGGAAGGATTTTTCTTTATTCAAATGGTGTTCCAGGAAGCCTGTCCCCTCCCCCCGCACGGGTGGGGGCAGGGTTGGAGGCCCATGCTGTACATAAATCAGGTTCTCGGTGTTGAACCAGTTGACTCAGCTTGGAAAGTGGGGCCTGCTGCTTTAGGGGGAGCCCGGCAGTGCTCCTGAGTGTGCCTTTAAACCGAAAACCTTCAGACTTGATTTGAACAGGAATGTGTTTTCCGAAGTGGAGATTCAAGCTTGTAATTCCTGCCCCATCAGGATCTCCCAATCCACCCTCCTTATGAAATGGGGTCAAGGGAAGGGTCCCCAGGAGGGAAGGTTGGTTGTAGTCTGGTGTAGGGCCTAGTTCATGGACAGTCAGTGCTGAAAGGGGCTCCAGGGTCAGGCCTTTGGCCCAGGACTCTCATTGAACAGATGAGATCAAGCCTGTCAGCTGCTGCCTTGGTCTGGGTGCAGAACCTTGTTGAAGGTCATGTCTTGGGACTCCCCTGCCTGGTGACAGGTTCCTTGAGGCTGCTTAGAGGCCTGGGCTTAGCACATCCAGGGGATGGTCGTTTCTCCATTCATGGCAGCGTCAGAAGCGTCAGAAACCTTGTTACCATGGAGAGTGCTCCACTTGGGGTTGGGGAAAGGGAGGTTAACGGATAAAGGTAACTGAAACCCTGGCAAATACGGGGCCCAGGTGGAGGAGAATGGAACTGATATTTATTGAGTCTCTATCATGTACCAAGAATCGGACTTATATTAGACCATTGAGGACAGGGGAGCAGGGAGAGGGATAGATGGATTGGGGTTGGGGAGGGCAGAGAGGGGCCCTGTCCTGGGGCTGTATAGGGAAGTGTGTGTGGCAGGAGATGACACAGATGGAGTAGAAGGAACCCGGCTGTGCATCTGCGCACACCCTGCACTACCATGCTCTGGCTCTGTGACCTCGGATAGGTCGCATACCCTTTCACAACTCAGCATCTTCTGTTACGTGGCGGACAGCCATGCTGGCTTCCTAGATTCCGTGGGAGCCTCATGGGCTAACATCAGCATCACTGGGCACACAGCAAGTGTCCTGGACATGCAGCTCGGGTCTGCAGATAGAGCGGCAGCATGGGATTGTGGGAGGAGCTTGGGTGTGAGGGCCGTGTAGACAGCTTAGTTTTGTGACCTTGCGCAGGTAATTTCTGTTCTCTGAGCCTCAATTCCATTGCCTTTAAAATGAGATAATGATTATTGTCACAAGGATTTTTGGAATGAGATGGCGTGTGAAAGCACCTGGCACAGGATCCGAGACCTTGTGGCGATTTAAAAGTATGAGTTCCTTTCCCCTTCAGTGAAGCAGCTTCTATACTTCTGGATCAGGGCTCTGTCCAGAGCAGTGGTTGTGAGCGATTTTGCACCCTTCCCCTCCACCCCCAGGAAACTGGAGACATTTTGATGGTTACAGCTTGGGGATGCCACTGGAATCCAGTGGGCAGAGGCCTATGACACACAGCTAAGATCCCACGTCAGAGAATCCTGGGTCCACAGTGTCAGTTGTGCCGTGATTGAGGAAGATCTAGAGGAGATCAAGGGCTGGGCAGGATTCCCTCAGCACCACAGCCTGTTCTCTGAAAAGGCCTAAAGCCAGCCAAGTATGACAGCCGGCTTCACAAATGATAGGTGACTTCAGGGAGGTCCTCCCTGCGCCCCACATCTCCCAACTGCTGAAGGCCCTCACCCATCAATGGGCCGAGTGATTGCTGGACGCGTGGTGCTGAGTTAACGCCACAGCAGTAGCTTTTTGCCCCCGTGGACTAGTTTTATACCTGCCCTTCCCCATCCATCATTTGAATGATGTCATTTGTTAGTTGTGCCAGGTTTACATGAAGAGCAAGTGAGCCTATGTTTTCTGTTCAGCCTATGGGATCCTGCTTATTGCTTTGGGGACACCACATTAGAAAAGAGTTACAAGGGCTGGGCGCGGTGGCTCACACCTGTAATCCCAGCACTTTGGGGAGGCCGAGGCGGACAGATCACGAGGTCAGGAGATCGAGACCATCCTGGCTAACACAGTGAAACCCCGCCTCTACTAAAAATACAAAAAAAATTAGCTGGGCGTGCTGGCGGGCGCCTGTCGTCCCAGCTACTCAGGAGGCTGAGGCAGGAGAATGGCATGAACCTGGGAGGCGGAGCTTGCAGTGAGGCAATATTGCGCCACTGCACTCCAGCCTGGGCGACAGAGCGAGACTCCGTCTCAAAAAAAAAAAGGAGTTACAAAGTAGAGGTTATCAGTGGCTGATATCAGGCTGGCCTTGTTTGGATGGGGAAAAGGAACTCCAGAACTGAAAGACAGAGGGACTGGACTGCCTCTTGAGTGTGGAAGGTGGATCAGAGCCAAGCAGGGAGCTGGGGAACCAGCGCTGGGAGTGGCTTGCCTGGTGGCGCAGACCCAGCTCACTCAAGATGGATCTCATACTGGGGAAGCCAGGAGATTCAGCTCTGCTCCGAAGGCCCTTCCTGTCTGCACGTGGGTATCACTGCATGAAGAGGAGTAGAGACCCGATTGGGCAGAAGCCATTCCTTGTTCTATTTTTGAAGCTTTTTGGCTGAAGCCAGTGTTTCATACGAGGAAATGAAAGTTGGCTGATGTAATTCAGTTTAAAATAGGTGTCACCTTTGGGGACCTAACCCAGATTGTAATTTTCTTTTGCATGCTGGGTATTCAGAACTCAGCAAAGAATGTGTTGTCAGGATTGCAACTGAGGTTGGGGGGTAAGGGTGGAGACTGGCTCATTGTTGGCAAAAGCTTCTGTTAGATTGATAAACTCTTTCCAGGTAACAGTTGGGACCTCATTGATCCCGATAGATCTTAGAAGTTCTAGCACATCTTAATTTCCTTAATAGTTTAATTGATGAAGAGCATTGATGAAGAGTTAGGAGGTCTCCCTTTGTACCTACATTTTCCGCTTTTTTAGAATGAGAAGATGAGAACGACCTCCAGTTCACATGTACGGGTGCTGTGAGGATCCAGTAGGGGAGATACAGTGCTCAGCACCAAGCAGGTGCAAGTGAGCACAATCCAATTTTACATCAAGTTACCCCTCCAGGACAGTTGCTTTGACGTGGAAGGTAGAGAGGGAGTTGAAAGGAGGGTTTGCATGGTTGGCAGAGGTGCCCTGCAGCCTCCCTGTGCAGGCTGTAAACCGTCTCTGCCCCCCTGGAAGCCGTGGAAGGTGGGTGGTATGGATGAGATCCCATCTGACTCTGTTCCTGAGCTGTTTCTGAAGTGAGCTTGTTCATGACGGCATGGATGTGCTTGAGCCTAGCTATCCTTAACTGGTGGTGATGCACAGGGGACATGCTTCGGGCATTCCATGCAGCCTTGCGGAACTCTCCCGTCAACACCAAGAATCAAGCTGTGAAGGTAAAGGGGTGGCGCTGCGGCTCTGCTGGGTGCTGTTGGGACCAGGGCTGTGGGTGTCTGCCCAGTGCGAGTGTGAGCTTTCATCCACATCAGAGGGAGTGAGTTGGCACTGGGCGGGGCTTCCAGGGAAGCCTCCTGGCGCTCCCTAGGTGGTGAGGCTTCTCTGACATCAACGCTGTCAGCGTTTATATACGAGAACCTCCCCACAGAAGCCTTCACTCCTGCTCACGGCCTCGTAGGCTGAGAAGTCAGCCTGGCCCTGGCTGATGAGGAAAATGGATGAATTCGCTCACCTGTGGTGCTTATGCTCCCACAGACTGTTAAATAGGCTTTGTCTGCCTGAGGATTTTAAGTACCCGTACGCTTTCCTACCTTCTAAAAACTAAATTGTGCTTACTGCATCACCAAGTCTAAAATTTGGTTCAGAGAAAGGGGTCTCCCTGCAGCTGGGATTCTGGCAGCTGTGACAGCATCTTGATGTCACCAGTGGCTGCACCTTCACAGAGTTCTGGGGAATGGCCCCACCCTTCTGGGTGTGAACACAAGAGGGACGCTGCAGCCGAGTCAACCTGGTTTTATTTTTATTTTTTAATAGTCCACCACCATTGTGGAGTATAATAAGGCCTTATTGGTGTCATCTAAAATAGTGATGGGCTGGGTGCCATGGTTTATGCCTGTAATCCCAGCACTTTGGGAGGCAGGAGGATCGCTTGAGCTCAGGAGTTTGAGACCAGCCTGGGCAACATAGCGAGACTTTGTCTGTATTAAAAAATAAAAAAAATAATTAGCTGGGCATGGTGGCATGTGCCTGTAGCCCTAACTGAGGTGGGAGGATTGCTTGAGCCTGGGAGAGGCTGCAGTGAGCTGAGATTGCACCACTGCACTCTAGCTCAGGCAACAGAGCGAGACCCTGCCCCTCCCTCCCTCTCTCCCTCTTTTCTCTTCTCTCTCTCTCTCTCTCTCAGAGTTGATACTTGTCCTAGTAAACTACTTACTCCCCCAAAATAAGTAGGGTAACTTGTTGGCATAAATAAAAGATACTTTGAAATTTAAATCCACAAAAGACGTTCTAACCCACTTATTTTAACCATCCTGGACGAATTAGAAACTGGGCAGTGTTTCTGGTGATCTGTGTCCTTGCTTTGGTGTGGGGCATGGCATGGCGGTGCCTTCGCAGCTCTGGGACTCACTTGCTCTTTTTCGTCTGCAGGAGCGAGCCCAGGGCGTGGTGCTGAAAGTGCTCACAAACTTCAAGAGCAGTGAGATTGAGCAGGCTGTGCAGTCACTGGACAGAAACGGCGTTGACTTGTTAATGAAGTACATTTATAAAGGCTTTGAGAAGCCCACAGAAAATAGCAGCGCAGTGTTACTCCAGTGGCACGAAAAGGTATGTGAACGCTGCCACGCGCCCCAGTGAGCCACCTGGCTTGCCTTGGGGTTCGATCAGCAGGCCAGATTTTCCAGAACAAACGTAGGACGGTCTGATAGGCGTGTGGGGTCAGAGGACGAGCCCCAACCTGGGACATGTCATCACTTCCCTCTCCCAAGGAAGCTCCTGGTAGGGACCTGCTGTCTGTGGTAATTGCAGTTACTTTTTTGCTTTTTAGCTGCCGATTTATGTCAGGCAAGACAGGGTGCCCTTGGTACAGGACATGTGGGCAGATAACATGGCATAGTAAGGTGGTCAGGGAGTCTAGGTAGGAAGGGGGCCTGCTGGTTGGTTGGGGCTTCATGATACTTGCAGTGGTGGAGGCAGCTGTTGGGGGTTCTTAGAAATAGAGTCCTCCAGCCAGCTCTAAGGGCTTCCTGCCCTGGCCTCAGCCTTAGCAGGCCAGAGTGAGCAGTGGGCAGAAACCTTGACCTCACTTAATATGGCCTTCGTCCAGGTGAAGCAGAAAGAGCTGTGTCTGCCCTTCGCTTGGGTCCGTGTGAGAGCAAGGCCTTTGGCAAGCCTGTGTCGTGCCTGTACCACTGGGGCTGCCTCCCACACCCTCCCCTGCACACCCCTAGTGCCGCAGTAAGCACGCCCACCATTAAAGCAGACCAGGAGTTACTAACCTGCCTGCCTTCCTCAGAGGCTCAGTGTTGAGTTGGAAGAGAGGGGTTTTACAGTGGGCCAGTCCTTAAGGTGGTGTGGGTGCTGGGCTGTGGTTGTGGCCTTAGGTCTGCTGGCGGGTGTGCTGCACCTCCTTGGCCTCCCCTCTCCTGGGCTCAAGGAAGTAAACAAGTCCTCTGTATGATGGGGAGGCCAGGACCTCTCGTCCCTTTAAGGCAGCTTGGTGCCTGCCAGTCACCTCAGCGGGCGGCAGTCAGTGGGCTTGTGTGCATCTGTAAACTCAGCACTTTGGGAGGCTGAGGCAGGAGGATTGCTGGAGCCCAGGAGTTCAAGAACAGCCCAGGCAATGTAGTGAGAACCCATCTCTACAAAAAAATAAACTAGGCTGGGTGCGGTGGGCTCACGCCTGTAATCCCAGCATTTTGGGAGACGGAGGCAGGCGGATGACCTGAGGTCAGGAGCTCAAGACCAGCCTGGGCAACATGGTGAAACCCCGTCTCTACTAAAAATACAAAAATTAGCCGGGGGTGGTGGCGGGCGCCTGTAATCCCAGCTGCTCGGGAGGCTGAGGCAGGAGAAGCGCTTGAACTGGGGAGGCAGGGTTGCAGTGAGCCGAGATCGTGCCATTGCACTCCAGCCTGGGTGACAAGAGCGAAACTCCGTCTCAAAAAAAATAAATTAGCCGGGCCTGGTGGTGCACACCTGTGGTCCCAGCTACTCAGGAGGATGGCTTCAACCCAGGACATCAAGGCTGTGCAGTGAGCTGTGATCTGGGCAACAGAGTGAGACCCCATCTCAAAAGGGAAGCTCGAGGGCTCTGCTTTGTGTGCTGGTGACAGTGTTCTCAAGCCAGTTCTGCCCAAGAGCCAACAGCTCTCGGGACCCCACGGCTCCAGGACAGGGCTCCTTCCCTAGAATGTGCTCTATCTCAGGAATCCTCTTTCGAGGATCTGTGACGGGATCTAGGTCAGGGAATGTCCCCCCTGTCTCTGGCAAGCCAGGCTCCCCTTGGCCAGCCAGGTCTCATCTGACACGTTTTCTTTTCCTGCCCCCACAGGCCTTAGCAGTAGGAGGACTAGGCTCCATTATAAGAGTTCTTACAGCAAGAAAGACTGTTTAAAAAAAATAAAAAGACTCATGTTACCTTGAGAAGAATTCTGGATGCCCAGGCTGGTGAAGAAGGGATTGACAATGGACCATCTTCCTAGGAACTCCCAAGTAAACTATTTCAGGACATGTATCTGCTGAAATGTATTTTATTTTCAAGGTGGAGGGGAAAATCGTCTGTTTCCTAAATCCTGTTTAGGATCTGATAGTCTATGCCTTTGTCTCCGAGTACTGCAGAACTGACATTTTGACGGTCTACCAGCGTGGCGGCTGGTGTTGGTCAGATGCACCTGTGTGCACTGGGGGAGGGATGGTTTGGGCAGGTGCAGATCCAAGGGCTGTGGTAAACGGGAGAGCTTGTGTTTTTGAAGTGGAAAAAAACCCAAGAGTTTGTACAGACATCCTGTCTTCCCAGAGAAGGTGGACACTCTTGGGCTCATTGTAAAGTGCCTGCTGCATCAATAAAGCTCTTGGCTTATTAGTCTATACATTGCGGTGTGTTTCGTGTATGTAAAAAAAAATGGTAATGAATGGGATGGTAATGAATGAGAGTTCAGTTGTTGTTCCGGAAACCCGATGTGGAAGGAGTAGACCTGTGTCCCTGTTGAGCCACCCCTGGGAGCGAGCATGGCAATCCACAGGCCCTCTGCCACAGGACGCCAGCCTCGGCCTCAGAGCTGCCGGCTGCTGCAGAGAGGTGTTTGCTGAATAAACTATTTATTGTTTCTTATTCCTTTGATTTGTATGTAATTAATTTTGGAGCTTATTTAATTAATTTAATAAAGTGCCAAACATTTAATAATTGATCTAGGCTTTAAAAGTCTTCAGTTTGTGGGATTGCACTTGGAATCTTTTGAGGGTGGGGCCTCAGATGTGCCTGGTCACGTCTCCTGATGCTGGGTTGGCTGTGCTGCAGAATCACTGCTGCATGGACAAGCTTTCTTTAAAGAACTAAACGTCAGAAATGGGGAGCAATCAATCAGCAAATAGATGGTATAATTTGGTTCCCCATAACCAATAACAGAGCTTCTCTGAAGGGCAAAAATGCTTTTCTTTCCTTTTCAGCACATGTGACTGCAGCTTGCATTCTGTTAAAGGTTAGGGCCCCATTCACACTCCAGAAGCTCCTCTGGGTCATACAGCCTTTGGATACAGACTTTGACCAAAGTGACACAGTCCTCCCCTCCACAGCTCTCCCCTCCTCAGTCCCTCTTCAGAACCACTGCAATTCTTGGGGGGGGTAGAATGGGGCTGTTGGCTTCATTAAATTACGTATATTTATTCACCCAAATCCAGTCTGGGAAGGTTCTTTCTGAAAGAAAGACAAACATTCTCTAGCCCTTGAGGTTGGCCTTGGAGTGTTAAATATGAGACACAAAATACCAGATTTAATGAGTCAAAGAAATACTGACACACCAAACTAGTAAAATCCATTGTAGTTGCATCTGGATTGAAGAGCTTTAATCAAAAAGTGTATTGCACCACAGATGAATTTGCTACAGCAGTTTTCAAGAATACAATCCCTATTTACAACATGGAAGGAGAGCTCAAGATCCATCGCTCGTATAAAGGGCTATAGATACCGTCGCTAACACAGAAAGTTTTATACAAGTCAAAGTGCATTAAATCACTTAGAATATTTATTCCACTCTTCCTCTTAAAGCTGAAGGAAATTCAACATGCAGGAGGAAAGCCTAGTCAGTGAAGCCTCCCTAAAGTGAGTACAGACCTAGGAACGGGCCCCACAGCTACACCTGAAACTGCCGAGGAGTGGGGCCTGGGGTGCGTGTGGGACCAGTTCAATGGCTGGAGAAGCCACGGAGGCAGCGGATGGGCTTCTGTGGAAATGTAGCTGCCTTTGGCTGGCTGTGAGCTACCCAGTCTTAGAGATTCTTTCCTGGAACAGTTGAAAAAGGAAATCCTACTTTGAAAAAAGGCTACCTCTTACCCATCAAACTTGCAGAACAGAAGAGACTCCTGTTTCGTGTTCCCACCAGGTAAATGGAAATTCGTGTTCTAAACAAGGGATAACTGTCTGCAAGGAGGAGCCAGAGGAGGAGGTTAGTCACTGGAGAAGCGGCCTCTGGAAGGCAGAGAGCCTGAGCTGGGACTAAGGAGATGCTGCCCTGACTTGGTTCTTCATGGAAATTTCGTTAGGTTAACGTTGCAAATGCGTGTTTTTCTGTGACACATTTTATATACCTATTTTGGCCCTAAGCATGATTGAGAAATACAACTTTCCATCACTGGATAATGGATAATAAATTTAGAGGCTCCAGTTATTAATTTAGTTTTTTATTTAACCAGTGAAACTTTCATCAAACAATAAACGGTTTCCTTTTAGATTCAATATTGTGGCTTTTCCAGAACCAGCATGTTCCCTTTCCTCAGTAAACGAGGAATCCATAAAACAAGTTTTTGTTGGTTACTACCAGAGTCATGTGCATGCTACAAGTGCTGCAGCCAGCTGGGCGCCGTCTGGGTGTAGTGTCATTTTAAGTATTTGGGGTGGGATGAGGGAGAGAGAGCAGCTCCACAGACAAGGCAGACTGCCCCAGTGTCTCCATCGAGGCTGGGGGACAGCTGCTGCCCCCACTGGAGACAGCGGACTGTCCTTCAGTAGAAGACAGGTGGTCTGCATCGCCCAGCGGCAGCGCAGCACAGAATCAAGACAAAGCACACGAGATCCCACTGCACTTCAGAGGGAGCAGTGCCAGAGTGCGAGTGAGAAGACAAAGGAACAGGAATCCTAGTTTTAGGAAGAATTTCCTCTGGACGCTCTGATTTTAAGAACACCAGTTAAATGGATTTTATAGTACAGAAGACATGTTTATAGTAGTGAAGAACTTCAGCTATAAAAAATAGTTTAAAATGGTTTACCAGCAACCTATCCAAGACAAGTACATTCATTAAAAAGGCAATTGAGTGTATTTGGTACTAAGGGTCTTTTCATATATTTGCTAGTTTTCTTAAGTAAAGTGGAGATACTGTCAGAAAGGTGCATTTTCTCATTCATCCACACCGACCCTTAAAGATGGATCCTCTAAAGTTCTAGGTGGTTTGAGAGACAGGGTGAAAGAATATTTTCTTGAGAGGAAGGGATAAAAAGCTTCTAACTCATCTGAATTTTTAAAAGCCACTCCCATAGAGTTCCCATGGAGTTGGCTGTTCCTGGCAGAGGCAGGTGGGTTTGGCCTGCTGGGCACCATCTCAAAGGGCCGTCTCTACCTCCAGTAGCAGCGCTACATGGTGACTCAGGTGTGCCTGCCAGATGCTGATGGCTTCAGCTGTAAGTGCTACCGTGAAGTTAGAGGATTCAGGTGCAGATGGGGTGCTGGCTGGAGCTGGGATATTAGCAGCACTGTGGAAATCTGGGTAGTGCCAGGACCCTCCTGTTTGGTGACCAGAATGACAGGATCAGCTACCCCCTGAGGTTCAGGTCAGCCTGCAGGGAAGTGGGCCTTAGTCTTGTAAACAATGTTTAGACACTTGTACAAAATACTGCAGTTACAGTGATTAAAAACCCACCCAGACTGGTGTGTCAGTGTTCTTTTCACAGAAAAAGTGTCAACCCACGGAGCTCCATCCTTGGGTAGTCCCCTCTAGGACCATGGTATCCGAGGGTTTGAGATAGACGGCCGGATGCTGCCCTTGGGAGCTGGTTTGGACCCAAACCATGACATCTGCATTTGAAACAGAAAAGGCTTCTGAGATGCAAATCAGGACTTGGTGCCAGGGAAACTGAACCGCCCCTCCCCTCCCGTGAGCCTGTCACTCCTGCCCCCCACACATCCTGCCTCTGGCTCTGAGCAGAGCAAGAAGATGGTGCCAGTAACCAGTCTGCAGGCCCGTGCTCAGTACAGGAGGGAAATGAGAGAAAAACACTGAGTTGACAGGAACAAGGTAGTGGAACTGCAGGTATTTTTTCCTATTAGAGCATTTATGCAGACGCTTTTGGAATTTGAGTGCCGAGCCAGACCTGGGGCTCTCGATAAAGCGCTATCAATGAAAATGCTTTGAAAAATACGTGGCCTGTTGGTCAAGTACAGCACAGACATTTGGGCACAAAGGATGTCATCGCTAAAAAGTGCTTGGATCAAGTTCATCCAAAAGCAGCCAAGCTGATCATGCAGCTGTGCTGGTGCCTACACTCGGGTGTGGGTCTAAGGGGTCTTACACTGCTACTGCTGGGATAACTGACAACGTATCTTGGAAGCTGGAACAGTAGACCAGAGAACCCTACCTTATATTCCAGAGTTTCCTTGAGCATGTTCTCCTCCTCTTGGGAAAAGTTCAGCAACACTGACACAGCTTTTATAAGATGAAAAGCCTGAAACACAGTAAGTTTTGCTGCCATAGGCCTTGGTGAAGGTGAGGCGGGGTGGGGTCGGGGGAGCTACGTGGCATTTCCTGCTTGCTTTGGTTAGCAGGACCAGGTGGTGGGTGACGCTCTGGCACTCTGAAGTTTGGCAGCAATGATAGGTTCTTTCTTCCCCTGCATCCTCGGGGGCCTGGCAGGCTTAAGGGAACTGCCCCAGCAGCTACCCTACCCTTTGGCAGGACCCAGGAGCGATGGGTGGATTCCGTTCCCGGCTTCCGGCCTCTGGCCTCAGCACCCAGGCCAGGATTTAGAAGTGGAGCCTATGTCTCCCACCAGGAGCCAGTTCCTGCACGGCCTCTCCCGCCAGCCGCTCACTCCGCAGGCCAACGCCAGCAGGAGAAATGACTGGGTGACCACAAGGGCGTCAAACCAGGATGTACGAGGAAAAGAGAGAAAGGGGCTGGGCAGGGGTCCCTGCAGGACAGACTGTAGGGCGGGGCCTCAATACCCAAAAGACACCTCAAAAGCCCTTTACCTCGGATTCGCGACAAGACATGAATTTTAAAACCACATGTTTAAGGTACTCAAAGTTGATCTCGCGGGCATCTGTCAGGTCAGTGTTATTCGTGACGGAAGGCGCCATGTTTGCCATCTCAGGTCCAGGTTTCTCCCGGACTTCGAAGAGCTCATTATCGGGTCTGATTTTCTGAAAAACCAGTGGGAAAGATGCTACACCGAACCCTCTGAGACAGGTGGAAAAAATCACACGGGAGGTTCACCTGGTCCAAACTATGATCACTATCGTAGGGCAAAAAGGGCCCCACCTGGGAAGGAAGCACCTCCAGGTAGGCTTGAGGAGGGAGTGACATCGTTTGGGTAAATTCAGACATTCCGTTTTCCATGGCAAGAACACATGTCCCTGGGGCCTGAAGCTGCTCGCATCCCGCATCAGGCCAAGCACTCTGCCACACACACACACTGTTAGAGCATCACTGCGCTGGCGTGGCAGGCAACCCCACTTCCAGATGAGGATGCAGGCTCAGAGAAGGCAGGAACAGGGCTGTAGCCACGGAGCTGCTTCAGAGGTGCATGCAGGCTGGCAGGCTGTCCCACCAGCTAACGTTGGATTGCCCAGCGATCCCTTGCAATTAATTAGGGGGTGGAGGGAGCATAGTCAGGCGGCGAGGGACCTCAGGAGGACCGGGCACAGGCAGCAGGGGGAGTGCTGGGAAGTGGGGCCAGCTCCCATGCGAGTACTCACCAGCTCCTTCTGCAGAGTCTTCCGGAGCTCCAGCATCCGCTGCTGCATCTGCTTTATGGTCTGCGACAAGCCCCACCCCACAGAAAGCCAATCGTTAGATGCATGTTTCACCAAAGGAAACAGACCCGAAGATCCCACGGGATCCCCTGTACACCTGTGAGGAGCCTCTGCCCTGAGAAGTCATCCTGAGAGGCTGGTGCTCAGCTGTCGCATGCTTGTGCCTACGACTGTTGGGCTGTCATCCCTCTTGGGCCACTGCTTTCACACGCTTGAGTCTCCACGTCCCACAGGGGCCACAGTCCCTCTGTGTTGACATGAGTGCCCCAGCGCTGCCTATCCCTTCCCGGGGGCTTGGTCCACCACACACAGCCCAGCTGGAAAAGGCTCTGGACCATAGATTTTGCCCTCAAAATTCAATTTTTATGCTGTGATCCCCAAGTAGGATACTTAGGCGAGGACTTACGGTTCTCATCACTACTGCTCTCTTGAAATACATGAATAATCTGCAATGCTTATTTTGAACACCCTAAAAAGATCATGGTTTTTCTGCACAACTCATCAACATCCAGTTTTAGATAAATAATTTGGAAAATAATTTTTTTTTTTTTGAGATGGAGTCTCACTCTGTTGCCCAGGCTGGAGTGCAATGACACGATCTCAGCTCACTGCAACCTCCGCCTCCTGGGTTCAAGTGATTCTCCTGCCTCAGGCTCTAGGGGAGCTATTACAGGCACACACCACCATGCCCGACTCATTTTTGTCTTTTTCTTCTTCTTCTCCTTCTTTTTTTTTTAAGATGGAGTTTCACTCTTGTTGCCCAGGTTGGAGTGCAATGGTGCAATCTCGGCTCACTGCAACCTCCGCCTCCTGGGTTCAAACGATTCTCCTGTCTCAGCCTCCCAAGTAGCTGGGATTACAGTTGTGTGCCACCACACCCAGCTAATTTTATTTTTTTCAGACAGAGTCTTGCTCTGTTGCCTAGGCTGGATTGCAGGTGACATAATCTCAGCTCACTGTAACCTCTGCCTTCTGGGTTCAAGTGATTCTCCTGCCTCAGCCTCCTGAGTAGCTGGGATTACTGGTTCCCACCACCACGCCCGGCTAATTTTTGTATTTTTAGTAGAGACAGGGTTTCACCATGTTGGCCAGGCTGGTCTCGAACTCCTGACCTCAGGTGGTCCACCCACCTTGGCCTCCCAAAGTGCTGGGATTACAGGCATGAGCCACCGCACCCGGCCTTTTTTGTTTTCTTTAAGAGACAGCATCTCACTATGTTGCCCAGGCTGGATTCAGTCTTTGAACTCCTGGGCTCAAGCAATTCTCCCACTTCAACCTCCCGAGTAGCTGGGACTACAGCTGTGCGCCACCACGCCTGGCTAATTTTCTTTGATGTTTAAATAGTATTATGAGCCTTACATTTATTACACATTCCATACACATTCCATTATTCACTAGACAGGCTGAGACATTTTCTCAACTAAAAACTTCATAATATAGGGAAAAAAAATTTTTTTTTTTTTGAGACGGAGTCTTACCCTGTCCCTGAGGCTGGAGTGCAGTGGCACGATCTCGGCTCTCTGCAACCTCTGCCTCCTGGGTTCAAGCAATTCTCCCACCTCAGTCTCCTGAGTAGCTGGGATTACAGGTGTGTGCCACCACGCCCAGCTAATTTTTGTCATTTTAGTAGAGACAGGATTTCACCATGTTGGCCAGGCTGGTCTCGAACTCCTGGCCTCAGGTGATCTGCCCGCCTTGGCCTCCCAAAGTGATGAAATTACAGGCATGAGCCACCACGCCCGGTTTTAAATAAAAATTTATTCAAAGTCTCTGAATGGTAATATATCAAAATGCATTCTTCCATGTACCCCCAGTCCACATCCCCATTCTTGCACAGCGTGGCTGGAATTGTAAATACATTTTTCATGTATCAGAGTCATCACTGCCTCCTCCAGCTTTCCTAATTGTAATGTCTAATGTGACAGGAACTCCCGGGGATGCCCTTGTCTTACTGCGTGGCTGGGCTTCCACTTTAAACAAAGCTGGGATAAGCTTTGTTTCCCCAAGCGAGGAATCCCCATTGTTTCTCTTGGGGATAGAATGACTGAGTCAGAAGACCACAGTTTCTAACTTCTCCACTGTGAGGCATCTTAAGTGACCTCCAACACACCCAATTTTGTAAAATGGCACCTTGTGGCTTTGATTTCTATTCTCTTGGCTGACCATGAGGCTGGACACTGCCCCAAAAGTACATTGGCTACTTTATCTTACGTTATTTTGGTTTCCTGGATTTTCCTCACTCAGTAATTCATCTAATAGTTACTGAGTCCCTGCACTGTTCTAGGGGCTGGAGAAACGGCAACAAAAAAGTCAAAAGTTCACCCTCGAGGGGAAAAGAATCAATAAACAGGCCAGGTGTGGTGGCTCACACCTGTAATCCCAGCACTTTGGGAGCCAAGGCAGGCGGATCACAAGGTCAGGTGTTCCAGACCAGCCTGGCCAACATGGCAAAACCCCGTCTCTACTAAAAATACAAAAAAAGCCAGGCACAGTGGCTCACGCCTGTAATCCCAGCACTTTGGGAGGCCGAGGCGGGCAGATCACGAGGTCAAGAGATCGAGACCATCCTGGCCAACATGGTGAAACCCCATCTCTACTAAAAATACAAAAATTAGCTGGGCGTGGTAGCGCGCCTGTAGTCCCAGCTACTTGGGAGGCTGAGGCAGGAGGAGAATTGTTTGAACCCGGGAGGCGGAGGTTGCAGTGAGCTGAGATCGCGCCACTGCACTCCAGCCTGGCGACAGAGACTCCATCTCAAAAAAAAAAAAATTAGCCAGGCGTGATCGTGGGCACCTGTAATCACAGCTACTCGGGAGGTTGAGGCAACAGAATCGCTTGCACCGAGGAGGCAGAGGTCGCAGTGAGCCAAGATCACGCCATTGCACTCCAGTCTGGGTGACAGGGGGAGACTCTGTCTCAAAAAAAAAAAAAAAAAGAAATCAATAATCAAATCCGCAGTGTATCAGAGGGTATGAAGAGGCATGGAGAAGAGGCAGCATGGTGAGGGAGGGTGGGGTTCTGGTGGTGAGGCTGGTCAGGGTGGCATAAAGAAAGTGAGGATGACCAGGGAAAGGCACTTCCAAACGGAAGGCTCAGCAAGTGCCAAGGCCCTGAGGTTGGAGGGTACTTGATGGGAGTGAGGCCCCTGTGGCTGAGAGGGAGTGACGAGGACAGGAGGGGCTCAGCTGGCAGGGGTAATGAGGGGCCACACCACACAGGGCTTTGCGGGCCTCTGCAAGGACTCAGGCTTTCATAAGAGATCAACAGAGACAGGCTTTCATCAGAGGGCTAAGACAAGAGTGCCAGGGAAACCAGTTAGAAGTCTGATACCATCTTCCAGAGAAGAGACAATGGTAACCTGAAGCAGGTGGCAGCGATGTGAAGTGGTGGATTCTGGGAAATGTGTGAAGGGGGTGCTGAAGGAATCTGCTAACAGCCTGGATGCTGGTAGAGAAAGAACCAAGGCAGATAGGACAACTCCAAGGCTTTTGCCGTCTACTGAGATGGGAAAGGTGGCATGGCAGCCAGGGAACACAGTGAAGCCGAAGTGTGTTTTCCGATGTTTTGAGTTTCAGACACCTTAGAGCTCATGTGGAGACAGGTTTGTGAGGCTAGTGTCCGTGGAGCTGTCTGGGCGGGAGGTAGGGAGGGGAGTCAGCTGCGCAGGGCATGGCTGAGATCGCAGAGGAGGGCGCACAGTGCAGAGAAGAGCTGTGAGGGCTGCCCTTGTGCACGGCGGGTGGCAGTGGGAAGGAGACTGGCCTGTCAGAGGAGACGGAGAAGGAGCAGGCCATGGATGGGAGCTTCAGGAGGAGGAAGAGACGCCTGTCCAAGGCTGCCAACAGGCCAATCAGAGGGAAAATTAGGAACTGCCTTCTGGATTTAGCAGTGCAGATGTTACTGATGAGCTTGACAAGAGTGTTTTTCTGTGGAGTGGTGGAGGAAAGGTTGAGAGAGAAGAGGAGTGGGAATGGAGATGGCAGATATAGGAAGTTTTAACATGTCAGCACGGCAGGTGAGCAGAGACGCAGCAGCAGGGCAAAGGGGTGCAAGCCGAGGGCTTTCATAAGGTGCCTGCACAACGGCGCACCTCTCAGTAGATGGGACGATTCCAAGAAAAAACGACCTAGGCAAGAAGGGGGAGGCGGCTGGCGTAGTGCTTGGGGAGGTGGGGGAACAGGATATGAGGAGAGGCTGTGGCACGTCCCTTCTCAGAGAAGCAGGAGGTGGGAGCACCAGGGTGGGTGAGGCAGGGTTGAGGTGAAGAGAGGAGAGAAGGTAGACATGAAGTTGGGGTTAGGGGCAGAGGGGCGTGAAGGCCCACGGATGAGGTGGGGTTGCGGGGAACACTGGGCTGCCCGCAGGACCATGGTCCTGAGCTTCGAGGGGACCTGAATGCCCAGGTGATGGCACTCTCCAGCCAGGTCTGCCTCCATGGCTGCAGGCAGGGAGCAGGGAAGAGTTGGGTTTAGCCCAAGTTTAACCAGAGCTTGGCTAGGACAGTCTGAGGAAAGGGAGAGAGGCCAGAGGACCGCAGGTGTCGGGAAGGCAGTGATCCCGTGACAGACACAGACCCGACGCTGAACAAGGAGGCAGGAAGGCAGCACAGCTGGTAAGGCCAGAGGCTCAAGGGACGGAGGTCCTAGGGGACAAACGGGAAATTTGCAAACAGGCAAAACGAAACTGTGGGGTTGAGCAATGCGAGCTGAGGTGACACTAGGGAAAAAAGCAAGGCAGTCATTGCCAGAAGGGCTGGGATCGGAGTGACTGACAGGGCTGGGAGGGGCTCAGGGGGCTGGGCTTCTGGGATGCTGGCAATATCCTGATTCGCATCGGGGTGGTTACATGGGTCTGCTTTCTGTTAATTCACTGAGACACACATTTGTTTTGTACACTTTCCTGTGTGTATTTTTTTTTTCAATTAGCAATAATCGCGCCTCGGATAGACCTCATTGGCTACGATACTGCCACTGCTGCAAAGCTTCTGTATTTTATATTAGACATAATGAACACTTTCCCCCTTGTAAAAGATCTAAACACACACACACACGTGCACTCACACACACAAACACACACACAATTTGGGGGCAGAATGTCAGGCCAGAGCAATAGCCGGCTGGCACACTAAGCTTCACAGGACACTTTAAGAACCAGGATTAAATGAGATCCTGCATTTATATAGGTGGAAAGGCTGGAGGGTGAAGGGTGGGGACCATGACATTTATTGAGCCTCTACCAAATACCAGAGAGTTTATAAAGTTTATAGGACGGTTCACAAATACCTTCATTTCATAACCCCCTCCTCCCACCCAAACAAACCCTTAAAGGCAGCTATCAGTGCTTTACTTCCACAGCTGTAGAAAGGAAGTATAGACGAAAGAGGACTGTCGCTATGGCCTGGCTGGGGACAGCAGAGCTGGCAGGGAACATGCAGGCTTGCAGCTGCCCAAGCCTGACACTTGTCCAGTTCTCCAGGGGGTGGGGAGAAGAGGGCTGGGGAGGGTGTGGAGGAGGACAGTGCAGGAGGAACGGAAGATCAGGAGGAAGGCCTTTGGGTGAGAGGGGTCATGGTTGCCAGGAGGTGCGGGGGAAACCACAAAAACCTCCAAGGATGGACTGGGTCATTTTAGGCCTGAGGGTGAGGACCTGGTGGAGACAGAAACAGCCATGCAAAAGGCATCCTCACCTTATTTTTCTCCAGAAGTTGCTGCTCCAAGTCCTGTTTCTCCTTCTGTAGCTGTGTGAGATCCATGGCCCCAACCTCACCATTTGGTGTTCTTCCTGCAGTTGGAAGCTGGAACACAGGGTCCTGCATGGCCCTCGAGGTCACCTACAAGGTGGCAGCAGCAAATTGAGAGCCAGGACAGGTCAGGTGAAGCTGAGCCACAGGTACACAGGGAAGGGGAGCTAGACTCGTCCCTTAGGTATGGGCGTTGTGCTCCAACAGGCAACTGGCCAGGAAGCAATTCCTGGAGAAGATCCAATGCCCAATGCCCACAACTAATCACACGACTAGTCTTTGCTGGGATGAAGGGGCTTGCTCTCCCCTGCCTACCGACAGGGGTGCCATCTGTGATGGGCTCTTCAGGACTCATGGCCTCCTAGCCATATGAGTGCCCTACTTTATTTATTTATCTATTTATTTATTTATTGAGACGGAGTCTTGCTCTGTCACCCAGGCTGGAGTGCAGTGGCGCAATCTCGGCTCCACCAAGCTCCGCCTCCCGGGTTCACATCATTCTCCTGCCTCAGCCTCCCGAGTAGCTGGGACTACAGGCACTCGCCACCACGCCTAGCTAATTTTTTGTATTTTTAGTAGAGACTGGGTTTCACCGTGTTAGCCAGGATGGTCTCGATCTCCTGAACTCGTGATCCACCCGCCTCGGCCTCCCAAAGTGCTGGGATTACAGGCGTGAGCCACTGCGCCTGGCCAAGTGCCCTACTTCAAAGAAAGGACCCTACATGCAGGGGAGCGTCGTGTCCACCATGTGTCCCCACTGCTGCCTCCTTAGGGGCACTCTCGGCACCTGCCCTGCATCTTGCTGTAGCACCCATGCAGGTGCAGCTGGGACTTACGTGCGACTCATTGACTGAGAGTGCTTCGGCCTGCAATGGGCCCCGCAGCCTCAGCAGGTCCTCCTGCTCCGCGACCACTGCAGCCTCCTCCGCCTTGAGGGTCCTCAGGGCCTCCAGCTCGGCCTGCAGCTGGTGTATCTGCAGCAGGGCAGAGTTGTGACCTAGGTCGGGGAGGAGGGGAGGGGGCACTGTGAGCCCAGTGACTCCATGCTGCTTGGTGGCAAGGCCGTCACAAGGCAGGATGCTGGGCCTGAAAAGGAGAGAAGGCTCAGCCAGGGACCGACTCCTCACCTCGCTCCAGCTGGAGAATCTCCTGCTCTTTCTGGAGAAGCACTTCGGTTTTTTCCCGCAGATTCTGTTCCTTCTCGTCTATTATGGCTGTCAGGTTAGCTGCCTTGGAGAGAAAAATCAACAAGAGGGAAGGTTGTGAGCAGTGACTCCATCTTCCCACAGAAATCTCCACTTCCCCGCTCTCCAGGGTACACCACGAATCCCTCCCTGAAGTCCACGACCCAGAGCAAACCCCCAGCTAAGCTCTGCTCCTATGAACATGCACAAATCTATTCTCCTTGGTAGGGGCCCTGCACAGGGGCAGTCGCCTCCCACTGCCCCCTGGCCAACAGTGGGTCAACCAGAGACGTGGCCATTCTGCCCAGCCCAACAAGCTGTCATAACTTCCATTTCCTGAGTGCCTGCAACATCCCCAGCACTAGACACGCATTTGATATATGTTGCCTCATTACAGAATAGTTTCCCAGAGGTGTAAGTAGAAGGCTAGAGTCCTCATCAGAGGAGACTCAGATTTGTTAAGGACTTACCAAAGGCCTAAAGCCACTTAACTAGAAGCTCTGGGGTCAGATGCAAAGTCTACCTTCAAGGGAGGCTTTCCCATACTTCCTGCAAAAACTCAACCCAACCTTACGTGGCCTCTGGGGCAGGTGGGCAATGATAGGTCACCTCACAGAATTAGAGCCCACTAGGCCCGTGGACATGGACCACTTTCCAGGTAATTATAGTTGAAAAATCAGAAAAGGGCATCCTATGGGGTAAGAGTTTCTTTATAACATTTGTCTCCCAGCTTCCTAGAGAGCACAGGGGCCCACGCAGCTGACTGCATTCCCTGAGTCCTGAGTCTACTACCCTACCCTGGAGAGACAGGCCCTCTCCAACAGTCTCACGGCAGGATGGGCCTGCTGCCTGTGGGACTGCAGGGGGACATCGCCCCTCAGCGTGAAACAGGGCCCACCTGTTGCTGGAACTCTTCCCTTTGCTTCCGCACCTCCTCCAGGGCTTGAGCCATGGCCACGCTCACAATTTCTCTTTGGCTCCATTCTTCCTACAATGCAGAAAACCACTGAGCCCCAAAACTTAGTTCACAGTTTTTTAGCTGTATGCCACGCAAGAAGCCCAGCAGACAGGGCATGGCTTTGCAGAGCCAGACCAACATGCTCCCCACTTCCCAGGCTCCCAGCCTGGCCCCTCCCTGCCATGCCCTCAGTATCCCTCTCAGAGCTATCCTGGCAGGCAACCCACCGACTTCTCTGGAAATGGCACACCACTGAGGATCGATTGCCCCACGAGCACCCCCGCCAGGACCCACACCAAGGCTAGGGGCCTATCCTGAAGAGCTGGTCTAAGGACAGTAGCCAAGAACAAGAAGTCAGACTCGCAGGCCACGTGAATGGAGTGGGGGACTGGAACAATTGGTTATGGAAAGAAGAAGAAGTAATGACCAGGGACGGTGGCTCACACCAATAATCCCAGCACTTCAGGAGGCTGAGGTGGGAGGATCGCTTGAACCCAGGAGTTCAAGGCCATCCTGGGTAACACAGTGAGGATCTGTCTCTATAAACAATAAGAAAAATTAGCCGAGCATGGTGTCACATGCCTGTAGTGCCAGCTACTCAGGAGGCCGAGGCGAGAGGATTGCTTGTGTCCGGGAGGTCAAGGCTGCAGGAAAATGGATTCCTTCAAGCATCAGCTAGTGAGGGGCTAGGCTGACAAGACAGAACTGAGTCTCTGTGGCTCCAAAGTCTGCCCTAGCGCCTCAGAGCCACCTAAGATCCAGCACTGTGGGAGGTGGGGTTGACAGTGCCTGCTCAGGTTCACTGTGGCACAAAGCAGGGCCTGCAGCTTGCAGAAGCCACCAGGCCACCCATGCACGGCTGCCTCTGCGATGATTCTCCAGGATGGGCTTAGGGAACAGCTGCTTTGAAGAGCGTGGATGGAGAAAAACAATTCTAAATGTATGTGCACCTAATAGCAGCACTTCAAAATACATGAAGCAAAGACAGACAGAACTAAAGGAAGAAAGAGACAAATCTACCATCGTAGTGGAAGACTGAGCACACCCTTCTTAGTAGCTGATGGAACAAGTAGACTGTTAAACTAAATATGGCCTTGATCTGTCTCACCCAGAGCTTAGCGATTTTATTCACCTTCAAATAATCCACCTCAGGCTTCAGCAGTCCTCGCTACTATGAGAGGGTCCCATTCTTTTGTTTTTTTTTTTCTTTTTTGAGATGGAGCTTCTCTCTTGTTTCCCAGGCTGGAGTGCAATGGCGCAATCTCAGCTCACTGCAACCTCTGCCTCCTGGGTTCAGACGATTCTCCTGCCTCCCCCTCCCGAGTAGCTGGGACTACAGGCATGTGCCACCACACCCAGCTAATTTTTGTATTTTTAGTAGAGACCGGGTTTCGCCATGTTGGCCAGGCTGGTCTCAAACTCCTGACCTTAGGTGATCTACCTGCCTTGGCCTCCCAAAATGCTGGGATTACTGGTTTGAGCCACTGCGCCCAGCCTCCCTCCCTCCCTTCTTCACTTCATTCCTGAGACAGTTTCATTTTTGTTGCCCAGGCTGGAGTGCAATGGCACGATCTCAGCTCACTGCAATCTCTGACTCCCGGGTTCAAACAATTCTCCTGCCTCAGCCTCCCAGGTAGCTGGGATTACAGGCATGTGCCACTATGCCCAGCTAATTTTTGTATTTTTAGTAGAGATGGACTTTCACCATGTTGGTCAGGCTGGTCTTGAATTCCTGACCTCATGTGATCCATCCGCTTTGGCCTCCCAAAGTGCTGGGATTACAGGGGTGAGCCACCACGCCGGGCCCATTTTATTTTCTATTTCATTAATTTCTGTGCTTATATTTGTTATTTCTTCCTTGAGTTTGATTTGTGCCTTCTTCTGACTTTTTGAGATGCATACATGGCTCAATTTTCAGGCTTTCTTCCTAAGAGATGCCACTGAGACTGAAATTTCCTTCCATGCACTGCTTTAGTTATACTTGACCAATTTTGATCCACAGTATTTACAAAATCATTTATTTCAAAATATTATAATTATTTTTTTGAGACAGAGTTTTGCTCTTGTCACCCAGGCTGGAGTGCAATGGCACAATCTCAGCTCACTGTGTGAGCCACTGTGCCCAACTTTATTTCAAAATATTTTAAAATTTCCATTGTGATTTTTTTCTTTGACCTATGGGTTATTTGAAAGTGTATTTCAGGCTGGGCATGGTGGCTCACGCCTGTAATCCCAGCACTTTGGGAGGCAAAAGTGGACGGATCACCTGAGGTTGAGAGTTCGAGACCAGCCTGACCAACATGGAGAAACCCCATCTCTACTGAAAACACAAAATTAGCCTAGTGTGGTGGTGCATGCCTGTGATCCCAGCTACTCAGGAGGCTAAGGCAGGAGAATCGCTTGAACCCAGGAGGCGGAGGTTGCAGTGAGCCGAGATCACGCCATTGCACTCCAGCCTGGGCAACAGGAGAGAAATTCCATCTCAAAAAAAAAAAAAAAGAAAGTGTATTTCTTAAATGTAAACATATAAGAGTTTTCTATATGTTTACATTTAAATTTTTATGTTTTTGGAAATGGGTTCTTGCTCTATCACCCAGGCTGCAGTCCAGTTTGTGATGATAGCTCACTGCAGCCTCGACCTTCTAGGCTCAAGAGAGCGTCCTGCCCCAGTCTCCTGAGTAGCTGGGACTACAGGTGTATGCCTTGATGAACTGTGATGAAACCATCACCCTAATAAAAATAGTAAAAATACCCATCCCCCAGAAAGCTTCCTCCTGTCCTTTTGTAATTTATTGTATTAATTTCAGTTATTCTATTTTTCAGGTCTAAAGTTCTATTTGATTCCTTTTTTAAAACTGCTGTCTTTTATCATAACTATAATAATAGAACTATTCCACATCTTGCTGAAATTTTAAATTTTGTCTTTTATCTCCTTAAACATAGTAAGCATATGATATCTGAGCCCTTGTGAGTCTGTTTCTTTTGTGTTGTTTTGTATTTTTGTTTACCTATCTTTGATTTTGTTTTTTCTAGTCACCCAGGAGCACTAATAACCTGGGATCATTTTAATCCAAAATTAGCTAATGGGCTTTTCCTGGGCCACCCCGTGTCCTTCAGTTAGTGCAATCAAAGCTGGGGGCGGGGTGCAGATGGGGTGCTGGTTACTTCCCGTTCAAGCTTACTCCTAGCGTGTAGTCCTGTGGTGTGCCTAACCAAAGCTTTCAGGATCTCCCAGGCTGGATCCAAGCTTTAATAAAATTTAAACTCCAAATTTTATTCCCCTAACTCTGAGAAACTATGAAAAACTTAGATAAACTTCCAGCCTCTTCAGGATCAGCAGATACCACCACGGCAAAAGCTGCTTTGCATGCTGGACTCCCGTCCCTGGGCAGGATGGGCCATTCCTCAGTCCTGTAGGCTCCTACAAGCAGATGTTCTCTTATTTTGGCCAGTTTTTCTGGGAGTCCTCAGGTGAGCTGGTCTGAATTACCTAGTTTGCCTTTACTGCAAGTGGAAGCATCTCTCTAGTCTCATTTTAACCTGCTCTCGTCAACCATATTCCCTACGACTCTACGGTGACTATTCTTCCCAGCGTTGCCAACAAACTCAGTCTCGTCAAATCTAATGGTCAGCTCTTTGTCTCCTTTCTTGACCAGTTGGCAGCATATCACAGAGTTCACTACTCAATCCTTCTTGTAGCGCTTTCTGCCCTGTACTTCCAGAGCCCCACATGCACCTGCTTTTACTGCTACCCTACCTGCGGCTCCTTTGGCGTCTTCTCTGTCGGCCCCTCCTTTTGTTCTGAGCCTGTGCTTGTGGGTGTGGCCCTGGCCTTCATTTTGGCCTCTTTTCTATCTGCACTCATTGATAGCCATTTGGCTGTAATTTTGCCTATGAGCTATGCTGATTGATGGTTTCCTAATTTAAAGTTTTGTGTGTGTGTGTGTGTGTGTGTGTGTGTGTGTTTGAAATAGGTTCTTGCTCTGTCATCCAGGCTGGAGTGCAGTGGTACGATCTTGCACACTGCAAGCTCCGCCTCCTGGGCTCCCAAGCAGCTGGAACTATAGGCACACAGGCTTCCTAATTTATATGTCTACTCAGAATCTGCTCCAATTTTCCAGACTTGTCAGCCTACAGACTACTAGATATGCCTGTTGGGTAGGCCTCTGAAGCTCAACATGCCCAAAATGGAATCCACTCTTGACATACCTCCCAGGACCCCCATCTCAGTGAATGGTACGTACCCTATTCATTCAGTTACCCCAGTGGTTCTCTGCCAGCAGTGCTTTTGCCCCCACAAGACATTTGGCAATGTCTGGAGACACTGTGGTTGTCCTAAGTGGGGCTGCTACTGACATCTAGTGGGTAGATGCTCCTAAGCATCTTATCATGCATATTTGCAGCAAATACAACAAAGAACTTCCACAACAGAGAACCTCCACAACAGAGACCCATCCAAAACAGAGAACCATCCACAACAGAGACCCTCCACAACAGAGACCCATCCACAACAGAGACCCATCCACAACAGAGAACCCTCCACAACAGAGACCCATCCACAACAAAGAACCATTCACAACAGAGAACCACCCACAACAAAGAACCATCCACAACAGAGAACCACCCACAACAAAGAACCACCCACAACAGAGACCCTCCACAACAGAGACTCTCCACAACAGAGAACCATCCACAACAGACTCTCCACAACAGAGACCCTCCACAACAGAGACCCTCCATAACAGAGAACCATCCACAACAGAGAACCATCCACAAGAGAGAACCCTCCACAACAGAGAACCCTCCATAACAGAGAACCATCCACAACAGAGAACCCTCCACAACAGAGAACCCTCCACAACAGAGAACCATCCACAACAGAGACTCTCCACAACAGAGAACCCTCCACAACAGACTCTCCACAACAGAGAACCCTCCACAACAGAGACTCTCCACAACAGAGACGCTCCACAACAGAGAACCCTCCACAACAGACAACCCTCCACAACAGAGAACCCTCCACAACAGAGACCCTCCACAACAGAGAACCCTCCACAACAGAGACCCTCCACAACAGAGACCCTCCACAACAGAGAACCATCCACAACAGAGACCCTCCACAACAAAGAACCACCCACGACAGAGACCCTCCACGACAGAGAGCCTCCACGACAGGGAGCCTCCACGACAGAGAGCCTCCACGACAGAGAACCATCCACAACAGAGACCCTCCACAACAGAGAACCCTCCACAACACAGAACCCTCCACAACACAGAACCATCCACAACAGAGATCCTCCACAACAGAGAACCTCCACAACAGAGAGCCTCCACAACAGAGAACCATCCCCAACAGAGACCCTCCACAACAGAGAACCCTCCACAACAGAGAACCCTCCACAACAGAGAACCCTCCACAACAGAGACCCACCCACAACAGAGACCCACCCACAACAGAGAACCATCCACAACAGAGACCCTCCACAACAGAGACCCTCTATAACAGAGAACCATCCACAACAGAGAACCATCCACAACAGAGAACCTCTACAACAGAGAACCATCCGGCCTCAAACGTCAATAGCGCTGAGGTGGAGAAACTCTGAGTTATACAAACCAAACCTAGGTGTCATCTACAATTCCTATTTTTTTCTCATTCCTAAGTCCTAAAAGCTCCATCTCAGGCAGGGCATGGTGGCTCACGCCTGTAATCCCAGCACTTTGGGAGGCCAACGCAGGTGGATCACTTGAGGTCAGGAGTTCGAGACCAGCCTGGCCAGTATGGTGAAACCCTGTCTCTACCAAAAATACAAAAATTAGCCAGGCATGGTGGCACGTGCCTGTAGTCCCAGCTACTTGGGAGGTGGGGCATGAGAACTGCTTGAACCCAGGAGGTTGAGGTAACAGTAGGCCAAGATCGTTCCACTACACACCAGCCTGGGCGACAAAGTGAGACTCCGTCTCACATACAAAAAACAAAAAGCAAACAAAACAGCTCTATCTCTAAAATAAATCCTGATCTGAATACTTCTTCCCAAGTCCACCACTAATGTGCTAGTCACTTCTGGCCTAGATTCCTAAAAAGTCTCCTAAACAGTCTTCTTGCTTCTGCTCATGCCTCCCTTACCAAACATTCTTCACAGGCAGCCAGAGAAATCCTTTTAAAACAAAACTTCTCACATCACTTATCTGCTTAAGACCTGCCATAGCTGGTTAGGAGCAGTGGCTCATTCCTGTAATCCCAGCACTTTGGGAGGCCAAGGCCAGTGGATCGCTTGAGCACAGGAGTTTAAAATCAGCCTAGTTAACATAGCAAGACCCTGTCTCTACAAAAGAAAAATTAATAAATTTTGCACACCTGTAGTCCTAGTTATTCATGAGGCTGAGGTGGGAGGATTGCTTGAGCCTGGGAAGTTGAGGCTGCAGTGAGCTGTGATCACACCACTGCACTCCAGCCTGGGCAACAGAGCAAGACCCTGTCTCAAAAAAAAAAAGACCTGCCAGGGCTTCCCATGATTCTTTTTAATGCCTGTGTCCCGCCTCACCACCAGCCATGCTCTCCCCTGGCCACTAGCTGCAGCCACACTGGCCTCTGTGCTATTCTTTGAACAGACTAGGTTTTTTCCTGCCTCAGAGCCTTTGTATTTGTTATTTCTTCAGTCTAGAATATTTCTCCTCAAATATTCACATTGTAGGCCCTTCTGCCAGCATCAAAGCCTTCCCTAACTCCATATGGAAAAGAGACCTCTCCTCTCCCACCTCCCCATTGGCTGTCCTTGCCCTGCTCTATTTTCTTCATAGCATTTATTGTTAATTTGTAACTTGGTTACCATCTCTAGTTACAAACTCCACAAGAAAGGAACTTTACCTATTTTTTCCACTGCTATTTATTTTATTTTATTTATTTACTTTTTGGGACGGAGTCTCACTCTGTCACCCAGGCTGGAGTGCAGTGGCATGATCTTGGCTCACTGCAGCCTCCACCTCCCGGGTTCAAGTAAATCTCCTGCCTCAGCCTCCCAGTTGGGATTATAGGCGCACACCACCACACCAGGCTAATTGTTGAATTTTTAGTAGAGATGGGGTTTTACCATGTTGGCCAGGCTGGTCTCGAACTTCTGACCTCAGGTGATCCACCCACCCTGGCCTCTCAAAGTGCTAGGATTAGAGGCGTGAGCCACCGCACTGGCTCATTGCTATTTAATACATCCTAGCACTTACAGTGATGCCTGGCACTTACAGGACTCAAATGTTTATTGAAGGAATGCATGAAAAAAAAATCTGACTCCAAAGTCCATGCTTCTCATGATGCAATGCTACTACATTAGTACCTATGTCACTCATCAGATCTGATTACTGGAAGCTTACTAGGTGCAGGCATTCATCTATGGACACTCTCAGAGAAGACTGCTGCCAAGGGATCAATAAGATCTTTGAGTCATGACCAAGCTGGGCAAGTACTACAATGTCCCATTATCCAAGGTGCTTTGAAAGGGGCCACGGGAGTCTGGGGGCATATAAGAAAGTGACAGAATCTTTCCTCCTTTTTATCCAGTTATGTTTAGGGAATGAAAGAGGCATCCTCTGATTAAAGCTCCAAGTTTGCAGAAGAGAAAGTTTAACAATCCAGCAGATTGTTTCTTCATTTCTGTACATGGTCCCTGATATAAACAAGCAAAACAAAGGTCCTTATCATCTTTTAAGGCCTTGCTTTAAGGTCTCCCTGGAAATATCAGCAAGAGCAGTGTTTTGACAGCATGACTTTCAAGCAGCTGTTGATTCCACAGAGGAAGGGCTGGCCTCTGTGGTAGGGTGAAGTCAGACCAGCATCACCTCTAACCAACTATGCAACTTGCACAAACGGTTTACCCTCGGAACCTCAATGACATTAACTGCCAAATGAATGTAATTCTTCCTACTGTCCTGGATCCCTGAGAGAACTTAATGAAGTGGCAATTTCTGGCCGATGCCTAACAGAACTATTGAACAAATGCTAATTCTCCTCCTCCTGTACTGTAAGTATGAGAAGTGGGGCACTGTAAATACACATGTAGAAAACATGAACACTTTTATGAAACTTTGATTCAATTAGATAAATACCTTCAGCTTCTTTAGTTCAAATTGGTGATTTTGTAAAGAACGTTCATATTCATTCCTGCATTCTTTAAGGGCTGCATTTTCTTGCTCCAGTTGTCTCTGCCAATTCAGAAGAACACATATAAAAGAAGTCTTCACTACCATATTTCCCTGGGCACAGGGAGCATGGACCAGGAAGAAGGCATAGGGAGGAACAATATACATTTTAAAAGCCAATGGGAAGAAGCAGAGGGGACTGGTCAGAAAGTAGGAAGTCTCTGTGGAAACTCCAAGGAAAAAGAAAACCCATCTGTTTTGTTTTATAAAAAGCAGCCTTTATACATCCAGTCTCATGAGCAGGTGTCTCTGGAAAGATAAGAACTGCTCTCGGCTGGGTGCGGTGGCTCATGCCTATAATTCCAGCACTTTGGGAGGCTGAGGTGGGCAGATCCCTTGAGCCTAGGCGTTCAAGACCAGCCTGGGCAACACAGTGAGACCTTGTCTCTCCAAAAAATTTAAAAATTAGCTGGCTGTGGTGGTGCACGCCTGTAGTCCCAGCTACTTGGGAGGCTGAGGTGGCAGGATCACTTGAGTCTGAGAGGTCGAGGCTGCAGTCAGTTGTAATCATGCCACTGTGCTCCAGCCTGGGTGACAGAGTGAGACCCTGTCTCAAACAAAAAAAAAGCTGCCTTCTAAAGTGGTTTCCTAGTGCAGAGGTGGTGACACACTGTCAAGCACGAGGCTGACTTCGCTGTGGGGGACCCTGGTGCTCCTGGGCCCACCCTCTCTTAGCTCTTCACTCACCATCCCTTGCTCTGCGGTGGTCTGGTCAGCTGCCCGCGTTCTCTCCAGGGCCACTATCTGGGCTTCTAGCGCCTGGGTGCGCTCCAAGAACTGCTGCTCCAGAGCAAGGGCCTGCTGCTGCACATGGCTGCTCTCCTGGTTGGCGGCAGCCTGCGGGGAGACCAAAGGACGGTCAGTCAGGGTGACAATGGTTTCCAGTGGGGGATCTTAGTCTGGCCCTAGGTGAGAAGATGAGTATCCAACAGAAACAACTCTCTCCTGACCCCATCCCCCCTGGCGTTGCTGAGGTCCCCCCTGCAGGCTCTGCCTGTTGCTCCTGGACCCTGGCCTGTCCAGAAGATGGAGTCTTGATGTCATCACTCCATCCTCAAGGTGTGTGGGGACAGCTCTGGGCACCAGCCAGCCCTTAGACACAGGCCTCCTTCACACTACTCAGTGTTGCCTCAGTGGCTGCGGCTTTCCCTGGGGAGAAATTATACTGGGGAGGCAGTATAATACAGCAATGAAGAACAGGGCTTTGACAGGAGAAAGATGTGGATTCTGCCATTTACTGGCTGCGAGCCTGTGGGCTACTGAGCCAATCTTTCTGAGCTTGCCTCGTCTACAGGATGAGGATGACAGTGCATAATTCTCAGGTCTCCTGCAAGGACTAAACGAAAACACGTGCATAGCACTGAGCACAGTGCCTGGGACATGGCGAATATGAAATACACGCTGGCTGGTTTGATTTCCCTATCTTCTAACTCCACACCACGCTTGGCCTGTCATCACAGGCCATCCTCCCCAGAGTCTGGACTTGTTCTCCCCGCCCCTGATTGCAAGTTGAGGCTTGACTCCTAGCGGAGCTGCCACCTCTGACAGCCCCAGGACCAGGCTGGACCAGAAGGTGGGATGTAAGGTGGAAAGGAGCTGCTGGTGCACCTCCCAGGTAACTCAGGCCCACCATTAGGTCCTGACTCCCTCCACCCCCTGCTGCTGGCCTGCTCACATCCAGCACAAGAACTGTATCTATGGGCAGGTCCAGGTACCGTTGCCGAAGTTCGGAATGAGTTTGGAGCATCTGCAAAGGCCTGGAGAGAAAGCATTAAGGGCCTGGAATGCAGCAGCTCCAATAAGCACTTACGAGCTCCTGTATCTGAGTTTCCTGGGCAGCCACAATGCCCTTGCTCTGTTGGAGCTGCTCCTCAGAGGCCTGCAAGGTCTGCTCCAGTTCTCTCACCTGAGAGGGAAGCAGAAGCATTCTTTCTGTTCACAAGAAGCTGAAGAGTGGTAACAAATGGCTTTAAAATGCAAAGCGATTTAAATAAAACAGGTACATTATAGAAAAATGTAACCTGAGAAAAAAGATACTGCATAAGTCTACCATTATAAAACACTAGCATTCTAACGTATTTTCTTAAACTCTCTTTTAATGACTTTTGTTTATAGCTTTATATAAAGTTTTAATAGGACAATGTAAAACTTTGTATCTTTTCCCTACTCTTAAATGTCCTTCTGTCTCCATGTAATCTTTAGACCTCAGATTATTATTTCCTCTAGAGTGTTTTGTAATTTACTGACCCATTTGCCTACTGTGCTGCCTACTTAGGCTTTCTGTTTTTCCCATCTAAAAGAATGCAGCAATTAACATCTTCACACAGTATTTTTTTTTTTTTTTTTTTGAGATGGAGTCTTGCTCTGTCGCCCAGGCTGGAGTGCAGTGGCATGATCTCCACTCACTGCAAGCTCCGCCTCCTGGGTTCACGTCATTCTCCTCCCTCAGCCTTCTGAGTAGCTGGGACTACAGGTGCCCGCTACCATGCCCAGCTAATTTTTTGTATTTTTAGTACAGACAGGGTTTCACTGTGCTAGCCAGGATGGTCTTGATCTCCTGACCTCGTGATCCACCTGCCTTAGCCTCCCAAAGTGCTGGGGCTACAGGCGTGAGCCACCATGCCCGGCCTATTTTTTTTTTTTTTTTTGAGATGGAGTGTCACTCTGTCATCAGGCTGGAGTGCAGTGGCGTGATCTCAGCTCACTGCAACCTCCGCCTGCTGGGTTCAAGCGATTCTCCTGCCTCAGCCTCCTGGGTAGCTAGGACTACAAGCGCACGCCACCACGCCCAGCTATTTTTTTTTTTTTTTTGAGATGGAGTCTCACTCTGTTGCCCAGGCTGGCGTGCAGTAGTGCAATCTTGGCTCACTGTAACCTCCACCTCCTGGGTTCAAGTGATTCTCCTACCTCAGCCTCCTGAGTAGCTAGGGACTACAGGCACATGCCACCACACCCAGCTAATGTTTTGTATTTTTAGTACAGACAGGGTTTCACCATGTTAGCCAGGATGGTCTCGATCTGCTGACCTCGTGATCCGCCCACCTCGGCCTCCCAAAGTGCTGCAATTACAGGCATGAGCCACCGCACCTGGTTGCTAATTTTTGTATTTTTAATAGAGACGGGGTTTCACCATGTTGGCCAGGACACACAGTATTTTTTTAACTGGTTTGAATCACTTCCTTAGGACAGATTCCTTGAAGTGGAATTACTGTTCACAATACAAATTCAGGATTTACTCATTCCACAAATACTGAGCAAGACTGACTCCATACCAGGAACTGCACCTGGGCACGAGGCCAGTGCCGTGAGTGGGACAGATGTAGACTGGCCCTCAGGGACTCACTGTCTAGTACTGAGTTGCACTTGGCTCTCCAAGATGGCAGTTTTACCAGATTCAAGCTACATCTATGAATTTCTCTTAGAAAGCCTTCTTATTTACTGAATAAGGTCTGGCCTTGGGGAGCTTTATTATTATTATTATTATTTTTGAGATGGAGTCTCGCTCTGTCGCCCAGGCTGGAGTGCAGTGGCATGATCTCGGCTCACTGCAAGCTCCACCTCCCGGGTTCACGCCATTCTCCTGCCTCAGCCTCCTGAGTAGCTGGGACTACAGGCAACTGCCACCATACCCAGCTAATTTTTTCTATTTTTTAGTAGAGACGGGGTTTCACTGTGTTAGCCAGGATGGTCTCGATCTCCTGACCTCATGATCCGCCTGCCTTGGCCTCCCAAAGTGCTGGGATTACAGGTGTGATTCACCGCGCCCAGCTGGGGAGCTTTATTATTAAACATAAGCACAAGGAAGGCTGTATGCAGCTTGGTGAAGGAGAGGTAGACACACAAGGAGAGGATTTTTTTTCTTTTTGAGACAGTCTTGCTCTGTCGCCCAGGCTTGAGTGCAGTGGCGCGATCTCGGCTCACTGAAAGCTCCGCCGCCTCCTGGGTTCACGCCATTTTCCTGCCTCAGCCTCCTGAGTAGCTGGGACTACAGGCGCCTGCCACCATGCCCAGCTAATTTTTTGTATTTTTAGTAGAGACAGGGTTTCACCGTGTTAGCCAGGATGGTCTCGATCTCCTGACCTTGTGATCCGCCCGCCTCAGCCTCCCAAAGTGCTGGGATTACAGGCATGAGCCACCGTGTCCAGCCAAGGAGAGGACGTTTTTAAGGCCTAGGCTCCTCACATACATTCACATCTTAGATTTAACCGAAACAATCCCATGAGAAAGGGGCTACTAGTCCACGGAGAAGAACAGGATTGTTACTAGCTCATGACTGCAAATTTTATTGGTGGTAGCGCCAAAACTAAGACGTTGTTTTACACTCCTGAGATCAGAAAATACCTAAGTCTCAATTTAGAAGCCAAGTTCAAGATAGATTCAGATCTTCAAGAGATTAAAGAAAAAGTTACCATATCACCCTGCAATTTTATTCCTAGGTATACACTGAAGAGAAATGAAAACACTAAGTCCACACAAAAACCTTGTACAGGAACGTTCATGGTAGCATTATTCACAACAGCCAAAAGATAGAAACAACGCAAATGTCCATCAAAAGCTGGGTGTGGGTTGGGTGCGGTGGCTTATGCCTGTAATCCCAGCATTTTGGAAGGCCAAGACGGGTGGATCACTTGAGGCCAGGAGTTCGAGACCAGCCTGGCCAACATGGCAAAACCCTATCTCTGCTAAAAATACAAGGCGTGGTGGTCTATATGTGTAGTCCCAGCTACTCAGAAGGCTTAGGCACAAAAACTGCTTAAACCTGCGGGGTGGGGGTTGCAGTGAGCCAAGATCGCACCACTGCACTCCAGCCTGGGCAACAGAGCGAGATTTTGTCTAAAAAAAAAAAAGCTATGCCTTTGCCTCCCTAAGTACTGGGCTTACAGAACGGGGGCTCGTGCCTGCAAGCCAAGCACTTAGGGAAACAAAGGTATAGCTTGAGCCCAGGAATTGGAGACCTGCCTGGGCAACATAGGGAGACCCTGTTCTCCACAAAAAGGGGAGAAAAAGACCAAAAAAAAAAAAAAAAAAAAAGACAAATGGAATTCAAGTGTTCATCAATGAATGAATGGAGAAACAAAATGTGGTCTATACATATAATGGAATATTATTCAGTCTTAAAAAGGAATAGGCCAGGCACAGTGGCTCATACCTGTAATCCCAGCACTTTGGGAGGCCGAGGTGGGCGGGTCACAAGGTCAGGAGATTGAGACCATCTTGGTCAACATGGTGAAACCCCATCTCTACTAAAATGCAAAAAATTAGCCAGGCGTGGTGGAGCGTGCCTGTAGGCGCGCGCCTGTAGTCCCAGCTACTCGGGAGGCTGAGGTAGGGGAATTGCTTGAACCTAGGAAGCGGAGGTTGCAGTGAGCCGAGATCGTGCCACTGCACTCCAGCCTGATGACGGAGCAAGACTCCATCTCAAAAAAATTCTAAAAAAAAAAAAAATTCTGTTAAAAAAAAAAAAGGAATGAAAGTCTGACATATGCTACAACATAGATGAACACTGAAGATGTATATACTAAGTCAAATAAGCCAGACACAAAAGGACAAACATTGTATGATTCCACCAACAGGAGGTATCTAGAGTGTCCAAACTCAAAGAGACAGAAAATAGAATGGTGGTTCCCAGACTGGGGTAGGAGGAATTGGGGAGTTACTGTTTAATAAGTATAGAGTTTCTGTTTGGGAAGATGAAAAAGTTTTGGAGATGGATGGTGGTGATGGTTGTACGACAATGTACACTGATCAAAAAGGATATTCAGAAACAGAATTGAAATTATAATAAAACAGTCTTTTCAGAAAAATATAGTTTAAAATGTATTTATCAGGAAATAAGAAAGATTTTAAAAATGAGATAAATATTCAATTCAAGAAATTAAACAAATTGGCCAGCACAGTTACTCACATCTGTAATCCCAGCACTTTGGGAAGCTGAGGTGGGCAGATCACTTGAGGTCAGGAGTTTGAGACCAGCCTGGCCAACATGGTGAAACCCCGTCTCCACTAAAAATACAAAAAGGCTGGGCGCAGTGGCTCACGCCTGTAATCCTACCACTTTGGGATGCTGAGGCAGGTGGATCACGAGGTCAGGAGTTCAAGACCAGCCTGGCCAACATGGTGAAACCTTGTCTCTACCAAAAATACAAAAATTAGCTGGGCATGGTCACATGCCTGTAATCCCAGCTACTTGGGAGGCTGAGGCAGGAGAACTGCTTGAACCAGGACACAGGAGGCAGAGAGAGCAGTGAGCCAAGATTGCACCACTGGACGCCAACCCAGGCTACAGAGCCAGACTCTGTCTCAAAAAAAAAAAATAAATAAAATAAAATAAATTAAAAAAATACAAAAAAAAAAATGAGCCGGGTGTGGTGGTACACACCCATAATTCCAGCTCTTTGGGAGGTTGAGGCAGGAGAATCGCTTGTGCCTGGGAGGCGGAGGTTGTGGTAGGCTGAGATCAGGACACTACACTACAGCTTGGGTGATACAGCGGGAGTCCATCTCAAAAAATAATAATAATAAAATAAAATAAAAATAAATAAATAAATAAATATATGGTGCTGTATTCCCAGTACTTTGGGAGGCTGAGATGGGTGGATCACTTGAGGTCAGGAGTTTGAGACCAGCCTGGCCAACATAGTGAAACCCCGTCTCTACTAAAAATATAAAAATTAGCCAGGCGTGGAGGCAGGCATCTTTTAACCCAGCTACTTGGGTGGGTGAGGCAGGAGAATTGTTTGAACCTGGGAAGCGGAGGTTGCAGTGAGCCGAGATCATGCCACTGCACTCCAGCCTGGATGAGAGTGAGACTCTGCCTCAAATAAATAAATAAATAAATACATACATACCAAAAACCTGCAAATGTTACACCAAATAATGAAACTTTAGGCATATTTCCTTTAAGACTGGGAACAAAACAAAGATTCCCACTAACCCTTTTATTGCTTCACTCAGTCTGGAGGTCTTTAATGCTATATGAACAGAAAATGGAATAAGAGGTGGGAAGATTGGAAGGAGTAAGATAAAGTTGTCATTTTTTCATAGATAATATGATTATCTACCTAAGAAAAACAACAAAAAAATCACACAGTAGTAGAGTAAGAAAGTTCAGCAGGGGTGTGATATCCAAGATCAACTTTAAAAAATGGCAGTTCTCTAGAATAACCAGAAATAACCAATTATAAATATGATTAAAAATAAAGTTCGGGTGTGGTGGCTCGTGCCTGTAATTCCAGCACTTTGGGAGGCCGAGGCTGAGGTCAGGAGTTCGAGACCAGCCTGGCCAACATGACAAAACCCCGTCTCTGCTAAAAATACAAAAATTAGTCGGGCGTGGTGGCACGTGCCTGTAATTCCAGCTACTCAGAAGGCTGACGCAGAAGAATTGCTTCAACCTGGGAGGCGGAGGTTGCAGGGAGCCGAGATGGCACTATTGCACTCTAGCCTGGGGGATAGAGTGAGACTGTGTCTCCAAAAAATAAATAAATAAATAAATAAATAAATAAATAAGGGCCTGGCGCAGTGGGTCATGCCTATAATCCTAGCACTTTGGGAGGCCAAGGCAGGCGGATCACCTAAGGTCAGGAGTTTGAGACCAGCCTCAACATGGTGAAACCCTGTCTCTACTAAATACATAAAAATTAGCTTAGCGTGGTGGCACGTGCCTGTAATCCCAGCTACTTGGGAGGCTGAGGCAGGAGAATCGCTGGAACCCAGGAGGCAGAGGCTGCAGTGAGCCAAGATAGTGCCACTGCACTCCAGCCTGGGCGACAGAGTGAGACTCTATCTCAAAAAAAAAGAAAGATTAAAAATAAGATACCATCACAGGCCGGGCGCGGTGGCTCACGCCTATAAACCCAGCACTTTGGGAGGCCAAGGCAGGCGGATCATCTGAGGTCAGGAGTTTGAGACCAGCCTGGCCAACATGATGAAACCCTGTCTCTACTAAAAATATAAAAAAATTAGCTGGGCGTGATGCTGGACACCTGTAATCCCAGCTACTCGGCAGGCTGAAGCAGGAGAATCGCTTGAACCCGAGAGGTGGAGGTTGCAGTGAGCCGAGATTGTGCCATTGCACTCCAGCCTGGGTGACAAGAGCAAAACTCTGTCTCAAAAGAAAAAAAAGATACCATCACAGTATCAACACAAACTCTAAAGTTTCTAGGAATTAGCAACTTAGGCAAGAAAATAAGACATCTATTGAGAAAAATGTAAAATTTTAATAAAACACACAGAAAATAATCTGAATAAATGGAATATATTTACATTGTTAGAAGGAATAATTAATATTATAAAATGGACAATTTTTCCCAATTAGCCTATACATTTAATGCAATCCCAATAAAAATTCAAGTTGAATTTTTTAGTAACTCAAAAACTTAAAAATTTTAAAGGCCCATAAATAGTTAAAGTCAACCTTTGAAAAAAAAAGAGAATTTGTCTTATTGGGTGTTGAGATATAGTACAGATATCACTATAGTAATAAAAACATTGTAGTGTTTACACAAGAGCAGACAATCAGACCAATGGACAGAGAATGCAGAGACAAACCCATGTGCAGACAGAAACAATACGTGATAAAGTTAGCAAGAGGAATCAATTCAGAAAGGACAGACTGTTTAGTAAATGATTTTGAGAAATATGCAGAATTTCTCCATATTTAGATCCCTACCTAAGACCATACAGAAAGACAGTTTGTAAGTGAATTAGAGATTTATTATGTGAAGGAAAAATTATAAAGTTAATAGGGAAAAAACAGTAGATCTCTGTGACTTAGGAACAGGAATAGATTTTCTAAATGGAACTTCAAACTCCACAGCAAAAATGTGATGAATCTGGTAACACTGAACTTAAGAAAGTCTATTCAACAAAGGATACATGGACAAAGTTAACAGAATGACTCAGGACTGAAACTGATAAAGCATTAGGAACAAGAATATACAATGAAATCCTACAAACCAAATAAGAAAAGACTGAAACCCCCAAAGAAAATAAGGAAAGGATATGAATGGGCAATTCCAAAAGCAGAAACCCCCAGGAATTAACAGGCACATGAAGACAAGGCCAAACTCATTAATCACCATAGCAATGCAAATTAAAGCAATGAAATACCACTCCACACTCAGTAAACTGGCAAAAATTGTAAAGGCTTGGAAATGCCAATGCTGGAAAAGTCAGAAAGGCATATATAGGAACGCTCATGCATGCTGGAGGAGGAGAGCCAGGTGCAGGCTTGCTGGGAACAATCTTCTCCTATAGTACTTAGTCTCTTTAGGTTTTATGCATGATCTGAGGTGGCAGGAAGAAGGAAGCAATCTGGATGTCTACCACATAGATAACTACAAAGTACAATGAAGTGGGTACAGACAGAAGTTGAGGCAGCTAAAAGTAATAGAGAAAACATACCCATAGCTGCATCATTTACAGAAATTAAAAACCCAGTGCTACATATTTTAAAACAACCCAACAAAAAGAGCATCTATATGAACCACAACGGAATGGTATCCTATGGGAGGGAGGCCAATGGGGATAAAAGGGTATAAATAAACATATAACTCAATCATAGTAATGTGACAAGGATGAAGAAAATGACTAACTCATCCCTGTATAGGTAAGATCCAAAAATAATCCCTTCTAGTGAAAAAACTCTGACCAAGAAGATTCTCAGTCACACCATGTTGCCATTCAGCCAGGTTACCACCCAAACTTAGGAAACACCAGGAGTAAGGTCAGTACCCGAGTCTCCAGGGTGTTAATGGCCTTAGCCTGGCTGCTTCTGGCTGCCAAGAGCTGTTGTCTGGTATCCTCCAAATTCTGCTCAGCAAGTGTTTTCTGTAAGTTGAAAGAAGAGTAAAAGAAGACTATCATTCCTCAGTTGAATAAATATTTACAGATTATCTACAACATATTGTGACTTGTGCTAGGCACAAGAGACATGAATACATTTTTAATAATTCAGCTAATTGAGAAATAATTCACATATCATAAAGTACACACAGATAAATTTGAAATAGTCCCTTGACCTTGAGGCTGGAACAAAAGACTAATAAAAAATTACACAATAGAGTACAGTAAGTGTCCACAAAGAGGAAGAAGCACAGGGTGGGAGATACTCCCTGCCACAGGGCAGGTAGGCAGCTTTAGAACTCACAAAGTCGTTAGGGTTCAGGGAGCCTCCCAGGCAGGGGGATGACCAACGGCTATGTGAACAGCCTGCTACGTTGAGGGAACTACTACTCCTCAGAAGCCAAAATGATGATGGGTTTAGGTCAAAAAACAAGACTAGAAAGATAGGCAAAAGGGCCAGCTCATGAGAAGCTTTTGAATGTTGCAAAAAGGAGTTAGAACTTGATTCTGTAAGCAACATTTTTCAAAGTAGAAATTCTAGGCCGGGTGTGGTGGCTCACACCTGTAATCCCAGAACTTTGGGAGGCTGAGGCAGGCAGATCACTTTAGGTCAGGAGTTCGAGACCAGCCTGGCTAACGTGGTGAAATCCCATCTCTACTAAAAATATTTTAAAAATTAGCTGGATGTGGTGGTGGGTACCTGTAATCCCAGCTACTTGGGAGGTTGAGGCAGGAGAATTACTTGAACCCAGGAAGCGGAGTTGCAGTGAGCAGAGATTGTACCACTGAACTCCAGCCTGGGTGACAGAGTGAGACTCTGTCTTAAAAAAAAAAATGGGGCTGGGAGCGGTGGTTCACGCCTGTAATCCCAGCACTTTGGGAAGCCGACGTGGACAGATCACGAGGTCAGAAGTTCGAGACCAGCCTGACCAACATGGTGAAGCCCTGTCTCTACTAAAAATACAAAAAAATTAGCTGGATGTGGTGGTGTGCACCTGTAGTCCCAGCTACTCGGGATGCTGAGGCAGGAAAATCACTTGAACCCCGGGAAGCAGAGGTTGCAGTGAGCCGAGATCACGCCACTGCACTCTAGCCTGGGCAACAGAGTGAGACTCCGTCTCAAAAAAAAAAAAAAAAAAAAGAAATGTAGACTTAGCTGAGATAGCTGTTACTGAGATAGTTGTTAATCTCAGCTAGTTGCACAGATTTGAGGCCTTGCTCCAAGCCTAAGGAAATCAGAATTTCTGAGGGTAGGGCCAGAGATATATACTTTATTTACTTATTTATTATTTTTGAGATGGAATTTCACTCTTGTCGCTCAGGCTGGAAAGTAGTGGTGCGATCTTGGCTCACTGCAACCTCCGCCTCCTGGGTTCAAGTGATTCTCTTGCTTCAGCCTCCTGAGTAGCTGGAATTACAGGCACCCGCCACCATGCCCAGCTAATTTATTTATTTATTTATTTTTTTGAGACAGAGTCTCGCTCTGTCACCAGGCAGGAGTGCAGTGGCATGATCTCAGCTCACTGCAACCTCCCAGGTTCAAGCAATTCTCCTCCCTCAGCCTCCGGAGTAGCTTGGGACTACAGGCATGTGCCACCACGCCCAGCTAATTTTTGTATTTTTAGTAGAGACGGGCTTTCACCATGTTGGCCAGGATGGTCTCGATCTCCTGATCTTGTGATCCGCCCGCCTCGGCCTCCCAAAGTGCTGGGATTATAGGTGTGAGCCACCGCGCCTGGCCTAATTTTTGTATTTTTAATAGAGGCGGGGTTTTGCCATGTTGGCCAGGCTGGTCTTGAACTCCTGACCTCAGGTGATCTGCCCGCCTCGGCTACCCAAAGTGCTGGGATTACAGGCGTGAGCCACCACGCCTGGCCTAGAGATATATACTTTAAACAAACTTCCCAAGTAATTTCTATGCACATTAAACATTATAATAATGATGATGGCACAATAATAATATTGATCATGTTTACAGCTGACATACATTGAGACCCTACTCTGTTCCGGTTATCATTCTAAGCACTTCACATATTGTAACTTATTTAACCCTAACAACAATTCTGAGTTTAATAGTATAATAAAACCAATTTTATTGGGGAGGAAGCAAACACAAAGAGATTAAATTACTTGCTCTAAGTCAGGGGTCCCCAACCCTTGGGCCACAGACCTTGCAGTCTGTTAGGAACCAGGCCGCACAGCAGGAGGTGAGTGGTGAGTAAGCACTACCACCTAAGATCTGCCTCCAGTCACATCAGTGGTGGTGTTAGATTTTCATAGGAGCATGAACCCTATTGTGAACTGTGCAAGTGAGGGATCCAGGTTGCACACTCCTTATGAGAATCTAGGGACGATGATGATCTGAGGTGGAACAGTTTTATTCTGAAACCACCCCCTCACCCGACCCAACCTGACCCCATCTGTGGAAAAACTGTCTTCCACGAAACCAGTCCCTGGTGCCAAAACGGTTGGGAACTGCTGCTCCAAGTCAAAGCTGGTAAGCAGAAGAGGCAAAATGCAAGCATGGACATTCTGATTCTAGAAATCAATTTATTCCCTAGAACCCACATTACACTTCCTGTAGACTGTTGAAGGGAATTGTAGAAGATGTTTAAGAGAGTGATATGGTCACCAGTGCTGATTAGGAGGATCAGTTTGGCAGTGAGCGTGGGAGACTGTGTCAGAGAGTGAAGGAAGAGAGACTGATGCTGGGTAGGCCAATCTGGAGACTTCTAACATAGACTAGGCTAGATTTGCTGGAAACCCTGAAGTACAACCAGTGGCACTGGAGATGGAGGTATTTAGTTGAAACTGACTGAAGAAAGAAAGGGAGGGTCTAATCTAGGAGCCTCATGACCTGGGCTTTGTCACCTTTGTCACAGTGTGGCCAATCACTGGAACAGAAAGAGAGGGAAGAGCAGAATGTGTGCAGACAATGAGCTCAGCCTGATGAGAAAGTTCCCTTGCACCACTGGGGAAGAGGCCAGTCTGCACAACAGCCTCCCTTGGGAAGGAGAGAATGCTGCCCAAGGTAATTCTTGCTTTTGCCAAGGGGCAGATGTAGCTATTTACCTTGGCCACTGCAGAGTACAAAATGGTGGGGAAGAGGGCAGTGCAGAAAGACAAGGCAGCCCAAGTGGCGGAAATCACTAGGTGTGGTTTATTGGTGATGAGATGCTATCCGTTTGTATGTATCTCTGAATACAGCTCTCCCTTTCCCTGAGAAAAGCATGTCACCCACAGGGGACATAAGGCTCTTTCTGATGTAAGCAGGACAAGCCAAAGTTGGAGACACTTCTTTTGTTACCATGCTGTTTGCTGGCCCTACAGCTCTGAAACTCTAGGAATTGTGAAGTCACCAGAATCAACCCTGCCTTTCCAACACCAGCCAGCCCAAAGAGAACAGAAGTTACCTCTTTCAGGAGTTCTTGCAAGTGTTCTTCTCCTGATAAGTTCTGTTCTAGTCTCTTCTCCAAGGATGCAACCTTCTCTTGCAAATGTGTGATAACGTCTTCTTTCTCTTGAGTTTCAGCAGTGACCTGCAGGTGAAAGCAGAGATCACTCTATACTAGAAGCCCTCTCTTCCTTCCTTCCTGCTTTCTTTTGGGCCATCACATTTTCCTGCAACTCTGTCCTCAACTGTATCCTAGAAGAACAAACAGCTAAGAGATCTTCCTGAAAATGGGATACAGAAAATGCAAGATTAGAACCTGGCAAAACTCAGGGATCCAGCTCAGACCTAGTGCAGCAAGAAGCAAACACTCTTCCCAATTAAACAACTGACAGTCTGGAACAAAGGCATTACCTACGTGGTAGAGGCAGCAGAACTAATCCCACCAAGAAGCACTCAGCCTGCAATGACCTATGGAACAATGCTCCTGAAAGCTGAGGGGCTGGATAAAGCAGTAACAGTGCTGATGTAGTGGCTTTAAGGCTAAAGAGAGAACTTCTGAAATGATGAGATTCACCTGGCTCACAGGACAGGGACCACAGCAGAGCTGCCATGCTTCTCATACCTTGGCTTTAGACCAACAGCTGCCCGTTTTATTTCAATCTATTATTTTTGGTTTTTTGAGACGGAGTGTCGCTCTGTTGCCTTGGCTGGAGTACAGTGGCGCGATCTCGGCTCACTGCAACATCCACCTCCTGGGTTTACGCCATTCTCCTGCCTCAGCCTCCCGAGTAGCTGGGACTACAGGCGCCCACCACCACACCCGGCTAATTTTTTGTATTTTTAGTAGAGACGGGGTTTCACCATATTGGCCAGGATGGTCTCAATCTCCTGTCCTCATGATCCACTAGCCTCGGCCTCCCAAAGTGCTAGGATTACAGGCGTAAGCCACTGTGCCTGGCCAGTCTATCTCTTTAGCTATGATGGTAGTGGTGGTAGCAACAGGTTGGGACTAACTTGGTTCCTTTTACTGCTACTAATCTTCAACTGCTGCTTGTATTAGTCCATTCTCACACTGCTATAAAGAATACCTGAGACTGAGTAATTTATAAAGGAAAGAGATTTAATTGACTCACAGTTCCACATGGCTGGGAGGCCTCAGGAAACTTACAAGCATGGCAGAAGGAGAAGGGGAAGCAAGGTACATCTTACACGGTGGCAGGATAGAGCAAGCGAGCGAGGGGGGAAGTGCCATACTGTAAAACCATCAGCTCTCATGAGAACTCACTCACTATCACAAGAACAGCAAAGGAGAAATCTGCCTCCATGATCCGATCACCTCCCACCAGGTCCCTCCCTTGACATGTGGGCATTACAATTTGAGATGAGACACGGAGCCTAACCATATCACTGCTCAATGTCAAAGCAGAGGATCCAGGAAGCTTTGAATACATGAGTTCTTACATCCCCACTGAGGATGCCCATTCTTCCCCAGAAAAGGTTGTAGGGCAACAAAATCTCACTGTGAAGACTTGTACCTCTTTACATGTACTCTGTTCCCTCAAATTCCCTTATCTTACACTTCCGTTGCTCCATTTCAAGCCATAAACTTTCATGTTCAGTTGTAACTTGGCCGATCTCTCCTCAGGATAAGATGCAGCAACCAGGGTGTATGGTTTTGGGAAGAAGTATTTGCCATTCTGAATTCTCACAGGTGGACAACAGAGATAGTGGAGGGGAAGTCTGAAGACTAGATTTATGACCCCACAATTCAATAAACTTTCATCAAGCCTGAACTCTATCTGTTGTTTTCTGAGGATACAATCAACATTAATTCCAGCATGGAGGCTGGTGGTGGAGACAGACACACACCTAATTACAAAACAACTGTGCTTCAACAGAGGGACACACACCGTGCTATGAGATATGAGATGCAAGAGGGATTAACTGGGAGAATCAGATCAGGCCTCCTGAATGGGCAAGTCCAGGTGAAAGAGGGTGGAAGAGGAACAATCATTCTGCATAAAGGGCAGCACATACAAAGAGGTAACAGACAAGTCCTGCAAGGCTAGAGGCTGGGTGAGGAGGAAAGAACAGCTGAACACAACTCTCAGGTCTGTGGCTCAGACACCTGGGCAAATGGTAACATTATGCAAGGTGGATAACACAGGAAAGTGAGTGAGTGTGATAGGAAAAAAAAAGCCAGTTTTGGCCATGTTGACCCATCTTTATGGGTCTCTTATTACTAATGTTAATACTAGCAATAGTTATAACTGTAATATAGCAGAAGCAGCTATAACAAGATTGCTGCAGCAATCTTGAAAAAGAATAACTGTAGGCTGGGCGTGGTGGCTCACGCCTGTAATCCCAGCACTTTGGGAAGCTGAGGTGGGCAGATCACGAGGTCAGGAGATCGAGACCATCCTGGCTAACACGGTGAAACCCCATCTCTACTAAAAATACAAAAACAAAATTAGCCGGACGTGGTGGCAGGCGCCTGTAGTCCCAGCTACTCAGGAGGCTGAGGCGGGAGAACGGCGTGAACCTGGGAGGCGGAGCTTGCAGTGAGCCAAGATCGCGCCACTGCACTCCAGCCTGAGCGAGGAGCGACACTCCGTCTCAAAGAAAAAAAAAAAGGAAAGAAAAAGAGTAACTGTTGATGTAAGAGTTGGAGAACATTACCTGATTTCAACTCTAAAGTGACAATGACCAAGACAGTGTGGTAATAGCGTAAAGACAGACATATAGGGTCAAGGGAACGCTGCAAGCACTTCCTATTATGTCTAGTCCTTACAAATGCTCTTTATCACATCCATTTACAAGGAAACTGAAGCTTAGGGACTAGCCCAAAGGCATATACCTATTAGCGATAGATGAAGAATTTAAATCCAGGTCTTCTGGATCCAAAGTCTGCATTTGTTCCCCTACACATCAATCTGAATTCAAGAGGTATAGATGACCCATTCCAGTTAAAACCAAAACAACACATCTTACACAGGTCACTGTGTTAGGCAAAGTTAGGGACAGAAAAAGAATCAGTGGCCAAGTTCCACTTATGCCTCTTGTGCAACATATTGATATGCGATCTCCTTCTCCAGGCTGGCTGATTTACTTCAGGCCCTCTACACCTCATGTGGACTACGGGAACAGTTACCAAGCCATACTCCCTGACATCAAACCTGCCCCTTTCCTAATGATCACCCTCTTCACCTACTCCCTCCCGAGTCTGGGTCTCACAGTTATAGTCCCAGAATATGGACTGCATCAATTCTGGGTGGTGGTCACTTGATTCAGACAGACATGAGTCTGAATCCTGGCTCTGTCATTGACTCCAGCTGTACGGTCTTGACAAATCATTTAGCCTTTGATGTCAGATGCCCATTACTATCACCTGTAAAATAGGAAAACACTGTCTAACCAAAGGGTAGTTGTGAGGACTCGATGAGTCCCTATCTGTAAAGCTCTTGAATACTGAGCTCAGGGTAAATGCTCAGCTATTCTTGTTAAATATTCACTAATGATTATTTATGAAATTTCATGTTCACTATTTAGTCTATACAACTGGCCCTGCATACCTTCCCAGCCTCATCTAGCACCGTTTCCACTTCCTTTCTAAGCGTTAACCACTTGTCTATCCTTTTGGTTCTCCCAACATGCCTTTTTTTCCTTCATTATAAATGTATTTATGGTGCTGAGACCAGTGGCTTATGTTTGTAATCCCAGCACTGTGAGAGGCCGAGGCAGGAGGCTTGCTTAAAGCCAGGAGATCAAAACCAGCCCAGGTAACACAGGGAGATCTTTTCTCTACAAAAGTAAAAAAATTGAAAACAAAAAAGGTTGAGGTTGCAGTGAGCCAACATCGCGCCACTGCACTCCAGCCTGGGCATCAAGAGCAAAACTCTGTCTCAAAAATAAATAAATAGATAGATAAAATAAAATAAATGGCAGGGCGTGGTGGCTCACGTGTGTAATCCTAGCACTTTGGGAGTCCGAGGCAGGCAGATCAAGAGGTCAGGAGTTCAAGACCAGCCTGACCAATATGGTGAAACCCTGTCTCTTCTAAAAATACAAAAATTAGCTGGGCATGGTGGCATGTGCCTATAGTCCCAGCTACTCGGGATGCTGAGGCAGGAGAATCACTTGAACCTGGGAGGTGGAGGCTGCAGTGAGCCAAGATCACACCACTGCACTCCAGCCTGGGCAACAGAGCAAGACTGTATCTCTAAATAAATAAATAAATAAATAAATAAATACATAAATATACTTATTTAAGTAAAAAAAAAAAAGTAAGGTGAATTCCATGAAAATATTGTGTTAAGTACAATACAGGTTAGGAAGAACATAAATTGGGAAGTTGAAAGATAATGGCTACAGTTGAGGAACTGCTATCCAGTAGAGTAAAAAATGTGTAATTCTGAACACTGTGGGTTAAATAAAAACAAAATGAAAAGAATTAAAGTAAAATTTTGTTTCCAAACTGACAGACATCTGGTAAGAATAAACTAGAAAAAAATAGAAAATGCATAAATACTACTATGAATGAAGATAGGGGAGCAACTAAAAAAAGAATATAAGAAATACAATGCCAAAACATTAAACTTATAGCAAATGAACAATTATGTAGAAAAATATAAATTAACAAAACTTAGGAAGAAATACATAAACTTAGAATTACCATTAAGGAAATCTATTCAGTAATTAAAAATCTTCACAAGCCAGGCAAAGTGGCTCATGCCTGTAATCCCAGGACTTTGGGAGGCTGAGGCAGGAGGATTGCTTGTGTCCTGGAATTCAAAACTAGCCTGGGCAACATAGTGAGACCTTAACTATAAAAAAATTTTTTTTTAATTAGCCAGGTGTGGTAGTGTAAGCCTGTAGTCCCAGATATATGGGAGGCTGAAGTAGGAGGATCACTTACACCCAGGAATTTGAGGCTGCAGTGAGCCATGATTGCACCATTGCACTCCAGCCTGGGTGACAGAGTGAGACCCTGACACACAAAAAAAAAAAAAAAAAAAAAAAAACGAAAACAAAAAAAAAACCCACCATCGACAAAAATTAAAATTTTGGTATGTCCCTACTATATTACTATATAATTGAGAAAAAATAAATTATAGCTCCAGGTATCATATGAATGTTTTTCAGGAGTGCAATGTTGAGCACAAAAAGTAAGTTTAGAAAAATACCTACAGAATGATTTATATAACATTAACAAGCATGGGAAACTAAAGAAGATAGTTTAGGGATAAAACTGACAACATTAGAAAGCAAAGTAGACAATGAAGCAATCTCCAAATAGTACTTACTTCCAAAGGAAAAAGGAATGGGATGGAATAGTGAAGGGCACAGAGGGAACCTCAAAGATAAACACATTGTTCTTTTTCTTAACCTGAGGGATAGCTCAGAGGGCTCATTGCCTTATTATACTTTCTATCATACTCATATTTTATAAATATGTTTTTATATATACTCAATAAAGACAAGAAAAAAACAAATTCCAAATTTACAATCTTCACACAATACCAGCCCTTCTTTTGCCCAAGCCAGAAGCCCATAAATCACCCATAAAAATACAGACTTTTCTCTTCCTGTCCTCCCATATCTATTACATTAGTAAGTCTGTCAATCTCTTCAATAGTTCTTACATTTGTCTACCCATTATTATCTTCACCACCACACTTGTCAAAGCCTCCATCATCTTACGGTCGAACAACTGCAAAAGCTTCCTAAGTGGAAGACCCTCTCAGTCTCCTAACGGCCAGAGTAATCTGTTATTCTCTCTTATTCTGTATGTCACTGGCTTTCTTCTAGTTCCTTGAATGTGCTAATCCTTTTATTTGCCTCAGAGTTTTTGTTCATGCTGTTCCCTGCTTGAAATTCTCTCCCATCATCCCTTTCTCTCCAGCCTGAGCACTGTATCGAGTGTTACTTCCTTAAGTGTTCTACGGCTCCAACTGGATCTGATCTGATATATATATATATTTTTTTTTTGAGACGGAGTTTCGCTCTTTTTGCCCAGGCTGGAGTGCAATGGTGCAATCTCGGCTCACTGCAACCTCCACCTCCTGGGTTCAAGCGATTCTCCTGCCTCAGCCTCCCAAGTAGCTGGGATTACAGGTGTGTGCCACCATGCCCAGCTAATTTTGTATTTTTAGTAGAGACAGGGTTTCTCCATGTTGGTCAAGCTGGTCTCGAACTCCCAACCTCAGGTGATCCACCTGCCTCGGCCTCCCAAAGTGCTGGGACTGCAGGCGTAAGCCACCAAGCCCAGCCCTGATCTGATATCTTTTAATAGGATCTCACTAAATCTCGTAGTTTTCTTTCAGAACACTCATCACGGTTAGTAATTATATATGTGATTACTGATTAATGTCTGACTTCCCTTCTAGACTATAAGCACCACAAAGGCAAGAACTGTATCTATTTTGCTCACCATAATATTATGAACACCCAGCACAGAGCCCAGCACATAGTAAAGCTCAACTAATATTTTTAGAATGAATGAAGAAACTTACTGTGACCAAAGTCTGGACTTCCCTGAGCCCCATTTTTCCAATTATAAAAACAACAGATGGTTCTAATTGACATCAAAGGGTCCCTTGACTATCAAAGTTGTGGCCAGGTGCCTGTAATCCCAGCACTTTGAGGGCCGAGGTGGGCAGATCACTTGATGCCAGGAGTTCAAGACCAGCCTGGCCAACATGGTGAAATCCTGTCTCTACTAAAAATACAAAAATTAGCCCGGTTGGTGCCTGTAGTCCCTGCTATTCAGGAGGCTGAGGTGGGAGGATTGCTTGAGCCTAGGAGGTGGAGGTTGCAGTGAGCCAAGATCACGCCATTGCACTCCAGCCTAGGTGACAAAGTGAGACCCTGTCTCAGAAAAAAACAAAATAATACAAAAACCAAAGTTGTGTATCTATTTTCCCCCTTCTTCCATGACCCCAAATGTACTCTCTGACCTTCTGCCTTTTCTGCCTCCTGCTGTCCTCCTGATCCTTGACATTCCAGTTCCTCTAGGAAGATTTCCTTGACTCCTGGGCTGGAATGTACTTCCCCTATGGTATATCTTTTGTATTTGAAAAATCTAGGGCTGAGTGTGGTGGTTCACCTCTGTAATCCCAGCACTTTGGGAGGCTGAGGCGGGTGGATTGCTTGAGCCCAGGAGTTCGAGACCAGCCTGGGCAACATAGCGAAACCCCATCTCTACAGATAATAATAATAAAAAAAAATTAGCCTGTTGTAGTGGCATGTGTCTGTAGTCCCAGCTATTTGGGAGGCTGAGGTGGAAGGATCACTTCAGCCTGGGAGGCTGAGGCTGCAGTGAGCCGTTGACGTCACTGCACTCCAGCCTGGGTGAAAGAGCAAGACCGTGTCTCAAAAAAAAGAAAAAAAAGAAAAGAAAAAAGAAAAACCTAGTTCACTTACTTGAGACTTCTTGTTTGAGCATTTCTTTTCTTGTGATTACAGTAGGTTTGAGTTCTATAATGAAACTGTAAGCCTCTGAAGGAAAACAATGTCTGTATTGAGATTTTTAGTTCATTGAGGGTAAAAAGCCTGTATCACAGTCATTCATTCACGTATATATTTACTGGGTGCTCCTTATTGTGAGGCAGCAAAGTGCAGTAGAATAAGCATGAGTTCTGGAGTAAGACTTGGGTTAGAATCCAACTCTGTCACTTACGGTTATAACTGTGAACAAGGTCAATAACCTCTTAGTTTCCACTTAGGTATCTGTAAGTATGATAATACTTAGCTAAGACCTCTATTGACAAAATCTTACTGTACTGTAATTATGTTGTAAGGCTCTGTCTCACTTGAGATCAGCAATTCTGAAAGATGAGGGTAGGGTGGATGGCACTGCCGAATAGGGGGTGGTTCTGTGATGTGAGGGGAAGGGCTGGATGTCAATGACTGAAGGATGCTATTGGCATTCAGAACCCAGAGGCCAGGAATGCTAAATGTCGCGCAATGCAATGGACAATCATACAATACGAGTTGTTCTGCTCAAAATGCCAATAATAAATTATGTCATTGGGAAATACTACTTTATTTTATTTATATTTATTTATTTATTTATTTATTTTATTATTTTTTTAAGACAGAGTCTCTCTCTGTCACCCAGGCAGGCTGCAGCGCAGTGGCACAATCTCAGCTCACTTGCAACCTCCACCTCCCAGGTTTAACCGAATCTCCTGCCTCAGCCTCCCAAGTACTGGAATTACAGGTGCACGCCACCACACCCAGCCTTATTTTTATTTTTAAAGATAGTCTTGCTCTATTGCCTGGGCTACAGTGCTGTGATATGGTCATGGCCCACTGCAGCCTTGAATTCCTGGGCTTAAGCGATTCTCCCACCATAGCCTCCCAAACAGCTGGAACTACAGGTGCACACCACCACAACTGGCTAATTTTTTTTTTTTTTTTTGGTAGAGATGGGGTCAAGAGGAGGACCTCATGTGATCCTCCTGCCTTGGCCTACCAAAGTGCTAGGACTACAGGCTTGAGTCACTGTGCTGGGCCTGAGAAACACTACTTTATATTCAAAAATATTATCATTCATCTTTATATTCTCAGAGTGTAGCACAGCCCTAATGTAGAAACAAATGTATGTCAATGAAATGAAAAAACAAATTGTAATGACATCATTTGATTACGTGCCATAAAACAAACTGGATTAGAGCCAAGTATGTCAAAGGTACAGCCCTGGTCATGTCAGCCACTATTGTATTTTTCATGCTCAAGGTCCATTATGTGCTTAAAGACATATTTGAGTCAGGCCAGGCACGGTGGCTCACGCCTGTAATCTCAGCACTTTGGGAGGCCGAGGTTGGTGGATCACGAGGTCAGGAGTTTGAGACCAGCCTGGCCAACATGGTAAAACCCTGTCTCTACTAAAAATACAAAAATTAGCCGGGTGTGGTGGCGGGCGCCTATAATACCTGGGCGACAAGAGCAAGACTCTGTCCCAAAAAAAAAGAAAAAAAAAAAAAAAAGAGAGACATATTTGAGTCGACCAAATGGTGTACTTTGAGAATTCCTGACAGGAAAATACTGACTACTTCTGCTAAGCAACCCTTGTTCAGCTGTATGGCCATTTCCATCTGAGTGCAGCCTGGCTAGTACAGGAAATGGAGCCATGTGGACTGCATGAGAAATGTATGTTCAGTAGCTACTCTCAGGCAGAAATTTCTGAAAGAATTAGTTTTTATGAATCTTAGAAATCCAGGTCTTCTCCTCATATTCTACTTACCTTTTGCAAATCAATGGAAAGCTGCTGAATGAGTGCTTGGAGCTCTTGTTCCTTTTGTTCCAGGGCTGTGATCTTACTTTCTGCACCTGTTTTTGAAGCTATCACATGATCTCTTCATCAAAAGAAAGCAGACAATGAACAAATTTGGATATCTCATCTAATATACAGTCTTCTGCAGGAAAAATACAAATGGTTTCTTCTGTGTCAGGGCTACAAGCATCATTAGCCACATGCAGGTTTTCAACGGAAAAAGCCTCGGCTCTCTCTGAAGCAGGAGCCCAAAGAGAAAAAGTCCACCCTAGTTTAAGAAAGAAATCCTGACCTGCCTTTCCTTAGTCTATTAATACTTTACAAACTAAAACCACACTGAATTGTTCAGCAGGGTGGAACTGTCCTGAGTTTCAGCAGCTGAAGGGGAAAATGGGTTGGAGGTAGGGTGAGGCCTGAGTCCTAGGCAGGTAAGGATGTGTCCAGAAGCCTTTGCCAGCACCGGAATCAGAAAGTGGTGTAATGAACAATGGGGAAAGGTGGGCAGGCTATAGCCAGAACTACACTAACACCTCTTCCCAAGGGCCCCACAGACCAAGCAAGAACCTCTGCTCTTCCAGCGTTGAGTAGTGTCTCTGCAATTCTTCTAGCTTCTGGCTTAAGTCTGATGACATCTGATTGGAGTTCATCAACTCCTCCTGGGTACGACTAAGTTCTCTGGTTCGTGCCTCCAATTCTTGTTCCATTTTCCCTAGACTTTCTTCTTTTTTTAAAAGCTGACACAAAAATACAAAGTTTCATTGGGCTATGCTAAGAAAAATACACTTAAGATCAGGCATGCTGGCTCACGCCTGTAATCCCAACACTTTGGGAGGCTGAGGCAGGTGGATCACTTGAGGTCAGGAGTTTGAGACCAGCCTTGCTGACATGGCAAAACCCTATCTCTACTAAAAATACAAACATTAGCCGGGCGTGGTGGCGGGTGCCTGTAATCCCAGCTACTCGGGAGGCTGAGGCGGGAGAATCACTTGAACCCGGGAGGTGGAGGTTGCAATTAGCCAAGATCGCGCCACTGCACTCCAGCCTGGGTGACAGAGCTAGGCTCCATCTCAAAAAAAAAAAAGAAGTAAAAAAGAAAAATACACTTAAATCTCGGCTGGATACGGTGGCTCACGCCTGTAATCCCACCATTTTGGGAGGTTGAGGCATGCATATCGTTTAAGCCCAGGAGTTTGAGAGCAGCCTGGGTAACATGGCGAAACACCACCTCTACAAAAAATACAAAAATTAGCCGGGCATGGTAGTGCGCCTGTAGTCCCAGCTACTCGGGAGGCTTAGGTGGAAGAATCCCTTGAGTCTGGGAGGTCGAGGCTGCAGTGGGCCATGATCATGCCACTGCACTCCAGCTTGGGTGACAGAGTGAGACTCTATCTCAAAAAAAAAAAAAAAAAGAAAGAAAGAAAGGAAAGAAAAAAAAAAATCTAAGCTTGTCAGGCATGGTGGCACACACCTACAGTACATGCTTACAGTTCCAGTTACTTGGGAGGCTAAAGTGGGAGGACAGCTTGAGCCCACGAATTTGAGGCTGCAGTGTGCTATGATCGCACCTGTGAGTAGCCATTATACTCCAGCCTGGGCAACACCGTGAGACTCCATCTATTTAAAAAAAAAAATGTGGACCAATAGCCAAATTTCTATAACATTTTTGTGGGCTTATAAGAGAATTTATATACCCAGTAGTTAAAAACAAAACAAAACAAAACAAAACAAAACCCAAAACAAAACAGAAAAAGAACATTTTAAACAGAACTTTTCTATTTTAATAAATTTAAAAACATACAAATATGATTAATATCAAATATGATTAATATCACATATTACTGGTGTATGTTTATCAGCAATTAGAGAGTGATGACTAGTAAAATCAGAGTGAATAATCATCTATTCAGTATTTAGCTACTAAAACAAAAATGCATACCATGTGCTTTATTTTACTTAGTTCCTGCTGCTGGAACCCCTCTAATTCATCCATTTCATCTCTCCTTTGGAAAAGATTCATACTCTGGTTCTTCATTTCCTGTAACTGGGCTGTCAGAATATTTTTCTCCTATTTGAAAGAAGAAGACATCAACTCAGGCAACGAAAGCATTAGAAATCTGTATTACGAAAGTGAAAATCTTTTCTTTTTTAAAATTTTTGTCTTTAGAGACAGAGTCTCACTAGTTGCCCAGGCTGGCCTTGAACTCCTGGGCTCATGCAATCCTCCCGCCTTGGCCTCCCAAAGTGCTAAGATTACAGACATGAGCCACCACACCCGGCCTGAAAGTGGAATTCTTAATAAAGGAAAAATCTTCAGGAAATCTCATGCCAGTGGACAATGATGCATTGATAATGGAAAGCATTACAGAAATATGGCATTATTTACAAATTCTTTAATTGAATTAATCCTTTAACTAGAGAATTTAATTCTTTATTTAAAAATAAATGTGTTTTAAATAATTGTGAAAAAGGGGAATAAAAGCAACAATTACGTAGAACTTTTTTTTTTTTTTGGTAGAGACAGGATCTTGCTCTGTTATCCAGGCTGATCTTGAACTCCTGGCCTCAAGACATTCTCCTGCCTCAGCCTCTCAAAGTGTTGATAGATATGAGCCATCGTGCATGGCCTATGTAGAACTTTAAAGTTCTTACATCTGTTTAGCAAGTCCAGATATATATTTTATGTGTCTACTCTTTCGTCGTTGTTGTTTGTTTTTTGACACAGAGTCTCACTCTGTTGCCCAGGTTGGTTTGCAGTGGTGAGATCTCAGCTTACTGCATCCTCTGCCTCCCAGGTTGAAGTGATTTTCATGCCTCAGCTTCCTGAGTACCTGAGACTACAGGCATGCACCACCATGCCCGGCTAATTTTTCTACTTTTAGCAGAGATGAGGTTTCACCATGTTTGCCAGGCTGGTCTCGAACTCCTGACTTCAGGTGATCCACCCACCTCTGCTTCCCAAAGTGCTGGGATTACAGGCGTAAGCCACTGTGCCCAGCCTTATTTTACATGTCTATTCTTAGTGACACACTGAACTGGCTGAAAAACATGAGTAACCAGTAAGATTGAATGCCTGAAAAAAATTAAATGCACGTAGATTAAAAGTAGAACTGATTTCAGTTAACAAGCTAAAAAAAAGAAAAAAAAATTAGACATGACTGGTGTCAGCAGGTTACAATTTATTAAATGATCATTTCTAGCAGTGGACTCTTGCCTCTAATCCCAGCACTTTGGGAGGCCAAGGTGGGCCTATCGGTTGAGCACAGGAGTTGGAGACCAGCCTGCGCAACATGGTGAAACCCCATCTCTATAAAAAATACAAAAAAATTAGCCAGGCATGGTGGCATGTGCTTGTAATCCCAGCTACTCAGGAGGCTGAGGTGGGAGAATCACCTGAGCCTGAGAAGTCGAGGCTGCAGTGAGCTATGACTGTGCCACTGCACTACACTCCAGCCTGGGCATCGTGGTGAGACCCTGTCTCAAAAAAAAAAAAAAAGAAAAAAAGAAAAAAGGACTCTCTTAAGGACTAACCCTTCTGTTACAGTTTCTAACTCTTGACTGAAAAAAAAAAAAAAAACTTTAACGATGAAAAGTAGCTTCGAAGACCTATATAGGTGTCTCATTACTATTTCCTACTCTAGAAAATTTCCCCAACCTCTCACACCTGTAATCCCAGCACTTTGGGAGGCCGAGGCAGACAGATCACGAGGTCAGGAGATCGAGACCATCCTGGCTAACACAGTGAAACCCTGTCTCTACTAAAAATATAAAAAAATTAGCCAGGTGTGGTGGCGGGTGCCTGTAGTCCCAGCTACTTGGGAGGCTGAGGCAGGAGAATGGAGTAAACCCGGGAGGCAGAGCTTGCAGTGAGCCAAGATCATGCCACTGTACTCCAGCCTGGGCGACAGAGCAAGACTCCGTCTCAAAAAAAAAAAAGAAAAATTTTCCCCAACCTCTCCTTCAAAAGAACAAAAACAAAACAAAGAGAAAATTCCCTTTGTGAACCTTGTGAACCTAAGTAGGTTTTTTAGTTGGTTCAGTCCTATATGGATACCCTTTACCAAAATTTTAAAAGATAAAAAAACAGTTCAATGAGAATTTCAATTGCCATAATCTTAAGAGTTTCTTTTACAGCAAGAAAACCTTAACCCAACCCATATCTCCATATTTAAGAAGACTGTCATTAATAGCATATGGTTGAGGATTTTTTTTTTTTTTTTCAAGCACAGGTTTCCTTGGGACTTGACTTTTCTATAATTCTTTCCTTATATAAAACTGTTGCCAGGCACAGTGGCTCACGACTGTAATCCTAGCACTTTGGGAGGCCAGGCAGGAGGATCACTTTGGTCTAGGAGTTCAAAACCAGCCTGGGCAACACAGTGAGACCTCATCTCTATTAAAATTTTTTTAAAAATTAGCTGGGCACTGTGGCTCAAGCCTGCAGTCCTGGCTACTCAGGAAGTCTAGGTGGGAAAATCATTTGAGCCCAGGAGGTTGAGGCTGCACTGAGCTGTGATTGTGCCACTCCCAGCCTGGGCAACAGAACAACCCCTTGTCTCAAAAAAAGTTAATGTATTCTCTCAGCTTGATAATCAGATTTCTATAGAACAGAAAGTAAAGTTAACTTGGTGTTTTATGGAAAAAAAATAGTTGACACTAATGATTATTTTAAAACTAAAATGTTTTTCCAATTGTAGACTTGAAATTTCATCTCGTTTATATGTGGGAGCCAGGAATATATTACTTAAGGTACCTGTACGGTGTTATGCAAGCAATGGTACTAGAATAATCAATTTCCTCATCTACATCTAGCCAAGAGGTTCTCATATATGTTCAATGCTGAGCCTTGAGAAATGCCTTCCTTCCCCACTGCTTCATCTTTAAGTGTTCCTAATATTACCACGTGTCAATCAGAACCGCAGCAGGAAAGAGACGGCCATCTCAAATCAGGCATTTTGAGGATGGTTTAATAAAGGGGCTTATCAAAGCTGTGGGATGGGTAAGATAGCCCAAAAGATAATGTGCTGGCAACAGTTGGCCATAAAGAGGCAAAAAGATGAAGAGGTTATAGGAAACCCAGAGAGACAAAAACTATGTCAAGAAGGCAAACCAAAGGTCCAACTGAAGCTGTGACTTTGGCCATGGGATGCAACTAAGCTGAAGAGAGCCCACATGGAGAAAGGTGGGGGAAGAAACATCCTGACCACATCTTCTTTCACACATGGTTCTTTCAGGGTTCCCCACTGGCTGAACCCAACCGGATGCCAGAGGGCATTCTGAGCCCTGCTGATACAGTTTCTATCGGCGTTCAGGTACACAGAGAAAGGGAAGAGAGGAGGAGTGCAGAGTATATCAAGAGGGGCAAACAAAAGACATCCTGCACATTCACCAAAAAAGGGGAGGATCAGAGCTTTTCAAGTCAGTATCTAATCATAAACTGTCCTGCTTCCAAGAGGTGGTATAGCAATCAGTATGTTGGTTACCGGATAAAACGTTTTCCATACCCCAGAGACGAGACCAACAAAAATGAGACAAAAATAAAGATGAACTAACCTTTTCAAGCTGATCCATCTTTTCTGACCATTCCTAAAACAAAACAATAAAAAAGTATGGTTTCCAGTGAAGAGTATCTGTAATACCAAGATTTTCAGAAAACAAAACAACCCAACTCTTCCCAGAAAGCAACTAACCAAACAAAACAAAAAAGCCAATTAAAAAAAAATCTATAAACTTGGTTTAATATTAAGAAAGGCAAGAGTCACAAAAATAGAAGAAAATGAACTTTATCTAAGATTCTAGAATGGAATGAATTCATGAATATAAGCCTGCAGATTTTTACTAAGCAGGGCACCCAAGAAAAGCTGTATCTGCTGTTCTGATGCAGCTTTTTGGCTTGTTCCTGGGAGTTTTGCCATGAGTACTGTTATTTCTTGGGAGTGGGTAGCTGGGACCAGCTGAGTTGAGTAATTCTGGAAATGATGTTTAGAAATTAATTCCTGAAACTGGGGGAGTAGGGGGGATCTTTTGCAGTCCCTGATAATCATTTTCCTTTTCATTTTGATTTTACCAACATGCTTTATGCCATCTGTGTAAGTCAAAAGAAAAAGAATTATGCCCCTTATTCACAAACCATAAAATAGTGGGAAAAAAAGCCCATTTGCACAAAGGCAATATCCTGATTGCCTATAATCAGAATCCATCAATTTTAGATTATTTCTTCATTTATATACATTCATACCACAGTTATCCACTAAGTATTGGTAAATTGTATTTTTTCTGGCTAGTAAATGTCCTAGATGATGAACAGACACTTTAAAACCAACCAACCAACCCACCTCCTCCAGATGAAATAAATTATACAATTTCTTAAGTGAAACATAATAAACTCTGTCTTAATAAATCAAAATTAACATTATAATATATTGATGCTTATCTTAAATTTAAAATGTCATCTATTATTTTGAACAAAATATACTTCATAATTACTGTAATAGCCAGTAACAGAATTATTTTCCTTCCTTGTGGTTATTCATTCAGCATCTTCCAGTGGTTGGTTCTGCTGAGATTATAGGATTTCCCCTCTGTCCTGCTGGTTGGGATTGAAGAAACGTGGGAACAGAGGTTGGAAGAACTCTGTATACTATGGATTATGACTAAGTTAATAACATCTTCTCCAGGATAAAAGGCAAATGTTTGGGGGTTAGACTTTCAGAGAGGTTTTTAGAGGGGAGAGACCTTTTCTCTTATTTTGGGGCCTGCCATCAGATTACAGATACACTATTTCCCTTCTCAATTTTATGAAACTACACAGATACAAGGAATGATACTCTCACATTCTGGACACATTTCATGATTAGAACTGTAAAGTTTCTTCACTTTACAAGAAAAGGCCAAAGAAAACCTTAACGAACTTTTAACATTTCTCTTCTCCTAGGCTATAAATATTTTCTATAGGTTATGTCATGATTTTTGAAATCACGTCACTAAGTGAAATCTTTCCACCAGTTCTGGGCAGTGCCACATATAAAATACCTGGTCCTTTCTGGCTAATGCCAAAGCCAGTCCTTCTGCCATTTTGGCTCTGTTGGCTTGGAATGTCTCATTCTGCTCTTGAAATTTCCGCATGGAAGCTGTTAACAAAGAGGCTCTATTTGAGATATGAAAACACTTCAGAAACAGCATGACAAATAGCCCATGTGATTACAACTGTCACCTAATGAAAAAGGCCAAAGTCACATAAGTGGATTGTGATACTAGGAAAAGCTGGATCCACCTCAACTTTCCAGAAGAATATTTTGGCCTTGGTAATAGACCACAGTTTTTGTTTGTTTCCTTATCGTTTTTGTTTTTTGTAATAGACAAGTATATATATTTACAAAGATGCCAAAAGGTAACTTTTTAAATGGTACAATGATAGAACACTGAGTTAGGTAGGTTGCCAGAAAACATCAAAGCTGATGCTAAGTGATGGCTACTACCACTTTATCAGAATTAAAAACAAAAAGAAAAATCAAAACAAACAAAAAACCTTTCTTTTACTTTATTTTCCTTAAAAGTTTTAGTACATATCAACAAAAAAAATAACTTTCTACTTCTACTAACATCTTTCTTGGATGGTACCCAAAGAATATATGATTGAGGGTAGACTACACAAAATGTATGATTTATTGCTGAGGGAGTGATGACAGGGATTTCTCCCAGTTACTCAACACAGCAGTAATGAAGCTGTGGTGAGAACCCATTTCCTAATCCAGACCTAAGGGATGGGTACTAGATTTTATTAAAACCTGAGGGTAGCCTAAATAAAGGGGTCAACTGGATAGAGACAAGCTGATACACATAATGACCTACTCCTAAGAGTCATGCCCATAAGCCAACATAAATAAAACTTGCATACTTATAAATATCATCCAAATGTTATATCAACCTGATTAAGAAGTACACTACTTATAAAATAAAGATTTGTGCTTTGAAGAAGGACAAACTTAACCATACACTATTGTTTCATTTCAAAAACTAAACCTTGAAAAGATTGAAAAAAGCAGGAAAAAAATACGTACAATCCTGGTGTTTTTCTAATGCAATTTCAAGCTTCTCTTTTATCTTCTGCAAGTTTCGGACCTGTTCAGCATAGTCTTGGGTGAGGAGGGTGACGCACATACCAGAAATGGACAAACATCAGGAAAGGAAGTTAATTAAACAAAAAAATGAATGGAAATGATGATGATTTTCTTAACCTGAAAACCATTCCTGTTAAGGAAAGCTAGACAGACAGCCTCCCATTAACAATGAACAACACAGGAAAACAAGTATAGTACAAACTATCCATGGTGTATAAATGGTGAGTACAAAAAGGCAAGTTTGTTTAGCCTTGATAGAAAAACAAGAATTAGGCTTAGCCTGGTGATCAGAAATGTCCTGCTATGAAAAACACAGATTTATCTCATGACTTAATTTCAAATCTCAGTTTCCACTTCCTTTTCCGGTCTTAGCAGTAGGATAGATCAAAGTGAACTCACTAAACAGCTCGCTTATAGTCCACACAACTCAGGAACAGTAGTTAGGGCAATAACAAACACCTTAGGTGCAGCATTGTCTTTATAGTGATAGCACTTAATTCTCTAAAAAAGTGAGCTCCCTTTCTACACAGGAACTTGGTAACCTACGCTACATTAAATGTGAATGTCAGAATTAATTATCTAGGTGGCCAAAGAAGATAGTTATGGTTTAGTGAAAACATAGTAGCTCAAATCCCAACTCTGTCAGTCCTTAGCTGGGGACCTTAAGCAAATTATTGGTCCTGTAGTATTAGTTTCTTCATATATTAAATGATGATATTAATTGTACCTACCACAAAAGATGCATTAGATAAAACATTTTACGTGCCTTAAGTGCTTTGCACACAGTGCTCAATAAAATGTAGCTCTTATTGTTACTGTGACTATTATCATTACTCATACTAATACTGTAGGACAATACTCACCACATAGTGGGCCCAGTAAATGTCAGTGCTCTTCCCTGTCCCTTCTCTAACGTAAGTCAAGCTCAACTATTCTTCCTACCATATGGGGAAGGTATATATATTATTTTATAACTCTCTCTCCAACATTAAACAAATGTAAAATTACTTTACCTCTGTTACTGATATTATTTATGGGTAGGAGTAACAGGATAGCAACAATTAAGTTTAAGGCAGATGGAATTAAGACTCTAGCATCAAATAAATCTGGGTTTGGATCCCAGCTCTACCACTTACTACTTGTGAGGCCTTAACCTTGCTAAGCCTAATAAGGCTCTAGTGAGGACAAAATAATTAACTGGTAGTTGTGAGCTATGCTATGAACCTTTGATAACTACATAAATACAAATACTTCACATACAATTTGGTGAATTTGGGTCTGATAGCTACACAAATATAAATATTTCACATACCACTTGGTGAACTTCGGTCTGCTGTTTTACTCCAATAAAATGGGCATTAAAAGGCCAAGGGACAAAAAGAGACACAGAAGCCATGAACCACTTTACAGGATGAAGCTTTCCAAATGTATCCACTGGCAGAAACCAAAATAATAACTCACAATTCTATCATGACCATGCCCTCCTCAGGCAAAGGATATAATGGGAGCTGTGTAAATTGTAAACTGCAGACAAAAGACATAATGAGAGTGACACCTTCTATGCAGGTGCTGAAGTCAGAAATACCATTGAAAAGTGGCCCAAAGACCTACAACAACACTTACACAGGTGGTATGAGCTGCAGGAAGTGGCAACACAGCACCAATCTCTGGTGCTGATGAATCCAATATCTGTTGGCCATTCCCTTTAAATACTAACGCCATCCCTTTCCACCTGAAAGCAGGCTATGCTAATGGTGGAAGATGGTCAAATCTATTGTACATATATTATTATTATCTTTTATTTCCATGGCTAGAAACCTCAGGAGCAGAAAAAATTTTTTAATAAACTTTCAAATTCAGTTTTGAATTTATACTATTTACTACACTAACAAAAGAAGAGGGTATACTTGCTCCTTTCTAAAAAGATCAAAATGATATGTGAAAATAACTATAAAGTCATCCTATATGGCTATTTTATAGGAAGAGAGTCAAGCAAGGCAAGTTTCCTGTTGTTTGCTTTTTATGAGTTCTTAGACATACCAGAAAGTCTGGCCTCTAACTTCCGTATCTGTTCATTCCTTCTCAGAAGCTGGGATGAAAGATCTTCTCTGGAGCTGCTTCCATCGGAAGCCTGTTGAGGTAGACACAAGGAAGGTCGTATTCATATATGTGTGAGACCACAATACTGAGCCAGAAAGTGACAAGTCTTATTTTAGGTTTGGTTACACTTTAATTAATTGTAATCACTGAAAAGCTGGGCCTAGTTTCTCTACCTGGAAAGTGGAAGCAACGCTTTCTTCCTCTTATAAAGTGAAGGAGAGAGGAGATGCTAAACAGATCAATTTTATGTGTACGCATGCTACTGAAATAAATAATAGTAAATAGATCCATTATTACAGCAAGTATATAATACAAAAACTATATTTGCCATGATAAAAAAATCACTTTATCTTTCCAAAAGTAAAGTCCTGGGATAAAGAAGGCGGGGGTTCTTTAGGGATCAAAAGCTGGTCTATGACTACGAATCTTTCACCGATATTGATAAAGTTTCAGTATCTTCATCTATGAAACAAACGGATATCAATCTAAAACTCTAACTTGCATCATAGACTTCAGCAGATAATATGCATTCAACAAACCAATATATTAATGAGGCATACATTTTTCCCCAACAAACCAGATTATTTTAAAATAAATGAATACTACTATTGCTATAGGCACTGCTTGCAATTGCTAATAACTCAGTTTTTAAAATCTCTTTTACTTTTCATTATACAATTTTTCAAAATATAGAAAGGGAGAGAGATTGGTCTAAATAATGCTCTCCATCTACTTTCACAATTGCTGATGCTTTCCCTTATTTGCTTCATCAATTTTTATTTTTCTGAAGTAATTTAAATAACAGACATCATGGCATTTCATCCTAAATACTCCAAAAATTAAGGCTATTTCTCTTCATAGGCAACATATGATTATCATTCCTAACAAAAAATACTAACATCCAGTCCTTAATCATGTTTCCCATTGTATCCCCAAAATGTTTTTAAAGATTATTCAATAATTCACCTCAAATATTCATCTACATGTCCAGCCACTTGCCCATCCAATATGTACTGAGAGTCAGGACAGTGGACAGTTAAGAGGAGAGTCTCTGGTGTCAGAAAACCTTGCTTCAGGTTGCAGCTTTACCACTTACGAGCTGTAAGAACTTAGGCTCATTACTCAACTTCTCTGTGCACTGGTTTCCTCATTTGCAATCTGTGATAACAAACAGCATTTGCCTCACAGAGCTGTGATGAGGATTAAGTAAATCAATACTTGTCAAATCCCTAAAACACAGCCTGGCACATATTAGCTTTAATATGTGTCATCTATTACTAGTTGTCTTAGTCTGTTTGAGTGCTATAATGAAATGCCATAGAATGTGTGACTTATAAACAACAGAAATGTATTTCTCACAGTTCTGGAGCCTAGGAAGTCCAAAATTAAGGTGCCAGCAGATTTGGTGTCTAGTGAAGACCCACTTTCTGGTTCATACATGACACCTTCTAGCTGTGCCCTCACATGGTGGAAGGGGCAAGGCAGCTTTCTGGGGCCTCTTTTGTAAGAGCACTAATCTCATTCATGAGGGTTCCTCCCTCATGAGCTAATCATCTCGGAGACGATTCACCTCCTCATTCCATCACTCTAGTGATTAGGTTTCAACATATCAATTTTTGGAGACATACATTCAGACCACACCACTAGCAGTATAAGAAGCTGTTATGATTATTACTGTTAGTGAGACATAGGAGACATCCTATGTCTCACTACTGTGCTAAGCACTAGGAATAGTGGTGAAACAAAGAGCTCCTATCCAAAATAACAGCAGCAGCAGCAACAGAAGCTAATTATGAAATGCTTAGAGCCAGACGCCATGCTAAGTGCTTTAGATTCTACGCAGAAGAACTGACATTACAGGCCTCAGACTGTTATCCTTAGAAAGGCCTGCTTTTAAGGTTGGTCCTTGGCTGGCATCTGGGAACTTAGATTTTGGGAGGGTTCCCATCATTCTGTTAAGAATGGCTCATTGTGCCTAAAATGTTTGTGCAAAAATATGGGTTTATGCTGAATACCTGGTTTCCTTCTGGAGTCTGGATTATTTATTTATTTATTTATTTATTTAGACAGAGTCTCGCTCTGTCACCCAGGCTGGAGTGCAGTGGTACAATGTTGGCTCACTGTAACCTCTGCCTCTTGGGTTCAAGAGATTCTCCTGCCTCCTGAGTAGCTGGGACTACAGGTGTGTGTCACCATGCTCAGCTAATATTTGTATTTTTAGTAGAGACAGGGTTTCGCCATGTTGGCCAGGCTGGTCTCAAATTCCTGACCTCAACTGATCCATCTGCCTTGGTCCCCCAAAGTGCTGGGATTACAGGTGTGAGCCACCCTGCCTGGCCTGGATTCTGGAATTTTGATACATAGTAGGCAGAGGGTGTTCACATGACCAGTCCCCAATAAAAAGCCTGGACACTGAGTCTCTAATGAGCTTCCCTGGTAGACATTTTACATGTGTTGTCACAACTCATTGCTGGGAGAATGGAGCATGTCCTATGTAATTCCACTGGGAGAAGAATCTTGGAAGCTTGCACCTGTTTCCTCCAAGCTTTTCCCCATGCACCTTTTCCCTTTGCTGAGTCTGTTTTAGATCCTTTCACTGTAATAAATGATAGCAGTGAGTAAAACTATATGGTGAGTCTTGTGAGTCCTCCTAGTGAATAATTAAATCTGGGGATGATCTTGGGGATCCTTGACACACATACTTTAATAAAGGTAGATACAGTTCCTATCCCCATTTTATAGATGTGAAAAATAAGGCAAGGAAAAATGAAGAAATTTGCCCAAAGTCACATAATAATAATAGAGCAGATATGACTCTATAACCTGACCTGAGTTCCTAAGGGCTACACTTTATTGTCTTTCATGAAACTCCCAGTTCAGTGGAAGAGACAAACAAGCAAATCATCAATAATAATGCAGTACAGCAGGTGCTATTACAGAGGTTAGCAGAAGACAAGGCACCAAACAGCCAGGAGGGGTAAAGGGTAGGGGGCTGCCAGAGGAGAAGGTCAGGTCAAGGGAGTTTGCTGGAAGTAACACATGAGCTGAGTCTTAAGATGCACAAGAGTCTGTCAGAGGAATGCAGGAGTGAAAGGGGAAATGAGACATTCTAGAGAGAGGAAATAGCATGTGCAAAAATTGTAAGCATGAAAGAATGTGGTCCATTCTAGAAAGTGCAATAAATTCAGTCTGGCTGTGGCACAGGGTGTAGCAAAGTACAGTGAGATAATGCTGGCCATATAAGCTGAGAGAAGACCATGACAGTTTACCATTATGCTATAATAATGAGTCTGTACTTCATCCTGAAAATAATGGGGAAGCCACTGAGTTTTATGAGTTTTAAGTACTGGAGAGACATGAACAGATCTGCTTTTAGAAAGATCACTTTGGGCTGTGCACAGTGGCTAGCACCTGCAGTCCCAGTACTTTGGGAGGCCAAGGTGGGCAGATCGTTTGAGCCCAGGAGTTCGAGACCAGCCTAAGCAACATGGCAAAACTCCGTCGCTACAAAAAATACAAAAATTAGCTGGGTGTGGCGGCACGTGCCTGTAGTCCCAACTACTCACGAGGCTGAAATGGGAGAATCGCTTGAGCCCAGGAGGTTAAGGCTGCAGTGGGCTGTGATCGGGCCACTGCACTCCAGCCTGGGTGCCAGAAAGAGATCCCTGTCTCAAAGAAAAAAAAAGGTCACTTTGGGGACAGGGAACCCAGATAGACTACAAGTTTGTCCCAGAAAGAAAGGCAGCTTGAAATCAAATGATAGTATAGGTTGAGTATCTCTTGCCCAAACAGTTTAGGATCAGAAGTGTTTTGGAGTTTGGATTTTTTCAGATTTTGGAATGTCTGCATATACATAATATAATATTTTGGGGATGGGACCCAAGTGTAAACGTGAAATTATGTTCCATATACGTTTTATACACATAGCCTGAACATAATTTTATACAATATTTTAAATGATATGCATTAAACAAAGTTGTGTTAAGTATTTATGTGTAAATTTTCCACTTGTGGCCATGTTGGCGCTCAAAAAGTTTAAGATTTTGGAGTATTTCAGATTTCAAATTTTCAGATTAGGGATGCTTAACCTCTGCTAGTAAATGTACTACTAGAAGATGGAGTAGGGAGGCAAGTTTGAGACATTTAAGAAATGAAAGCTGCCTGTAATCCTAGCACTTTGGGAGGCCAAGGCAAGAGGATTGCCTGAACTCAGGAGTTCAAGACCAGACTGGGCACACGGTGAAACCTCATCTCTACTAAAAATACAAAAAACTAGCCAAGTGTGGCGGTGTGTGCCTGTAGTCCCAGCTACTTGGGAGGCTGAGTGAGGCAGGAGAATTGCTTGAACCCAGGGTCCAGCCTGGGCGACACAGCAAGACTCTGTCTCCAAAAAAAAAAAAAAAAAAGAAAGAAATAGAAGCCATAATACGTGTTGACTGATTGGACACCAAGAAGTGAAAGGAGGGAAGAGCCTAAAATACCTCCAGGGTTTCTGGCTGGTGACTTGGGAAGATGAAGGTGCACATTTGGAGATGGAAATAATGAATTCAATTTTGTTCATTTAGAATTTGAGATGCCACAGAGGAGGGATCTGTTTGGAGAAACATATGCAGTTGGATATAAGGGTCTGGAGATAGGAACTGAGGATCAGGCTGTATTAAGTTCAAAACTTGAGAAACCCCAAAATAAATTACTTCCTGAATCTGGGTCAATCTCTGTATTTGGAATACATTACTAAATAAAAGACTTCATTTAGGGTGTCAGCATGAAGGCAAAACAGGTCCATCTGTCACAGAACCCAGCCTTAAAACTACATCCTTCAGCCCGATGCTCAAATGTGTGCTTATATTTCCTCTTAAATATAGGAGCCAGTGATAATGTAGATCTGGTAATCTTATTGCTCCATCCCGATAACCTAATAACTTCTGCCATGTAATCTGACCTGGGATCCAGGCAGTACAAGAAAGCAGGAGGAAGACTCATCTGACAACGGAAACAATTCAAATGTCTATCGCCAGGAGAAGACAGACATTAAATGTGGCCTTTTCAAATGCTGGGATCTTTTTTTTAAAAAAAATCTTTAGAGACAGAGTCTTGCTCTGTTGCCTAAGCTGGAGTACAGTGGCACGATCATAGCTCACTACAATCCCAAACTCCTGGGCTCAAGCGATCCTCTTGCCTCTGCCTCCCAAGAAGCTAGGACTACAGGCATACCACCACCAACCAGGCAAATTAAAAAAAAAAAAAAAAACTTTTGTAGATATGCAGTCTTGCTATGTTGCCCAAGCTGGTCTTGAACTTCTGGCCTCAAGCAGTCCTTCCGCCTTAGCTTCCCAAAGCATTGGGATTACAGGCGTGAGCTTCTGTGTCCAGCCTGGAATCTTATACAGCAGTAAAAATAAATGAACCACAGCTTCCTGTAACATGGATGCATTTTATAAGCATGTTGAATTAAATTTTAAAAAAGGAAATCCAAGAAGTCTACAGTGTGCAACTTTTATAACTTCAAAAACAAGCAGTATTAAATAATAAATTGTTTATGAATACATACATATCTGGTAAGATATTTTAAAAAGCAAGTAAATGAAAAATACAAAATTTAGAATAGTGGTTATGCTATCCTAAATTGGGTAGAGGAAATTGGAAGAAACATATAAGTGGCTTAACAGAATTGATAGTGTTCTATCTCTTCAGATGAGTGATAGATTTACTTTATGCTTTATACTTTACATATATATTACATACATTCTTTTATATATATATCCAGCATTATAAATGAGTTTTAAAGAAATTTATTGCCAAGTGTGGTGGCTCACCCCTGTAATCCTAGCACTTTGGGAGACCGACGCGGGAGGATCACGAGGTCAGGAGTTCCAGACCAGCCTGGCCAACACAGTGAAACTCTGTCTCTACTAAAAATACAAAAATTAGCTGGACGTGGTGGCGGGTGCCTGTAGTCCCAAGCTACTCAGGAGGCTGAGGCAGGAGAATCGCCTGAACCCGGGAGATGGAGGTTGCAGTGAGCCGAGATTGTGCTGCTGCACTCCACCCTAGGTGACAGAGCGAGACCCTATCTCAAAAACAATAAACTAAAAACAAAAAAAAATTAGCCGGGTGTGGTCGTGGGCACCTGCAGTCCCAGCTACTTGGGAGGCTGAGGCAGGAGAACTGCTTGAACCCGGGAGGTGGAGGATGCAATGAGCTGAGATCATGCCACTGCACTCCGGCCTGGCTGACAGAGTGAGACTCTGTCTCAAAAAAAAAAAAAAGAAGAGAAAAGAAATTTATCTAACTTAAGAGGATCCTGTCATATGCAAAAGCCACACTTTATTTTTTAAGCATGACATTTCCCTCATATAGCAACATCTTCATTTTTTGAAATCTTATAGTCACAAATGTATTTTACTAATAAGAAACATATTGTAGGCTGGGCATGGTGGCTCACGCCTGTAATCCCAGCACTTTGGGAGGCCAAGGTGGGCGGATCGCCTGAGCTCAGGAGTTTGAGACCACCCTGGGCAACATGGTAAAAACCTGTCTCTACTAAAATACAAAAAATTAGCCAGGCATGGTGGAACACACCTGTAGTCCCAGCTACTCGGGAGGCTGAGGCACGAGAATTGCTTGAGCCCCAGAGGCAGAGGTTGTGGTGAACCAAGATCAGGCCACTGCACTCCACTTTGGGCTACAGAGCGAGAATCCATCTCAAAAAAAAAAAAAAAAGAAAGAAAAAAGAAAAAAAGCAACATACTGTAATCACTGGGGCCATCTTTCCAACAATCGTCCCAATACAACAATGCACTCTTGCTAACCCCATACCACAACTCAGAGACCTTGTTAAGCAGCAATGACTTAGTTGTTATATAAGTATATATGTCTGCAATGAAAACAGGCCCAGACATTTTCAGAAATGAAATGCAAAAGAAGATGTATAAGGTATATAGACGGAAAAACAGTACAAGAGGACACTGGAGAGAATATGGAGAGGAACTCACAGAAAAATAAGGAAAAAAATATAGAGTACCTTAACATTTACAAACCAAACATTAACAAAAAGGTACCTCAGAGTAAGAAGAATCAGATGTACAGGCTCTTGTACAGCTATAAACCATGAAAGGTATGAAATAATCAAGCAATTTAAAATATTTATTGGAAGAATACCCTGCAAAAGTATCTTTATTTCTTAAGTAAAGGTACTTACAAAGTCATCTCCTGAGTCAGCTCCCATTGAGGCAACTGATTCCTTGCTCACAGACCGTGGGATCCTAGTAGCACCTCCTGGCCTCTGAGCAACAGCAGTCTCTTCTGCAATTTTCTTCTTCAGTTTTGCAAACATGTTTGCTGTGTGGCTATCCTGCACAGATGACGAGCTCTCAGTAGTCCTGGTGCCTGTGTTCAGGATTCAGACAGAGGCGCCTACAAAGTTTCAGACATCCAAGCTAGCTGCATTCCCACTTAAATGTGGGCCAAGGGCTTATGGCAACACAGGATCTACAAATCAGATGAAAGAGACAGTTCAAAAGTTAAACATTGGAAAGATTTCGCATCTGAGTTGTTAAGTTTTAGATTTCAAAACTAAGTTTCATAACTTACATGTACACTTATAGAACACAATTACTAAACATTTAAAAAGCACTCAGGTGCTTCATATGCATATACAGATGAAGAAACCCAGTCTCAAGAAGATGAAGTAACCTACCAAAGATTGTGTGGCTAAGTGGAAGGGCTGGTATTTGAACAGAGGACTCTGATTCACAAATCTCTACGTTTTTTTTTTTTAATTACATGTTGGCTATGACATATAACACACTTGGTAAAATGTCCCAGAGCAGACATCAACATCATATATTCATGACTTAATGATTTCAAATCCTTCCTCCAATAAGCTTAACTACAGTTTAGTGTTCTTTAAGTTGAAGACAAAAATGCATGTAATTCAATTCATATGTAATTCAATATTCAATATGTAATTCAATATGTAAAAGGTGTAATATCCTACTGTTTCAGGATGGTTTGCAATCAACTGTCCAATAGGAAAAGCTGGTAACAGAAAAAAGAAGACACACCAGACAACTCTATTATATAAGTATCTGATATCCTTGAACATTTTCTAGAGACGCTGTGTGGTTTTGAGTTTGATAAAATTACCTCCAATGAGTTTATTTTCTTTCTTTCTTTTTTTTTTTTTTTTTTTTTTTTTTTTTGAGATGGAGTTTCGCTCTTGTTGCCTAAGCTGGAATGCAATGGCACTATCTCGGCTCACCGCAACCTCCACCTCCTGGGTTCAAGCGATTCTCCTGCCTCAGCCTCCCGAGTAGCTGGGATTACAGGAATGCGCCACTATGCCCGGCTTATTTTATATTTTTAGTAGAGACGAGGTTTCTCCGTGTTGGTCAGGCTGGTCTCAAACTCTTGACCTCAGATGATCCACCTGCATTGGCCTCCCAAAGTGCTGGGATTACAGGCATAAGCCACTGCGCCCGGCCTCACAGTTTCTTTTCTTAAGAATGTTTGACATGATATTCAAAGTAAGATTCAAAAACCTTTTCCTCCTAATGGTGTATAAAACACTAATATTCTGGTTCCAACCTTAACTTTCCATGTTTTGTGGAGGATACCTAAGCTCTGCTCTGAGATACACAAATGCCATCTTACCACTTCAGATCCTCCATTAAGGCTGTACAATTCTTCAGAAACTTTACTTTCAATGTGTGTAAACCACTTACTCACCTGGCTTATCTACTAGATTTAAAACAGCTTGGAGGTCAAAGCATTCTGTCCTGCATGAAGACAAAGATAAAATGCATTGGGTATTTCTTTTCAAGTGTATGGCCAAAATGTTGGGTGGGGATAGGGGGAAGAAGTGAAGGAAGAGGAGGGGCAGAAGAAGGATTAAAGGGGGTAAGAAAACCTGTCACAACTCTCAATGGGATACCCTCCCTAACCCTGATCTCCTATGAAATTGTTTTTTGCCTAAGAGCTTCACTTACAAGCGCATAGAACAGAATTGATCACCGCAGCGGGTGCCTAAATTCACTTCTCCCTGGGAGCCCTGAGCAAAACAATTTGAATGAGGTTAAGTTTTCCTGGAGCCAGTATTTATTTCTCAGTTGATTACTACACTCACATACTGTTTACCCGGCCAGACCCTGGGCGTCTGGTCACGGATGTGCACTGACAAAAAGCAAGGCAAAATTGGGTAAAGACAGATGTCTAACCCCCAGGGAGGCAGGCAGGTGCCTGCCACGGCAGTTTGGATCTCACTCCCTCAGGCTACCTCCAGCCCCGCCCGTGCTTTGGACTGTCAAAGAAAGGAAGGATCCAACATCTCTCCCATTTGACAGCAAGGAAACTGAGCCCTAGAGAGGAGGAGCGACTTGTCCAAGGTCGCGCAGGGAGGAATCCCGGAACCCTAGGCTCCAGACTCCCAGGCCGGGGCAGCCCGCCTCCGCCCCCACTCTCACCCTTTCAGCACCCCGGTGCCGCCCCCCGCCTTGGGGCTCGGGCAACCCTGACCGGGCCGCTGTGGGGACAGACCGAGGCCACTGGGAGAATAAGGGGCCTGCTCGCATTCCCGGAGTCCTGGCCCGCGCACCTGCCTCTCTCTGGGAAGCCAGCAAAGCCCCGCCTCCCGGGCCTCTCGTGAGCCCCGGCCCGCGTCACCAACCCCCACCGCCCAGCCGGCGAGCCGAGCAGCGACCCGGAACCGCACGTCTCCCAGCGCGCCGGAAGTGACTGCGCGGTGGGGGGAGGGGGTTGGTCCGACGCGCGCATGCGCCCGTGCGCGGCCTTGGCGGCTACTGTTACCACCTCTGAGCGGCGACTGGGCCGGAACGGCTGGAGTTCTCGGGTGCCCAGCCGGGCGCTCCCTCAGCCCAGTTCGCCACGTCAGCGAGCGGCCAGAGCCACAGATGATGACTGAGTCTCCGAGGCCTCTCGGTCTTTTTCTATTTTAACAGGGGCGCGTGCAGAGCGTGGTAAGTGGGAGGGGCTTCGTGTCAAAAGTAAAAGAACCCAGTCGGTGCCACAGGCCCCGCTGTGCTGTGCTGGCTACAAACCCGGCCGGGGCTGCACTGCTTGGCCAGGCGCCCCCCCGCGCCGCCCGGTCCCGCCGCACCCTAGGCAGCTGCCTTGCCACCGTGTGACCCGGGAAGTCTGCGCCTCCAGCTTCACTCACAAGCCAGTAGCTCCAGAAACTAGTCCTGGGACCTTACACCTTGAGACCAGTTTTTAGACTTTGGCGCCTGTCACCTACTGTAGATGATGCGTTTTATATCGCAACCGAGTACATAACGTCCAGCAGAACCACGTTCTTACTATGTAATGCACTTAAAAACGCTGGTGGCAGCTCACTATATTGGATTAGCTTCACCATCCGCTGCTGGGCCGTCTCCTTTCTGCTTAGGAAGGAAGTTGAAAACATCAAAAGTGCACGGCGCGCGCTTCTGTGGTCCCAGCTACTCGGAAGACCGAGGTGGGAGGATCTCTTGAGACCAGGGCTTCCAGACCAGCCTGGGCACCGTGGCGAGACTCCGTCTCTTTAAATAAATAGCAATCATGCAGGCAGTAGGAAAATAAACAAAAGAGGAAAAACTATCTTGTTCCAAGTCACAGTCCAGGCCGGGCGCGGTGGCTCACTCCTGTAATCCCCACACTTTGAGAAGCCGAGGCGGGTGGTTCACCCGAGGTCAGGAGTTCAGACCAGCCTAACATAGCGAAACCTCGTCTCTACTAAAAATACAAAATTAGCCGGGCATGGTGGCCCATGCCTGTAATCCCAATTACTTGGGAGGCTGAGGCAGGATAATCGCTTGAACCCGGGAGGTGTAGGTTGCAGTGAGTCAAGATCGCGCCATTGCACTCCAGCCTGGGCAACAAGAGCGAAACTCTATCTCAAACAAAAAGTCACGGTCCAAATCAGTACCCTAAGTCAGGTCCCTGAACTCGTCAATGCCAAGCCAGCCATTCCACCTTAAGGAACTCTGGTTCCATCCCCAGACTCAACACAAGCCCAAGAATAAGCAGATTCCACCCAATTCTTCAACAGTCCCTTCCCTCGCGTGTTCCAGTTCTGACCTGCAGGAGCAGGGCAGGGAAAAAACCAAAACCAGGATTCAAACATTGACAAACTAACAAGAAGCATCAACCCCAAGATAGTTCAAAGCCTCTGAGATATTTGAATGAAGCAAACCCTAACAGTTCAGCTGTCAATACCGAAAAAGTACCAAAAACTTTAAGCAAATAATGTTTATTTTTATATTGATGATACACTTAATATATATGTGGATTCAAGGTACAAAATTCATGTACAAGAGTTCACACCTGATGAATGTAGACACATTCCTAGAGAACATTTATCAATGTGAAAATTTCTTTAATACACTGACAACAAAAATCAAATATTCTCTAATCTCGTTATTCAATAAACATCAAAACAACGTTTCAGTTTTCATCCTCTAGTACTGAAGTGCCCTCAAGGTGGTAGGCACTGTATAGCAGGAGAAAACATTGGAAAGCCTACTGAATCCGCTCTGCAGAATCACAGTGTTTACTCTGAAATTCATTTAGTGAAGTAGTGGAAGGCTATCTTTTATGACAAATCACATCTCATACAAGAGTCAAAAGTGATGAACTCAAGAAAATAAAATGTTTCAAGAACTTCTCAATTTCTAAAATCTATGGAGTATTAACCATAACAGACAAAGAAGAAAAAGGCTGCTGGAAAGGAAGAAAAAAACATCCTGTTTAAGAGAACGTATGGCTTAAGCAATTTAGAACACAACTGACAAGACTTTTACAATACCACAAATGTTCAAGTCAAATGATAGTGACAGTATAATTTTCCCCTTAGTCATTGGTAGTAAATAGCCCCTTCAAAATTTATTCTACTGTTAACACATATAAAAACTATGAATCCAAACAGTTTTGCTAACGGGGCTGAGTTGATGGATTTTTTTCTAAAGTATTAACTCACAATATCCAAATATTAATACAAATGAACGACAAGATTGTTTCAAAGATTACAGTGATTTGTGAATAGCTAAATAGGCAACCAAATAGCTTCATTATTTGCACGACAGATTAGCAGCACTTGGATAAGAATTGTTACATGAAAAATATTGTGCTTCAGTCTCTTGAGGAGAGCTAATATAACTCTATAATCCCTATAGTGTTAAAATTCTATAACATTTCAGTTACAGACAAGCACAATTGTTAAAAAGTATTTCACACCACTAGAAAATCGAGTAATTATATCCTCCAAATGAATTACTTCTATGATTTAAACAAGTGCATTTCTGCCTAATAATCAGAATGTAGACAATAAGTTCAGCATTATTTTCAAGGGAAAAAGATCAAACATAACTTATTTTAACTCCTATTTGATTATCTTAACCTTTAGTGATGATTAGAACTTAAAAAAGGGAAACTCAACCTTCCAATGGAAACTGCTCAGAGGAAATAATAAAGTGTCCTGAAATTACAATAATTCTTAGCACAAAGTAAAAAGTGATTTATAACTGCTTCATCTGATTCAATGATTAATGAAATCACTATTTATACTGGTGCTACACAACGAAGATAACCTATATGGATAAGTTATTTTACTTGTAAACTCTACTATGAAAATGTTAGGACTTTGTATTTGCCTTTCCTATTATCTAAGATGTTTCTACCTCAACTGGAAGAATCATCCAAAATCTAAAGGTTTCTCTGATTGTTGAACAGCAAGGTTTATTAAAAATAAGCAAAAAAGTTGGAGAACTAGCCATATGGTCTATGTGGCAAAAGGAATGCATTCAGATAACTATAAAAAGCCACATAAATCAAGTTCTAGATTATTGTACTGAACCATTAGAAGGTCTTTTTAATGATACAGTAACAAGTTAACAAAAACCATTCTTCAGGAAATAGTAATAAAAATTCCTTTTTTTTTTTTTTTTGAGAATGAGTCTTGCTCTGTCACCCAGACTGGAGTGCAATGGCACGATCTCGGCTCACTGCAACCTCCGCCTCCCAGGTTACAAGCAGTTCTCCTGCCTCAGCCTCCCAAGTAGCTGGGATTACAGGCGCACACCACCATGCCTGGCTAATTTTTTTTTTTTTTTTTTTTTTTTTGTATTTTAGTAGCGACAGGGTTTCACTGTATTGCCCAGACTGGTCTCCAACTCCTGAGTAATAAAAATTCTTATTGTGCTAAAACACTAAGCAATTTTTCCTGCAGATTTTTAATTTACCACAGTACATAGTTTTAATTTAGAAAAAAAGCAATTAGTAGCATGCTTCTTTAAGGGTGGAAATAAGCTTTTTAAAAATACAGTGGTTATCCCTCTATGGTTTGGAAGTATTTACTTTTGGGATTCTCATGTATGATCATTTCAAATTTTATACTTATTCATACTGATTTCATGTTTGAGAAAATTTATGGTTCAAATTGTAATGTTTACAAATCTCAACTTTTAATCATGGCAAAGTGGACATTCACAACAGCTTCAGAAGAGAAAAGAAAATCAGTGATATAACAAACATTTAAGTATCATTTACGGCAGCCCTATAAGAAGGCTAGCCATAATTCCCTATTTCATTCTGAAAGTGATATCCTATTAGCTTTCATTCCATAAGCCTAGGAGAAAAGTATAAAACCTAAAATTACCTATGTCTTAAACAATATTACACCTAAAAAGATGATTGTCGTAGTAGACAGACTGGAATTGTCCACCAAAATAGGAAATTGATACCCAATTTATAGTCTATGATGAAATTTAGGCTTGAATAAGTGAGTTTGTAGTTTTAATATAATGTACTTCAAACTATTAAAAAAACTGAGTCTATTGTCCAAGTATGTTTAAACATGGCACTGGTTAAAGTAGTCTGATAACTATTAAAAAGAATTTTTTTTAGGCCGGCCACAGTGGCTCACACCTGTAATCCCAGCACTTTGGGAGGCCGAGGCGGGTGGATCACTTGAGGTCAGGAGTTCGAGACCAACCTGGCCAACATGGTGAAACCCCATCTCTACTAAAAATACAAAATTAGCTGGTCGTGGTGGCACACGCCTGTAATCCCAGCTACTTGGGAGGCTGAGGCAGGAGAATCTCTTGAACCCAGGAGGCGGAGGTTGCAGTGAGCTGAGATCGCGCCATTGCATTCCAGCCTGGGCAACGAGCAAAACTCCATCTCAAAAAAAAAAAAATTATTAATTTTTAAAACCACAAAAGAAATTAACAAAAATATTTTAAAATTAAGAATGGTGCTTCAATCAGTTATTAAATTAGTTATACTTAATACAGTTCTCTTTATCCAATTAAAGGCATATCACCCTACATCATCCTGACACCCTTCCCGTCAATAGGTGATTGATTCCATTCACACATCAATTATTTTTCCTTAAACACAAGGCATGCTTAAGTCTTTTTGTTCAAAACTCAGTGAAGCTGGAACATAGTGTAGTATTAGGCTTTGAAATTCTAGTTTGAGGAAGATGAATCACTTTTTTTTTTAAGTGGTCCCATTATCCAGGAAAGACTGAGAGGTACAGCAAAAATAGTTGTAAAGTATCAATGTATAAGAGCGCAGGAGACTGGGGGAAAGGGCTGGGTTTTCTAAGCAAGTGTTACCTTATTCACCCTCAAAGTTATTGGCTTTACAACGGTTGGGGTCAGAGGTCACATTCACAATGTCAAGTGTTTTCTACTGTACTTTTGATTACCACTACTGTCCTCAAATTAATATCCACAAGGAGCCTGAGTCAGTTCCATGAATTTTAAATGGTATAATATCTGCTCTACTACTCTCCAGTGCAAAAACAATGATTTGGTTATTCAAACAACAAACCATCAGATCCTATGGATGTTTTCACTGATTTTTCAGAAATAATAAATTACCAAATTTTAATATTTATTCAAGAAAAATGCTGTTATAATTATTTCTGAATTTAATACTATAATTGAAAAGTCTTATGAATAGTTGGCTGTTTTATTTAAAATATAATGAATCAGCAAATGTAACATTTTTTTGGGTGGTAAAACAGACTCCTGAGATAATTTCTCTATTTTAAGATAATATTGGATCAGATAGATTTAATCTTCCAAAGAATACGGTGTAAAAAGTTGCTTTGCAGTTATATTTTATCATGCAAAAATAACCTCTACTTAATTTCTGCAGTGAATGTATTTAAGTGTATATTAAACATCTCCTACACTCTTTCATGCAAATAAATATGTCAACTGAAGTAACCAAACATTGATACTTGGCAACATTCTATAGGTTCACAAATTGGCATTGCACGTATTTACTATCCTCTTATCCTCCCCAACCCTATCATCCTTGGGAGAGGTTTGAAGGCCCAGATTTTTATAGCACACCATGCATCTAATATTAAAAACTCTACTTCATGTGCGAATATATCATCAACTTGCAGAACACAAGTGGTCTCATAGAGACACAGCAATACGAGTGAAGGCATTTTATTCAGTGGAAGCATTTTCTCAGATGAGCCTACTCACCTTTGATATGCAAGTCCAGTAAGAAAAAATCTGTAGCCGGAAATGCCAAGACAGGACTAAATTAATCATAGCTGCTGCAAATATACAAATTAACAACCTCCCGTTCCTCACTAAATCCTATCCTACTTAGGTTAGGCCATCCCTTAGCTAATGCCCCCTTTTCTGCCTCATAGAGACACATAAAACACTGATGAAAAAAGAATTGTTCCAAAATCAAAATTCAGTATGAGGCATAAAAATGACAACTGGGAATATATTTCCCCTATTTAATGGACATTTTCCTATGTTTTTAAATGTGATTAAAGCAATTTTTTTCCACAGCCTCTCTATTAAGCCCCAATATACATAATTTACTACTCAGTAATAATACTTAAATATGGATCAAGAAAATAAAGGACTACTACAGCCTAAGAATCTGCTGGTGTCTCAGTTTCACATACTTAGGTTTTTCAGGTTATATCACTAATTTATCATCAGTTTAAATAAAAATTTGCAGGTGATTTTAAAGCTAAGAATAAATATCTAGCTTTCTGTTAAGATCTTCATATCCTAATTTCAACTCCAAATTAGCCCATTTTATCCAAACACAAGCCTCTCAAAATAGAGGCTTATGAATGAGATACAGCCACAACCTAATTACAGCAGCATGAACAATGCCACTAGGATGTCCTCACAGAACTTAAATAAATTCAGCCCACAATGGGTATGGGTACATAATATACACATACTGTATCACTGCATACCAATATATTTACAAATATGTATACATATATACAAAAAGTATACACAGAGATTGCATGTAGCATCACAAAAATATACATATGCCATTACAAATAAAATAAGAATTTCAAATAAATAAGGTCAACAAAAGAGCCCTCAAGGTAAATACCCTCTATGATTTCCAAACACACACAGGAACATATACACCCAAAACATCACCAGGAGACTCATAGCATTCATATTCATATCAAATCTTTTACTCAGGGTGGGGAGGTGGTTTTGAATCACTGGCAATGGCCAAATTAGCAGACCTTGGTACCTGACTATATTTCCAGTCCAGAGTGTTCTCTGTATATCAGGCTGATTACAAGTCTCCATAAATAAAATTTTTCAGCTGGGTCCAAACTGCTTCTCAGAGACAGAAAGTTACTATATCACACATGTCAGAGATTAAACTTGGAGGAGAGTGCTAAAGAAAGCTCCATAATACCTAATACATAAATCCGATTTGTCGCTTTTCCCATTATCCTGACTAAATCAGTATAATTACGACATAATCTGTTTCAGGGAATTCTATTGCACAAAGGAAATAAAGGGCAGTAGCCAGAAGTTGGAGGGGAGGGAACCACCCGGATCCTCTATCAGGAAAACTCCAGCCACAATTGGATTGCACTTTGCTTCTGAAATCCTGAAACGTTTCAATTTGGTAAAAATAAAGAGGGTACAATAAATTCTGTGCTTTGAAAGGTTTGAGAGCACCACTTTCTAAGAGAAACACACACATGCAAATGAAGAATACATCCTGGCTAGAATAAAAGATAAAATGTCAGATTTGTGGATTTTTACAATAAAAATTTGATACTGTTTTGTGCCAAAATACAAATCCCTAATTATTCTTTCTTGTTCATTATAGAAAGCAGTCTGAGCTACTGAGAAGACTGGGCTGAGATGAGGAGATCTGAGTTTTAGTTCTAGCTCTATCACTATGAATAGCTTTTTGGGTCTCAGCTTTCTCTTCTGTAAAATAGAGAAGATAGTTGCTTTACCAACTTCAGAAATATACAGATAAAGAAAGAGAAAATTCCACTGTGCTTCATTTTGTTTTGTGTATAACTGACTTCTTGCAGTCTTATGCTTTCTATGTTGTTTACAGTGATAGTTAAGAGAGATGAGAGACTATCAGAATCTCCAGGGACAGTTTGTGCAATTTGAAAACAAAGGAGTGCTTTTTCCCTTTGCTTTGCTCTGTTCTTAGTTCCAATATTTAAATTTTTATGAATTATAAAATTAAATACATTAGGGTTTAAATTTTTTTATAAAGGGCAGGTGGTATGCATTTTTAAAAAATGAAATTCTTTGCCACTATCATCAGCTCAAGCCCATTGGGCAACTGTCCTTTTAGATAATTCTTCTCCCTTGATTAAAGAAATACAGAAGCTGGGTAAGGTACAAGGAGGATTTATTAAACTGTATGTTTAGGCTGGGCGTGGTGGCTCATGCCTGTAATCCCAGCACTTTGGGAGGCCGAGGCCAACGGATCACCTCAAATCAGGAGTTCGAGACCAGCCTGACCAACATGGTGAAACCCCATCTCAAAACACAAAATTAGCTGGGTGTGGTGGCACATGCCTGTAATCCCAGCTACTGGGGAGGCTGAGGCAGGAGAATCACTTGAAACTGGAAGGTGGAGGTTGCAGTGAGCTGAGATCCTGCCACCACACTGCAGCCTGAGTAACAAGAGTGAAACTCCGTCTCAAAAACAAAAAACAAAAAAACTATGTTTAAAACTTTCATAAAAAGAAAGAAAAGGCAAAGTGTTCATGCAAATGTGACCTTCCTAATGAAGCCTACCCTGATCATCACTTTTTCTTTTCTTTTTTTCCAGAGACGAGGTCTTGCTTTGCCATCCAGGCTGGAGTGCAGTGGTGCAATCACAGCTCACTGCAGCCACAAACTCCTGGGCTCAAGTGACCCTCCCACCTCGGCCTCCCAGGTAGCTGGGACTAATAGGGTCATGCCACCATGCCCTGCTTGATCACTCTTTTAAACATTGTTCTTCTCTTAAGAAAACAAACAAAAGATTTACCTTACCATAATCTACACTTTTCCATCCTACTTAACATTTTCTAACATAAATTACTTATGTTTATTGCCTTACTCCTTCTACTAGAATGTAAGCTTCATGAACATGAGGATTTTTAAGTCTATTTTGTTTGCTTCCCCAATGCCCAGAAGAAAATCTGGAGTATAGTCTTTGTTTAATACGCATTTTTTTGAAGGCATCAATGAAACAATAACATTTTCCAGCACAGTTTTCCTCTCTTTGAAGATTCAAGATCACTTCAGTCCACTTTAGATTTTTAACTACCAGTAAGGAATTACACTATTAGCTTAAGGGGCAACATCATAAGGGTCAATGTTGTGATTTCTAAGACCCTCATTTTTAGACAAGCATGTTTCTAATCATAAAAGCTCTAATTTCCTCAGGAGAGTCTCTGTCTGTACTAGTTTCTAAAACAGCTAAGTGGGACCCAGATTTTCTTGAACAAAATCTAGGTAAATATGACTTACAAAAGAAAAGGTTGTGTACACTACAAACAGGGTAAATAGTTCTCTTGGTGGTTGGAGTGGGGAAATCAATATTTTTGGAACCAAGAGTCCAAATTACAGAATCAGAGTTGGAGAAGACCTGGGCCAACCTCTTCATTTTACAGATGAGAGTGCTAACAAGCAGAGACATGAAGACAGTTGTCAAAGGGCATAACGCTTAAGTTACCAGGAAAGCCAGGACTAGAACTTAGGTCTCCTAGTTCTCAGACCAGTGTTCTTTATGCTTAACGGGGGAGGATAAAGCTCAGAACAGTAAATACTATTTTAAACATTAGAGGACAGGAAACTCTGTGTTGGTAGGAGCATAACTGGCACAGGACTTAAGGGGAATTGAAACAAGAGGTCAGAAAACCGAAGATAGTCTATTGCTGTAGTTCAATGAACACTGTTACTAAAGGAAAGCTATGAAGTTTATTAAGATACTGAAAAAAAAGGAAAGCAGTCTTTACCTGAAAATGAAAACCCACTAGCAAAGGAAATCTTTCCAGGGTAACTTTTCCCAAGCTTTCTGAAATACTGTTTGAAAGAACAAACAAAAAAATTTTTAAAAAGTAAACAGGCCAGGTACAGTGGCTCACACCTGTAATCCTAGCACTTTGGGAGGTTGAGGCAGGAGGATCACTTGAGCCCAGGAGTTTGAGGCCAGCCTGCTCAACAAAGTGAGACCATGTCTCTACAAAAAATTAAAAAATAAAGAAAATTAGCCAGGCATGGTGGCGCATGCCTGTAGTCCCAGCTACTTGGGAGGCTGAGGTGAGAAGATTGCCTGAATCCAGGAATTTGAGGCTGCAGTGAGCCATGAATGTACCGCTGCACCCCAACCTGGGCAACAAAGCAAGACTCTGTCTCTTAAAAAAAAAAAAAAAAAAAAGTAAAATACTCCCCAAGTCCCCAAACCCCAAAAACAGTAACTTTGGACTTCAGGTTTGAAAAATCAGCAAATCAAAGCAGGAATGGGAATAACTTAGACCCAAATTAGTCTCTATGCCAGAAATGAAAACCAAGTTAAAAATAATAGCCAGGTGCGGTGGCTCACGCCTGTAATCCCAGCACTTTGGGAGGCTGAGGCAGGCAGATCACAAGGTCAGGAGTTTGAGACCAGCCTGACCAACATGGTGAAACCCCGTCTCTACTAAAAATACAAAAATTAGCCAGGCATGGTGGCGGGCACCTGTAATCCCAGCTACTCGGGAGGCTGAGGCAGGAAAATTGCTTGAACCTGGGAGGCGGAGGTTGCAGTGAGCCGAGATAGCCCCACTGCACTCCAACCTGGGCAACAAAAGCAAGACTCTGTTTCAAAAAAAATAAATAAATTTAGAGTATAATTTACCTAGGGCCATGGGAAAGAGATATCAAAAGCAATCAGCTCACTTCTCCTGGGACTGCCAGATGTGATCCTGTACAGAAAATTAGGTATAAGGCCTTCTCATTCATAGATTTCTGAAATTGAATGCTGCATAATCAAAAAGGAGGGAGGACTTCATAGCAAGTGACTGTGAAATTATAAAGGGAATGACAGGGAAGGAAAACACAAAAAAGAAAAATCTTTATAATATACACTGAGTCCTATTTAAGATAATAAAAATTTTGTGCATGAATATAAAATACTAAATACAGGGAATGTTAATAAATCTTATTTCCAAATTACCAATGCAAAATCAACTTACATTTTAGGTTTCATAACACCCAGTTACCCCTTACCAAAATTTAAAACATCTATGACTTTGAAGTCTCATAAATTTGAATGAGGCAAAAAATTAAAACTTTATGTCACAGACATCAATCCAGTCTTTAAATGTGATCTCATAAACCAAGAGTTTAAATAGAATTCCTATTGGAGACATTGTATTATGAAACCAATGACATGGTTTTTTGACTAAAATATTTCAAAGTTGTTTCCTTTTTCATTTCCAGCATTCACAGACTACAAAGAAAATATGCAAATAAATCTCATAATACTCATACATTCCAAGTAATATTACCACCTCAAGTCCTCAATCAAGATGTAGCTTTCAGATGCAATTCAATCCAATTTCTGAAATTATGACAGTATTGAAAGAAATTAAATGATTTCAAAAAACTGGCTTGATCATGTTTCAAAGGATCAAACATTTTTCTACCAGCTAAGTTGGAATGAGAAAAAATATATTATGGAGGGACTCTGTTCTTGATTTTCAGTAGTCCATGGTGGCTAGCTTCATCATTATGAACCATTACATATTTCCAAATCCAGACATTTAACTTAGGTCCAAGTATAAGAGTTGGATTTACCTCATTATACAAAAATAAATGATTTACTCTTCTCAGGGTGAGAATAGTGACTATTTGAGTGTAGGATTAGAAGTTGGAGGTAAATATCCATCCCTCAAAATCAAAAAATAAAAATTCCAAGGTTAAGATTTTAAAAGACCTGAAAGGTTGCATTTTAAAACAGTTACCCTAAAAGTGTGAACATTTTTTTGTTTGTTTTTAAAATGGTGGCCCTAAATTAAAAAATAAAAACTAAGTAACACCACTATGTGTCTTATCACGTTAGAAAACTGCACCATTTAAAATTTGTGGAAAATGAAAACTTGTTTCGACAACAGGGTTTTTGTTTTAATAGTCATCAATGGTATTCTCAAAGAACACGTTTCGAACATCCAGAATGGATGCTAATTCCAAAATGTGCTTCTGGAGATGAGGATTCTCCACTGTTTCATCCCTTGGCAGTTGTGGATATGATTCTGGATAATTTCGTGTTTCCTGGTAGGCAAAGAAGAGAAAAGTCAAGTTTTGTAGTCTAATGAAAGAAAATTATACACATTGATAACAGTGTCAAGGAGTAATATGTATTTTCACTTTTATACTGGAATGATTCTTATTAATATATTTGTTGAATATTGAATTGCTGATATTTAACCATTTTGACCTCTAAAAATGACAGTTTCAGATGAATCAATGTAATATATTCATTTAGTGAGTTATTCCACAAATGTTTACTGAGGCCTATTGTTGCTAGACACTATGCTCTGTATCACGTGGAAACCATATAATTCATGCTACTGGGGGGAAAATCCTAACACATATAGAATTTCAACAAGTATATGTTAAATAAATAAAAAGATATTGCTTTGGAAATTAAAATGAGGCTGGGGCAGCCGGGCACCATGGCTCACGCCTGTAATCCCAGCACTTTGGGAGGCCGAAGCGGGCAGATCATGAGGTCAGGAGTTTGAGACCAGCCTGGCCAACATGCTGAAACCCCATCTCTACTAAAATACAAAAATTAGCCGGGCATGGTGGTGGGCACCTGTAATCTCAGCTATTCAGGAGGCTGAGGCAGGAGAACTGCTTGAACCCGGGAGGCGGAGGTTGCAGTGAGTTGAGATCACGCCATTGCACTCCAGCCCAGGTGTTTCACCATGTTGGCCAGCCTGGTCTCGAACTCCTGAACTCAGGTGATCTGCCCGCCTCAGCCTCCCAAAGTGTTGGGATTACAGGCGTGAGCCACCGTGCCCGGCCTAGAAATTCTTCTTCATTTGGTAAGTTCTATAAACTATAATCCTGCCATACATTTAAAATTTCCTGAAGAAGTTGCTACTTTTCTGTACATTTCATGCAACAGTTCATACATACAAATGTTAACTTCTCTCTACCTATAGGACTCACTCACACATTACAAAAATAAATTTTTTTTTTTGAGATAAAATCTCACTGTGTTGCCCAGGCTGGCTTACTGCAGCCTTGCAATGAGCTCAAGCAATCCTCCCACCTCAGTCTCCCAAGAAGCTGGCACCACAGGTGTGCACAACCATGCGCAGCTAATTTTGGTATTTTTTGTAGAGACAGGGTCTTGCCATGTTGGTCTTGAACTCCTGAGCTCAACCAATCTACACGCCTCGGGCCTCCCCAAGTGCTGGGATTACAGGCGTGAGCCACTGCACCCAGCCCTAATTAGAGGTTTAAATACTACTGTTTCAGAAATTGAAAAAGCAGACAGAAAATCAACAAAAATACAGAAGATACAAAGAACACTCTTCAATTTAGTTTAATATCAAATGGAACAAACTGACATTTTTATATCATTCCATCTAGTAATAGCAGAATACACTGAATTCTTTTCAAGTGCAGATAAAACCACTGCCAAGATAATTCACATGCTTGGGTTAAAAAACAAACTGAATAAATTTTAAAACTGAAACTATACAGTTAAAGCAATGCTTAAAAGGTAAGTACTTCTATGCTCAATAGTTACACAATCCTCCCACTGAAACATCACAGCAATCTCATGAGGTAGCTTCTGTTATCATTTTACAGATAAGTAAACTAAGGCTAAGAAAGGTGAGATCACTCTTCAATGTCACACAGCTAGTGAGAGGCACCTTGTATTTTTTTAGTAACGGTTTTATTAAGATACAATTAACATACCATACAATTCACCCATTTAAAGTATACAATTCAGTGGCATTTAATATATCCAGAAAGTTGTTTAACTATCACCACAACCAATTTTAGAGCATTTCGTCACCCCCAAAAGAAGCTCTTTATTCTCTAGCAGATCCCTCCCCCATTCGCCCCAGTCCCCTCCCTCAGCCCTGGATAACCACGCATGTGCTTCTGGTATCAAAAAATTTGCTTATTCTGGACATTCCATATAAATAAGTCATATAATATGTGGTCAAAAATAAAAGGTGGCCGGGTGTGGTGGCTCACCCTTGTAATCCCAGCACACTGGGAGGCCAAAGCAGGCGGATTATCTGAGGTCAGGAATTTAAGACCAGCCTGGCCAACATGGTGAAACCTCATCTCTACTAAAAATACAAAAAATTAGCTGGGTGTGGTGGTGCACATCTGTAGTACCCAGCTACTTGAGAGGGTGAGGCAGGAGAATTGCTTGAGCCCAAGAGGCGGAGGTTGCAGTGAGCCAAGATCGCGCCACTGCACTCCAGCCTAGGCGACAGAGCGAGACTCCGTCTAAAAAAAAAAAAAAAAAAATTAAAGATAAATGCTTGTGTTAGAAGAGAAGGTTTCAGATCTAAGCTTAAAACACTATAATATATATTAAAGTAAAAAGGAAAGAATAATAAAGTATGAATGGAAATAAATGAAACAGAAAAGAGAAACAGCTACTCAGGGGATGGAGATGGGAGGATCTCTTGAGCCCAGGAGTTCCAGGCCAGCCTCGACAACATAGCAAGACACTGTCTCAAAAATTTAAAATAAATAAGGCCGGGTGTGATGGCCTTATTCGTTTTTTAGTTTCTACCAAAAAATACAAAAATTAGCTGGGCATGGTGGCGGGTGCCTGTAATCCCAGCTACTTGGGAGGCTGAGGCATGAGAATTGCTTGAACCCGGGAGGCAGAGGTTGCAGTGAGCTGAGAGCACGCCACTGCCCTCCTGACTGGGCAACAGAGTGAGACTCTGTCTCAAAAAAAATTTTTTTAAATAAATAAATACATACATAAGTGAAAAAAAAAGAAACAAACGGTAGTGAAAAAAACGAAAGTTAATGGAAGTTTACCAAGACAGAAAAAGAAAGAAAAAACAAATTACTAATAAGGGATATGAAAGATCACTACAGTGCCTACAGGAATAAAAGGACAATGGAAAATTATAAACAATATTATGCCAACAAATTAGATAAATGCCTTTCAAGGCACAAATTATCAAAATTGACTAAGAAGTAACAGAATGCATAAACAGCCCTTTGAAAGTGGATTCATAATTTTAAATCTAAAAAAGAAAATTCCAGGCCCAGGTGGCTTCAAGGAAGAAATAATTCTAATCTAAACAAACTTTTTAAGAAATAGAAGAGAATGAAGAACATATCAACTCAATTTATGAGGTCAGCGCTATCCTGATAACAAAACCACATGAAGACATTACGAGAAAAATAAAAACCAAAATCATTCATAAAACAGATATAAAAATCCATAATGAAATATTAGCAAATTCAACCCAGCAATGCAAAAAGGACAATATATGACCACAAAATGGGTTTAATAGCTATGCAAGGTTGATTTAACTTTTTTTTTTATTTTTTGAGATGGAGTTTCGCTCTTGTTGCCCAGGCTGGAGTGCAATGGCACAATCTTGGCTCACCACAACTTCCGCCTGCTGGGTTCAAGAGATTTTCCTGCCTCAGCCACCCTAGTAGCTGGGATTACAGGCATGCGCCACCACGCCTGGCTAATTTTTGTATTTTTAGTAGAGACAGGGTTTCTCCATGTTGGTCAGGTTGGTCTCGAACTCCCAACCTCAGGTGATCTGCCCACCTCGACCTCCCAAAGTGCTGGGATTACAGGCGTGAGCCACCGCGCCTGGCTGATTTAACATTAAAAGATCAATTAATGTTATTCACTCCATTAACAGAATATATTAGATCAGTAGATGCAGAAAAAAGTTTTGCGAATCATCCATACCCATTCCTGATACAAACTCTTAGTAAATTAAGAATGGAAGGGAGCTCAGTCAATCTGAGAAAGGGTATCTATGAATAACCAACAATTTACATCATAATTTATGGTTAAAGACTAACATCTTTCCCCTAAAATCAGGAAGAAGGCAAGGATGTCCATTTTCACTACTTTTATTCAACATTTTACTAGAAGACCTAGCCCTGATATAAAGCACTAATAACAAGAAAAGGCATATAGATTGGAAAAAAAGAAGTAAAGCTGTTTTTTGTTTAAGGATGGATGACATGATCTTGTATATAGAAAATTTTAAGGAACATGTAAAAAAGCTAAAAGAACTAACAAAATTTAGCAAGACTGCAGGACACAAGGTCAACTGTATTTTTTTTTTTTTTTTTTAAGAAAGGGTTTCTCATTCTTTCACCCAGGATGGAGAGCAGTGGCATGATCATGACTCAGGGTAGCCTTGACCTCCCAGGCTCAAGTGATCCTGTTACCTCGGCCTCCCAGGTAACTGGGGCTATGGGCATGTGCCACCACAGCCCAAGTAATTTTTTGTATTTTTTGTAGAGACAGGGTTTCACCATGTTACCCAGCTGGTCTCCAACTCCTGGGATCAAGTGATCTGCCTGCCTCAGCTTCCCAAAGTGCTGGCATTAAAGGAGTGAGCCAGCATACCCAGCCACAAGGCCAGTGTTTTAAAAGTGCATTTCTATGTATTAGCAACAAGCAACTGAAAAATGAAATAAAAATAATTCAATTTTTTTTTTTTGAGATGGAGTCTCACTCTGTTGCCCAGGCTGGAGTGCAGTGGTGCAATCTCGGCTCATTGCAACCTCCGCCTCCCAGGTTCAAGTGATTCTCTTGCCTCAGCCTCCCAAGTAGCTGGGACTACAGGCATACGCCACCACACCCGGCTAATTTTTTTTTTTTTTGTATTTTTAGTAAAGATGAGGTTTCACCACCTTGGCCAGGCTGGTCTCCAACTCCTGACCTTGTGATCCGCCCGCCTCTGCCTCCCAAAGTGCTGAGATTAGAGGTGTGAGGTACCGCGCCTGGCCAAATAATACAATTTTTTTTTTTTTTTTAAAAAGACGGAGTCTCACTCTGTTGCCCAGGCCGGAGTGCAATGGCACGACCTCGGCTCACCACAACCTCCGCCTCCCGGGATCAAGTGATTCTCCCTGCCTCAGCCTCCCAAGTAGCTGGGATTACAGGCACCCGCCACCACACACAGCTAATTTTTGTATTTTTAGTAGAGATATGGTTTTGCCTTGTTGGCCAGGCTGGTCTTTAACTCCTGACCTCAGGTGACCTGCCCACCTTGGCCTCCCAAAGTGCTGGGATTACAGGTATGAGCCACCATGTCCAGCCAAATAATTCAATTTTTAAAGCATACTGGAACATAAAATATTTTGGAATAAATTATGAAACACATGCAAGACCTGTATGATAAAAACTATAAAATCCTGGTGAAAGAAACTAAACATATAAGTAAATGAGGATATATACCATTATTATTGACTGGAAGGTTCAATATTATTAAAATAGTAATTCCCCACAGGTGAATTATATATAGATTTTTAATACAATTCCAAGCAAAATGTGACATGGATGCTAAAATTTATATAGACGTACAAAGGAACTAAAACAACCAAAATACCTAAAAATCTTTTGGGGAAGGGGACTCTCCCTATCAGATTTTAAGACTTTTTTAAAGCTACAATAGTAAAGGCAGTAGTGTATTTGAGACAAATCCTGTAGGTCAATGGAAGAGAATTTAGAGTTCAGAAATATCCTTATACATATATGCTTAATTGATTTTCAACAAAGTTACCAAAGTAACTCAATGGGAAAAGAAAAATCTTTTCAACATATGGTACTAGGACAACTGCATATGCATATTAAAAAACTTTAACCTTTATCTCACACTTTAAACAAAAATTAACTCAAAATAAACCATAGACCTACATGTAAAAGCTGAAACTATAGAATTCCTAGAAGAAAATAGGAGAAGGCCAGGCGTGGTGGCTCACGCCTGTAATCCCAGCACTTTGGGAGGTGAAGGCAGAGGGATCACTTGAGGTCAGGAATTCGAGATCAGCCTGGCCAACATAGTGAAAACCCCTCTCTACTAAAAACAAAAAAATTAGCTGGGTGTGGTGGTGGGCACCTGTAATACCAGCTACTCGGGAGGCTGAGGAAGGAGAATTGCTTGAATCCGGGAGGCAGAGGTTGCAGTGAGCCAAGATTGTGCCACTGCACTCCAGCCTGGGTGAGAGTGAGACTCAGTCTCAAAAAAAAAAAAAAAAGAACAAACAAAAAAACAAAATCTCTGTAACTTTAAGTAAAGATTTCTGGGATAATACACAAAAACACAAATCAGAGAAGAAAAAACTCAGATTTTTCATCGTAGCTTCAATTTGCATTGAACTAAACTTTTAATTTTGATGAAATTTTATTTTTTAAGAATTTTGTTCCCCTTCCTGTGTCCATGTGTTCTCATTGTTCAATGGGAGGGATAGCATTAGGAGATATACCTAATGCTAAATGACGAGTTAATGGGTGCAGCACACCAACATGGCACATGTATACATATGTAACAAACCTGCATGTTGTGCACATGTACCCTAAAACTTAAAGTATAATAATAATAAAATTTAAAAAAAAAAGCATTTCAAATGAAAAAAAAAAAAGAATTTTGATGAAATTTTAAATACCCCTACATATCCATCAGAATGGTCAGATTTAAAAGTCTGACAACAATGTTGGCAAGAATGAAAAGCAACCTTCAAAAGCTACTGGTGGGAATGTAACTATGGTACAACCACTTTGAGATAAGGCCTAGCAATTTCATATATATATATATATATATACACACACACATATATATACACATATATATATATACACACATATATATACACACATATATATATATATAAAATACTTTAAGTTCTAGGGTACATGTGCCATGCAGGTTTGTTACATATGTACACATGTGCCATGTTGGTGTGCTGCACCCATTAACTCGTCATTTACATTAGGTATATCTCCTAACGCTATCCCTCCCCCATCCCCCCCACCCCACAATAGGCCCCGATGTGTGATGTTCCCCTTCCTGTGTCCAAGTGTTCTCATTGTTCAGTTCCCACCTATGAGTGAGAAGATGTGGTGTTTGGTTTTTTGTCCTTGCGACAGTTTGCTGAGAATGATGGTTTCCACCTTCATCAATGTCCCCACAAAGGACATGAACTCATCCTTTTTTATGGATGCATAGTATTCCATGGTGTATATGTGCCACATTTGCTTAATCCAGTCTATCATTGATGGACATTTGGGTTGGTTCCAAGTCTTTGCTACTGTGAATAGTGCCGCAATAAACATATATGTGCATGTGTCTTTATAGCAGCATGATTTATAATCCTTTGGGTATATACCCAGTAATGGGATTGCTGGGTCAAACGGTATTTCTAGTTCTAGATCCCTGAGGAATCACTGCAATTTCTTATAAAACTAAACACATACCAATACTATGACCAAAAAAATTCAAAACAAATGTCTGTGCAAAGGCTTGTACAAGCCTTTTTATAATAAAAAGCGGTTTTATTTCTATTAGCCAACTATTTATTTATTTAAAGACAGGAACTCCCTCTCTCACCCAGGCTGGAATGCAGTGGCGTGATCATAATTCACTGTAACATGGAACTGCTGGGGCTCAAGCGACGCCCCAGCTTTGGCCTCCTGAAGTATTCAGATTACAGACAGGAGCCACCATGCCCTGGCCCGTAATAGCCAACACTGTACAACTGCCATGTATTCATCAGGAGGAGAATGCCTGAACTGTGGTATGCTCAGACAATGGAATACTACTCAGTAACAAAAAGGAATGAGCTACTGATATCTGAAACAACTGGAATGAATCTCAAGCACAATGCAATGCTTAGTCACAGAAGGTTTACACAAGAGTCCATACTGTGTGAGTCAAGTTCACGAACAGATGCAAGTAATCTCGAGTGAAAACAATCACAAGAGTGACAGCCTCTGGGGTAATGGGTACTGGACTGACTAAAAAGGAGGATAGAAGGAACAATCTGGAATGATGCTATCTTGTACAAATTGACAAAGGTTTAGGTTACACAGATGTATTTCCTCAAAACTCACTTAATGGTAAACTTTAATTTTGTGCATTTCACTGTATGTAAACTTTACATAAAAAAGAATTAGTAGGTGGGTCACAGTGGCTCATGCCTATTACCCCACTTTGGGAGGCCAAGGTGGGAGGATTGCTTGAGGCCAGAAGTTTGAGGCCACCCTGGGCAATGCAGCAAAACCCCATCTCTACAAAAAAATTTAAAAATTAGCTGGGCATGTTGGTGCACCGTACTCAGGTGGTCCCAGCTATTCAGGAGGCTAGAAGCAGGAGGACTGCTTGAGCCCAGGAGACTGAGGCTGCAGTAAGCTACAATTGCATCCCTGTACTCCAAACTGCATGACAGACAGAGACTCTGTCTCAAATTAAAAAAAAAAAAAAAAAAATTAGTAGTTGGGCAGTGGCAATGTGCCTATAGTTCCAGCTATGTTTGATGCTGAGGCAGGAGGATAGCTTGAATCCAGAAGTTCAAGATCAGCCTAGGCAACATAGGAAGATCTCATCTCATTAAAAAAAAAAAAAGTAAACATATTACATATATGCATGATGAAGTGTTTGTGGGTGACGTCCGCAATTTACTTCAAAATGCATTAAAAAATAAGATGGTGTCAGGCGTGGTGGCTCATCCCTGTAATCCTAGAACTTTGGGAGGCTGAGGCGGTTGGATCACCTGAGGCCAGGAGTTCGAGACCAGCCTGGCCAATATGGTGAAACTCCATCTCTACTAAAAATACAAAAATTAGCTGGGCGTGGTGGCACACACCTGTAATCCCAGCTACTCGGGAGGCTGAGGCAGGAGAATTGCTTGAACCCAGGAGGCAGAAGTTGCAGTGAGCAGTGATCACGCCATTGTACTCCAGCCTAGGCAACAGAGCAAGACTCCATCTCAAAAAAAAAAAAAAAAGATCTACTGATGAATGGTAAGACGAATCCATAAATGGACAAATATGTCAGAACTCAAATATAGCTGACCCCTGAACAATGCAGGGGTTAGGGATGCTGAGCCCCCTCCCTAACACAGTTAAAAATCCATGTATAACTTTCAACTCCCTGAAAAATCCATGTATAACTTTTAACTACCTGAAATTTAACTAATAAATGTCCTTTGTGGCAGTTTTTTTTTTTTTTTTTCCAGAAAAGGTACTTTCTTCTGCACTAAAAACCTGTTCAGGCAGGTATCCTTTCCCCTCAGTGGCACCTGGGAACTTGTCTGCTGCCTCTTGGTTGGCAGAAGCTGCTTCTCGTGTTAACATTTTTAAAGCCAAAGCTCTTTTGAAAATTATCAAACCCTTTTTTTGCCAGAATTTAATTCTCTAGCTGTAGATCCTTCACTTTCCTTTTGCTTTGTTATATAATGAGTTTGCTTTTTCTCAAATCATAATATATGTCTTTTTTTTTTTTTTTTTTTTGCGGGGGGGGATGGAGTCTTGCTCTGTCGCCCAGGCTGGAGTGCAGTGGTGTGATCTCAGCTCACTGCAACCTCCACCTTCTGGGTTCAAGCAGTTCTCCTGTCTCAGCCTCCCGAGTAGCTGAGACTACAGGCTCACGCCACGACGCCCAGCTAATTTTTGTATTTTTAGTAGAGACGAGAGTTTCACCATATTGGTCAGGCTGGTCTTGAATTCTTGACCTAAGGTGACCAACCCGCTGTGGCCTGCCAAAGTGCTGGGATTACAGGTGTGAGCTACTGTGCCCGGTCTGTAAGTATGTCTTATAGCAACCTTGCACCTACATAAATGCTACATTTTCATTATGAGATAAAAAGGTATTTCACAAAAAGTGTAAGGTTTTCATGGCTGCTAACGTAGCTACAGTGATGGCTTCACAGATTTTCTTTTCTTTTTTTACAACACTCCTTACTGGATTAATTATCTTAAAATGGCATGCAACCACAATGGCAAACCTTGATCTATGGTACATATCAAGCAATTCAACTTATAGCCTACCAGTAACTAGAAACCTTACAGATAACATAAACAGTCAATTAACAAATACTTTGTATATTATATGTATTATATATTGTTTTTTCTTTTTCTTTCTTTTTCTTTTTTTTTTTTGAGACAGTCTTGCTCTGTCACCCAGGCTGGAGTGCAGTCGCGCGATCTTGGCTCACTGCAACCTCCACCTCCCAGGTTCAAGTGATTCTCGTGTCTCAGCCTCCTGAGTAGCCGGGATTACAGGTGCATGCCACCACAGATGGCTAATTTTTGTATTTTTAGTAGAGATGGGGTTTCACCATGTTGGCCAGGCTGGTCTTGAACTCCTGACCTCAGGTGATGTACCCTCCTCAGCCTCCCATAGTGCTGGGATTACAGGCGTGAGCCACCACACCCAGCCTATATACTGTATTCTTACAATACAGTTAGCTAGAGAAAAGAATTTTTTCCCCCCCGAGACGGAGTTTTGCTTTTGTTACCCAGGCTGGAGTACAATGGTGCAATCTTGGCTCACTGCAACCTCTGCCTCCCAGGTTCAAGCGATTCTCCTGTCTCAGCCTCCCGAGCAGCTGGGATTACAGGTGCTCACACCATGCTCGGCTAATTTTTGTATTTTTAGTAGAGACGGGGTTTCACCATGTTGGCCAGGCTGGTCTTGAACTCCTGACCTCATGATCTGCCCACCTTGGCCTCCCAAAGTGCTGGGATTACAGGCGTGAGCCACAGCGCCGGGCTGAGAAAAGAAAATGTTACTAAGAAAATTGGCCAGGGCTGAGCACGGTGGCTCACACCTGTAATCCTAGCACTTTAGGAGGCTGAGGCAGGAGGATCACTTGAGGCCAGGAGTTCGAGACCAGGTTGGCCAACATGGCGAAATCCCACCTCTACTAAAAATACAAAAATTAGGCGGGCATGGTGGAACATGCCTGTAATCCCAGCTACTCAGGATGCTGAGGCAGAATAATCTCTTGAACCCCGGAGGTGCAGGTTGCAGTGAGCTGAGATCGCGCCACTGTGCTCCAGCCTTCCAACCTGGGCAACAGAGTGAGAATCTGTCTCAAAAAAAAAAAAAAAAAAAAAAAAAGGAAAAAGAAAATCATAAGGAAGAGAAATATATTTACTATTCATTAAATGGAAGTGGATTATCATAAAGGTCTTCATCCTCATTGCCTTCACATTGAGTAGGCTGTGGAGGAGGAGGAGGGGTTGGTCTTGCTGTCTCAGGGGTGGCAGAGAGAGGAGAGGTGAAGGAGATGGAAGGGGAGGCAGGAGAGACAGGCAACTGGGTATAATTTTATGCAAATATGTCATAATTTGTGTCTGACATTTCTGCTTTTTCATTTCTCTAAAATGTTTCTATATGGCACCAATCCTTCCACTATTTGCTTTCATTTCAGTGTCCATTATCATAGAAGCATCCATCTCATAGAAGTCAAAAGCCCAATCCTGAATAATCTAAACCCTTCTGCTGGGTTGTCTAATGTCCATTTGTTTTCTGCCACTGCTTCTTCTATGTCTGCTTCCTGGCACTGGTTCAGAAACATTCATGTCCACCCCACGTCATCTTCTGTTAATTCTTCTGGTGTGGTGTCTATTAGCTCTTGAATTTCTCCAAGATCTGTATCTCGAAACCCTTCACTCCCCACCCTTTTTGCCACATCCACAATCTCTTTCATGATTTCCTTGATTGTCACAAATCCTCTGAAGTCATGCACAACATCTAGACACAGTTTTCTCCAGCAGGAATGATTCCAGGCTTGATGGCTTTCAAGCCTTTTTCTGTAATAATGATGGCATTTCCAATGGTGGAATCCTTTCAGGCTTTCATGATGTTCTCTCCATTGGGGGTTCTCTTCCATAGTTTTGATAATACATACTCTGTGTAATGAACCTTAAAGGTCCTTAGGACCCCCCATCTAGAGGCTGACATTGTGTTCTGGGGCAAGTAGGCCACTTTGATACCTTCAGTATAGAATTAATGGGGTTCTGGACAGCCACGGCATTGCCAAATATCAAAAAAACTTTAAAAGGTAGTCCCTTACTGGCAAGGTACTTCCTGATTTCAAGGACACAGCATCAACGAAACTAATCTGGAAGAAAGTTCCTGTTGTCCAGACCTTCTTGTTGTACTGGCAGCTGGTGTTTATCTTTTCTGTCAAGGTGCATTAGCAGCTTTATAGATAAAGACTCTCCTGATCATAAACCCAAGTGCATTTGCACAAAATAACAGAGTTGTCTATCCCTTCCTGTTTAAATCCTGGTGTTCACTTCTCTTCCTTACTAATAAATGTCTTTTGTGGCAGGTTTTTTTTTTTTTTCCAGAAAAGGTACTTTCTGGGAACTTGTCTGCTGCCTCTTGGTTGGCAGAAGCTGCTTCTCGTGTTATCTTAACATTTTTAAAGCCAAAGCTCTTTCGAAAATTATCAAACCCTTTCTTGCCAGAATTTAATTCTCTAGCTGTAGATCCTTCACTTTCCTTTTGCTTTGTTATATAATGAGTTTGCTTTTTCTCAAATCATAATATATGTCTTTTTTTTGTGTGTATGTCGGGGGGGAATGGAGTCTTGCTCTGTCGCCCAGGCTGGAGTCCAGTGGTGTGATCTCAGCTCACTGCAACCTCCGCCTTCTGGTTTCAAGCAGTTCTCCTGTCTCAGCCTCCCGAGTAGCTGAGACTACAGGCTCACGCCACGACGCCCAGCTAATTTTTATATTTTTAGTAGAGACGAGGGTTTCACCATATTGGTCAGGCTGGTCTTGAAATCTTGACCTAAGGTGATCCACCCTCTGTGGCCTCCCAAAGTGCTGGGATTACAGGCGTGAGCTACTGTGCCCGGCCTGTAAGTATGTCTTATAGCAACCTTGCACCTACATAAACGCTACATTTTCATTATGAGATAAAAAGGTATTTCACAAAAAGTGTAAGGTTTTCATGCCTGCTAACGTAGCTACAGTGATGGCTTCACAAATTTTCTTTTCTTTTTTTACAACACTCCTTACTGGATTAATTTATCTTGAAATGGCAGGCAACCACAATGGCAAACCTTGATCTATGGTACATATCAAGCAATTCAACTTTTTCTTGTAATGTCATGACTTTTCATTGCTTCTTGGGAGCACTTGAAGCATCACTTCATATGGATCCCATGGTGTTATGCAAGGTTTACTACAGTACTGCACTAAACACAATAAAAAATATGTGAGAACCACTAGAGATCATTTTTTATTACAATACACAATTTACTGGAGAGACAAACTGCTCACGGAAATGACAGGCATTCTAAGCAGTACTTGCAACACTTGAGCTTACTGCCAGAGCAACAGGATGTGGCTACCAAATTATTACAGTAGTACAGTAGGCACTACAGTGATTTTATGCAGTTATGATTTTTTAAAATTATACTTTAAGTTCTAGGGTACATGTGCACACGTGCAGGTTTGTTACATATGTATACATGTGCCATGTTGGTGTGCTGCACCCATTAACTTGTCATTTACATTAGGTATATCTCCTAATGCTATCCCTCCCCCCTCCCCCGACCCCACAACAGGCCCCGGTGTGTGATGTTCCCCTTCCTGTGTCCATGTGCTCTCATTGTTCAATTCCCACCTATGAGTGAGAACATGCGGTGTTTGGTTTTTTGTCCTTCCATAAAAAATGATGAGTTCATGTCCTTTGTAGGGACATGGATGAAGCTGGAAACCATCATTCTCAGCAAACTATCACAAGGACAGTTATGATTTAATATTGCATCATTACTTTTGTTTACACTTCTCTGGACTGTGAATGGTACCATATATGGTCTGTAAGTGTGTGCATAAATTTTAATCATTCATAATAGATTTGTATATATCTTATAGTAGTAAATGATAAAATAGACTAGTGTCTACATATATTTTATGTATTCATGATATACCTTTTTCTTAATTTATTCAATATTTCTTTTTTTGTATGATTTTATTTTTTTTCTCACTGGCACTGACCTACTGCACTTAAACACTTCCATCAGACTCAAAAAATAATTTTATTTCAGGAGAAAGAAAATATTTTACTTAGCTTCTGTTTATACTGTTTCATTATTAAGAGTTTTTTTTTTCTAAGAGATAGGATCTTCCTATGTTGCCCAGGCTGATCTCCAATTCCTGGCTTCAAGCAGTCCTCCTGCCTCAGCCTCCTGAGTAGCTGGGACTATAGGTATATGCCACTTCTCCCAGCTTGACTTTTTTTTTTTTTTTTTACTATAATGGAATGTGTTTTTATTCACCCATTGGAAAAGCCTTTGCTACATATTAATACAAACTTGTCACTAATAAATCCTTCTTTAAGTAAGAAAATAATATAACATGAGCATAACTTTGTGTGAGTTTTAATGTCCTGGAGCCTTGTTGCTTCATGTATAAAGTGCAGGTCAGTAAAAATTAAAATGAGGTAATATGGTATAATAGGCTTAACCCAATAAGTGTACAATAAAGGACGGCTGTAATTTTAACATGAATTCAACTGAAATCCTGATAGGGCAACACCAATAACAATGTTTCCTATATAGCTCACAAATTGTTCTTTGTCATCCCCTCATCTACCCAATGGGAATTAGAGCTAGCCTGTTAGGCTGCTTGACAGGACCACTGAATGCTGGAAATCAACCATATTCTATCCCCTCATTTAACAGATGGGAAAGCAGAGGCTCAGGGAGTTTGGGAAACTTGTCCACAAAGGCACAACTACTTTGTGGCTGAACTACGTCTAGGACCAGGCTCTCTTTATTGACACAAGTATCTCTTTCCTTTTTATGCCCCTTCACGTTTACAAAGCACCTCCTCAGCTCCATGATTTTGTTTATTATGCTACATCACTCAGCTCATGAAAATGGCTTTTTTTTCCTCCTTTCTTGTCATTGGAAGTTTTTTGCATTCTTGTAGCAGCTGATTCCATACTAACCCTTAAAATGAAAAAATAATAAAAAAATACACACACACACACACACGTGAATATGTGGAAGAAACAGCACTAGGTCTCCCAGGACAACCCAGTGCAGGCCACACCCTGGCAGTCACAAAGCACATATAAGAAATTGTCTTCCCATGTGAATTGCTTTTGACACTTCAATGCTAAAGAGCTCAGAAGTGCTTCCACTTTGAAAGAAGCCCAGGAACATTGTAGCCTACCCGTTAATGTGTCTCATTTTGAGACAGAACAGTGAGCAGGTTAACCAGTTGCTCTTCATGTACTTCTTGCAGTAAGTCCTTCAAAGAATGAAGAGTGAAGACAATTCATTTCTCCTGCTGGAATTTTTCCTTCTTATTCTTTTGCTTTTTTAAAGGTTGTTATATTCAGGTATAGGGATAAGACATTATAAAAGATAAAGGATATCATATGAGGGAGGAAATCAGACAATTAATCCAAAAAAATCTTCTGTAGAAATTAAAAATCAAAACTTGTGGGCAAGGTAGGAGGCAACACGTTCTTTCCACAGAGCTGTTCCTCAAAAGCAGGAATGAAAAACAAAAAACGAAAAACAAAAAAACAGACCTCAGCTGCATAATGAAGCTGGGGTCTTGGCCTGACAGCTTTTAATATCCTTAAAACCGGGCTGGGCATCAAGCGTCTTCTCCAGAATAGGCCAAGGAAGACAAGTCCAGTTTGGTTTTTAAGGCTTTAGTGAGCTCTGCAGCGAGCACATCATGGAGGGACACGCAATCGTGGGAGTACACCCAGTTTTTCTCAGTCCAGTCATAACGCTTGAGTCCACTGGATGGAGAAGATAACCAGATTTGCTTGTTTGGTGTCTGCTTGTTGATCACGTAGGTTGCTAGATCTCTACCCAGTTTACCAGTTAAGACACCACTCCCAAAGGAAACATCATAGTCCTCAAACGTGTATGGCTTGTCTGCAAGGTCTTCAAAAAACTCTGCTAAAGAGTCCAGTGATTCCTCCGCTAGTCTTTCATAGGTGGTCTCATCTACAGAGCCTGGGTGGCCCAAAGTTCCCGATTTCCTCAAATTCATCAAATAGACACTCTGCTTTTTGACATTCCGAATCTGGTTGAGGCCATGGAGGTTCAAACTGGCATGGTGGGGTGCGCAGGCCACGGCGATTCCAGTGCGCAGGCCCCAGCAGCCATAGAGCGGGGCCAATTCTGCTGGCCGCAGGGCCCAGGTGAGCAATGTTTTCAATATTCCTAGGCTATGTAGTTCATCTGTTTTCCAAACTGTAGGAAATCTCCAAAATTTTTCCAATTTATTTTTTGGAAAAAAAAAAAAAAAGGCTGTGTCTTAAGTGGAACTGCACAGTTGGCCCATGCAGTGGTACAATCAGAGCTCACTGCAGCCTCAAACCCCTGGGCTCAAGCAATTCTCCCACCTTAGCCTCCTGAAGAGCTGGGACTATAGGCACACATCACTACTCCTGGCTAATTTTAAAAATTTCTTTGTAGAAATGAGGTCTCACTATGTTACCCAGGCTGGTCTCAAATTCCTAGCCTGAAGTGATGCTCCTGTCTCGGCCTCCCAAAGTGCTGAGATTACAGGTGTGAGCCACTGCGCCTGGCCCATTGCACAGTTCTTTTACATTTCAAAATTATCATAATAAAACAGAAAGAAATAATATTCTGAAACCAAAAGCTGCAAAATATTTTTTTAACTGTTCAGGCATATTTGAAAAAAAAATTTTCCTTACAGAAGTGAAAAATATAATGGCTAAAATATTTAAAACCTCAATGAAGTGTTGTATAGGTACATCCATACACAAAAAAGCAACAGCTAGAAAACTGGACTATCAAGTCAAGCAAAAGACTTGAACACATTCTTTACAAAGAGAAAAACAGAACACATATGAGAAGTTGCTCAACCTTAACAGTAATCCTCGAAATAAAAATTAAAACCACAATGTCCTACCACTTTACATTCAGCAGATTCACAAAAGCTATAAAGTATGATTGCAACAAGTGTTGGAAAGGAAGGATTACAGAAATAGCAACTCTTATATCCTGCTGGTATAAGTGTAAACTGATACAACCGCTTTGGAACACAGTCTGGCATTACCTAGTAAAATTAAATATGCTTATATCCTCTGATCTTGCAATTCTACTATTAGGTATATTCCTCAGAGAAAATCTTACATATGTGTACCAGGAAACTGATACAAGAATTTCACAGTAACATCATTTTTTTTTTTCCAAGACTGAGTATTGCTCTGTTGCACAGGCTGGAGTGCAGCGGCATGATCTCTGCTCACTGCAACCTCCGCCTCCTGGGTTCAGGCAATTCTCCTTCCTCAGCCTCCCGAGTAGCTGGGATTACAGGTGCATGCCACCATGTCTGGCTAATTTTTGTATTTTTAGTAGAGACAGGATTTCATCATGTTGGCCAGCCTGGTCTTGAACTCCTGAGCTTGTGATCTGCCTGCCTCTGCCTCCCAAAGTGCTGGGATTACAGGTGTGAGCCACTGCGCCTGGCCAGTATCATTTATATAATAATAAAAACTTGGAAGCAACCCAAATGTCCATTATCAGAAGAATAAGTGATTTGCAATATATAGTCAAACACTGCCTAGTGTTGCACAGTCAAACAAAATGAATGAGTGAAAGCTATAGTCAATCAACATGGCTCAATCTCAGGAATAACTGGAAAAAAGGAAGCTGCAGAATACATACAATATGGATTCATAAATATGTTGTGTAGGAATAGAAATACATGCTGCAAAACTACAAAGAAAAATGAATGATTAAAAAAAAAATTTCAGGGCCGGGTGCAGTGGCTCATGCCAATAATCCCAGCGCTTTGGAAGGCCAAGGCGGGTGGATCACCTGAGGTCAGGAGATCGAGACCAGCCTGGCCAATATGGTGAAACCCTGTATCTACTAAAAATACAAAAAATTAGCCAGGTGTGGTGGTGGGCGCCTATAATCCCAGCTACTACTTGGGAGTCTGAGCCAGGAGAATCACTTGAACCCAGGAGGCAGAGGTTGCAGTGAGCTGAGATCGAGTCATTGCACTCCAGCCTGGGCAACATGAGTGAAACTCCATCTCTAAATAAATAAATAAATAAATAAAATTCAGGATGTAAGTTTCATTTGAGAGGGAGATAGGATCAGGGATGTATTGAAAATGTTCTACTTTTATTTTTTTTAATTTTTTGAGTTGGAGTTTCGTTCTTGTCGTCCAGGCTGGAGTGCAGTGATGCAATCTCTGCTCACCACAACCTCCGCCTCCTGGGTTCAAGCAATTCTCCTGCCTCAGCCTCCAGAGTAGCTGGGATTACAGGCGCGTGCCACCATACCTGGCTAATTTTTTTATTTTTAGTAGAGAAGGAGTTTCAGCATGTTGGCCAGGCTGGTCTCCAACTCATGACCTCAAGTGTTCCACCAGCTTCGACCTCCCAAAGTGCTGAGATTACAGGCGGGAGCCACCACGGCCAGCCAGAAAATGTTCTACTTTTAAACAAACGATAGGTACTCAAATGTGCCTTAATATTGTTAATCTTTATACTTTACGTATTCAAATGTATTTTTTTACTTAGCAGACCAGTGTGACGGTACATTTGTAAATATTATTTTGAATTTATCCAAAATAATATTATTTTATTATAACCTTATTTTATACAGGTAAAATATAATACATGGTTCTTAAATACCTAAAATGATAAAATTCGTCTTTAATAATGTTCTTTGCCTACCCGAAAAATCTTGTGCATCCTCATGGTGGCTGAACAAAAGATAAATCTTGTGAGGAGCAAGCGAAGAAATTCATCTCCAAAAAACTGGAGAAATGCCTGATCTGCAAAGAGGAGAAAAGTGACAGTAAAAAGATGCTTAAATGGAAATTATGTTTCAAAGGGGAAGGAAACTTCAGGAAAGCGTTCTCAACTTTCCTGCCTGGGACACATACCTTTAAAAATTCAAACAATTTAAAATAAGTAACCATTTTAAGCCATTATAGTACATTCTGTTAAACGTGCAGTTAGATTAGGAGGGTACCTATTGAACGTGAATGAGTCAGTAGCTGGGCAATATCACGGTTGATTTTTCGAAGATATTCTTGACACTTTTCCCATAGGCCTCTGCGCATGCTTGACAATCCAGAGACAAATAGGAAGGCCATTAGAGGATTGTTCAAAAAGAGAGTGAAGAGGCTACCTCGCTGAGATTGATCTGTAATAACAAACATGTTATATATATAGACAATAGTTTTGCAAAAGATAAGAGATACATATGAGGAACATTTTAATATACTGATAATATATAAAATTAAAGCTATCTCATTAAATCATAATTCATCAAAGCAGATTCTTCACGAAACTACAAAAACTTTGCTATGTTGCTTTCTGCTGAACAAACTTCAGAAAGAGCCTAGAAAACTTAAGAGAAATGGAAAATGATATTTCTTACTATTTTTTGCTCTCAATTAACAAATTTCATCCAAATATGGCAAGTGTTGGATTATGGGTTATCTTGATAGAATTCTCTGATGAGTGCTACAAACGCCAGTCTTTTTCATTCTCTTCTGAGTTGCTCTCTATGAGCTGCTCTTTCCCTTCCTATCTCTTAAATATGAGTAGTTTCTTTCTTTGGCCCCATACATTGCTGACTGCTCTCACTCCCATGATTTTAGTTACCATTTATATGCCTACAAATTTCTAATTCTCTATCAGCAGCCTAAATTGAATTCCTTAGGTCTGGCACTGCTCTGTCTTGCGGTAGATACTGGACACTAAAAACGTGACTAGATGAGTAAAATACTGGACACTAAAAATGTGACTAGATGAGTAAAATGTGACTAGATGATTTCAAAGCTTTAGTACAAAATGTCATTGTTAACACTAATTTCACCTGTTTCTTTTTACTGTTTTTGATATAGGTAATAGAAAATTTAATGACTCACACTCTTACTTCTTTTAAGTACTGCTGCTCTAGGCTACTCTATTCAACCTAATTCTCAAAGGCACCTCAAACTCAACATGTCAACAACTCAAAGCAAATTATTTCCCCTTTTGTTCTCTACAAATATGCTTCTCATCAGGTATTATCATTTCTACCAGCATCTCAGCCAGAAACCTGGAAGTCTATTCCTGCCTTCCCTCCCCACACCTAGTCCATCACAAAGTCCTGTTGGTTCTATGGTTCTATGGGCTTAGTATCTTTGCAGCTGGCTACTAGTCATTGTGCTATCTCCAGCCATCTCCCTATTTTCATCCATGCCCCTCCCAAGTTCATTCTCTAGGACATTAACTGAATGCTCTTTCATGCTACTCTCCTGTTTAAATCTTTTGATGGTACAAGTTGAGTATCCCTTATCCAAAATGCTTGGGGCCACAAGTGTTTGGATTTTGGGTTTTTTGGGATTTGCAATATTTGCATATACATAATGAGATGTCCTGGGGACAGGTCCCAAGTCTAAACACGAAGTTTATTAATGTTTCATATGTACCGTATACACATAACCTAAAGGTAACTTTACATAATATTTTAAATAATTTTGTACATGAAACAAACCTTGTGCTAAGTACTGATATGTGGAATTTTTCACTTTCAGTATCGTGTTGATACTCAAACTTTTGAATTTTGGAGCATTTCAGATTTTAGGACTAAGAATGCTCAACCTGTACCCCATTGTCTTCCACTTAAATTACTTAACAAATCTTAGAAATTCTTTCACAATTCAATCACACAATCTCAAACTCTACCCTTTAGCTAGAAGGAATGACTAATTTCTCTATGTGCTTGGCCAGGTGTGGTGGCTCACGCCTGTAATCCCAGCACTTTGGGAGGCCAAGGTGGGTGGATCACTTGAGGTCAAGTGTTCAAGGCCAGCCTGGCCAACATGGCAAAACCCTGTCTCTAGTGAAAATACAAAATTAGGCCAGGCACGGTGGCTCACGCCTGTAATCCCAGCACTTTTGGAGGCGGAGGCGGGCAGATCACGAGGTCAGGAGTTTGAGACCAGCCTGGCCAACATTTTTAGTCTCTCATAAAAATACAAAAAAATTAGCTGGGAGTGGTGGCGAGCGCCTGTAATCCCAGCTTCTCGGGACGCTGAGGCAAGGAGAATCGCTTGAACTTGGGAGGCAGAGGTTGTAGTGAGCTGAGACTGCGCCACTGCATCTAGCCTGGGCGACAGTGCAAGACTCCATCTCAAAAAAATACAATAAAATAAATTTCTCTACATGCTCCCTAAGCTGTCTTATCTCATGGCCACAGCACATGCAAATTCTCAGCTGGAACACTCTTGCTCGGTCATTTCCCACCCCCATCTAGTTCTCCATGTTCTTAACGTCCACGTTAGACATTATCTCATCCCCTTCCCTCGTCTTCATTGTGCTGCTAGTCAGGAGTTCCTCGTCCATTTGCAGGCATCCTCTTGTGAATCACTTATAATAACCGCCCATCAGGCTCTGTCTATCTGCCACAAGACATTTGGCTCTGTGAAGAATGTAACTGTGCTTGTCAGGTCATAGTGCTATCTCCAGTGCCCAGCACAGTACCTGATAATAAATGTTGAATAGCACTTTGGGAGGCCAAGGCAGGCAGATCTCTTGAGCCCAGGAGTTTGAGACCAGCCTAGGCAACATGGTGAGACCCAGTCCCTACAAAAAAAAAATACAAAAATTAGCTGGGTGTGGTAGTGTATACCTGTGGTCCCAGCTACTTGAGAGGCTGAAGTGGGAGGATCACCTGAGCCCAGGAGGTAGAGGCTGAAGTGAGCTATGATCACACAACTGTACTCCAGCCTGAGTGACAGAGTGAGACCCCATCTCAAAAAAAAAAAAAAAAAAATTGAATAAATGAAGTAACTCTTGGCTAATGAGAAAACTATAGGCTTTAGATCTCAGAAGTGCTTACTGATCAGCTAGTTTTGCACCCACATGGAAGGCTCTCCCCTTTTGCAGAGGTGAGTAGCAATTATGCCTATGGATAAATCCAAAACATTTCTCACAGAAGAATTTTGAATCTGCTTTTGTAACTGAACAATTAATTTAAGGTGTTAGAGGTCTAAGCTTTGTAGCATGAAGATAGGAAACCGGATAAAATGTGTGAAGGACATGTATTACAACTAAGCATAATAATAATAATGACAGCACATATTGAGTAGTTACTACATACCCAGCATTATTCTATGAGGTAGATACTATTATTATTTCCATTTGATAGATGAAGAAACTGAGGCACAGAATGGCTGAATAATTTCCCAAGGTCACACAGCAAGTAAGTGGCTGAGTCGGGATTCAAATTCAGTCAGTTTGCCTCCAAAGTCTGTTTTTCTCCTCTATACAATGAAGTCTTTCAGACCGAATAATCTTGGTATTAACCTATTTGACCATGTAAATTTAAATAAAACTACATAATGATAGGACAGATTGATAGCAAAAAGTACTGCTCAGTAACTGAAAGAGATTACATTCCTCCAGAAATGATAAGAAACAGGATAACAAAATCTTCAAAGCAGGAGAATTTTACCGTTGTTTGAAGGTAAGTTCTATCCCTTAGTAATTTTACTTTTGGATACATGAAGTTAATATTTCTACATGTTTTTCCCTGTTAAACAGCAGAACTTACCTTAAAACAACGGTGAAAGCCTCCAGCTTCTCTCAGGCATTCAAATGCTGACCATCACTTCCTGTGTCAAACTATGTCAGCAGACAGGACTTCTGGCTGGGAAGTAGCAGTAAAATGCCATCTCCCACAGAGAGACATCAGCACTATTCACAGTTAGGGAGATAGTGAAACAGTGACAAGTACTGCTAAAACAGTGTTAAGGTTGTTTAGTATTTTACCTACTAAATGACTGGGAGTTAGAATTAGATTTTATGTGTCACTAATTAAAGACAAATTATTAAGGACAAAAAGTCTTTTGATTCTCAGCCATTGAAGAAATGGCCAAAACACTAACCTGTCTCTCTGGCAGACTTAGAAGAGGTTCTTTTATTTTTAAATCACAACAAGGTAAAAATGTGAATAAAAGAAACACTTTAAGTTGTGCCAGTTAGGTTATCCTAACTCTGTGGCATAGACTGAGAAGTTTCCTAGACCAGCAATCTTAAAGTCTTAAAAGATGCCTTGGATCTTTTAAAACATGCCTGCAAAGGTATAGGAAAACCATGCTATATGGATATGACCAGCAAATCAAAACAAACACCTATAAAACAAATTTTAAAATTTACAAATCATGAGTTCCCCATCAGCAAGGAACAAAACCACTTCTTTCTCAGGGATGAATTATTTCAAGGCCTAACGGTAGCACATTAAGGGATCCTGGTTGTTGGCAAGGCTTCTGGGTATATTTCAGAGCGACACCTGCCATATTAAACACCATAAATCCACACGCGATCATTATGGGAGGAAAAAACAAAGATCAGTACTATTCATAATATAGATAGTGTTTATTTGCAACCTATGGCTATACCAGGCAATGAGGGTACATACCTTGTAAAGCTTTTGGATATGCTGTAGGAGAAAGCAAGCAGACTAGTGGCTGTCCAAACAAGTTTGTGAAATTCTGTAATATATAAGAATTTAAAACTTGCATTAAAGATTTGACCAAAGATAGTTACTTAGTAATTTTCCAAAGCATATTTTTAGTGTATAGATTGGGCCCTTAAACTCATAAATAGATGCAGAAACATCAGCAACAGCTAAGGAGACTGCCATTCATATATAAGTACCATGCATAATAGGCTTTCTTAAAGGCTCTCAATTGAAATAGTTTACTGAGTGAACTACTGATTTTTTAAACACAAGGCATAAACATGATTGTAGTTTTGCACGGAGAAGTCATCTGGCTGTATACCAAGAGGCCAATCCATCGAGCAACACACACTTATATATATAAAGGTGAACTTTCCAAGATCCAGGATCTGGCTTTCAGCTCCAAAACCTGATTCCTGGAGTCATCTCTTATTGTGGGTCATAATAACTGCTCTCATGGAATGACATAAAAGACCAGAATGTGAATCTGTGATTTACAGTAACAAGCTGACACTCAAACTAAAGTACTCTACATAATTAATCATATCCTTTCCCTGAAGGTATATCTACAAGGGAAGTAAAATCATAAGCTGTGTGGTAAAGCAACAAGAAAAATAAAACTCCTAGGAGTAAACTTAAAAAGAAATAAAAAATCAAACAACAAAAACATTTTTTAAAATACTCTTGAATGAAGACTTGAACAAATGTAAAGACATACCATGTTCTTTTTTTTTTTGAGTCGTGCTCTTGTTGCCCAGGCTGGAGTGCAATGGCACGATCTCGGTTCACTGAAACCTCCGTCTCCCTGGTTCAAGCGATTCTCCTGCCTCAGCCTCCCCAGTAGCTAGGACTACAGGTGCATGCCACCACACCTGGCTAATTTTTATATTTTTAGTAGAGATGGGATTTTGCCATGTTGCCCAGGCTGGTCTTAAATTCATGAGCTCAAGCGATCCACCCACCTCGGCCTCCCAAAATGCTGGGATTACAGGCATGAGCCAGCACGCCCAGCCAAAACATACTATGTTCTTAGAGATAAAACAATTCTAAAATGTCATTACACTAACTTATTAAAATTTAAACCAACCTCAATAAAAATAACCACAGACTTTTTTTCCTACAATTGAAAAAAGTAATTCTAAAGTTCATATGGAAAAACTGGATTCCCCAAGAGAACTCTGAAAAAGAGCAGAGGGGGAACTAGACTCATCAGATATTGAAACATACTTTACACCTCAGTGAGGCCCGGCACAGTGGCTCACGACTGTAATCCCAGCTCTTTGGGAGGTGGGAGAATCACCTGAGCCCAGGAGTTTGAGACCAGCCTGGGCAAAATAGTGAGACCCCGACTCTACAAAGAATAGAAAAATTAGCCAAATGTGGTGGTACATGCTTGCAGTCCCAGCTGCTTGGGAGGCTGAGGTGGTAGGATCACTTGCACCAGGGAGGTCAAGGCTACAATGAGCTCTGATTGTGCCACTGCACTCCACCCTGCGCAACAGAGCGAGACCCTGTCTCAAAACAAAAAACAAAACAAAACAAAACATAACAGAAGAAAAACGTCAGTAATTAAAGTGGTGCTGGTACAAGAGTAGGCAGGAAACCAATGGAACAGAATGAAAAGTCCAGAATTAGACTCCAAAACATTTAGGACTTATGTACACATAATAATGACACCTCAGATTGGCTGGAAAAACTGAATAGCCATCTAAAAGAAAGTTGGTTCCATACTTCATACCACACACTAGGACAAATTCCAAATATATCAAAGATGTAAATGTAAAAAATTAAATAATAAAAGTGGTGAAAAAAATAATTATTTTTTTTACCTAGACTCTCCTGTTATGATTAACTATGATTGATAAACCTAGTTACATAAAAATCAAAAGCTTATGAATGGTAAAATATAGCATAAACAAAATCAAAAGTCAAATAATGAACTGAAGAAAATATCTGGAACTCACATTACAAAGGATTAATCTCATAATATTGAAAGAGCCTCTTAGCCAGGCGCGTTGGCTCACACCTGTAATCCCAGCACTTTGGGAGGCAGAGGTGGGCAGATCACCTGAGGTCAGGAGTGGAGACCAGCCTGGCCAACATAATGAAACCCCGTTTCCACTAAAAATACAAAAATTAGCTGGGCGTGGTAGCGCATGCCTGTAATTCCAGCTACTCAGGAAGCTGAGGCAGGAGAGTCACTTGAACCCGGGAAGCGGAGGCTGCAGGGAGCCAAGATCGCACCACTGCACTCCAGCCTGGATGACAGAGCGAGACTCCATCTCAAAATTCCATTTTTACCCTATCAGTTAAGCAAAATTTCTAAAAGTTTGAGAATATACACTGTTGGCAAGAATGTGGGGAAATACTCATATGTAGGTAATAGGAGTATAAATTGATATAAACACTTTAGAAGACAATTTAACTTGGCAGCATCTATTACACTCAAATGCATATTAACACAGAAATTCCCAAACTAGAAATTTTCCCTATAGATACACTATGCAACTAATAAAATAACGTAAGTATTAAATTATTCCTTGAAGCCTTGTTAGTGATAGTGAAGGAATGGAAATAACACAACCAAATGACCAGAAATACAGGATTGGTACAATAAATTATGCTACAATAATACAATGGAATAATAAACAGCTATAAAAAAGAACAAAGAAGTTCTTTATGAACAGGTATGAAGGGTCACCAATACTTTTTTTCTTTTTTTTTTGAAACAGTTTCGCTCTGTCGCCCAGGCTGGAGTGCAACCTCCACCTCTCAGCTCACTGTAACCTCCGCTGCCCAGGTTCAAGTGATTCTTGTGCCTCAGCCTCCTGAGTAGCTGGGATTACAGGGGAATGCCACTGTGCCTGGCTAATTTTTGTGTTTTTAGTAGAGACGGGGTTTCGCCATGTTGACCAGGCTGGTCTTGAACTCCTGACCTCAAGTGATCTGCCTGCCTCAGCCTCCCAAAGTGCTGGGATTACAAGTGTGAGCCACCATGCCCAGCCTCAATACTTCTTATTAAATGAAAAAAGATATGGTGCAATGTGGTACAAGATGTTACTACTATTTATATAACTAAGAAAACTAAAGACTATTTCTTGGCTGGGCATGGTGTGTCTCATGCCTGTAATCCCAGCACTTTGAGAGGCCAAGGGCAGGCAGATCATTTGAGTCAGGAATTTGAGACCGACCTGACCAACATGGTGAAAGCCCATCTCTACTAAAAATACAAAAATTAGCCGGGCATGGTGGCGTGTGCTTGTAATCCCAGCTACTAGGTAGGCTGAGGCAGGAGAATTGCTAGAACCCAGGAGGCGGAGGTTGCAGTGAGCCAAGATCATGTCACTGTACCCTAGCCTGGGCAACAGATGAAGACTCCATCTCAAAAAATAAAAATAAAAAAAAGACTATTTGTTTTAGTTTGTATATCCATTTACAACTTTTTTTCTAAAAGGATAAGAAACAGGTAACAGTGATTATCTATAGGGAGAGATAGGAATTTAGTGCATTGGGACTAGGCGGGAGGAAGAGATTTCACAATATGACTTCTTGAAATTTTTGATTCTGTGACTTTGTGAATGTAATACCAGTACTAAAAATATTAAGCAAATAGGCTGGGCGCGGTGGCTCACGCCTGTAATCCCAGCACTCTGGGAGGCCCAGGCGGGCGGATCACGAGGTCGGGTGATCGAGACCATCCTGGCTAACACGGTGAAACCCCATCTCTACTAAAAACACAAAAAAATTAGCCGGGCATGGTGGCAGGTGCCTGTAGTCCCAGCTACTCGGGAGGCTGAGGCAGGAGAATGGCATGAACCTGGGAGGCAGAGGTTGCAGTGAGCTGAGATCGGACCACTGCACTCCAGCCTGGGTGACAGAGCAAGACTCCGTCTCAAAAAAAAAAAAAAAAAATTAAGCAAGTAATTCAGATATATTAGAAATATTTTGTAATCCAAACACAGGGAGTAAATTGAATGATTCTTTTGATAAGGCAGATTGAGGCATTTTCTGCACTACAGATCCCTAAAGATGGCTTTAGGGATCTTAGCCATGTCGCTTTTCCTCTTAGATAGTGCTAAAATGGACATTGCTATTATTTATTTCTAAAGGTCTCCTTTTTCTTTGCACTCCTTGCTAACGAACTTCTCTCCTGACTTTTTTTTTTTTCCCCCAATAATACTGTGCAGAGAAGAGTTAGCATAGCAAGCCAGACTGCCATCCTTCGAAAGTTTTGCTTATTGGGTTGGCCCCTGGCTGGCTTCTGGGAACTTAGTTTTGGTGAAAATTCCTACCATTAGCAGAACTGATAAAGAGTGGCTCGCTGTCCCTAGAATGTGCAAACAAGATGGTTTATACTGAACACCTGCTTTCCTTCTGGGAGTGTAGCATTTTGTTAAGAGCCAGGCAGAGAGTGCCCACAAGACCAGTTCCCAATAAAAACCCTGGTTGCTGAGTTCCTAATGAGCTTTGCTGGTAGATAATATTTAATCCATGTTGTCACAACTTGTTGGTTGGGTAATTAAGTGTATCCTGTGTGACTCCGCTGGAAGAGGGCCCCTGGAAGTTTGTACTTGGTTTTCTCCAAACTCACCCCACTTATCTTTTTCTTTTGCTGGTTTTGCTCTGTATCCTTTTACTGTACTAAATCTTAGCAGTGAGTACGACTATATGCCGAGTCCTGTGAATCTTCCTAGGAAATCACTGAACCTGGGAATCATCTTGGAGACCTCTGACATAAATACATGAATACCTTCTATCAGATTATAATTAAATTTTAGGCCTGAGAAATAGTTTCTTTAAGGTGCTTTACATGTGGCTTTACTCTGTTCTGATCTATTCATTAATTAATTTTATAGTTTAACTCCCATAGGATAATCTTATAATCTTTATTTGCAAGTTTTTGCAGAATATATCATAACTGCCCACACAGATGAAGTGTACGATTCAAAGCTATTAAGTTTAAGAAAAATTATAGCAAATATATACAAATGAATAAATTTGAACCAGACATAGCTCATATATAAAGTTGCTATTGAATTTTGTATGTTTGTCCTATATCTAACCACTTTGATGAATTTATATTCATATTAGTAGCTTTTCTGTGATTCTCTTGATTTTCCAAATATAAAATCATACCGTCTGCAACTAGTGGTTTTCATCTCATTCTTTCCAATATTTACTGTTTTGTGTCCTCTTCTACTAATCCGAACAACTCTTGTTATTGTTTTATTTGGGGAATGTTATGAATTTCTAGTTGGGACAAAAGTAATAGTGTATCATAATGATAGTAACAGGCATTCTCTTTTTCTTATTTTAATTGAACATACTTTTAGTGTTTCTCTAAGTACAACGTTGGCTATTTAATAAAGAAGCTCTTCATCATAGGTTCAGTGCTTTAGTTAAGAACACGTGATGAGTGTTATTAGATTTTACTAAATGACTGTTACGAAAGCATGTGATTGTCTTATTTATCCTATCGACATAGTTTATAGTATTAAATTTTTTTTTTTTTTAGTCAAGGTCTTGCTCTGTAACCCAGGCAGGAGTACAGTGGTGTGATCATAGCTCACCGCAGTCTTTATCTTCTGAACTCAAGCAATCCTCCTGCCCCAGCCTCCTAAGTAGCTAGCACTGCACAGACGTGGCACCACACTCAGCTAGTTTTTTATTTTATAGATGGGGTCTTGCTATATTGCTCAGGCTAGTCTTGAACTCTTGGCCTCTAGCAATCCTCGTGCCTTATGCTCCCAAAGTGCTGGGATTACAGACGTGAGATACTGCACCTGGCCTGATTTTCCTTTACCTAATCTTCATGCATGATTCAGATAAACTCTTTTGATAGATGATTCTATTAATAGCCTATTGGCTAGTATTTTATTTAAATTCTTCTATTCTATATTGATAAACTACTTTGGGGTAAAGTTTTCTTTCATGTGTGCTAATTTTGTCTGGAAACAGTATCATTATCATAATAATTCCTATCATTTACTGAGTGCTATTTTCCAGAAACTACGCTAGGCTTCATAGATCTTAATCTGCAATCACGACAATCCTGTGAGATCAGCATTCACAACTTATTTGAGAAGGAAAAAGCAGCTCAGAAAAGATCAAAGACATGATCAAAGCCATACAAGTATTTTGTGGCCTAACTGCTACAGAATGAATTGGATAGTTCTGACCTTTTTCATTGCCCTAAATTGTATATCTGACTCTAAAGGTTTCAAAGTATTATTGGGCCGGGCACGGTGGCTCACGTCTGTAATCGCAGCATTTTGGGAGGCCGAGGGGGGTGGTTCATCTGAGGTCAGGAGTTCGACACCAGCCTGGCCAACATGGTGAAACCCCATCTCTACTAAAAATAAAAAAATAAAAAAATTAGCCGGGTATGGTAACATGCACCTGTAATCCCAGTTATTTGGGAGGCTGAGGCAGGAGACTCACTTGAACCCGGGAGGCAGAGGTTGCAGTGAGCTGAGAACATGTCACTGCATCCCAGCCTGGGCAACAGAGTGCGACTCTGTCTCAAAAAAAAAAAAAAAAAAAAAAATTATTGGTAAACCCAGAAGGGCTAGAAGCCTTTCTTGGGGGGAAAAGGAAATAATTTTGATAACTTTCCTACATTTCTAGCCAGTGATGGGGCTGTTCTGATTTCTTTCATATAGCCATTCAATCTTTTGCCTAGGAAATTATTTCTTTAACTGGGGTTTAAAATATATTCACTAGCTGGGTGTGGTGGCTCATAATCCCAGCACTTTGGAAGACCAAGGTGGGAGAATCGCTTACAGCAGGGAGCTCAAGATCAGCCTGGAGAACATAGCAAGACCCTATCTCTACACAAAATTTAAAAATTAGCCAGGTGTGGTGGCATGTTTCTGTAGTCCTAGTACTCGGGAGGCTGACATAGGAGGATCTCTTGAGCCCAGGAGTATGAGGCTGCAGTGAGCTATGACTGTACCACTGCACTCCATGCACTCCAGCCTGGGTGACAGAATGAAAACCTGTCTCTTAAAAAAAAAAAAAAAAGCATTCACTTAAAACAGTATATAATGTTCTTTTTAAAGATCTCTTCTTCTCTTCTTCAACAAATAACTCATGGACCTAAGGACTAGACACTGCTACAGGTGCTAGAGATACAACAGTAAACAAAACAGAAAAAACTCTATCTTCTGGAGCTGACATTTATGTAAGTATTTTTTTATTTTTATTTTTATTTTTTGAGATGATGTCTCACTCTGTTGCCCAGGCTGGAGTGCAGTGGCGATCTCAGCTCACTGCAACCACCACCTCCCGGGTTCAAGCAACTCTCCCTGCCTCAGCCTCCCTACTAGCTGGGATTACAGGCATGTGCCACCACACCCGGCTAATTTTTGTATTTTTAGTAGAGACAGGGTTTCACCATGTTGGCAAGGCTGGTCTCGAACTCCTGACCTCAGGCAATCCACCCGCCTCAGCCTCCCAAAGTGCTGGGATTACAGGCGTGAGCCACCGTGCCCGGCCTAGAGCTGAGTTGGATGGGGGATGGAGAAATGGTAGATTGTGACCCACAGTAAACTAACCAACTAAATAAATAAGTTATATAATATCACAGAAGGTGACAAGTGCTACATATGGAAGCACAGCACATAGTTAATAGCACAGGTTTTACAGTCCATTGTTTTACATTCCAACTTGGCTACCTACTATCTGTGTGATCTTGGGCAAATTACTTAACCTTTATCTGTGCCTTGGTTTTCTTATCAGTAAAATGGGAACAATAAAAGCAACACACTGTGTTGTGCAGGAATTAAACGTATACACATAAAATGCTTAGAACAGTGCATATTGCTAGTCACTACAGAAAAGTTAACTGTTATGATTATTAAGAAAAAGAAAGGTGGATGAGGAGTACTGGGGAGGCATATAATTTTAAGTAGGACAATTAGGGAAGACCTTTTAAAAGGCTTTATTTGCTCAAACACCTAAAGAATAATGTAGGTATCTTTGGAAGAGCATTCAAGGCAGAGGGAAAAGAATGTAAAGATCTAGGGCAGATGACTGCCTGATATGTTTCAGGAACAGCAAGGGGGTCAGTGTGGCTGAAGAGAACTGAGCAATCAGGGGCCAGGGAAGAGAGAAGATCAGAGATGTTTTTGGAAGACTGGGGAGGGAGGGGTATATGTAAGCAGAAAAAATAAAGCCTTTCTTCTGAGTGAGATGACAGGCCATTGGTGATTTTGAGTAGAAAGGTGGCATATCTGTCTTATAGGCACACTTACAGGAGAGCGAGGAAGGAGGAAGACTCATTAGAAGGCTACTGCAGTAATTCAGGTGAATGATGATGGTGGTATGAGCCAGGATGAGGCAGAGGAGGTAATAGGATCTTGGATATACATATTAGTTCGAGTCAACAGGATTTCCTAAAATGGATGTTGGATGTGAGGGGAGGAGTAGTCAAGTACGAAATCAAGGATTATGGCCGGGGCAACTATAATAGCATAGTAGCCATGAACTAAAATGGGGAAAGCTGTATATGGAAGAGCCTAGGAATTCCGCCTTGGGCATGTTCAGTTTGCAAACTCTACCAACTAAATTATAACTAAAGATATGGAGTAGGTAGATAATATTCAAGTTGAGTTTGAGAGAGAGGTCTGGCTTGGAGGTTGTCAACACAGAAACAGCAAAGCCATAAAATCAGCTAAGAACATCAGGAAGTCAGCTGTAGGTGGAAAAGAACAAGGACTGAACTCAAGGGCACTTCACTGATAAAAGGGCAGAGAGATACAGAAAAATCTGTAGAGGAGACTGAAAGGATATGCAGATTCCAGAACTCTTGCCCTGAATCAATCTAGCAACTTGAATTTGGGTTTTGAAGATCTCATCTGGAAAAGGGGACAAATGTCACAGCTCAGCATCTGTCCAAGATGGGAATCTAATAGAAAACTCGCCCTGCATTAAACTGGAATCCTCAGGGCTACAGCCTTTAAATTGGAATCCTAAAAGGGTACACCCTTTAACCTGGAATCCTAAAGGGCTATACTGTCAGTATAAGGATTAACCAAAACCAAACTTGACACTTCCTCTCCCTTCCATGATCACTCCACATGGGACTGCAAAACATTTTTTCTTGATGCTGAGCAGAAAACAAAAGAAAACAAAAATTAGTTCCTGAGGGTTGTCAGTGTAAGTCAGCCCTCCTGCATATTTGCAGCCCAGATTTCTATCAACTAGGTGATCCCAAACTGGTAGTGCCTCTGGGTGTCTGGCATAAGCAAATGCAGACCCTCTCTGAATAAAGGTATCCTCATCCTAGGGCTCTATGAACTTCATACAAGTAATTTTTAAGAAGAAGAAGAAGAAACATAGTCAAAAATAATCAAGCATACAGGGGCACAAAAACAGCAAAGGATGTCTCAAACAGCAAAATCAGATTTCATATAGAAAATCCAATTTCAGCTGGGCACGGTGGCTCACACCTGTAATCCCAGAACTTTGGGAGGCAGAGGCGGGCAGATCACCTGAGGTTGGGAGTTTGAGGCCACCCTGACCAACATGGAGAAACCCCGTCTCTACTAAAAATACAAAATTAGCCAGGCGTGGTGGCACATGCCTGTAATCCTAGCTACTTGGGAGGCTGAGGAGAATTGCTTGAACCGGGGAGGCGGAGGTTGCAGTGAGGTGAGATCGCACCATTGCACTCCAGCCTGGGCAACAAGAGTGAAACTCTGTCTCAATAAAAAAAAAAAAAAAAGAAATTCCAATTTCATATATGATTATAGAAAATATCACACAGACAACAAATAATAAGTATGCTTATTAAGTTTGAAGAAATAAGAAATAAACTTGAAAATAAGAAACTATAAAAAGGGCAATGGAGTGTCCGGGCGCGGTGGCTCATGCCTGTAATCCCAGTACTTTGGGAGGCCAAGGCAGGCAGATCACGACGTCAGGAGATAGAGACCATCCTGGCTAACATGGTGAAACCCCATCTCTACTAAAAATACAAAAAATTAGCTGGGTGTGGTGGCGGGCACCTGCAGTCCCAGCTACTTGGGAGGCTGAAGCAGGAGAATCGTTTGAACCCGGGAGGCGGAGATTGCAGTGAGCCGAGATCACGCCACTGCACTCCAGCCTGGGCAACAGATCGAGACTCCGTCTCAAAAATAAAATAAAATAGAAAAGGGCAATGGAATACTTAAAAAAGAATGACATATAATTTATCAACATGAAAAATACCATAACCAACAAAAAACTCAATAGATGGGTTTGAGAGCAAGTTACACACAGCTGAAGAGAAAATTTTTGAACTAAGAGCTAGATCAGAAGAAACTATACAAATCTCAACCAAAGAAACAAAATGATGGAAAATACAGACAGAAGAGAGGTTAAGAAATGTGGAGGACACAGTGTGAATGTCTAATACACATATTTAATTGGAGCTCCATAAGGTGAGGAGAGAGAAGCTTAGATACCATCGATATGTGAAGAGAAAATGAGAATTTCCCAGCAGTAACAAAAAACTCCAACCTACCACCTCAGGAAGTCCAACAAATCCCAATAGATTTAAGCCAAACCTAGATATATCACCATATAACTGCAGGACAGCAAAAACAAAAAGGTCTTTCAAAGCAGCAAGAGAGAAATGGAATGAAGGTGAGGCTGACTGGCAGAAGAGCTCTTACATAACTGAATCCTGTTGTGAATGCCTTAAGAAACTGATTGCTGTAGACATCAGTCAAATACTTTAGGATGAGGCTGTTTAGATAAATACTCCTGTTTTGACAAATCTGTAAGTCATTTTCACAGGCAGGGATCCAGCTAGCTCTGTCATAAATACTTAAATGTGCAAAAGGATTTTCTTCTTCCAGGGGAAAAAAGAAAAAGAAGTATTGCCCAAAATGACTGAGGGCCTTTTTTTTGAGATGGAGTCTCGCTCTGTCGCCCAGGCTGGAGTGCAGTGGTGCGATCTCGGCTCACTGCCTCCCAGGTTCAAGAGATTCTCCTGCCTCGGCCTCCTGAATAGCTGGGATTACAGGCATGTGCCACCATGCCTAGCTAATTTTTGTATTTTTAGTAGAGATGGGGTTTCACCATGTTGGTCAGGCTGGTTTCAAACTCCTGACCTTGTGATCCGCCTGCCTCGGCCTCCCAAAGTGCTGGGATTACAAGTGTAAGCCACTGCACCTGGATGGCTTTTTTTTATTATTATTATTTTAAACTCCTACTAAATACTACATTACCACAGACAAGGCCAATCAACTTGCTTAGTTTGCCCCTACTGGCAATCTAAGAGCCAAAATATGGGCCATACTTGTTACACAAATATTGGTATTTCAATCACAGTATTCCTCTAATATGAGGCTCAGACAAGCCTGAAAAGCTACTCTTTCTCTACGTGGGAAAGAGCATGGGCACTGCAATGAGAAAGACTGGTGTTGGAAATATTAGACAAGATCCTGAACCTCAGAGGCAAAGTTTCCTCAAGTACAAAATAAGGACAATAGCTCCCTCATTTCATCATTCAACATGCACTGATTAAGACTCTTTTGGCCGGGCATGGTGGCTCACACCTGTAATCCCAACACTTTGGGAGGCCGAGCTGAGTGGATCACTTGAGGTCGGGAATTTGAGACCAGCCTGGCCAACATGGGGAAACCCTGTCTCTACTAAAAAATACAAAAATTAGCCGGGTGTGGTGGCACACACCTGTAGTCCCAGCTACTTGGGAGGCTAAGGCAGGAGAATCGCTTGAACCCGGGAGGCAGAGGTTGTAGTGAGCCAAGATCATGCCACTGCACTAGAGCCTGGGTAACAGAGCGAGACTTCTTCTCAAAAAACAAACAAACAAACAAACAAACACTCTTTTAAGTGTGAGGCACTGGGTAAGGATATATGTATCTATAAACACACACACACACACACACAACACCTACACACATGCACACACATACACACACGCTTCAGGGAAAACATGGCATCATGCTGGTCACTAGACCTTTATATTCCAGGTGGAATAGTTGCATCTTCTCTGATATACATGACCAGGCCATGAAGGAAGACCTAAAGATACTGGCATTAGGGATTACCCAACTATAAGGTCCAGCTCAGTTGGAACCAGTCCCAGAGCTCAGTTGGAATCACCCCTCAGAGCTTCTGATCAGTTTGCTAGGCTCCAATCTTAAGTATGAGCAAACAAGCAGGGATTATGATACTCTCAGGGAAGTCTCTAATGAGAAAGACAGAGGCAAAAACAAGCAGAAACAAATGAAGAAAGAGGAAGCAGATACGAGGCAGGGAGAAATTTTAAATGATCACTGATATTCTCAAAGGAAAGTGATATATTTCAACCATGATTTAAAAAAACCCAAAATAATTATATATATATGTGCATATGTATGTATGTGTTACATAAACACACATGCATCTATTTCTATATATATGAAAGGAAAATAGACAAATGAAAAATCTCAATAAAAGGCTTAGAAGATAAAGATGAGGGGATTTCCTAAAGAAAAAATGTATTAAAGAGCAAAGGACAGACAAACAAATAAAAGACAACCAGACCAGAATGTGCAATAACGAAAAAAGTTCTTAAAAGACAGAACAGGAAAAAAGAAAATGCAGAGAGAAAAATAAATGGACTAACTCTAGAAAATGAGCAGTTTCCAGACTGAAATAATTCACCAAGTACATGTTAAGCACCATAGTTAAAAGTAAATCCAGACCAGCCAGGCACAGTGGCTCACGCCTGTAATCCCAGAACTTTGGGAGGCTGAGGCGGGTGGATCACGAGGTCAGGAGTTCGAGAACAGCCTGGCCAAGATGGTGAAACCCCATCTCTACTAAAAAAATACAAAATTAGCTGGGTGTGGTAGCGCATGCCTGTAATCCCAGCTACTCGGGAGGCTGAGGCAGGAGAATCTCCTGAACCTGGGTGGTGGATGTTGCAGAGAGCCAAGATCGTGCCACTGCACTCCAGCCTGGTTGGCAAGAGTGAAACTCCATCTTAAAAAATAAAAAAGTAAAGTCAAACCAGGAAACGATATTGAGAAACTGAAAAATCACTAAGAAGAAAGAGAAGATTCTATACGTTTCCAGACACTGAAAATGTGTTGCATAAAAAAGAAAACAGAATTAGAATGCTTCATGCTTCTTAAGAAATATTGGGCTCGGCGCCGTGGCTCAGGCTGAGCATGGTGGCTCACGTCTGTAACCCTAGCACTTTGGGAGGCCCAGACAGGCATTCAAGACCAACCTGGCCAACATGGTGAAACCCCACCTCTACTAAAAATACAAAAAATTAGCCAGGCGTGGTGGTGTGCGCCTGTAATCCCAGCTACTCAGGACGTTGAGAGAGGAGAATCACTTGAACCTGGGAGGCGGAGGTTGCAGTGAGCCGATATCACATCACTGCACTCCAGCCTGGGTGACAAGAGTGAGACTGCATCTCAAAAAAATAAAAATAAAAAAGTCCAGGCACGATGGCTCATGCCTGTAATTCCAGCACTTTGGAAGGCCAAGGTGGGTAAATCATCTGAGGTCAGGAGTTTGAGACCAGCCAGACCAACATGGAGAAACCCCGTTTCTACTAAAAATACAAAATTAGCCAGGTATGGTGGCGCGTGCCTGTAATCCAAGCTACTCAGCAGGCTAAGGCAGGAGAATGGCCTGAACTTGGGGAGCAGAGGCTGCAGTGAGCTGAGATTACATCACTGCACTCCAGTCTGGCTGACAGACTGCATCTCACACACACACAAAAAAGGCCAGGCACGATGGCTCACGCCTGTAATCCCAGCACGTTGGGAGGCCAAGGTGGGTGAATCATCTGAGCTCAGGAGTTCGAGACCAGCCTGACCAACATGGAGAAACCCTGTTTCTACTAAAAATACAAAATTAGCCAGGTGTGGTGGCGTGCACCTGTAATCCGAGCTACTCAGGAGGCTAAGGCAGGAGAATGGCCTGAACTTGGGGAGCAGAGGTTACAGTGAGCCAAGATCACGCCATTGCACTCCAGCCTGGGCAACAAGAGTGAAACTCTGTCTCAAAAAAGAAAAAAAAAGAAATACTGGAAGCTAGGCTGGGAGCGGTGGTTCACGCCTGTAATTCTAGCACTCTGGGAGGCCGAGGTAGGCGGATCACCTCAAGTCAGGAGTTCAAGACCAGTCTGGGCAACATGGTGAAACCCCGTCTCTACTAAAAACACAAAAATCAGCCAGGTGTGGTGGCACGTGCTTATAATCCCAGCTACTAGAGAGGCTGAGGCAGGAGAATCGCTTGAACCCAGGAGGCGGAAGTTGCAGTGAGCCAAGATCGCACCATTGCACTCTAGCCTGGGTGACACAGCGAGCCTCCCTCTAAAACAAAACAAAACAAAACAAATTATCTATCAAAATTATCTATGGTGTGGATAAAATGATGGAAAGGGTAGAAATGTGAGTTGGGGACAGAAAGAGGAAAGGGAGATAAATTTCTCTTTCATAGTGGGAAATTAATACATAACGCTAAAACTGAAGAATCAAGAATTATCAATGCCAGTATATTATTTAGAAAAATAGTGGTTAGGGGAGAGAAGGAAGGAAAAAAGAAAAAAGAAAAATGGTGGTTAAAAAACAAAATAGCCAAAAACTATTTGAAGAGCGGCCTCTGGGAAGAGGCAAATAGGGGTTGCAACAAAAAGTGGGAGACTGCTGTTTTTAGTAGCAAATCTGGAGGGATTTCTGAGTGAGTAGTTCTCTCACCAGGACAGCACAATACAGCTAGTCTTCATAAATACTGTAGCTGAGACCCACCCCAGGTGAAGTGATCAGAATCACAGGAGGTGGATGGGACCCAGCTACAAGTGGTTCGAAAAGGGCTCTGAAAGTTTCTGATGCACAGAAATAGTTGAGAAATACAACTTTAAACTATATGCACGAGTTACTTCATAAACATTAACAAGTGGCCAGGCGCAGTGGCTCATGCCTACAATCCCAGAACTTTGGAAGGCCGAGGTGGGTGGATCACCTGAGGTTGGGAGTTCGAGACCAGCCTGACCAACATGGGGAAATCCCATCTCTACTAAAAATACAAAATTAGCCAGGTGTGGTGGCACATGCCTGTAATCCCAGCTACTCGGGAGGCTGAGGCAGGAGAATTGCTTGAACCCAGGAGGCGGAGGTTGCAGTGAGCCGAGATCATGCCACTGCACTCCAGCCTGGGTGACAGAGCAAAACTCCGTCTCAAAAAAAAAAAAAAAAAAAAAAAAAAATTAACGAGTAATATTTAAATGAAGAAATGTACATGAAACTGTTTAAATGAAGAAACATTTACAAAACACTTATATACTCATAAAACATCCAGACCTATATAAAACATATATAGCAAAGAAAATACTCCAGAAATAATACATCAGTTACCCAGTTCTCTTTTCTCATTAAAAACTTGCAGGTCGGGCATGGTGGCTCATGCCTGTAATCCCAGCACTTCGGGAGGCTGAGGTGGGCGGATCACGAGGTCAGGAGTTCAAGACCAGCCTGACCAACATGGTGAAACCCCATCTCTACTAAAAACACAAAAAGTAGCCAGGTGTGGTGGCGTGTGCCTCTAGTCCCAGCTACTTGGGAGGCTGAGGCAGGAGAATCGCTTGAACCCAGGAAGCGGAGGTTTCAGTGAGCCAAGATTGCACCACTGTACTCCAGCCTGGGCGACAGAGCAAGACTCTGTCTCAAAAACAAAAAACAAAAACAAAACAAACCAAAAAACTTGCAAAGTGGTAGCTTAAGACTTTACAATGCTTAATTTCATTTCATCTAATTAATTTATTAGAGATACGGTGTTGCTCTCTCACTCAGGCTGGAATGCAGTGGCACGATCGCAGCTCATGCATCTTTGAACTCCTGGGCTCAAGAGATCCTCCTGCCTCAGCTTCCTGAAGTAGCTGGGACTACAGGCTCACAAAAACATGCCTGGCTAATTTTTAAATTTTTAAAATAGATTTGGGATCTTGCTATCTTGCCCAGCTTTGTCTCAAACTGCTGGTTCAAGTGATCCTCTTGCCTTGGCCTCCCAAAGTGCTGGGATTACAGGTGTGAGACACTGCACCCAGCCTACAAATGCTTTTGTGGGAAAAATAAATATGAGACACCTTTATATGCTACCAAAGAGAACTACATGCTTAAATTAAATGTAGTAAGTAATATTAATTTCTAAAAAGACTAAAATTGGTCTGTGCCATGATCTGATTTGCCTACTCCATATGGGGTTCTCTTTTCATTTCTTTTTTTTTTTTGTTGAGACAGAATCTCACTCTGTCACCCAGGCTGGAGTGCAATGGCACGATCTTGGCTCACTGAAACCTCCATCTCCCGGGTTCAAGCGATTCTCCTGCCTCAGCCTCCCAAGTAGCTGGGACTACAGGTGCACACCACCCCTCCCAGCTAATTTTTTAATTTCCAGTAGAGACGGGATTTCACCACGTTGGCCAGGCTGGTTTTGAACTCCTGACCCCAAGTGATCCGCCCGCCTCAGCCTCCCAAAGTGCTGGGATTACAGGCATGAGCCACTGCACGCCTGGCCTCCCTTTTCATTTCTGAAGATTGGTATGTTCTGGACGATTTATTTCTTCAGAGGAGTGACAGTGCCTGTGCCATCAAAAGCAAACAACAACAACAAAAGACTTGCTATTATTCCACAGCTGTCCTGTGCATCACAATATTAAAATCTAAAATTAAGCCATGATGCATTACTTGAGCAAATACATTTCCAATTATACACAATGGTGTCTTTAAAAGTCGGCATCCAACATTCATCCTAAATCTAAATAGTCCTCTGGAAATAGCAGGCACATACAATGAATGGTATTGCTGAGAAGTGGTATCCAATAATGCCCAATTAAATTGGGAGAAACTAATGGATTGCTAAAGTACTCTCAATGATGCTAGATCATGTTAAACAATACATTGGACCCAGTGCAAAAACACATTCTGTCACATCACCAAACTGCTGCAACAAATTCATTTTCATTGACAAAGACAGAGTACTTCTTTTGAATTCTGTGAAGACACAAAATGCCTGGACCCCTCTGGCTTTATAAGTTTAATTGGGGTAGCCAATAAACCTTTTCATTCAGCAGCTTCTCACATTCTTCCATTTCCCACAAAAACAAAACAAATATACAATTTAAGAAAGTACACTGCTGGCTGGGTACGGTGGAACACGCCTGTAATCCCAACATTTTGGGAGGCCAAGGCGGGTGGATCATCTGAGGTCAGGAGTTGGAGAACAGCCTGAGCAACATGGAGAAACCCCATCTCTGCTAAAAATACTAAAAATTAGCCGGGCATAGTGGCGCATGCCTGTAATCCCAACTACTTGGGAGGCTAAGGCAGGAGAATCGCTTGAACCTGGGAGGCGGAGGTTGCAGTGAGCTGAGATCATGCCATTGCACTCCAACCTGGGAAACGAGCGAAACTCTGTCTCAAAAAAGAAAAGAAAAGAAAGTACACTGCTAACTTTCCTAAAAATCAGAAGTTGTAATACTGAACAAAATGAGTAGGAGGAAAAATGCTGAAAAATGTATGGTGCATTGGAAGCTCTTGGAATAAAGAGTTTAAGTAAAACTAAACATGAAAACTAAATGGAAAATGTATACTTGGGGTCAGCTCTCTTGGCTACCAGACATTTTCATTGGTTTCCTGATAGAAACCTATCAGGAGTTTGCTTCTCCCTCTAACTGCAGTATGAACACCCACAACAGAAACAGTTTGAAGTGGCAGATCTGTGCACCCAGAATATTTTGAACACATTTTTCACTAATCAAACATTTTGACCAGATACAAAGGACTCTAAAGACTGTGCTTTCGTTTTCCTGTAAATTACTATAGTTTGAATTATAATATCCACCTTTAAAGTGTTTCACTGCTGGCATTTTTTTTTTTTTTTTGAGACGGAGTTTTGCTCTTGTTGCCCAGGCTGGAGAGCAATGGTACAATTTCAGCTCACCACAACCTCTACCTCCCAGGTTCAAGTGAGTCTCCCGCCTCAGCCTCCCAAGTAGCTGGGATTACAGGCACGCACCACCACGCCTGGCTAATTTTATATTTTTAGTAGAGATGGGGGTTTCTCCATGTTGGTTAGGCTGGTCTCGAACTCCTGACCTCAGGTAATCTGCCCGCCTCGGCCTCCCAAAATGTTGGGATTACAGGCGTGAGCCACTGCACCCAGCTGACCACTGGCATTCTTTATAAAATCACTGAAAATCATCACTTCAATAGTGAAATATAAAACGAAGGATGTTCAAGTTAGATCCCTGTCACTTATTTCAGCATTCAGGGCCATCTTTTTTTTGTGATTGTCACAAATTTTCAAAAAATCAAGTGCATGTAAAACAGTATGTTAATATTCAAAGACTAAAACTATGGGCTAGAAGTTTTACTTAAACTACAGCAGCTCAGCATGAGAAGGGGAAACGTTTGAACACTAGAGAAATTCACCCTTATACCTCTACCTCTATAAAAGAAAATTATTCTGGGTTATATAACAAAAATAAACCTCCCACCAGAGATCTTGGAAATCTTGAATTTTTTTTTCCTGCAGGAGGATTTATTATTTTCCACTGAGTGTCCATTCATGCGTTTTCTTCTTGTTTCTATTCATAGCACCCGATCCTGACTAGCATGCACAACCTCAAAAGAAAAGAAACACTAAATACAAACTGTGTAAAATTAAATAAAATAAAGCAAAATAAAAAGGCACACATTAAGAGTGGGTACCCTTGGGTTGGTGCCACAATGTCTACCTGTGCAATAGCTCTCATGGAACTCACCTTATACGCAACACTATTAGACGAATCCACAATGATGAACAGTGGCTTCCTGGTGAAAGGATAGAGATCCCCGGGATGAAGGCTGGGAAAACAACAACGAAGAACTGTTAAACTGTGTCAGCCACATCTCAGAAATCTTATTCTTCAGTTTGGTCTGCTCATATCTCCTTTGCATCATAGCACTGAGAGAAAAACAAAGACTAGTTAAGCAAAGGGGAAAAAAAGCCTGTATTTACTAGGATAGCCAAGATAGTTCTATTTGGAGAAAAAAAAAAAAGTTCAGAGACAATTGTTATTCAAGAATATCTAAGCTAAAGTGAAGTCTGTGTATTTAAAGATGACTAAACACACAGCATGAAAACCTCAGAAGCTGGCAAACAGATACCTGTTTCATATTTAAAAGCTCCTTGTAAGAACATCTGGAAACAAGATGTAATAACAAAACCAGATTTGTATTTCAATGAGTCTTCAAAATTTCTATTTTAAAGATTTTTAATATTTCAGGCTACATCTTAATACTGCAGGTAGTAAGTAGGAAAATCTTTTTACTATCACTATTTTTTTTTTTAAAGACACCGTCTTGCTCCGTGGCCCAGGCTGGAGTACAGTGGTGTTGTGCAATCGCAGCTCACAGCAACCTCCATGTCCCGGGCTCAGGTGATCCTCCCACCTCAGCCTCCTTGAGTAGCTGGGACTGCAGACATGTACCAACACAACCAGCTAATTTTTCTCTTTTTAGTAGAGATGGGGTTTCTCCATATTGCCCAGGCTGGTCTCGAACTCCTGAGCTCAAGCAATCTGCCCACCTCAGCTTCCCAAAGTGCTAGGATTATGGGCATGAGTCACTGTGCCCAGCTACTTTTTACCATATGTTTCCTCTAAACATTTGCATCAAGGGCTTGTTAAACATGCAGTTTGACTGGCCCACAGAAGAGCTACTGAACCCAAAGGCGGAAATCCAGTAACATGCATGTGAGAGCCAATGCGTAAGGTCAGAATCTTGGTGTGCGTGCTCTTTCCGATGACTGAGTACACGATGTGCATATGTGGATAGATACTAATGTAAATGTAAATTTATGAATGTTTCACTGAGCAATATCATCAAACTTCATTATATTTCAAATAAAAGTTTTTCTTTTATTGACAAATAAAAATTGTATATATTCAAGGTATACAATGTGATGACTTGTTAATGCATACATGTATAGTGATTACCACGATCAAATTAATCAACACCTCCATTCCCACACCGTTACCCTTCGTGTGTGTGGGCGGTGGGGCGGGGGTGGGGGGGTGGTGCTGGGGGCAGTGGGCAGAGAGGACACATAAGCTTTACTCTTTCAGAAAATTTCGAGTAAACAACAATTTTTGTTATTGTTGTTGTTTGAGATGGGGTCTCACTTTGTCACCAAGACTGGAGTACAGTGGCAAGATCATAGCTAACTGCAGCCTCGATCTCCCAGGCTCAAGTGATACTCCTGCCTCAGTCTCCCAAGTAGCTGGGACCATGGGCGTGCACCTCAACGCCTGGCTCATTTTTTACATTTTTAGTAGAGACAAGATCCTCTTATGTTGCCAAGGCTGGTCTTGAACTCCTGAACTCAAGCAATCTTCCCATCTCAGCCTCCCAAAGTGCTGAGATTACGGGAATGAGCCACCATGCTCGGTCCAACAATACAGTATTTTCATTTATTTTTTTTTATTTATTTATTTTGAGATGGAGTCTCGCTCTGTCACACAGACTGGAGTGCAGTGGTATGATCTCGGCTCACTGCAACCTCCGCCTCCCACGTTCAGGCAATTCTCCTGCCTCAGCCTCCCAAGTAGCTGGGATTACAGGCACATGCCACCACACCCGGCTAATTTTTTGTATTTTTAGTAGAGATGGGATTTCACCATGTTGCCAGGCTGTTTTCGAACTCCTGACCTCAAGTGATCCGCCCACTTCGGCCTCCCAAAGTGCTGACATTACAGGCCTGAGCCACTGCACCCAGCCAATATAGTATTTTTAATTATCACCACCATGCTGTACTTTAAATGATATTTATCTTACAACTGAGAGGCTGCACCCTTTAACCAACATCTCCCTATTTTCCCCAATCCTCAGCTCCTCAGAACTACCGTTGCACTCTGCTTCTGAGTGCAACTTTTTCAGATTCCACATATAAGTGATCATGCCATACAGGTTCAGTATTCCTAATCTGAAAATCCAAAACGAAAAATGCTCCAAAATCCAAAAAGTTTTCAGAGCCAACACGATGCCACAAGTAGAAAATTCCACACCTGACCTCACATGATGGATCATAGTCATGCAGGTGCACAACACATAGTTTATCCAGGATCTCAAAGGGAAAAATAAAATTACTTTCAGGCAATGTGTATGAGTTGTATATGAAACACAAGTCAATTTCATGGGTCCCATCCCTAAGGTACCTTACTATCTATATACAAATATTCCAAAATCTGGAAAAATCCAAAACCCGAAACACTTTTGGTCCCACATATTTCAGATAAGGGATATTCAATATGTATTAGAAACAAAGTTTTAGACCAGTCCAGTTTTCTTTATAACCAGATTGCTCTCAGCTAGAAAAATTCTAGAGCCAATGAGCCAATAACAGCCCAAGCAATGAAGTTGTTATGCTTAGAAAAAGAATGAACTCCAGGCACGGTGGCTCACGCCTGTAATCCCAGCACTTTGGGAGGCCAAAGCAGGCGGATCACTTGAGGTCAGCATTTCAAGACCAGAATGGCCAACATGGTGAAACCCCATCTCTACTAAAAATACAAAAATTAGCTGGGTGTGGTGATGCATGACTATAATCCCAGCTACTTGGGAGGCTGAGGCAGGAGAATCGCTTGAACCCGGAAGGCAGAGGTTGCAGTGAGCCAAGATAGTGCCACTGCACTCCAGCCTGGGCGGCAGAGTAAAACTCTGTCTCAAAAAAAAAAAAAAAAGAAAAGAAAAGAAAAAAGAAAAAGAACTTTTGTAGATGAAATTCTATTTGCTTTTGTATTTTTTGCATTTAAAAAAATTTTTTTTTAAGTTTTTGTAGAGACAGAGTCTCACTAAGTTGCCCAGGATGGTCTCAAACTCCTGGGTTCATGTGATCCTCCTACCTCAGCCTCCTAAAATGTTGGGATCATAGGCATGAGCCACTGCTCCTGGCCTGAAGTTCTATTTGTAATCATGTAACAACATTCATTTGTGCTATATTAAACCAACAAAACCTTGTATTAAAAAATTCAGGCCCAGCGCGGTGGCTCATGCCTGTAATTCCAGCACTTTGGGAGGCCGAGGCTAAGGTCAGGAGTTCGAGACCAGACTGGTCAACATGGCGAAACCCCATCTCTATGAAAAATAAAAAAATTAGCCAGGCGTGGTGGTGGCCACCTGTAATCCCAGCTACTTGGGAGGCTGAGGTAGGAGAATCACTTGAGCCTGGGAGATGGAGGTTGCAGTGAGCCAAGATCGTGCCACTGCACTCTAGCCTGGGCATGAGAGCAAGATTCCATCTCAAAAAAAAAACAAACTCAATACTAGAGGTTGGGAAGGGTAGGGGAACGGGGAACGGAGGTATAGGGAAGAGATTGTTAAAGATTAAAAAATTACAGCTAGATAGAAGGAATATGTTCTAGTGTTCTATACCACTGTAGCATGACTATAGTTAATAATATGTTATATAGTTTTTATTTTCTCTTTTTTGTTTTTTTGACACAGAGTCTTGCTCTATCACCCAGACTGGAGCACAATCTCAGTTCACTGCAACCTCGACCTAATGGGTTCAAGTGATTCTCCTGCCTCAGCCTCCTGAGTAGGTAGGACCACAGGCGCAAGCCACCACACCCGGTTAATTTTTGTATTTTGGTAGAGACAGGGTTTCATGTTGGCCAAGCTGGTCTCAAACTCCTGACCTCAAGTGATCCACCCATCTCGGCCTCCCAAAGTGTTGGGATTACAGGTGTGAGCCACTGCTATCAGCCTTTATCATAAATAGCTAGAAAAAAGATATTAAATGTTCCCAACACAAGGAATGGATGTTTGAGATGATAAGTATGCTAATTACTCTGATCTGATCACAATACATTACAAATATAGAAACATCATTAAGTACCCCAGGAATATTTACAATGATTATTTTTCAATTAAAAAAATAAAATAAAATAAAATGTGGCCGGGCACGGTGGCTCACACCTGTAATCCCAACACTTTGGGAGGCCGGGGCAGGTGGATCACAAGGTCAGGAGTTCAAGACCAGCCTGACAAACATGGTAAAACCCCATCTCTACTAAAAATACAAAAATTAGCCGGGCATGGTGGCTGGTGCCTGTAATCCCAGCTACGCAGGAGGCTGAGGCAGGAGAATCGCTTGAACCCAGGAGGCAGAGGTTGCAGTGAGCCGAGATCATGCCACTGCACTCCAGCCTGGGTGACAGGGCAAGACTCCATCTCAAAAAAAAAAAAAAATGTTTGGGCTGAACACAGTGGCTCACATCTTGTAATCCTAGCACTTTGTGAAGCTGAGGTGGGAGAATCACTTAAGGCCAGGAAATCAAGACTGACCTGAGTGACAGAGGAAGACTCCATCTCAAGAAAAAAATTTGTTTAAAAGTTCGTATTGATGTTACATGTATAATGTCCTGACATATTATTTATTTATGTATATATTTACTGTCTCCAACTAGAATGCAATTTTGTTCACTGACATATCCCTAGTGACTAAACAGTGTGTAACATATTTATTCAATGAATATCAACCAAAAGTTCTAATTTCCTAGGATAGACAGAGCCTGAATTATTGCTGGAATCCAAATAAGTGTTTCTGGTCTGTCCCTAAATCTTAGTCTAAGGGAATCATTCTAGTACTAGAAAAAACTCCCCATTTTACTTAATATTTTTTCTATTTATAGACAGAGGTATAATTTTTATAATAAGAGTAGACACCAGAATACATACCAGTGCATTTCCTTGTGGGACTGATTTCGTTTGTGGATGGCATCTCCATTAATAATATCCCGGTTACTATTAGTAAGTACACCTCCAAAATCATAAGGACCTATAAAAACAAAGGGAAGAATCCTAGACTTCAGTTGAAGACTAACACTGACCTGATGTTCAAATACAAAGGTACTGTGTGAATCTCTCATTGATTCAAGCGAAGATAATTACACATTTAAATTATTTTAAAATTTAACATTTTAATTTAATGGAGTATTTAAATGACTTCAGTATGTTGTCATTTTCAACATTTTAAAAAACATTTAATTATTCAGCAGTTCTTCAAACAGAATATAATGAGAAACAAAACAAGACTCTATGGCATCATTATTCTAAGTAATAAAAGGAATGGAGATCTGGGATGTTCAAAATGACCTTTACATTTCAAGCAAACTTAAAATCTCAGGTTTAACAATATTATTTTAAAAGGAAGTTGGTCAGACATGGTTGCTCATGCCTGTAATCCCAGCACTTTGGGAGGCTGAAGCAGGAGGACTGCATGAGGCCAGGAGTTCCAGACCAGCCTGGGCAATATAGTGAGACCTGTCTCTACAAAAAAATTTTAAAAATTAGCCGAGCATGGTGGTAGGTGCCTGTATTCCCAGGCTGCAGTGAACTATGATCACACCATTGCACTCCAGTCTGCATGACAGAGTGAGACCCTGTCTCAGAAAAAAAAAAAGAAGTTGCAGAATAAAATAAGCTTTTTTTTTTTTAAAGAATGAAATCTTAGTCTCATAAGTAAATACAATTTTAAATGAGCCACTAACTGTAAAACTTAGAAAAATATTTGAATAGAATTTGAAAATTCTCATTCACAAAAACTTCACCTTTAAGAATGTATTGCCAGATTTCAGCGTGCAAATATCCATTATTATCACTATTGTATCAAGCACTTTAGTTCTGGTTCTGAAGTTAGCCTTTTCCCACTAAATTCATATGAATTAGCTAAACTCTTGTCCAAATGGAACAGCAACTGTGGGATGTTCAGATAATCTCTCTCAAAGGACCTATCAAAGTACGATTACCTATCATACTTTGAAAAAAGTAAAGAAGTCAGTATGTTAAGCGGAAACCAAGAAAACTTGATTTAACAGTATATGAGACATACAGATAATTATAAATAAAAGTACTAACATTATTACAAAAAACTAAAGTAGTTTAAGATTTTACATTACTTTTAATGTTGTATTATATTTCACTTCTTAAAAAAATCACTGCAATGAAAAGGCTAAAGAGATTTGTTTTCATTTCAACATTTTAAGAGAATCTGGAGGTCATGCAAGGAAGATGGCAAGGACATGCATTTTATAAAGGAATGCAAATTTCAACAAACAAATGAAGAGGAAAATGTTAAGGATGTTAAGAATTTTTTTATTTTTTTATTTTGCCCAGGCAAATATTTAATTATCTTATTTACATCCAAGTTACTTATCTATTCTGACCAATTTCTGGACTGGTATGTTCTGGACAGTGTTACGTTTTTATTCTGAAACAGCATCCCGATATTCTACAGATTGAATCCATAAAACAAAATAAAGGACAGAAAACAAAATCATGACAAGGGCTTGAACTTTCACAGTTACGAAAGTACACTGATTTCTACAAAGACTTTCAGCCATCATGTAGCCATTGACCGGATTCCCCAATGCACTGAAAGCTCAGAAAAATTCAATGATGTGAAATAGATCATTACGCTTGGTTATTCCATCATCCTTTTCAACTTTGAAACACCAAACTCCTTATGTATATCTAAATGTATTTACATATTATGCTTTTGATACATTTGATAGTGAAGCAAGCATTTAATATATGAATTTTCTGATGATTTATGGGCTTTGACATATAACATTTCAGAAAATATGACAGACTGGGGTATCTACAAAATTATCAATCAACAAATAGACCAGGTTTCAAATTTGGAAGTCTGTCTAGAAAGGCTGAGATGGTCTGTGGGCTACGGGCCATCGTCTTGTAGAAAATAAAGAGAATTCAAGCCCTGCTCACAACAGGGAGCATTCCTTTATTGTACCTTCACTATCAGAACGACCTGTGGGGAAAACGCCAGTGGCCGACAGGTAAATCAGAAGCACGCTATTGGCAGGCAGCTCCTGAAATGAAAGAAAATCACATACACAAAACAACAAACAAGGATAAACAACATGGTTTTATTTAAAGTTCATGACATCTTAAAGTTGTGAAATAAATAAGAATGCACTGTTGTCTTTTCCAAGAGAAGAAACGCTCTTCTTGGTCCTGACTTTAAAACTATACACACGGCAGAGATTCATTATTAATCTATATTGTCAAAAGTTGCAAAGACATTCTCTGCTTCAAAAACCCCATCATTTGGAGAATATTCTCCGAAAACTTGAATGGAGAAGTAAAGATCCTGACTACATGGCTACAAGACAAAGTCCCTTCTGTGGCTTTCTCTACATAGACTTTGGGAAGAATTCTCCTATTTCTCACAGTTCTTTCAGATGATCTAAATGTTTCATAGAGCTCCTTGACTATATAAGAAGCCTAGACACTCTGCTTTTGTTTTTTAGTCTGTTTTTTTTTTTGAAACAGAGTTTCACTCTTGTTGCCCAGGTTGGAGTGCAATGGCGCGATCTCGGCTCACCGCAGCCTCCGCCTCCCGGGTTCAAGTAATTCTCCTTCCTCAGCCTCCCAAGCAGCTGGGATTACAGGCATGTGCCACCACACCCGGCTAATTTTGTATTCTTTTAGTAGAGATGGGGTTTCTCCATGTTGGTCAAGCTGTTCTTGAACTCCCGACCTCAGGTGATCCACCTGGCTTGGCCTCCCAAAGTGCTGGGATTACAGGAGTGAGCCACCACGCCTGGCCAATTCTGCATTGTTACACCTAAAATCATTGAGTAATAAAAAACTGGAGGAAGGAGAACCACTATTATCATTAATTAATGATGGGAATAATCACAACATCATAAGCAATTTTCATTCCCAAACAGCTATTTCACAGCTTACCAGGAGTACAAAAAAAAAAAAAGAAACAAAACAAAACAAAAATATCTATTATCAGGATCATTACTCTAAAGGCAGTTTTTCATTTTTATATTTTACCTAAACTCTTAAGTATTTTTTCAAAAGAGTGACTCTTAGATTTTAGTTAGGGCACACTTTCACCTCATAGTAAAAAGTACTGGATCACACATACCTTAAAAGACGCTGCTAAGAAGGTATATAGCTGGCTGAAGGTTGGTTTGTAGAGCAGATACTTGTGGGGGTTTTCTCGTCTAGTAGGCTTGTCAGCTGATTCCTATATTTACACACAGAAAACATTATACATAAAAGCTGCATTTGACAAATGAATTATCAATATCTATTTTCACTAGCCCTTATCAAGGAAGTCTTATTTTCACACTCAGTCTTACTGTGATGATCTATTTCTCCATGTCTCATCAAGTGAATTCTTTATTCAAGGCTGTAGTATCTGTTGAATAATCAGCGTTCCAACAGGAGAGACGCAGCCAGAGGGTTACCAAACTTGCAAATGTAAAAGAGGAGATTACCTGCATTCCTGGTTTATTCATCTGGGAAGCTAAATTCATTGGCTCCCTTTCCAGAGCTTGTAACATCCGGAACATGTCAACAGTTAGTTCACTGAACTTAACCTGCAAGAAAAAAAAAAACAAACACAACCTAGCCTTAATGCAACACGCAGACTTTAAAGACTTTTATCACGTTACTAGTTGTGACTTTCACATGTACTTCAGGGCTTTGGGTACCTTTTTCTCTAATATTTCGTTACAGAAATTTTCAAGCGATGGAAAGACTGGAAGAATTCTACAGTGACATCCATATGTTCATCATCTAGATCCTATAATAAGCATTTTTTATATTTGCTTTTTCACATACCTCTCCAGCCATATACATGTTTACTAATCAATAAACTTCCTCAGGTTTTGTTTTTTTAAGTAGTTACAGAAACACAGGGGGCCATGCATGGTGACTCACGCCTATAATCCCAGCACTTTGGGAGGCCAAGGCAGGTGGATCACCTGAGGTCAGGAGTTCGAGACCAGCCTGGCCAACATGGTGAAACCCCATCTCTACTAAAAATACAAAAATTAGCCGGGTGTGGTGGTGGATGCCTGTAATCCCAGCTACATAGGAGGCTGAGGCAGAAGAATCGCTTGAACCCAGGAGGCGGAGGTTGCAATGAACCGAAATCGCACCATCGTATTCCAGCCTGGGTAACAGAGAAAGACTCTGTCTCAAAAAAAATAAAGCAGCAGCAGCACAGAGACTATATTAGGTTCTACAAACATGTTAACCTCCACAGACTGGTGGATGAATTCACACGTGTAGGTAGTGTGCTATGTGAGGGGCAAGTTTTTCACTAACACCACAAGGATCTCCAGCCCAAATTCTTTTTTTTTTTTTTTTTGAGACAGAGTCTTGCTCTGTTGCCCAGGCTGGAGTGCAGTGGCACAATCTCAGCTCACTGCAACATCTGCCTCCCGTGTTCAAACGATTCTCCTGCCTCAGTCTCTGGAGTAGCTGGGATTACAGGCGTGTGCCAAAACACCTGGCTAATTTTTGTATTTTTAACAGAGATGGGGTTTCACCATGTTGGCCAGGCTGGTCTCAAACTCCTGACCTCAAGTCATCTGCCCACCTCAGCCTCCCAAAGTGCTAGGAATACAGGCATAAGCCACGATTCCTGACTTTTCAGCCCGAATTCTATACACAGAAGTTTGATAGTAATCCTTGCTACATGAGAAAAAAGAGCTAACTTTTGATGAATTAGCTATGCTGAAATACAACTGTGATCCATATATATATATATATATATATATATATATATATATATATATATATTTTTTTTTTTTTTTTTTTTTTTTTTGAGATGGAGTTTCATTCTCGTCACCCAGGCTGGAGTGCAATGGCGCGCTCTCGGCTCACTGCAACCTCCTCCTCCCGGGTTCAAACGATTCTCCTGCCTCAGCCTCCAGAGTAGCTGGGATTATGGGCATGCGCCACCACACCAGGCTAATTTTGTATTTTTAGTAGAGATGGGGTTTCTCCATGTTGGTCAGGCTGGTCTTGAACTCCCGACCTCAGATGATCCTCCTGCCTCAGCCTCCCAAAGGGCTGGGATCACAGGCATGAGCTACCGCGCCCAGCCTATGATCCATATTTTATAGTAATTTCTTCCATACATTTTGGCACTACACAATATTTAAGTCTATATCCTTTTCCAATTTCAGTAATACTTATATAGAACTTCAGGAACACACATGATAATAAAACAGATGAGAATTTTTTAAAGAACATGTTTCTATCAAATAAAAGAAGAGGAATTATTTAGTTAAGATGAGAATAAGTTTATGAAGATTACTAACTACACTTTCAAACATTTAACTCATTTAATATACGTGTGTGTGTATGTATGTGAGTTTCGCTCTGTCACTCAGGCTGGAGTGCAACGGCGCAATCTCGGCTCACTGCAACCTCCGCCTCCCACGTTCAAGTGATTCTCTTGCCTCAGCATCCTGAGTAGCTGGGATTACAGGCATGTGCCACCATGCCCAGCTAATTTTGTATTTTTAGTAGAGGCGGGGTTTCACCATGTTGGTCAGGCTGGTCTTGAACTCCTGACCTCAGATGACCCACCTGCCTCGGCCTCCCAAAGTGCTGGGATTACAGGCATGAGCCACTGCGCCCAGCCAAGAGACGGGGATTAAAGAAGGGGAAGAGGTTTAAGGAGATAAGTGGGCACTAATGCCTTGTTTTCCTGTAGTAAGGGTAGCATGGGCCTCCTGGCTAAGAACTGGTTGGTTGGTTGGAAGATGGCCCCTCCCACACATACACCTATGCCCAAATAAAACTGGATGCACAAAAAGATATGGCCTCAGAGGAGAACACTAGAAACAAATCTGCTCCAGAGACATAAACATGAAGGAAACTCTACCTTAGCCTTTGTTCTGAGAAGAGATCAAGAAAAGTCTCCCCCAAGAATTCACGGCCATATGCTGATTCTCATGTGGTTTGAGAATCTGAATTAACATTATTTGCATGGCTGAAAAATCTATAAGGTTTTTCACTTAAAAAGAACAAAAACTGATACTGCCCCCAAGTTTTGAGGGAAAAAGCAATGCAGATCTTCGTTGGAAGAAGGCATCCTCAATTCAGGTCTTACAGAATTCTAGCTGACAGAATTACATCAAAGAAGACTCAGAAACAAAAATCATAAAACGCATGAAGAAAAAAGGCACGCCTGATTCAGCAAACAGAAACAGGATGATACAAACATCATACATAACATGCAAAAGTCTAGGTGTGGCAGCTCACACCTGTAATCCCAGCACTTTGGAGGGCCAAGGTGGGAGGATCATTTGAGGCCAGGAGCTGGAGACCAGCCAAGAGGCGGGGATTAAAGAAGGGGCAACATAGTGAGATGCACACCCCCATCCCCGGTCTCTTAAAAGAAAAAAAGTTAGTTTCATATGCTTAAATAGAAGAAGTAATTAAAATCATGATTAAGCCAATCAAAGGAATATGTAGAAAATAACCTAATACATTCATTCATTCATTCATTCATTCATTTGAGACGGAGTCTCGCTCTGTCACCCAGGCTGGAGTGCAGTGGCGCGATCTCGGCTCACTGCAACCTCTGCCTCCCGGGTTCAAGTGATTCTCCTGCCTCAGCCTCCTGAGTAGCTAGGACTACAGGCGCACGCCACCACGCCCGGCTAATTTTTGTATTTTTAGTAGAGATGGGGTTTCACCATATTGGTCAGGCTGGTATTGAACTCCTGACCTCGTAATCTGCCCGCCTCGGCCTCCCACAGTGTGGGGATTACAGGTGTGAGCCACTGCACCTGACCTATACTTTTAAAAATAAAAAATACAATAAATGAAATGTAAAAACTGAGGCCAGGTGTGCTGGCTCGCACCTGTAATCCCAGCACTTTGGGAGACTGAGGCAGGTGAATCACCTAAGGTCAGGAGTTTGAGACGAGCCTGGCCAACATGGTGAAACCCCATCTCTACTAACAAATACAAAAATTAGCTGGGCGCGTAGGGCGTGCCTGTAGTCCTGGCTACTGGGGAGTTTGTGGTGGGAGAATCAACTGAACCAGGGAGGCAGAAGATGCAGTGAGCCGAGATCATGCCACTGCATGCTAGCCTGGGTGACAGAGCAAGACTGTCTCAAAACAAAAAGAAAAGAAAGAGAATGCTGGGGGATTTGATTATAAATTAATATGCAAGCAAATTATCAGATATATAGTAATTATAAATATTAATATGATAATTTTAAAAGTGAGAAACAAGCAATAGAACAGACCAACACACTTGTAGTTAGCATAACTAGAGAGTATAGTTAGCAGAAAAGGACTTTAAAATAACTACTAAGTGTGATCAACAAAATAGACATGGTAGAACACAAATGAAGAAATAGAGAATTCTGCCAGAGAATTAAAATCTACTAAAAAATAAAAAAGGGCCAGGTGCCGTGGTTCATGCCTATAATCCCAACATTTGGGAGGCTAGGGCAGAAGGACTGCTTGAGGCCAGGAGTTTGAGACCAGCCTTGGCAATACAGCAACACCCCATCTCTATAAAACATAAACATTTTTGGAAGGCTGAGGCAGGAAGATCACTTCAGCCTGGGAGGTCAAGGCTACAGTGAGCCATGACTGTGCCACTGCACTCCCACCTGCATGACAGAGCCAGATACTGTCTCTAAAAAGAAAAAAAAAAAATTTTTTTTAAGACAGGGTCTGCTTCTGTCACCCAGGCTGAAGTGTGTGGCACAATCATGGCTCACTGCAGCCTTGACTTCCCGGGCTCAAGTGATTCTTCCACCCCAGTCTCCCAAGCAGCTGGGACTAGAGGCACATGACCAACATCCAGCTAAGGTTTGTTTTTTAGTTCTTTTTCTTTTTCTTTTTTTTTTTGAGACGGAGTCTCGCTCTGTCGCCCAGGCTGGAGTGCAGTGGTCTGATCTCTGCTCACCGTAAGCTCCACCTCCCGGGTTCACGCCATTCTCCTGCCTCAGCCTCCGGAGTAGCTGGGACTACAGGCGCCCGCCACCATGCCCGGCTAATTTTTTGTATTTTTAGTAGAGACGGGGTTTCACCGTGTTAGCCAGGATGGTCTCGATCTCCCGACCTTGTGATCCGCCCGCCTCGGCCTCCCAAAGTTCAGGGATTACAGGCGTGAGCCACCGTGCCCGGCCCTTTATTTTTTTCTTTTTGAGACAGAGTCTCACTCTGTCACCCAGGCTGGAGTGCAGTGGCACGAATTTGTCTCATTGCAACCTCTGCCTCCAGAGTTCAAGTGATCCTCCTGCCTCAGTCTCCCAAGTAGCTGGGATCAAAAGCATAAGCCACCATGCCTGGCTTATTTTTAGTAGAGACAGGGTTTCACCATGTTGGCCAGGCTGGTCTCGGACTCCTAACCTCAAGTGATCTACCCAGCTAGGCCTCCCAAAGTAATGGGATTACAGGCATGAGCCACTGCCTGGCCTGATATTTGTATTTTTTGTAGAAATGGGGTTTCATCATGCTGCCCAGGCTAGGAAAAAAAAATTTAATCTATAAAACAAGAATCAAATGGAAAAATCCAGAGCTAAGAAAGACAATATGTGAAATATGAAACTTAATAAAAGGTTAAATAGCAGATTAAACACATCAGAAGATATGGTTAGTGAAATGGAAAAGAAGTCAACAGAAAACAGCCTAACTTAAACCTAGAGAGGAAAAAATGATGAAAAATACAGAAAAGAATATAACAGACACACGTGGCACTGTGAACGGGTCTACAAACATGTAACTGAGTCCTAGAAGTGGAGCAGAGAAAGAACAGAAGGGAAACAATACTCAGAGACATAATAACCATATTTCAAAATAGATGAAAGACATAAACCCATAGATTCAAGAAACTCTGTGAACCTCAAGCAGGATAAATAAAGAAAACTGCACCTGAATATAACATAGTAAAACTGCAAAGAATCAAAGAAAGTGAGAAAATCTTAAAAACACACAGAGGAAAGAAACATTTCCTTAAGTGGATATAATATGTGACTAATAAATCTAACAGACAATTTCTCAACAGAAATGAGAGAAGATAATGAAATTAAATCTTCAAAGTGCTGAAAAAAAATTATCAAACTCAAGTTGGAGATGTGCAATATACTGTCAGTAAGAGTTAAAAAAGAAATAAGAAAATACATTCAACTGAAAGAAAATATAAAATATAAAATATTATAGAAGAAGCAGGATTGGAAAAAATACAAAATATCAAAATATGTAGAATAAAATTAAAGTAATGCTTAAAGAGAATTTTACAGCTTTGGATTTTTATTTTATTTATTTATTTAGAGACGGAGTCTTCTTCTGTTGCCCAGGCTGCAGTGCAGCGGTGCAATCTGGGCTCACTGCAGCCTCCACCTCCTGGGTCCAAGCAATTCTCCTGCCTCAGCCTCCCAAGTAGCTGGAATTATAGGCACATGCCATCATGCCTGACTAATTTTTGTATTTTAAGTAGAGATCAGATTTTGCCATGTTGGCCAGGCTGGTCTAGAACTCCTGACCCTCAGGCGATCTGCCCCACTTTGCCTCCCAAAGTGCATGAGCCACCATGCCCAAAGGCATGAGTCACCACGCCCAGCCCAGGGATTTTTATACTAGAAGAGGAAAAAGAGCATAGTGGCTCACACCCGTAATCCCAACACTTTGGGAGGCCAAGCTGGGGGCAGATCACCTGAGGCTAGGAGTTTGAGACCAGCCTGGCCAACATGGCGAAACCCTGTCTCTACTAAAAATACAAAAATTAGCTGGGCCACTGTGATGGCACATGCCTGTAATGCCAGCTACTCAGGAGGCTGAGGCAGGAAAATCACTAGAACCCAGGAGCCAGAGGTGGCAGTGAGTCAAGATCACACCACTGTACTCCAGCCTGAGGGACAGAGTGAGACTCTGTCTCAAAAATAAAAATAAAGTCAGTTGGCCAGGCGAGGAGGCACGCCTGTAATCCCAGCACTTTGGGAGGCCAAGGTGCGCAGATCACGAGGTCAGGAGACCAAGACCATTCTGGTTAACACGGTGAAACCCTGTCTCTACTAAAAATACAAAAAATTGGAGGAGCCAAGATGGCCGAATAGGAACAGCTCCGGCCTACAGCTCCCAGGGTAAGCGACGCAGAAGACGGGTGATTTCTGCATTTCCATCTGAGGTACCGGGTTCATCTCACTAGGGAGCACGCAGTGGGCGCAGGACAGTGGGTGCAGCGCACCGTGCGCGAGCCGAAGCAGGGCAAGGCATTGCCTCACTCGGGAAGCGCAAGGGGTCAGGGAGTTCCCTTTCCTAGTCAAAGAAAGGAGTGACAGATGGCACCTGGAAAATTGGGTCACTTCCACCCCAATACTGCGCTTTTCCGACGGGCTTAAAAAACGGTGCACCAGGAGATTATATCCCGCACATGGCTTGGAGGGTCCTACACCCACGGAGTCTCGCTGATTGCTAGCACAGCAGTCTGAGATCAAACTGCAAGGCAGCAGCGAGGCTGGGGGAGGGGTACCCGCCATTGCCCAGGCTTGCTTAGGTAAACAAAGCAGCCAGAAAGCTCGAACTGGGTCGAGCCTACCACGGCTCAAGGAGACCTGCCTGCCTCTGTAGGCTCCACCTCTGGGGGCAGGGCACAGACAAAGAAAAAGACAGCAGTAACCTCTGCAGACTTAAATGTCCCTGTCTGACAGCTTTGAAGACAGCAGTGGTTCTCCCAGCACGCAGCTTGAGATCTGAGAACGGGCAGACTGCCTCCTCAAGTGGGTCCCTGACCCCGACCCCTGAGCAGCCTAACTGGGAGGCACCCCCCAAGTAGGGGCAGACTGACACCTCACATGGCCAGGTACTCCTCTGAGACAAAACTTCCAGGGGAACATCAGACAGCAGCATTCACGGTTCACGAAAATCCGCTGTTCTGCAGCCACCACTGCTGGTACCCAGGCAAACAGGGTCTGGAGTGGACCTCTAGCAAACTCCAACAGACCTGCAGCTGAGGGTCCTGTCTGTTAGAAGGAAAACTAACAAACAGAAACAGCATCCACACCAAAAACCCATCTGTACATCCCCATCATCAAAGACCAAAAGTAGATAAAACCACAAAGATGGGGAAAAAACAGAGCAGAAAAACTGGAAACTCTAAAAAGCAGAGCGCCTCTCCTCCGCCAAAGGAATGCAGCTCCTCACCAGCAACGGAACAAAGCTGGACGGAGAATGACTTTGACGAGTTGAGAGAAGAAGGCTTCAGACGATCAAACTACTCCAAGCTACAGGAGGAAATTCAAACCAAAGGCAAAGAAGTTGAAAACTTTGAAAAAAATTTAGACTAATGTATAACTAGGATAACCAATACAGAGAAGTGCTTAAAGGAGCTGATGGAGCTGAAAGCCAAGGCTCAAGAACTACGTGAAGAATGCAGAAGCCTCAGGAGCCAATGCGATCAACTGGAAGAAAGGGTATCAGTGATGAAAGATGAAATGAATGAAATGAAGCGAGAAGGGAAGTTTAGAGAAAAAAGAATAAAAAGAAACAAACAAAGCCTCCAAGAAATATGGGACTATGTGAAAAGACCAAATCTACGTCTGATTGGTGTACCTGAAAGTGACAGGGAGAATGGAACCAAGTTGGAAAACACTCTGCGGATATTATCCAGGAGAACTTCCCCAATCTAGCAAGGCAGGCCAACATTCAGATTCAGGAAATACAGAGAATGCCACAAAGATATTCCTCGAGAAGAGCAACTCCAGGACACATAATTGTCAGATTCACCAAAGTTGAAATGAAGGAAGAAATGTTAAGGGCAGCCAGATAGAAAGGTCGGGTTACCACAAAGGGAAGCCCATCAGACTAACAGCGGATGTCTTGGCAGAAACTCTACAAGCCAGAAGAGAGTGGGGGCCAATATTCAACATTCTTAAAGAAAAGAATTTTCAACCCAGAATTTCATATCCAGCCAAACTAAGCTTGATAAGTGAAGGAGAAATAAAATACTTCACAGACAAGCAAATGCTGAGAGATTTTGTCATCACCAGGCCTGCCCTACAAGAGCTCCTGAAGGAAGCACTAAACATGGAAAGGAACAACCGGTACTAGCCACTGCAAAATCATGCCAAATTGCAAAGACCATCGAGGCTAGGAAGAAACTGCATCAACTAACGAGCAAAATAACCAGCTAACATCATAATGACAGGATCAAATTCACACATAACAATATTAACTTTAAATGTAAATGGACTAAATGCTCCAATTAAAAGACACAGACTGGCAAACTGGATAAAGAGTCCAGACCCACCAGTGTGCTGTATTCAGGAAACCCATCTCACGTGCAGAGACACACATAGGCTCAAAATAAAAGGATGGAGGAAGATCTACCAAGCAAATGGAAAACAAAAAAAGGCAGGGGTTGCAATCCTAGTCTCTGATAAAACAGACTTTAAACCAACAAAGATCAAAAGAGATAAAGAAGGCCATTACATAATGGTAAAGGGATCGATTCAACAAGAGCTAACTAGCCTAAATATATATGCACCCAATACAAGAGCACCCAGATTCATAAAGCAAGTCCTGAGTGACCTACAAAGAGACTTAGACTCCCACACAATAATAATGGGTGACTTTAACACCCCACTGTCAACATTAGACAGATCAACGAGACAGAAAGTTAACAAGGATACCCAGGAATTGAACTCAGCTCTGCACCAAGCAGACCTAATAGACATCTACAGAACTCTCCACCCCAAATCAACTGAATATACATTTTTTTCAGCACCACACCACACCTATTCCAAAATTGACCACATAGTTGGAAGTAAAGCTCTCCTCAGCAAACGTAAAAGATCAGAAATTATAACAAACTATCTCTCAGACCACAGTGCAATCAAACTAGAACTCAGGATTAAGAAACTCACTCAAAACCACTCAACTACATGGAAACTGAACAACCTGCTCCTGAATGACTACTGGGTACATAACGAAATGAAGGCAGAAATAAAGATGTTCTTTGAAACCAACGAGAACAAAGACACAACATACCAGAATCTCTGAGACACATTCAAAGCAGTGTGTAGAGGGAAATTTATAGCACTAAATGCCCACAAGAGAAAGCAAGAAAGATCCAAAATTGACACCCTAACATCACAATTAAAAGAACTAGAAAAGCGAGAGCAAACACATTCAAAAGCTAGCAGAAGGCAAGAAATAACTAAAATCAGAGCAGAACTGAAGGAAATAGAGACACAAAAAACCCTTCAAAAAATTAATGAATCCAGGAGCTGGTTTTTTGAAAGGATCAACAAAATTGATAGACTGCTAGCAAGACTAATAAAGAAGAAAAGAGAGAAGAATCAAATAGACGCAATAAAAAATGATAAAGGGGATATCACCACCGATCCCACAGAAATACAAACTACCATCAGAGAATACTATATACACCTCTACGCAAATAAACTAGAAAATCTAGAAGAAATGGATAAATTCCTCAACACATACACCCTCCCAAGACTAAACCAGGAAGAAGTTGAATCTCTGAATAGACCAGTAACAGGCTCTGAAATTGTGGCAATAATCAATAGCTTACCAACCAAAAAGAGTCCAGGACCAGACGGATTCACAGCCGAATGCTACCAGAGGTACAAGAGGAACTGGTACCATTCCTTCTGAAACTATTCCAATCAATAGAAAAAGAGGGAATCCTCCCTAACTCATTTTATGAGGCCAGCATCATCCTGATACCAAAGCCGGGCAGAGACACAACCAAAAAAGAGAATTTTAGACCAATATCCTTGATGAACATCAATGCAAAAATCCTCAATAAAATACTGGCAAACCGAATCCAGCAGCACATCAAAAAGCTTATCCACCATGATCAAGTGGGCTTCATCCCTGGGATGCAAGGCTGGTTCAATATATGCAAATCAATAAATGTAATCCAGCATATAAATAGAACCAAAGACAAAAACCACATGATTATCTCAATAGATGCAGAAAAGGCCTTTGACAAAATTCAACAACGCTTCATGCTAAAAACTCTCAATAAATTAGGTATTGATGGGACGTATCTCAAAATAATAAGAGCTATCTATGACAAACCCACAGCCAATATCATACTGAATGGGCAAAAACTGGAAGCATTCCCTTTGAAAACGGGCACAAGACAGGGATGCCCTCTCTCACCACTCCTATTCAACACAGTGTTGGAAGTTCTGGCCAGGGCAATTATGCAGGAGAAGGAAATAAAGGGTATTCAATTAGGAAAAGAGGAAGTCAAATTGTCCCTGTTTGCAGACGACATGATTGTATATCTAGAAAACCCCATTGTCTCAGCCCAAAATCTCCTTAAGCTGATAAGCAACTTCAGAAAAGTCTCAGGATACAAAAATCAATGTACAAAAATCACAAGCATTCTTATACACCAATAACAGAGAAACAGAGAGCCAAATCATGAGTGAACTCCCATTCACAATTGCTTCAAAGAGAATAAAATACCTAAGAATCCAACTTACAAGGGATGTGAAGGACCTCTTCAAGGAGAACTACAAACCACTGCTCAATGAAATAAAAGAGGATACAAACAAATGAAAGAACATTCCATGCTCATGGGTAGGAAGAATCAATAACATGAAAATGGCCATACTGCCCAAGGTAATTTATAGATTCAATGCCATCCCCATCAAGCTACCAATGACTTTCTTCACAGAATTGGAAAAAACTATTTTAAAGTTCATATGGAACCAAAAAAGAGCCCGCATCGCCAAGTCAATCCTAAGCCAAAACAACAAAGCTGGAGGCATCACGCTACCTGACTTCAAACTATACTACAAGGCTACAGTAACCAAAACAGCATGGTACTGGTACCAAAACAGAGACATAGATCAATGGAACAGAACAGAGCCCTCAGAAATAACGCCACGTATCTACAACTATCTGATCTTTGACAAACCTGAGACAAACAAGCAATGGGGAAAGGATTCCCTATTTAATAAATGGTGCTGGGAAAACTGGCTAGCCATATGTAGAAAGCTGAAACTGGATCCCTTCCTTACACCTTATACAAAAATTAATTCAAGATGGATTAAAGACTTAAATGTTAGATCTAAAACCATAAAAACCCTAGAAGAAAACCTAGGCATTACCATTCAGTACGTAGGCATGGGCAAGGACTTCATGTCTAAAACACCAAAAGCAATGGGAACAAAAGACAAAATTGACAAATGGGATCTAATTAAACTAAAGAGCTTCTGCACAGCAAAAGAAACTACCATCAGAATGAACAGGCAACCTACAAGATGGGAGAAAATGTTCGCAACCTACTCATCTGACAAAGGGCTAATATCCAGAATCTACAATGAACTCAAACAAATTTACAAGAAAAAAACAAACAACCCCATCAAAAAGCGGGTGAAGGACATGAACAGACACTTCTCAAAAGAAGACATTTATGCAGCCAAAAAACACATGAAAAAATGCTCACCATCACTAGCCATCAGAGAAATGCAAATCAAAACCACAATGAGATACCATCTCACACCAGTTAGAATGGCAATCATTAAAAAGTCAGGAAACAGGTGCTGGAGAGGATGTGGAGAAATAGGAACACTTTTACACTATTGGTGGGACTGTAAACTAGTTCAACCATTGTGGAAGTCAGTGTGGCGATTCCTCAGGGATCTAGAACTAGAAATACCATTTGACCCAGCCATCCCATTACTGGGTATATACCCAATGGACTATAAATCATGCTGCTATAAAGACACATGCACACGTATGTCTACTGCAGCACTATTCACAATAGCAAAGACTTGGAATCAACCCAAATATCCAACAATGATAGACTGGATTAAGAAAATGTGGCACATATACACCATGGAATACTATGCGGCCATAAAAAAGGATGAGTTCATGTCCTTTGTAGGGACATGGATGAAATTGGAAATCATCATTCTCAGTAAACTATCGCAAGAACAAAAAACCAAACACCGCATCTTCTCACTCATAGGTGGGAACTGAACAATGAGAACACATGGACACAGGAAGGGGAACATCACACTTTGGGGACTGTTGTGGGGCGGGGGGAGGGGGGAGGGATAGCTTTAGGAGATATACCGAATGCTAAAAGACGAGTTAATGGGTGCAGCACACCAGCATGGCACATGTATACATATGTAACTAACCTGAACATTGTGCACATGTACCCTAAAACTTAAAGTATAATAAAATAAAATAAAATAAAATAAAATAAAATAATAAATACAAAAAAAAAATACAAAAAATTAACCGGGCGTGGTGGCACACACCTGTAGTCCCATCTACTAGGAAGGCTGAGGCAGGAGAATCGCTTGAACCTGGGAGGCAGAAGTTGCAGTGAGCTGAGATTGCACCACTGCACTCCAGCCTAGGAGACAGAGCAAGACTCTGTCTCAATAAATAAATAAATAAATAAATAAATAAATAAATAAATGTCAGTTATCTAAGCAAATTAAATTCAAAATAGGAAGAAGGAAATAAGAATCAGAATCAATGTAAGAGAAAAAATTAGAAAAAATCAGTATTTCATTTACTACAATATATCGAGGCCTATTAAAATGCCATAATAATGAAGTCAGAAGTATCAGCATAATAGACAAACAGACCAAAGGAACAGAATGAGACTCAAATATATTTGAACATCAGATTTATGATAAAAGTGACACTGCAGTGTGGCAGGGAAAAGATGGTCTTTTTAGTAAATGGTGCTAGGTCTACTGGAAATCCAGAAAGAAAATCTGACCCATACTTCACACTAAAATAAATCCCAAAGATATCATAGATCTAAATATGAAAGGTAAGGTAAGCAATGATTTCTCAAAATAGGACACAAAAAAGCTAATACCAGAAAGGAAAAAAATTATAAATTAGACTACATTAAAATTAAGGACTTCTGTTCACTGGAATCTCAGTATCTGGAACAGGGGCGTCTGGCATAGCGTAGATACTAATAAATATTTTAACAGATGTTTAAAGAAAAGGAGAAAAAGAGACAGAAGATATCAGAAGAGAGTAAAAGGCAAGACAAGAGTAGGAGAAGATAGTTCAACACATAAATCTGACAAAGGACTTTCATGTAGAATATATTCAGAACTCTTACAGATCAATAAGAAAATACTGGAAATGCTTGGTCATAGAGTGTGCACATATGGAGCTGTACTAGATAATGCCTGACACTTTTCTAAAGTAAATCTATCAATTTCTATTTCTACATAGTATGAAATATTCAGTTCTTGTACTAGTTGCCAGGATATGCTATTATCAGTTTCTTGGTCTCTTTTGTTTTTAGTCATCTAGTTCGGTGATATCTCATTTGGTTTTAATTTATATTTTTCTGATTAGAAAAATTTTCTTTGAATTAAAAAAAAGTGAGAAAAATACCGAGCCTTAAGATAGTATAACTATACAAACCATAAATGTTTCAAAATATTTCCATTTAGTATATTCATACTATAATTTCAAAAACGTTGTAGACATTTGCAAAATAATGGTCATAAAAGCCAAAAATGGAGAAATACCAGAAAAATTTAACAATAACAAAAGTGATTGATAGATGCTAGGATAGGATCCAAAATTAAACTTGTATAAAAAACACATCTAGAAAAATGTATTCACTGGTGTAATTTCCAGTAAATTTCATTTCTAGTACATTAAATCTCATCATCATGGTGCTACTCTGTCATGAAAAAACATTTGAAATTCACTTTTGACAAATTTACCCAAAAACAACTCCTGGCCAAGTGCGGTGGCTCACACCTGTAATCCCAACACTTTGGGAGGCTGAGGCAGGAGGATCACTTGAGGTCAGGAGTTCAAGACCAGCCTGGCCAACATGATGATGCCATCTCTACTAAATATACAAAAATTAGCCGGGTGTGGTGGTATGTGCCTGTAATCCCAGCTACTTGGGAGGCTGAGAGGCAGGAGAATCGCTTGAACCTGGGAGATGGAGGTTGCAGTGAGCCAAAATCATGACACTGCACTCCCACCTGAGTGACAAAGCAAGACTCTGTCTCAAAAAAAAACAAAACACAAAAAACACCAACTCCTCGCCCCTTTTTGCTTGATTGGAAAGTAGGACATATACATTTTGGAAACTTTATTATTATTATTAATTTTTGAGACAGAGTCTCGCTCTGTCACCCAGGCTGGAGTACAGTGGTGTGATCTTGGCTCACTCCAACCTCCGCCTCCCAGGTTCAAGTGATTCTCTTGCCTCAGCCTCCTGAGTAGCTGGGATTACAGGAGCATGCCACCATGGCTGGCTAATTTTTGCATTCTGTAGTAGAGATGGGGCTTCGTCATGTTGGCCAGGCTGGTCTTGAACTCCTGACCTCAAGTGATCTAACCACCTGGGCTTCCCAAAGTGCTGAGATTCCAGGTGTGAGCCACTGTGCCAGGTCAGAAATTTTGGAAACTTTAGAATGTTGTAAAAAATAAAATAAAAATCCCCTATAATTTGGTTATTTGGAGATAAAACTTAGATAGTTGTAACATTTCTTCCTCGTCTTTTTCCTGTGTGCATACATATAGACATTCTAACATATATGAAATAATTCTGCTTCCTGGCTCCATGGCAAGTTTATTTTCATTTACTGTATCACGAGTATCTTTCTATGTTATTAAAAATTCTTTCTAAGCTATTTAAATATCTGTAATATATTCCATATATGCACACAGCATAATTTAATCAGCAATTTCCTCACAAGAGGATGTTAGGATATTTATAAGAAAATAATTCTGTGATCATCAATAGCACTATTTTTCACAGTGAATTTTAAGCATAATTCCTTCACAATTCTTTACCTGATTATTACAATTACCAATAATGAGTGCGTCAGCCAGAGACAACTGTCCCACAATCATGCCCTGTTCCAGCAATGGGGCTCCTGTTTCAGCAAGGCGATTCGATGTGATAACAATGGTATTATCATCATTTAATACCATTACAGGATCCGCCTAAAGAAAAAAGCAATAAGAACTTAACGAATGGCCAAGACTAAATATCAATAGAGTAAGCTATTCCTTCTTCTTGACATATACACACAATAAAAACATAAACTACACGGTCATTTATTTATCAATAATTATGATTTTTCTTATCAAAAACTGACCTCAATGAAAGCTGCTACTTCTTGAAGCACCAAGTTCCATTCCACTTGATCTTCAGTATTAAATCGGTGAGTATAATCTTCAATTTCATCTGACAATTCCTGATTTTAAAAACATCACAAAAAAGGTTATTAAAAAACCCATAAAAACACACAGCCATATAGAACCATATTCCTGACAGAAACCGACATACTTACAAAATTTGATTATTAGCAATACACAGTCCTGATTATAACAAAAAACAAAGATGAAAACTAATAAATTTTCTTCAAAAGTACAAACTTCAGAATAACACCCATCAAATAAAGTCTTTACAGAGATCTACTTCCTATCAGTACTACATGAGCAATGAATTCATTAATGAAAGAATCAGAAAAGAGAAATTCAAAAATTTTAACAATAAAAAAAAATGAGGCTGGATGCAGTATCTCATACCTGTAATCCCAGCCCTTTGGGAGGTCGAGGTGGGAGGATCATTTGAGGCCAAGATTTCGAGAGCAGCCTAGGCAACATAGTGAGACCCTACCACTACAAAAAATTATATATTTCTAAAAATACTTCCTGACTTTATTTGGATTTGTATTATATGGTTTTTGGAAATATTTTTAATGGTAACTGGGTATAAAGGAAGGTAGAAAAGGAGAACAGAGAGCTACTTCTGGTGGCCTTGTCAAAACTGGCATGTTGAGCTGGGCACGGTGGCTCATGCCTGTAATCCCAGCACTTCGGGAGGCAGAGGCTGGCGGATTGCTTGAACTCATGAGTTTCAGACCAGCCTGGGCAACATGGTGAAACCCTGTCTCTACAAAAAACACAAAAATTAGCTAGGAGTGGTGGCTTGAGCCTATGATTCCAGCTACTCAGGAGGCTAAGGTGGGAGGACTGCTTGAGCCCAGGAGGCAGAGGTTGCAGTGAGACAAGATCATGCCACTGTACTCCAGCTGGATGACAGAGCGAGACCTTGTCTCAAAAAAAAAAAAAGAAAAAAAAAAAACCCCACAAAACCCAAAAAACCAACTGGCATGTTATACTTGATACAAAATTAAGTATGCCATTGAAACTATTGAATACAGAATGCAATCAGAATTTAATATGCAATGATTACAGGTATTAAGTGGGTCTGAAGACAGTTAACTCTTAATCACCTCAGTTAATGAAGGAGAGACTTTATGCAGACACTCTAAAGTGGTGGGAAAATGAAAATCATTTGCAAGGCCTTTGTAAAGCATTATGTACTTTTTCTTCACATAACATTTCAATTATTTTCTCTTAAACTAAGAATTTTTGTTTGTTTGCATTCCCAGCCATCCACTGATGGGCTTTGAAATGTAAAACATGCAGAAAGGACAAAAGCAAGGAATCAAGATAATTATCTCAGATTAGTGTATTTGTAACATGAAAAGAGTTGGAAAATTTTTTTATCATTACCCTTGTCAGAAGTTACTATACTTTGAATATTGTAATTATTGATATATCAAAATTATTTTAACCTAAAATCTGTTTTTTAAAAATAAGATCATCCATATACAACTAGAGATTAGAATTTGAACTATTTAAAGTGTATTTACCTTTACCAGATCCTTTACAACATCCATTTTGTTGAGAAGAAGACAAACTACTATAAATCTTGCATAATATCGTAACTTCTTAACTACCAATTCAGGTCTATGGAAGATAAATGAAAAATTACTCATTAGATTAAAAAAGAATGCTTTTTGATTTTTTTAATTTTCTGATAGCTTTTAAAACTCTTTCCCTCCTTTTCTGCACAATTATAAACATTCCCACATATAAGCATATAGTCTTTTTAAAATATTTCTTACTGATTTATTAAGCTGTTTACTCATATATTCATTCATTTAACAAGTATTTATTGAGAACTTAGATGCATCAGATACTGTTAATTGCTAAAAGCACAGTTGTAAAAAACTAGAGATATTCCCTTCTTCAAAGATCTTACAGACAGAAAAGAACTTAAAATATACAGGAGAGAGATAAATGCTTACAACACAACGGAATAATATAATGATAGGAGAAATAAAGAATGCTATTTGTGCCCACAGGACTAGATCTTGGGTGAGAAAAGGCTTCCTAAAGAAAGTAATAAATGTTTAAGTTAAGAATACAACGAAGCGTGGAAGACTACAGGCAGGAAAATATGATCTCTGTGCCTTTTACTTGATGTTTTTAGACCAATTACATTTAATGTCATTATTGCTTTGGCTAGGTTTATATCTACCACCTTGCTATTTGTTTCCTACTTGCTCCTTCTCTTGCTATGTTCCTCTGTTGTTCCTGTTGTGCTTTCTCTTCGGTTAATCAAATATTTTTTAGTGTTCCATTTTATATCATCTATTGGCTTCCTAGTTATACTACTTCTTTGTTATTGTTCTTTAAGTGATTGCTAGGAGTAACAACGTGCATCCTTTAACTTATCAAATGCCCTTACAATATATTTTATCTGTTCACACATAACACTTTACACTTACCAATCATCAATTCAAACCTGACATTTCCTCCTGCTTTCCATATCCTACATCACAAATAATAGCCTTACAACAGTGTATTTTTTGTGTGTATGTTCAACATTTTCCATAATAAAATTTTTAAAAAATTCTTTCGACCCATGAGTTACTTAGAAATGTGTCTATTGATTGACAAACTTATTGACTTTTTTTTTGTTTAAGAGATGGAGTCTTGTTATGTTGCCCAACTGGACTTGAACTCCTGGGTTCAAGGAATCCTCTTGCCTCAGCCTTCTGAGTAGCTGGCCTGCAAATGCAGCTACTGATTTTTTTAAATTATGTTTTATTTTTGTTTTTAATGAAATCGTACCATGGTTAGACAACACACACTTTATTGAACCTTGTATTAAACTTGTGTTGTGGCAAGTATCAGTTAATTTCACAGATTTTCATATAAGTTTGAAAATAACATATATACTGTTGCACACAATTTTAGGTACACTGGAACAAACTTGTTACTCAAATCTTATAATTTCTTGTCTTGATATATAAATTATTAGATATCATATATCAAAAATTCCCATGTACATCAGATCATTAATTTCCCCACTTTAAAAAAACACTTTGCTTTATCATAATGCTACGTTATTAGGTATATATAAGTTTATGATTTTTATATTTTCCTGAATTGTTCCTTTCATCAGAGTAAACCTCTATTCTCAATAATACTTTCTACCTTTAAATATACACACAGTATACACATAAGAAATGCGTATACACGTACACATTTCTTCCCCATAGTAGCTGTCTCATTATCTTTCTCTGTCTACCTTACATCTTTGAAGGGTTTATTTATTTAAAAGAGACAGTCTTGCCCTATTTCCCAGGCTGAAGTGCAGTGGCACCATCATAAATCACTGCAGCCTCAAACTCCTGGGCTCAAGCAATCCTCTCACCTCAGCTTCCTGAGTAACTAGGATTGCAGGTGTGTGCCACCATGCCTGGGTAATTTTTTTATTTTTATTTTTTGTAGAAATCGGGTCTTGCTACGTTTCCCAGGCTGGTCTTGAACTCCTGGCCGCAAGCAATCTTCCCATCTTAGCCACCCAAAGTGTTGGGATAACAGGTGTGAGTCACCGCTCTTGGCCTCGAAGAGTCTCTTAAAAACAGTATATTATTGGGTTTTTCTAAGAGGCATACTGATAATCTTTGTCTTTAACAGGGAAGTTTAGATCATTTTTACTTACCATGATTCGGATTTGTTTCTATTTTATTATTTTGTGCTAATTATACTTTTTGGAGTTTATTTTCCCTTCCTGCCTTTCATTGTAATGATCATCATTTTGTTACTCACTTTCCCCCTCTACCTCTTCTGAAGTTACACATTCTAATTATAGTTTTCTGAAAATATTAACAAGTAAACTTTACTCTATGTTTCTTCTGAAGAATAAATGGATATCAGAATGGTTTAATTCTTTATCCCCTTTCTTCTTTCATATTATTGTTATCTAGATTTGGCTCCATTTTATTTTAATAATGTCAATCAGCCATTGTTATGATGATTACTGCCCCATCAAATCGATGTTTTAGAATACAAGGGGATAATTTTTTCTTACCAATCCTTCTTGTATATCATACCTTCCCCTTCTAGTTTCAATTTTCTTCTTCCTTGCTCTTTTATGTCACCCAAACCAATTGCCCCACCCTCCAAGGTCACCACAGCCATGGGAAAATGAACTAGGGACTTCCTTACTTTCTTGACAACTAAGTTTTCCATTTAAAAGGATGATTGTCCTATTTTATCCAGCATTTCTAGGTGTTTAGTATTTCAGGTTATCTAGCCTATCATATTGTCGAAAGTGGAATTCAAAACAAAGAAAATTAGTAGAAGGATGATGTCAATTCAAACTTGAAATATGAATGACTTAATTCTGTTACTTTTTTGATTAAAAAATAGGTTCTATGAATCTGTATCATGGATTATACAACCAGCAAACCTTCTACAAAGGGCCAGATGGTAAATATTTTAAGCTTTGCAGGCCACATTTGGTGCCTGTAGCATATTCATCTTTTCCCTTTTTACAACCCTTTGAAAATGTAAAAAAAAAAAAAGAAAAATTCTAAACTGCCACACAGTACAAAAACAGGCCATGGGCCCAATCTGGCATGCAAACAGGCCATAGTTAGCTGATCCTTATATTCAATAAGCATACAGAAGTGGGTGGGTGCTTTCTATTTTGGAAGCCACTGTGATGAACTGCAGCAAAGCACAGATTAAATGCGTCAGTGCTGTCCACTCATACATAAGAGGCCACCTCAATCAAGCCCGATAACCTGAACCACAACCCCTAGCCTACCAACTGACTCCATATCAAACTGCAGAAAAAAGAGTGTGACTCACTGCAAGGGTCCACATCAAGCCCTCTTTATCATCAGTGCCAAAGCCTTCAATTTTACATTCATATTTCCCACTGAAAAAAATACTGTCACCACTTATGTTGACATCAACATAACTGGAGTTTATTTTCCTTTCCTGCCTTCTATTGTAATAATCATAATTTTATTATTCACTTTCCCCCTACCTTTTATTGTTTCTTCTGAACAATAAATGACATGTTGACATGTTGTCAACGTCAACATAAGTGGTGACAGTATCAAGTTTTGTCCAGTGGGAAATATGAATGTAAAATTGAAGGCTTTTTATGAAGTTTTTTTTTTTTTTTTTGAGACGGAGTCTCACTTTGTCACCCAGGCTGAGTGCAGTGGCGCCATCTTGGCTCACTGCAACCTCCGCCTCCCCGGTTCAAGCGATTCTCATGCCTCAGCCTCCTGAGTAGCTCGGACTACAGGCGCGTGCCACCACGCCCGGCTAATTTTTTGTATTTTTAGTAGAGACGGGGTTTCACCATGTTAACCAGGATGGTCTCGATCTCCTGACCTCATGATCCGCCTGCCTTGGCTTCCCAAAGTGCTGGGATTATAGGTGTGAGCCACTGTACCCGGCCATTTTTTTTAAGCTCTTAACAAACTTCTGGACTCCAGAATTCTAGCCTTGTCCAACCTGCTAGGCTCCCTACTTACAAGACACTGACTCTTTAACTATACATTTGCCTAGGAAACTCTGTTCTTCCAGGTGGCTCACCGTAACATCTCCACAAAACCTCTTGGGTATTCAGAATCTTCACCTTCTCCATATCCAACCAGGTTCAGCTTTGGCCATTTGCAACAGAATTGGGGTGTGCAGCTCCTAGGAGGAGTGGCTGTATGTAATATCTCCTCTCCTAGGTAGGATGGACCCATGGAATGAGATGTTCTGGGAGTGGTCTATGCTTAGTGACAGACACTAACCTTGAGGTTGCTGGAACAAACTACTTATTCCTCCTGGTCTCGACATAATCCTTAGCTGTCAAGACAGTGCAGAGAGAACTTGTTCCTTTTGAGGAGTGAAGATTTTTGCCTTTTAAATGAACTGTGAAATTGTGGAATACTTCCTTATTGGTTTTCTCTCCTGGCTCTTGATTTTAGCAGCTGTTGCTGATTGCAATCTTGACTAGCACTCTTACCCTGTGTAAACTAAGAAACAACCTACAAACTGAACAAAGCCCCTCCTAACTACACACAGCAAGGTCAAGGTTTTGCACACCAGATTGTCCTTTGATTCTAATTTACTGGCACAAAGCAAGAGTTTTTGTCATCCTGATTCCAAATAATCCTACTTCTAAATAATATGCTCTGATCTAGAAAACTGCAAAGGAAAACAATTCAAATTTGATGTTTGTTATTAAGGCATAAAATTATGGCAATAAATCAAACTGTTGGGTATTAAGGTTAAAGCCAATTTCCCTTTTGTCAAATTAGAAAATGCAGAAAAGTAAATTATACAAGGTGTTTTGCTATTACTTAAAATAGTTCTCTGCTTATATGTATTTTTAATGCCGATAAAATGTTATACAGCTCTTTCGCATTTTTTAAGATATAATTTATCTCGCCAAGAATTTTTTTAAAAATTAGAGTTGGAGGAAATATATCTGTAGTGAAAATATGTGAAGCAAACTATAGGACAACCTAAGGGAAAAGTAACTGATGGAACTTCTGATGTAAGGGGATGACAAAAAGATATGAAAAATGTACACTCCAGCATCTGCACCCCTTACATGTGCCATGCAAACGCCCCTAGACAAGTCTGAACAAGACATGCAAGGAAATTAAGGAGATTTACAAGAGTGGGGCTTTCCCCAAAATGTCACTGTTTAGTTGGAAAGCTTACAACAGTCAACCACAAAGTGTTCTTGAGAAAAACATGTCAAAACTGTTTTCTTCTATTGCTAAGAGAATATAATCTTTTCACCATATAAAAACTGTGAGTTGTGTTGCTGGGGTAGAGAGAATATTCAGACCTTCTGTGCCTGAACTTTCTCATCCAACAGTTCCCAGAATACTAACAAGAAAGATTCTCCAGAAGATCTCTGATTTCTTCCACAATTCCATACTCATCTGGAAGTAATCAAATCACAATCCAGGCTGGGTGTGGTGGCTCACGCCTGTAATCCCAGCACTTTGGGAGGCCAAGGCGGGTGGATCACTTGAGGTCAAGAGTTGAAGACCAGCCTGGCCAACATGATGAAACCCCATCTCTACTAAAAAATACAAAAAAATTAGCCGGGGGTGGTGACACAAGCCTGTAATCCCAGCTACTTGGGATGCTGAAGCAGGATAATTGCTTGAACCCAGGAAGTGGAGGTGGAGGTTGCAGTGAGTTGAGATCGCACCACTGCACTCCAGCCTGGGCGACAGAGCAAGACTCCACCTCCAAAAAAAAAAAAAAAGAGAGAGAAAATTCAAACAGCATTAACAGACTATTCCCTGGTCCTACATGACAGTTGTCACCAGGCTTTTGAAGAGATATGAATTAAGATTACACAGGCTAAAGAATAAATGTTATTAGCTAAGCCTTGTTTTGGAGTCATTTCTTTTCTATTAAATCTGTGTGAAGCCAATCTCTTGTAAAACAATAACCCAACCCTCCTTTGGCATTGTGACATCTGTTAAACATCTTTGATATTTATTGCTTAGGTAACATAAACTTCTCTATGCTTTCGAAGGTCTATTACATAGCAGGCACTCAATAAAGCCTGGTAAACGAGTACACGTTATAAAAATGTATGCTTTTCCACACAATTTCTACGAAGATTAAGACTGAATGTTTTATCCTCATCTTTCTAAAAACATAGCAGATACATACCTGTCCTCTTTATTGACTTGAGAATAATATGATCTCTGTCTGATTGCAGAATAGAAGGAAAAAGCCTCATTCAGATAGCTGGTTTCCGATGTGCGTAAGCTATGAGAAAAAATATATTTTTAAATATGACAGTGTCAGAGACTCTTCACCATGGTAAATACTTGTTCTATATACCGCTGTATTCCTCTGTGGCACGGGGTGCGGGGGTGGGAATGACTGTCCTAAATTTGAATCGGCAAGACAATAATCATATCACCCTTAAAATGTATAAAAAATAATAATGAAATTTTTTTAAAAACCTCCTCGCTGCATCCAAGCCTTTTTTGATGCCAACCCATATTACACATTATCCTCATTCTTTGAAGGGACTCTCCAAACAGCATTCCATCCAGTGAAATCCTCTCCCAGGACTAGGCCACTTCCTCAAATCCATACAGTCCTTTGGCCCATTTCTTTAATTTCTGTCCTCACAGAACTGAGGAATGCACTAATCCATACGAATCTTCAGGGGATGTTAATGAATTATGTTTTACAAGGGACTTTTTAAGAAAACATTTCTACCTGAGAAAACACTTCTAGTTTTACAAGGGACTTTTTAAGAAAATATTCTACCCAAGAGAGTGATTTTAGTGGTGGGAATTTGGAGCGGTATGCCAAAATGTAGGAAATGGAAGAAGTTTTATTGCCTTTTCTTTTCTTTTCTTTTTTCTAATTTTTTATTTTTTGAGACAGAGTTTCACTCTTGTTGCCCAGGCTGGAGTGCCAATGGCATGATCTCGGCTCACTGCAACCTCTGCCTCCCAGGTTCAAGCAATTTTCCTCCCTCAGCCTCCCAAGTAGCTGGGATTACAGGCACCTGCCACCACACTTGGCTAATTTTTTTGTCTTTTTAGTAGAGACGGGGTTTCACTAGGCTGGTCTCAAACTCCTGACCTCAGGTGATCCACCTGCCTTGGCCTCCCAAAGTCCTAGGATTACAGGCGTGAGCCACCACGCCCAGCCATTTTATTGCCTTTTAGATTACAAATGGTCCAAGCCTTTTTTATTGTATACCTGATTATCACTTCAGGATGATGACATTTAGATTCCTAAAAGGACCCTTCTTGTTTTCTGAACTCAGGGATGGGACTATATAGATGTTAGTGCTCTAAGGATATAATAAAAAATATCTTTCAAACATATCCTGCAAGTATGAGTTTTTTAAAGTATCCTTCTGAAAACCATTCATTCACATATACAAGTTATAATACAATGCTACACATTATTAAGACAAGTGAAGCTGCAAGAACAATAAATCCTTTAGTATTAATCGTTTATCTAAAACCAAGATCAAATTTTTAAGTTATAAATGAGTCTGACCAAATGAAGTGTTTGGGAGGCAAGCCTTTAAAACAAATAGTACTTTGACTATGGAAGGTTATTGCACAACATTGTCTTGATCAATCTGGTCCGAACTACTAGAGTTTCATTTGTAACTCGTGATTTTCATGCCTAGCAATGAGTATACTATGTATGTATACTTCTGCATGCTGTGTTTTAATCAGACAACACTTTACTCTTTCCATGTGTAATTTACTTACTAATAATGATAGTATAGCTGCCCAATCTTGGAAGCAATTTCTCCTATTTGCCAGCGCTTCAAGCCATACCGATTATCCAAGACTTGTCTGTTTTATATAGGATACAAGAAAATAGAAATGAGTCTATAAATTCCAAAACTAATCAAATCTGTAAATTCAATAGGATAAAATACCATCCAATTCAGCAAAGCTAATGAATTTTTCATTAGATTTCAATGTAGTCATTCCATTAAATTTAAAAAGCATTTATTAAATGTCTATTTATAAGTTGAAATATAAAAAGAAACTACTTTGGCCAATAAACATATATTTTAGAATGAAACCATAAATCATCCTACCTATGCTCTAGCTGATCTGAACCATTCCACATATAATATTGTCTTTAAAAATCGGACAAGAACATTACTCTTTTTTTTCCTTTTTTGAGACAGAGTGTGGCTCTGTTGCCCAGGCTGGAGTACAGTGGCATGATCTGGGCTCACTGCAACCTCCGCCTCTCAGGTTCCAGCAATTCTGCTGCCTCAGTCTCCTGAATAGCTGGGATTACAGGTGTGCACCACCATGCCCGACTAATTTTTATATTTTTAGTAGAGACAGGGTTTCACCATGTTAGCCAGGCTGGTCTTGAACTCCTAACCTCAAGTTATCCACCCACCTCAGACTCCTAAAGTGCTGGGATTACAGACAGGAGCCACTGCACCCAGCCTTATTTTATTATTTATTTTTATTTATTTATTTACTTTTTTGAGACAGGGTCTCTCTCTGTTGCCCAAGCTGGAATGCAGTGATGCAATCTCTGCTCACTGCAACCTCCCCCACTTCAGGGTTCAAGCGATTCTCGTGCCACAGCCTCCTAAGTAGCTGGGATTACAGCTGAGCACCACCACACCTGGCTAATTTTTGTGTATTTTGTAGAGATAGGGTTTAGCCATGCTGCCAAGGCTGGTCTCAAACTCCTGAGCTCAAGCAATCCTCCCACCTTGGCCTCCCAAAGTGCTGGGATTACAGGCATGAGCCACCATGCCTGGCCATACATTTTAAGATCTTAAATAAATAGGAAAGAAATAAATTTGTTTTCATTTGGGTTATAAAGATGAAATATGTTATTTTAAAAGCACCAAGATTTACCTTTGCTTTGTTGGTGAAAAAAAAGAAAAAGCACCAAGACAAAAAGCACTGAAGTAGTGAAGATAAAAACTGTGACTAATACAAAACAGGCCTTCACTCTCCTTTAACTATAAAATTCATTTACCGATGCTGCTGCTGGAACTTCCAGAGTTTGGTGTAAACATCAAAAGTTCTTCCAAAATAGGACTGCCACTGCTTCTGTCCATATTGTGGCAAATCTCTGTAATAGTAAATGAGTATGTATTAATATTAAACTTCTTATTCTATTTGGAAATTATGTCTTGTGATGGTACAAACCAGACAGATGAAAAATGCTTGCATTCAGGCTTTCTTTTTTAAAAAAGTTACACTTTTTGGAGCAGAAATAATTCTATAACTAGGGTCCAGGACATGCTCTTTTCCTATTCTCCTCCCTACTTCTCTGACAGGTCGTTCTTAGTGTTCTTTGCAGATGCTTCTCCCATGAGGTTTCTGGTCCTCTCTTCCCTCTCCCTCGGTGATCTTATTCACACTCACTTATATACTGACAACTTCCAAATGTTTATCTTCAGCTAAGAACTCAGCTGAATGTTTGAAAAACACTGCTTTAGAAAATATACCTAGAAATCGATATGTAGATGGTATTACTGTTCTGCACTATTCTATCCTCTCCCTATAAGATAAATATACATCCCTGTCCTTGAACCTGGTGACTTATAGTACAGTCTTTGAGAGGCAAATACTCCCTACCATACAAACATTGGGCCTGGCCGTATTAACTTCCTTTGGCCAATGAAATATAATTGTAAGTTATTTATATCATATCTTAGGAGAAAATTAAGAGCACTGAGTGTTTCAGCATTTTCAATTTTCCCTCTGACCTAAGACAAAGATAGGGCTGTTCTTCAGCCTGGAACACTGAGTAAGACACATTTAACAGTGCCCCAAAACCACAGACAACTTGTAGCTAACATGGGAGCTAGAAACACATCTTTACTGTAGGAAGGCACTACAATTTGAGGGTTGTTACAGCAGCCTTACTTCGGAAAAGCTAGTCCAGAAACTGGTAATAGGAGTACGTTATTGCCATAACAAACATGTAACATATGTGACACCTGCAATTGCGACTGAGTAGCAAGTAACTGTTACTGAAGGCTGGAAACAATGATGACCTATATAATGCAATGGTAACACTGCATTTGCCTGAGAAAACTGAGAAAGCAGATAATACGATTAATGAACTTGTTGATTTATACAAAGAGGTTGGGAAACAGTATGTTGCTAGCCCTGGATGCTATTAGCTACACTTAAAATACAATGAGAAAAAGATGAACTCAGAAAAGAATTAGCTGCAAGCGGAGTTGAAAAGAAAAAGAGAAAATCCACAAATTCAAGAACTTACAAGATTGAAAGATACAACAATTACTAATGCATAACTGTAAAATATATAATTGAGAAATGCTATCCATAAATGCCAATTAAAATTCAGCCTCATCTTCGAGGGCAAAACTTCTTCATTAAAGTCTGTGAATAGATGGAGATGGCCCCAAGTACCTTTTTTCAGTGGGACAAAACAGATTTGGGAAAGGAATTTAAGAATTTGGCTGTCTTGTAGAAACCTTATAAACTCAAGGTATCTCTAACAAAGTCTAGAAGACAGTCGTGTCTCAAAGAATTTAGGGTATGGCTACAGGTACATGGAGCTAACTTGAATCAAATTATAAAGAGTCAACTACATTTCACAAGATTTGTACTATTGAGGTCACTTTTTTTTTTTTTTGAGATGGAGTCGCGCTCTTGCCGCCCAGGCTGGAGTGCAGTGGCGTGATCTTGGCTCACTGCAAGCTCCTCCTCCCAGGTTCATGCCATTCTCCTGCCTCAGCCTCCCAAGTAACTGGGGCTACAGGTGCCTGCCACCACGCCCGGCTAATTTTTTGTATTTTTAGTAGAGACAGGGTTTCACTGTGGTCTCGATCTCCTGATCTCCTGATCCACCTGCCTCAGCCTACCAAAGTGCTGGGATTACAGGCATAAGCCACCACGCCCGGCCACTTTTTTAAAAAAATAAAGGAGCAATAAATTCATTGAATTTAGTGGTAAATGAATAAATCTAGAGATCAATTTGGGGAATTCGTATTTTTTCTAATTTTGTCAATAGCATTTCTTTCCATTTATGGTACAAACATTGTCATTAAATACATTTATAACTCTTTCCATAAAGGTCCTATATTTCCTGGTTCACATTACTGTAAGGTCTCATATTTTCATTGTTTTTGTGAAAGGTATCTCTATTTTTTAAGTTGTATCTTTTAATTTTTTTATGATGGAAAATTTCAAACATACACAAAAGTAGAGAGAACAGTACAATGACCCCTAGGTACCATCAGCAGATTCACAGCTTATCAATTTAGAGCCAGTCTCTTCTATTTAGGGTTGCCAGATAAAATACATGTTCTTGTTTCTGGGCCCCCTACTCCTTTCTCTAAGTTTATCTGTCTACCTTTGTTGTGCTAGTTCAACTCTGTCTCAATCAGTACCCCTATGACCACCATTAGCACTATTTTCAATTAAGAAAAGAAGTACAGGCTATATTTATATTGATCCCTATAACTAAAATGCCTATAGAAATATTTAGAACAGAGAAAACACTCAAATGTTTAATAGTAAAATGAATATATATATATATATATATATATATTTTTTTTTTTTTTTGAGATGGAGTCTCTATCTGTCACCAGGCTGGAGTGCAGTGGCGCGATCTCGGCTCACTGCAACCTCCACCTCCCGGGTTCAAGTGATTCTCCTGCCTCAGCCTTCTGAGTAGCTGGGACTGCAAGCACACGATACCACGCCTGGCTAATTTTTGTATTTTTAGTACAGACGGGGTTTCGCCATGTTGGTCAGGGTGGTCTCGAACTCCTGACCTCAGGTGATCCACTCGCCTCGGCCTCCTAAAGTGCTGGGATTACAGGTGTGAGCCACCATGCCCGGCCTCTGGTTAGCTTTCCTTTTGCACCATTGGGATATCTTGCTATTGGTGTCACCCACCTCGCTGTTGGGCAAGGTATATTGTGAAGACACTCAATGGAAGGAGAAAACCTGTTTACTAATATTATGCTTTTTTTTTTTTTTTGAGATGGAGTCTCACTCTGTTGCCCAGGCTGGAGTGCAGTGGCGCGACCTCAGCTCACTTCAACCTCCGCCTCCTGGGTTCAAGTGATTCTCCTACCTCAGCCTCCAAAGTAGCTGGGATTACAGGCGCCCGTCACCACGCCCGGTTAATTTTTGTATTTTTTTAAGTAGAGAAGGGGTTTCCCCATGTTGGCCAGGCTGGTCTTGAACTCCTGACCTCAGGTGATCCACCCACCTTGGCCTCCTAAAGTACTGGGATTACAGGTGTGAGCCACTGCGCCCAGCCTACTAATATTATTCTATCAAGTGCTAATAATTATGAAGGCCATATAAAGTAATGTGAAAACTGATCTCTTCAATTAATAGGATTATTGGTTGTAATAGACAGAAAATATGATCACATATGTAGAAAAAACTGCAAATAAGTACTAAATTACATGACACTGAATAAAAGTAATAAGGAGTTTAGAAAAGGGACACATTGGCTACTCAGGAGGCTGAGGCGGAAAGATTGCTTGAGACCAGGGGTTTAAGTTCAGCCTGGGCAACACAGCAAGACTCCATCTCCAAAAAAAAAAATCAATTAATTAAAATGAAAAATGTTTAAGGTACATATTGGAAGGCTTGAGTAGCCAGGAAATGCTTCACAAAGAGAAAGATTTGGATAGGCAAAAGAGAAAGAAGAGATTAAGAGATTATCAGAGACAGAGATAAATAAAATATATAAGAGAAGCAACGACAATTATAAGTTAATAACACTTTGTAGCACAAGTAGGAAAACAGCCTGAATTAAATAAATGATGTATTATGGGAACTAGTAGAAAATAAGGTATAACAACAACAACAACAACAACAACAACAAAAGGTACAACAGGTAGGCTGGAGTCAGTTTATACAGTTCAAGAGCATAAAGTCTTTCTGGTCTTTCTATGTAGGTTTATTTCCCGCATTTAAAAAGTAAAGATAATAACTGCTAATGGGTACAGGGTTCTTTTGGGGATAATGAATGTTCTAAAATTGACTGTAGTGATGGGTGCACGTAACCTGTGAGGATACTAAAAACCACTGAGTTGTATACTTCCAAAAGGTAACTTGTAAGATATCTGAATATCCCAATAAAGATGTTGTTTTTAAAAAGAGTAATACAAATAAAAAAGCAATACACGATGGACTGAGCATATAATTTTATCTTCTCTTTCGAGGCTCCATACAGAAATAAAAAGAGAGGGAGGCAATCAGTAGATGAGACATTTCAAGAAACTTCTGAAAGAACATTTGATGAAGAAATATCATTATTATATGAAGAAATATCAATATTATTACTTCCCACCAATCAAAATCCTGGCGGGAAATAGACGACACACAAGTGGGTCACTGGGAAGAGTTTGACAAAGAGGCTACAAAGATGTGAACAGAGTCAAGGGAAACCAACAAGGAACACTTTAAGGACCTGTGGCTAAGTTACTATCCCTTAGGCCTGGTGCAGCAGAGGGAGGGGGCAGTTCCCAAAACTTAAGGGAGGGAGCTGGCAAAATACACATCTGTGCTCACTCTACTCCTGCCCTCCAACCTCCTGCTGACCCTTTCCATTGGTGTAGCCCAGCTGGAAGACAGAGGGCAAAGATATCAGTTGGAGCAGCCTATAAATGTTAGTCTCCCAGGGTAGGAGAAGAGGCAAAAGGTAAGATCTGGAAGGGCAAACTGAAAATGTCCAGCCTAGTGCCTTCCATATAACAGAATGAAGAAAGCTGGAACCTAGAAAACATGAGAAAGGAACTACATGTGAAAGGACTCAACCCAGAGAGGTTACAAAAGAAAAACAGGGCAGGGTACAGCAGTTCATGTCTGTAGTCCCAGCACTTTGGGAGGCCTAGGCAGGTAGACAGCTCGAGCCCAGGAGTTCAAGACCAGCCTGGACAACATGGCAAAACACAGTCTCTACAAACAAAAATAAAAAATAAAAAATAAATTTGCCAGGCGTAGTGGCACACACCTGTAGTCCCAGCTATTCAGGAGGCTGAGACGGGAGGATTCATTGAGCCCGAAGATCAAGTCTGCAGTGAGCTGTGATCATGCCACTGTACTCTAGCATGGGCAACATAGCAAGACCCTGTCTCAAAACAAACAAACCCAAAAAACAAATAGTGTAAAAAAGAGTGATCCATTTGAGTGTGAACTTAAGGATGAATTCATTTGAGATATACACTGGAACTACAGAGAAGGAAAGATCATTTCTCAACTCCTGGCTTTGCTATGTATAATATTTACATAGTTATATGTCAAAATGTTGTTTATTATCTGTTTTCAACTTTTAGAATCCATGTATAGATCAAACACAAAATATTTAACTATGATTATAGCATGGTAAATACAGTTTATGTTCTGTGAAATAAAAACATGAAGCTATAACTGACCAAAACTAAGCATGAGAAAAGAAGAGAGGCTGGGTGTGGTGGCTCAATGCTTGCAATCCCAGCACTTTGGCAGGCTGAGATGGGAGGACTGCTTGAACCCAGAAATTCAAGACCAGCCAGGGCAACAAAGTGAGATCCCTGTCTCTAGCAAAAATGAAACAATTAGCCAGGTGTGGTGGCATGCACCTGTGGTCCCAGCTACTCAGAGTCTGAGGAAGGAGAATCGTTAGAGTCCAGGAGGTCGGGACTGCAGTGAGCTGTGATCATACCACTGCGCTCCAGCCTGGGCAACAGAGTGAGACTCTATCTTAAAAAAAGAAAAAATGAAAGAAACAAAGAAACAAAGAAAACATAGAAAAGATGATGGAACTAGTGGGAATGAAAATTTACCTTACAAAATGGAATCAAAGGGATACCATCAATATGGTGTATGGATGGGTTAAAGGACTGGGTTTTGAAGTCAGACTGGCTTGGTACCACTAATTGTCTACACAATGTTATACAGAGTAAACTTTATGCCTTAGTTCCTCATTTATAAAATGGAGATAATAATAATAGAGCCTAGACCATAGGTTTGATGACAAGAGTTACTGAGTTAATACAGGTAACGACCTAAGAATACACAGCACCTAGTGAAAACACAAAAAAGTTAGATAATACTATCATCTATGATCAGCATTTAAAACGTGTGCTGCCAGTAGTTGACAATATGATTAATAAAATGAATAATGGGCCAGGCACAGTGACTCAAGCCTGCAATCCTAGCACTTTGGGAGGCCAAGGCAGGAGGATCATTTGAGGCCAGGAGTTCGAGACCAGCATGGGCAACGAAGTGAGACCTTGTCTCTACAAAAAAATTTAAAAATTAGCCAACCAGCAGCCCTCGGGGCTGCTCTGCCTACAGAGTAGCCATTCTTTTCTTTCTTTACTTCTCTAATAAACTTGTTTTTACTTTAAAAAGAAATTAGCCAGGGGCATGCTTGTAGTCCCAGCTACTATGGGGGCTGAGGCGGGATGACTGCTTCAGCCCAGGAGGTTGAGGCTGCAATAAGCCATCATTGCACCACTGCACTCCAGCCTGGGCAACAAAGGGAGCCCCTGTCTTAAAAATAAATAAATAAAATAAAATGAATAATGGGAAAACCGAGAAGAGTGGTAACGTAAATTCAGAGGGTATGGTGGGGATTAGACAGTATGTGTGGATTACTTGAAAGAGGCCTGGCACAAAGTAAGCACTAATAAATGTTAGTTGCTATTAGTATTCTTATTCCTGCTACTATTTCTATGGGGCAGGGAAAAGAGTAGCTTTTGGGTAAATGAAGTCTTCATTTATTGTGGCAGGATATCAAAGGAGAATGTATAAATTAATAAACGAAGAAAGAGTGATAAAAGTATATTTGAGAAATGAAAGTAAATGCCAGGAAAACTAAAATCAGAAAGAGTCAAAAGTGATTGCCTCTGAAAAATGAGGACTCCAGGTGAGAGGGATGTTTTAGCCAATACTACTTCATAGTGTAAGCCCTTTTATATTATTTCACCTTGTAAAACTCATGTTTTTTAAATTATGAGTTATATTTTAATTCATTTTTTGAATTGGTAATTTATATACATAGTATAAAATTCAAAGAGCACAAAAGGTATGTATAGAGTAAGTCTCCTCCACTTCTATTCCAAATAACCTAGGTCTTCATTGTGAAGACCTTTATTTACTTACAAGCATATAACTGTGCATGTATGCATATAAATATGCTGTTTTGAAAAAGAAGTTTTAAATAAATACATTAAGAAAAAAGTAGCCGGGCATGATGGCTCATGCCTGTAGTCCCAACACTTGGGGAGGCTAAGGCGGGAAGAGCACTTGAACCCAGAAGTTCAAGACCACACTGGGAAACATGGAGAGACCTTACCTCTTCAAAACATTTTTAAAAAAATTATCCAGGCAGGCCAGGTGCAGTGGCTCACGCCTGTAATCCCAGCACTTTGGGAGGCCGAGGCAGGCTGATCACCTGAGGTCAGGAGTTCGAGACCATCCTGGCCAACATGGTGAAACCCTGTCTCTACTAAAGAGACAAAAATTAGCCAGAAGTGGTGGCAGGCGCCCATAATCCCAGCTACTTGGGAGGCTGAGGCAGGAGAATTGCTTGAAACTGGGAGGCAAAAGTTGCAGTGAGCTAAGACCGCACCACTGCACTCCAGGCCTGGGCAACAAGAGCAAAACTTTGTCGATTAAAAAAAAAAAAAAATTAGCCAGGCCTGGTAGGACTACATGCCTATGGTCACAGCTCCCTGGGAGGCTGAAGGGAGAGTATCATTTGAGCCAAGGAGGTCAAGACCAGCCTGGGCAATGTAGTAAGACTCTATCCCTACAAAAAAAAAAAGAAAAGAAAAGAAAGAAGAAAAAAAAGTACAAGTTGAAAAAGAACAATCCCATGACCTAACCAATTCCATTTAATATTTTAGTGTATTTCTTGCCAGACTGTTTCCTGGTCATATTTGTTTTGTCACCTTAAATAAGGAAATTGTATTTCTGTTTCATTGGCTGTCTAAGACTATTAGTGATCTGAAAGGGTTTTATAGAAGAATTTCTTGGCCGGGTACAGTGGCTCAAGCCTGTAATATCAGCACTTTGGGAGGCCAAGGCGGGCGGATCATTTGAGGTCAGGAGTTTGAGACCAGCCTGACCAACATGGTGAAAACCCGTCTCTACTAAACATACAAAATATTAGCTGGGTCTGGTGGCGAACGCCTATAATCCCAGCTACTTGGGAGGCTGAGACAGGAGAATTGCTTGAACCTGGGAAGCGGAGGTTGCAGTGAGCCGAGATTGTGCCACTGCACTCCAGCCTGGGCGACGAGAGTGAAACTCCATCTCAGGAAAAAAAAAAGAATTACTTGTGCCCATTTTTGGGGCCATCAAAATAAGAAATAACAGGTCAGTGCAGTGGCTCATGCCTGTAATCCCAGCACTTTGAGGGGCCAAGGCGGACAGATCACTTGAGCCCGGAGTTCGAGACCAGCCTGGGCAACATGGCAAAACCCTGTCTCTACAAAAAAATACACAAATTAGCCAGACATGGTGGCACAGGCCTGTAGTGCTAGCTACTCGGGGAGCTGAGGTGGGAGGATCAATTGAGCCCAGGAGGTCAAAGCTGCAGTGAGCCAAGATTGCGCCACTGCAGTCCAACAAGACCCTACCTCAAAAAAAGAAAAGAAATAATTCAAATGAAACTGTTTCCTTTTAAAGCATCATTGAGAAAGCCACAAAACAAGGCCTATCAGTGTGGCTAGCTCAACCTGCTATGTTTTGTTAAAATGTTTTTCTTGAGATAAACTGGGTGCAGTGTACATCGGTAGTTCACCAAGCCTGTAATACCATGATATCTAATTTATGATTTCCTTTTGAGCTGCTGTTTCTTGGCCAGCAGCTGTGTGTCTCCAAATAATTTTTCCCCCAAACCAGCATGTTTTCTGAATATGTCTTCTTGATCTGCTTACCTAGATGTTTTCCAAATGCTGTAAAATGTTTTTTAAAATTTCATCTTTACTTTTTCCATTACAACTTTTCTGAATTCTCCATCAAAAATATTGGTAATTATTCAGTTGTGTCATCTTCATTCTCTTGACTTCATATTTATCATTTTCTCAGGATACTGAGAGATCATCTGCAGTTCTTCCTGAATATCACTAGCTAAATGTTTTGAAGTACTGGTAGGATCAGTCTGCAGTCACATCACCCTGAGGTGCAGCATCTTGTCTAAGTATCAGTTCTACTCTATTGTCTTTGATGTGAATTTTAATCCTGCTACTGCGTTTTTGCTTTCCTGAACATCTTTCTTGCTTTATTTAACCTTAGCCTGTTATCTCCTTATAGTTCTATGCTCTTTCACAGAAGCCATGATCTGTGGCATTTTATTACAGAAGACAATCTTCTGAAAGTTTTTTATACCCGGCCAACTGATCTTTACTCATTGGTTTCATAGCTCTCAGTATGTATACTGTGACAGTGACAATATTTCTTCCCCCTCTTACATTCGGCTTAATTTTTAGAAGTAGCAATCTGGGGCCGGGTGCAGTGGCTCACGCCTGTAATCCCAGCACTTTGGGAGGCCAAGGTGGGCAGGTCACAAGGTCAAGAGAGCAGACCATTCTGGCCAACATGGTGAAACTCCATCTCTACTAAAAATACAAAAGAATTAGCTAGGCGTGGTGGCATGCGTCTGCAGTCCCAGCCACTCGGGAGGCTGAGGCCGGAGAATCGCCTGAATCTGGGAAGTGGAGGCTGCAGTGAACCAAGATCACGCCACTGCACTCCAGCCTGGCAACAGAGCGAGACTCCATCTCAAAAAAAAAAAAAAAAAAAGAAAAGAAAAAGAAAAAGAAAGAAATAGCAATCTGGGTATCTCATAAAGCAGTAAAAATGCAGAAGGGCAGGTGCTGATTTCACCACTGGAGACTTTATCGATTAACTTTTGCTGCATAACAAGCCACTTCAAAACTTAGAAGCTTAAAACAAAAACCATGTAGTCGCTAATCATTTTATGGGTAGGCAATTAGATGTGAGTTCAGTTGGACAGTTCTGCCAGTCTCAGTCAGATCTCACTCAGGCAACTCAGACAGCTAGTGGTCTGTGGCCTCTCTCAAATGTCCAGGACCAGCTTGGGTTTATTTATATAGGGCTTGGTTACAAGGTTTTAAGACTTGCAATAGAGAAGACAAGCTCTAATGTGCATTTTTCAAGTATTTGAATTATGTCTGCAACTGTCCCACTGGCCAAAGCAAATCTATTAGCCCAACCCAGAGGCAGTATGACAGGGAACTAGTAATAAGCATGGATTCAGGGAAGGGACTCATTTTACAAACAATCTATCACAGAGACCTTATGTTTCTTTCCTTTTCAATTATGAAAATAATAAAAGTCTCTAGAAAACAAAAATACTATAAAGTATATAAAGCAAAAAGTAAAACAATGCTCTCTTGCTTCTCCTTTCAACTTTATTCCCCACAAACACCACCAATAAGAATGATTTTGGCAGGGGACTGTGGCTCACACCTATAATCCCAGCACTTTGGGAGGCTGAGGTGGGAGGATCACTTGAATCCAGGAGTTCGAGACCAACCTGGGCAACATAGGGAGAGCCCGTCTCTATAAGAAAATACAATAAATTAGCCAAGTGTGGTGGCAGGTGCCTGTGGTCCCAGCTACTTGGGTGGCTGAGGTGGGAGGATTGCTTGAACCCTGGAGGTCAAGGCTGCATGCAGTAAGCCATAATCGTGCCACTGCACTCCAGCCTGGGTGAGTTAGAGTGAGACTCTGTCTCAAGAAACAAACAAAAAAGAATGATTTCTTTCTCTGTGCACATTTAAGTATATACATGAGTTTTTCCATTATTTTACATCAATGGGATAAAACTACATATAATGTCCTGCAACATGTCTATTTAAGAATATATCGGGTTTCTTTAATACATAGAGAATTATATCAATATTTACTGTGTACAAAGTAGTATATAATGAACCAACTTATTTAATCAATATCTTCCTGATGAACATTTATATTCTTTCTACTTTTTCCCTGTTTTGTTTATTTATTTATTTATTTAGAGACAGAGTCTCACTCTGTCACCCAGGTTGGAGTGCAGTGGCACGATCTTGGCTCACCGCAACCTCTGCCTCCTGGGTTCAAGCGTTCTCCTGACTCAGCCTCCTGAGTAGATGGGATTACAGGTGCACACCACCATGTCCAATTAATTTTTTTTTTTTTTGCATTTTTAATAGAGACGGGGTTTCACCATATTGGCCAGGCTAGTCTTGAACTACTGACCTCAAGTGATCCGCCGTCTTGGCCTCTCAAAGTGCTGGGATTACAGGTGTGAGCCACCGCACCCGGCCTCCCTGTTTTAAAAATGCTGTAATAAATATCTTCATACTAATAAATTTGAATAGCTACACAATATGAATGAAAGGTCAATTTCTGTAGGTGGAAGTGAAGAGTGAAAAAAGATCTGCATTTTTGTACCAGATGTTAAGTTAATGGATAAGAAAGCAAAATATTTTCCTACCTGAAATTTTCAGGCACAATAGCAAGAATTAGCAAGTTTAAAACTGCATTTTAAAAATCCATTTCCATTTTCCTTATAAGCTGAAATTCATTTCAGATTACAGAAATAGGTTAACTGTGGATATTAGTTTCCCACATTTATTGTAAGTTTTCATCTTTTTTATGTCTCCACGGATCTCTAATGAGAGGTTACATCAGGAAGACCTAATCAGATGTTTTTAAATGTAAGTTGCTGCTAGAAACTTTCTCTTATGAAGCTGCTGCTGTTAGGAAGATTGTATTATTATGTACAAGCATTTGTCAGCAACACCAACTTTGTGACAACTGACAATTATTGTGTTTCATTAAGGATACTATCTAAAGTCTTTAGGCAATTTTTCAAGTAAGCACTTGCCTGCAAGTTCCTTTGAGTTTCCAAAACTGATAAAATTAATAAATCTCAGTAATACATCCTGTTAAGGGAGAAAACAGAACTAGAAGCCAGTGTTTTATTTCAGGTGTCAAGTAAAAAGGGTTATAAAGGAACAGGACTTCGTACGCAGGCTAAAAGTACATAAAAAGTGATCTAAAATGCTATACTAGGGCTCCTAACAGTAAGCTGTAATATATAAATATTTTCTGATTTATAGCTATGAACAACATTGGCTAACTTCTATACTATTTTCCTCAAAAGAATTTAGAACATCTACTATTCCAGTCTAAATCAGTTATAAAGACACCAGTTTCTTTTTCAAAATAGGGTTTAAATTTTTTAAAATTTGTCCATAGGAAAACTCCTATGATCATCCTTTTTCTAATGAGACATATCACAGAAGTTAATATACGAACCACTATATGATCAGCATCTAAAATTAACTAAGGTACTCTATGAAGAGTTTCAAAAAAAACTCCTCTACTACTCAGAGCTTGACTCTGATTTTAAACTCTGAATATATCATTTGGTCATTATTACTGTCAGCAAAGATGGGAAATTAATGGTCCATAGAATTAAATTAAATAGGGCTCTGAATTACCCCATAATTTAAGTGACCTTATATTTCACATTTTGCAAAGGCAGCTATGTTATGAATTAGCTAATCATATTCTTTTTTCCAAGATTTTGGAGGAAAGTAAAAGTATGACACTAATCTCTCTTTATTGAAATCCTCAGTTCTATCAGTAGAACTCAGGAGACTATGGTAGGAAGAAATGCAGTGCAAATAATTAAACCTGATTATCAGGGATGTTTCAAATATAACGTTGAGATATCAAAACTCAGGAAATCTCTGTAAATTTCCTGTAAATCCCCCATCTTTACTAAACTGAATTAGCTAAGATCATTGATCCCTACGTACACCTAAAATCCAAGTCCAAGGGGCATCTTTCAGTCCCTTCTTTATCAGTCCTCTCTATGGCATTACACTGTTCACCACTTTCTCACCATCTTGTAACTCTTTTTTCTGTCCTTACAATCTCTTCCATTAACTTCTCTTTCCTTAGTCCAGTCCCTAAATGCATGGCTTCCACCAGAGTATGTGTGTGTGTGTGTGTGTACACACACACACACACACACACACACACACACATATACAAAAAGAAACATACATACAGGAAGTTACTTAGGAATTATGGCCAGTAAGCTGTAGAGCTATGATTCAAATTCAAACCTTCTACCTCCTAATCCAATGCTCTTTTCCACCATATGGAATAACCACCTAGATTTTGTACGCAAGTAAAGTTGTTAGTTCTTTTCTGGGACCACATTCTGCTCCCTGGCTTTTTTTTTTTTTTTTTTTTTTTTTTTTTTGACAGAGTCTCACTTCACCCAGGCTGGAGTGCAGTGGCATGATCTTGGCTCACTGCAACCTCCACCTCCCAGGTTCAAGCGATTCTCATGCCTCAGCTTCCTGAGTAGCTGGGATTATGGGCATTTGCCACCATGCCTGGCTAATTGCTTTGTATTTTTAGTAGAGATGAGGTTTCGCCATGTTGGCCAGGCTGGTCTTGAACTCCTGACGTCAAGTGATCCACCTGCCCTGGCTTCCCAAAGTGCTGGAATTACAGGCGTGAGCCACTGTGCCTGGCCTGCTCCCTGGCTCTTAGGATGCTGCTGACCTCCAACAAAGCTGTGGTCAAAGGCAAAGGAATAAGCCAACTTCTCTGAATCAGGTTTTCAGTCAAAGAGCACACTGTCCGACTCACATATTCTTGTTTAAACACAGAGGACTATATTACTGGGACATCTTTGTTCCAAACCATGTTTCTGTGTTCATGTGTATACGAGACCAAACTGCATTTGAGACTTCAAAGCCCAGTTGAGCATTTCCTTGTTTAGCACCAGTATTTGCTTTTACCCATTGGTAGACCCAGTGGTTTTTTGTTGTTCTTTGTTTTTAAAGACATGGTCTCACTCTATTCCTCCAGGCCGGTGTGCAATGACATGATCATAGCTCACTGCAGCCTCAAACTCCTGGGCTCAAGCAATTCTCCTGCCTCAGCCTCCTGAGTAGCTGGGACTACAGGTGCATGGCACCACACTCAGCTAATATTTTTGTTTGAGACAGGGTCTCACTCTGTTGTCCAAGCTGGAGTACAGTGGTGCGATCTCCACTCACTGCAACCTCTCCCTCCCAGGTTCAAGCGATTCTCACGCCTTAGCCTCTCAAGTAGCTGGGATTATGATGGTGGTGGCAGCCCATCTGGAGCAGCTGCTGCAGGGATGCCGACTGCAGTGGGGAAGTTGTGGCCAGGGCTGCATGCTCCACAGAATGGGTGGAGGCCAGGAACAGGTGGAAGCCGGGCCACCTACTGAGTTGGAGGGGTGGGAGCCCAGCGCTCCTGGGTGCAGCTGCAGCTACCCAGCTGCAGCTTTGGACCCATGCTTCCCTGTGTTCTCAGGGTCTTAAGAAGCTCCCTGCCCCCACATGCTTGAAAGTACCTGCTCCTGCTCCCTGGCCTCTCCCAGCTCCTGGCACCCACTCTGGGGTGGAGCAAAGTTGTGGCCAAGCCTGGGACCTGTCACAACTGACTGGGTGTGCTCATGACGGCACTGATTCACAAGCCCCCTGCTGCCTCAGCCCTCTCCAGACTTTGGGTAATGACGAGCATGGGAGGCGGGCCTGGGGGGATAAGGCTGCCAGTTCTGGTTGAAGTCCATGGCCCAGAGTGAGAACTCGAGGTGCTTTTTCCAGGCCCATCCGTGGCCTCCCATGGACCAATCAGCACACACTTCCACCATTCAGAGCACAAAATAACCCCAGACAGCCAGACTCATACCCTCTGTGGGATGACATGCCTACAGAAAGGAGCTACCCACTCCTTTCTGCTGAGAGCTGGACACTTGCTGGGATGATCCACCTGCAGGAAGGAGCAACTACTACAGGTCTCCTCTCTGCTAAGAGCTGGACACTTGCCTGGACAACCTGCTTGCAGAAAGGAGCTACCTACTAGGGGTCTCCTGAGAGCTCTTCTGTCACTGAATGAAGCTCCTCTCCACCTTGTTCACCCTCCAGTTGTCCACATACCTCATTCTTCCTGGGCGCAGGACAAGAACTCAGGACCTGGCAAATTCTGGTACTCAAAAAATGGTAACACAAACAGGGCTGAAACATGCCCCCTTGCTCGCCACGTTGTAGGCAATGAGAAGGAAAGAGCTGAGGCCCTTTGGGAGTTCAGACCTATGGGCTCCCTGAGCCAGGGTTGTGACATCCTCTTTGGGGCTTGTGGTTCCTGGCATCTCCAAGCTTCTGGGCACCACCACCATGTTCCCCTCGTCCAGATGTGGGTGCCTGCAGTGGAAGCTGCTTGAGGCACATCTAATCCAGCTGCAACCTTGCATGGCGCCAGTGCCTGGAGATGCCTGCCCCACCACGGCAGCTAGCTTGCTTGGCTGTGCACAGTGGCCAGACCCCATGCCCATTCGCTAACACACCCCTCGCTGCTCCATACCTGGCCTACCCTTGGCAGGTGTGGGATCTGAGCCAGTAGCATAAGTCAAGCACAACCTGCCAGGCTGAGTAGCGGGAACAAGCCCAGTGAGCCCAAGCAAAACTCGGGCAAAGGTGCCACTAGCCACAGAGGTTTCTGGCTGGAAAAATAACACCCTAAGGATCCTGTGACATTTTTAGACATGCACCACCATGCCTGGCTAATTTTTGTGTTTTTAGTAGAGATGGGGTTTCGCCATGTTGGCCAGGATGATCTCAAACTCCTGGCCTCAAGTGATCTGCCTACCTCAGCCTCCCAAAGTGCTGGGATTATAGGCATGAGCCACTGCATCTGGCCAGCTAATTTTTAAAATTTTCTATAGAGATGAGGTCTCACTGTGTTGCTCAGGCTGGTCTTGAACTCCTGGCTTCAAGCAATCCTCTCACCTCAACCTCTTGAGCAGCTGGACTACAGGCATGCACTACCACACCCAGCTATATTTTTTATTTTGTAGACGGGGTCTCACTTTGTTGCCCAGGCTGGTCTTAAATTCCTGAGCTCAGGCAATCCTCTGGCCTTGGCCTCCCAAAGTGCTGGAATTACAGGCATGAGTCGCTGTGCCTGGCCTGCCTCTATTCTTAGAGTCAAACATTCGTCTGTGTTTGGAATCCTTACTCCTAAATTGAGGAAAAACTTCTCGGAAGTAGCACTTCTCAAATTATAATCTATCACATTAACATAGGCTATGACTTTAACTGGCAAAGCTTTGTTTTTCTCATCTGTAGAACCAAAATAATAGACACTAATGACATTGTTTTGAGGATTTAATGAATTCTTCAGGGTTCTTAACATATCTTTTTAATTTTCTCTCTATACCCCTCCTGAAGAATCTTAAAAACTAACCACTATTGAATGTGGTTAAAAGTGAACACTTTTACACTGCTGGTGGGAATGTAAACTAGTACAACCACTATGGAAAACAGTGTGGAGATTCCTTAAATGACTAAAAGTAAAACTACCATTTGATCCAGCAATCCCACTACTGGGTATCTACCCAGAGGAAAAGAAGTCATTTATATAAAAAAGATACCTGCACACACATGGTTATAATGGCACAATTTGCAATTGCAAAAATATGGAACCAGCCCAAGTGCCCATCAATCAACAAGTGAATAAAGAAATTGTGAGATATATATATATATATATATATATATATGCACACACACATATATATACATATATATACACATATATACACACACACATATATATATTTCATTCCTTTTATGGCCTATCTCATATATATATACACACACACACACACATATATATATGTGTGTGTGTGTATATATATATGAGATAGGCCATAAAAGGAATGAAATAATGGCATTTGCAGCAACCTGGAAGGAATTGGAGACCATTATTCTAAGTTAAGTAACTCACGAATGGAAAACCAAACATCATGTGTTCTCAGTCATAGGTGGAAGCTAAAGTATGAGGATACAAAGACATAAGAATGACACATGGACTTTTGGGACTCTCACGATAGGGTAGGAGGGGCGTGAGGAACAAGACTACACATTGGGTACAGTGTATATTGCTTGGGTGATGGGTGCATCAAAATCTCATAAATCACTACTAAAGAACTTATTCATGTAACCAAACACACCTGTTCCCCAAAAAACTACTGAAATTTAAAAAAAAAAAAAAACTAACTACAACTACCTCTCCCCTAACCAATTCCCGATCCAGCTTCTACCAGCAACTTTAAAGGGGAAGATGCTCTATGTTTCTAGTAAGACCTGACAAGATCTTAGAGGGAGCTAACATATAAGACCTGGTTATATGGACTTTGATAGAATATATTATATTATAATAGAATATATTCATCTATTTTATTGTTTAATATTTTAGCATAGCATTTAAATAGCTAATTTTCTAGATTCTGGGGAAATGGTGACAGCATAGTATTGAATCTATTCAGATACCTTCCCAACACAGGCAGAACAAACAGATAATAAAGCAAAACCCACTGGTAACATTTCAATAAAACCAAGGGTTATGGGCTGAATTGTTATTCCCAAAACTCGTACATTCAACCTCTAACTCCCAGTATCTCAGAATTTCACTGTATCTGGAGATAGGGCCTTTAAAGAGGTAATTAAAAAGAAGCCTTTAGGGAAGGTTTTAATACAATATGAGTTGCGTCCTTAGAAGAAGACATTAGGACATACAAAGAGGCGCCAGGGCACAAATGCATGCAAAGATGACCATGTGAGGGCACAGGAAGGAGGCATCCATCTGCAATCCAAGGAGAGAGGGCTCAGAACAAACTGAACCTGCTGACACCTTGATCTTGGACTTCCGGCCTCCAGAACTGTGAGAAAATGCATTTCTGTTGTTTAAGCTACTCAGTCTATGGCACCTTGTTATGGCAGCCATAGCAAACTGATACAGTAATATGGTAACCATCAAATCCCAGGTGGTTGGAGACAAATTACCAACAGCCAAAAGACCTGCAAGCTATTAGCATCTATGTTGGAGGAGACAAAGAAAGCAAAACTGGGAACACCTCATGGACCAGTGAAGAAGACAACCCCAAAATAGCCAATATGGATTCACGAGAAAGCACAGTCAGCCATTATGAGAACAGAAACTAAAACTGGGAGGAATTTTGCCTGAGCAAACAGCCACACATGGCTACTAAGCACTTGAATGTAGTTAATCTGAACTGAAATGTATGTAAGTATAAAATACTCACTGTGTTTCAAAGACTTAGTATAAAAAACAATGTAAAATATCACTAATATTTCTCTATCGATTTATGATGAAGTAGAATATTTTTTATTTATTGGATCAAATATTATTAAAATTAATTTCACTTGTTTCTTTTTATTTTTTAATGTGGCTAGAAAATTTAAAATAACATTTGTGGCTTATATTAAATTTCTATTAGTCATTGATTTTCTTTTCTTTTGTTTTTTTTTGAGATGGAATTTCACTCTTGTTGCCCAGGCTGGAATGCAATGGCGTGATCTCGGCTCACTGCAACCTCTGCTGCTCAGGTTCAAGCAATTCTCCTGCCTCAGACTCTCAAGTAGCTGGGACTACAGGCATGTGCCACCATGCCCAGCTAATTTTGTATTTTTAGTAGAGATGGGGTTTCACCATGTTGGTCAGGCTGGGCTCAAATTCCTAACCTCAAGTGATCCACACACCTCAGCCTCCCAAAGTGCTGGGATTACAGGCAAGAGCCACTATGCCCAGCCTAGTCAATCAATGATGTTCAAGAGCATGTGATCAAGATACCTACTGTACTCTGGTGGCAGTCTACCTCAAAGGCAAGTCCAATTCTTCTGGTGGTAAGCCATATAAAATGACAGCCTATATCACAAGCTTGTACAGACAGTTTAGGGTATAATCTCTAAAATAACATGGTTATTTATTTCAATAACAATAAACTTGCCATTACCAGTTTGCAGAACTAGCCTCTAAGAGAATATTAATTTTCTGAAGAAGGAGAAGGAGAAGAGGGAGGAAAGAAGAAAAGAGAAGAAGAAGAAGAAAAGGGCAGGGGAGGGGAAGAAGGGGTCAATGGAACAAACTGTTAATTTCTCAGTTGTCCATTTTAGGAAAAAGGGAATCCTAAAAACAGGCTTCTAAAGGAAGCATTATAGAAACTTTCTTAAGTTGAATACTGGGAGCATATTTATTTATTTATTTATTTATTTAATTTTATTTTTATTTTATTTTTGGAGATGGAGTTTCGCTCTTGTTGCCCAGGCTGGAGGCAATGGCGTGATCTCGGCTCACCACAACATCCGCCTCCCAGGTTCAAGCGATTCTCCTTCCTCAGCCTCCCAAGTAGCTGGGATTACAGGCATGTGACACCACGCCCGGCTAATTTTGTATTTTTAGTAGAGATGGGGTTTCTCCATGTTGGTCAGACTGGTCTCAAACTCCTGACCTCAGGTGATCTGCCTGCCTCAGCCTCCCAAAGTGCTGGGATTACAGGCGTGAGCCACCGCACCTGGCTAGGAGCATATTTAATAAAAATAATTTCTGTAATTATTTTCATTTAAGACTAGTACACTTCACTTTGGGGCACCTCCCAATTAAAAATATACATATACACACACACTCACACAATATATACTATTATATGTACTATAATAATAATATTATATATACTATCAGTGGCCTCCCAAGCCTTCTTTGGCTTTGTGTATTTGCTCCTCTGTAGTCAAATAATTAGTGACTTGGAGGCCTCTGCTTTTGCAAAACACTGCAAGTTAGGGATATCACTGATAGACACAGCTGTGTTTCTCAAATACATGTCTCGAGATGCTGCCTTATATAATCTCACTAAGTATTCCATTCTGCTTCGACAGTCTTAGTCACCATGGCAACCAGAACCCTGCAAGCACTTGGGCTTTTGATCATTTTCTGACAGTATTCAAAGCTTTTTCTAACATTATTCTCACTTCATTATTATTGCAACTACATGCAAGAGCCATTATATGCGAAACATCATTCATTTCATCCAATTCTTATTTTTCTGGATTATGTTTTCTTACACAGTGAGTGGAAATAAGAGATAAACTATTATGCACATATTATAAGAAGGTATTTTCAGTTGAGAAAAATACTCCATTAAGATATTCACAGCTGGGAAAATGAAAGGCTCTGACAACTTAGATGAACAGCTTAATATAATGTGGAAAGACACACCTCCAAGCGTAAAAAGAGAATCTATTATATCCCAAATGAGACATGATACAAAAATCTGAAACCTTTCATGCACTGAAATGCCCTTTTTCACTCTGCTCATAATGAGTTAAAAAGTCCAAGTAACAGGGAACACAACAGGGGAGGTTTCTGAGGTGCTGTGTGTGCTACTTCTTCATCTGAATACAAGTCACATGGATGTATTCAGTTTCTTAAAAACACACTTACAGCATGTGCACTTTTCCGCAGTCAATTATACTTCAGTAATAAGTTTAAGACACAGTACATGAATTGAAGAAAGCAAGCAAAAAGAAAAACATGTTACAACATGTGGAAAAGGAGAAAAAAAAAAAGACAAGCACTAACAGTGAAAAAAATGCTAGAGGGAAAGGGCTTAATATTAAAAACTGACACTATTCCAGCTGGATCCCACTTCATTCCATTTCCCCAAATGCCAATGCTGGTCCAGACCACTACCAATACATTTCTTCTTCTCTATAAGGGCCATAGACCTACTCAGACCAATTTAAATAAGGGGGTGGAGGTGGGCGCAGGGGGATAGCAACCAAAAAAACCTTATAATTATTCCAAAATAAATCTTGTCCCTTTCTCAAGAAATGCTCATAAAGCAACATCAACACTCGAAAGAAAAGAGGTTTCTGATTAACAAAACTCAAAGATCTTCTTTACGCAGGAAACAGGGAGAGTAGTGTAGACAAGAATGCCAATACACACCTCCAACCCACCACCACAGGGAACTTTAAGGAAGGCCTACAAAACTGATAAAGACAGCCCTTTATAATCAAGGTCTAATATTGAACAAAGAACACTTTTTTCTCTTTTCTTTTTATAAAAGGGACAAGGTCTCACTGCATTGCCCAGGCTGGAGTACAGTGGCATAACATAGCTCATTGCAGCTTCAAACCCCCGGGTTCAAGTGACCCTCCCACCTCAGCCTCCCAAGTTGCTGGGACTAAAGGCACACACCACCACACCCAGCTAATTTTTAAATTTTTGGTAGATGGAGTCTTCCTATGTCGCCAGGCTGGTCTAGAGCTCTTGGCTTCAAGTGATTCTCCTGCCTTCGCCTCCCAAAGTGCTGGGATTACAGGTATCAGCCACTGCTCCTGGAGATACTTTCATTTATATAAACAAAAAAAAGAAAACAATACGGCTGCTATACTGGACAACCACATCTCTCTCAAACAAAAATCCAAAAGCATTCAGAGAAGATATATAGTTTGCTCACCACAGACCTATTTTTGTATAAATAATTATGGCTTATTTATTTATTTATTTACTTAGAGACAGAGTCTTGCTCTGTCACCCAGGCTGGAGTGCAGTGGTGTGATCGCAGCTCACTGCAACATCCGCCTCCCAGCTTCAAGCGATTCTCCTGTCTCAGCCTCCCGAGTAGCTGAGATTACAGGTGTGTGCCACCACGCCTGGCTAATTTTTGTATTTTTAGTAGAGATGGGGTTTCACCATGTTGGCCAGGCTGGTCTCGAACTCCTGACCTCAGGTGATCTGCCTGCCTCAGCCTCCCAAAGTGCTGGGATTACAGGCGTGAGCTACCATGCCCAGCCAATTATATCTTATTTAAATTGAAGAGGGTCACTCAATAAAACACTGAAAATATATCTGTGGTATATTTGCTTATCCACTCTTCCAGGTGACAGATCAAAATTTATCATTATTAGTATTGTAAAATTTTAAAACAGCACCTTAGAAAGATACGACTCTATACCTGGGATATAAGATTTATATTTCAAAATAGCTCAAAGAGCAGATTTAAAATGTTCCCAACACAAATAAATGATAAATGTTTGAAGTGATGGATATCCCAAATCCATAATGTGATCATTACAATGGTATGTATGTATCAAAATATCACATGTACCCCATACATATGTAAAATTATTATGTATCAATGTTTAAAAAGAAAAAATGAAAAATATGCAATAATCAAAACAATTGGAAATGTTTTTCTGATTTAAAAAATAACATAAAACTAACATTCCACTCCATACACAAAAATTAACTCAAAATGGGCTGGGAATGGTGGCTCATGCCTGTAATCCCAGAACTTTGGGAGGCCAAGGCAGGCGGATCACTTGAGGTTAGGAGTTCAAGACCAGCCTGGCCAACATGGTGAAATCCCGTTTCTACTAAAACAAATACAGTGTGGTGGCACCAACTACTAGGGAGGCTGAGGCAGGAGAACTGCTTGAACCCGGGAGGCAGAGGCTGCACTGAGCCGAGATCATGCCACTGCACTCCAGCCTGGGTGACAAAGCAAGGCTCCATCTCAAAAAAATTAATTAAAATAAAAAGAACTCAAAATGGATCACAGACCTAAATGTAAGAGCTAAAAGTATAAAACTCTTAGAAAAAAACACGGGAGTACATTTTAATGACCTTAAGTTAGGCAATGATTTCTTAGATACAATACCAAAAGTACAAGCAATGAAAGAAAAGAATGATAAGTTTAACTTTATTAAAATTAAAAACATTTGTGCTTCAAAGGATATCATTAAGAAAGTAAAAGACATGCCGGTTTGCGGTGGCTCACGCCTGTAATCCCAGCACTTTGGGAGGTCGAGGCGGGTGGATCACCTGAGGTCAGGAGTTCTAGACCAGCCTGGCCAACATGGTGAAATCCCGTTTCTACTAAAAATACAAAAATTAGCCGGGCATGGTGACAGGCACCTGTAATCCCAGCTACTCGGGGTAGGGGGGCGGTGGGTGCCGAGGCAGGAGAATCGCTTGGAGGCAGGAGAATCGCTTGGAGGCAGGAGAATCACTTGAACCCAGGAGGCGGAGGTTGCAGTGAGCAAGATCGCACCATCACACTCCAGCCTGGGGGACAAGAGCAAAACTTCATCTCAAAAAAAAGAAAGAAAGAAAGTAAAAGACAATCCACAGAATAAGAGAATATATATTTGCAAATCATACATCTTACAAGGGACTTGTATCCAGAATATATAAACAATTATAAATTAATAATTTTAAAAATAATTCAATTTTTTAACTGGTCAAAGAATTAGAACAGATACTTTCCCAAAGAAGAAACAGAAATCGCTAACAAGCACATAAAAAGATGCCCAACATTAGGGAAATTCAAATCAAAACCACCAAGAGACACCATTTACATCCAGTAGCATGTCTATAATCAAAAAGACAGAAAATAGTAAGTGTTGATGAGAATGAGGAGAAACTAGAACACATTACTGGTGATGAGGCCACTTTGGAAAACAGTTTGGCAGGTCCTCAAAAGGTTAAACACAGAATTACTATATGACCCAGGAATTCTACTCCTTGGTATATGGCCAAGAGAATCGTAATCCCAGCACTTTGGGAGGCCGAAGCAGGTGGATCACCTGAGGTCAGGAGTTCAAGACCAGCCTGGCCAACATAGTGAAACCTGTCTCTACCAAAAATACAAAAATTACTTGGGCGTGGTGTTAGGCACCTGTAATTTCAGCTATTCGGGAGGCTGAGGCAGGAAAATTGCTTGAACCCAGGAGGCGGAGGTTGCAGTAAGCCAAAATCGTGTCATTGCACTCCAGCCCGGACGACAAGAGCAACACTCTGTCTCAAAAAAAAGGAAAACCTACGCTCACATAAAAACTTGTATACAAATGTTCACAGGACTATTATTCTTGATAGCCAAAAAACTCAAATGTCTATCAACTGATGACTGGACAAATTGTGATAAATCCTTACAATGGAATATTAATCACTAATAAAAGTAGTGATATGTGCTATAACACAGATGAACCTCAAAAACATTATGTTAACAAAAGATGTCCATGATAGAAGACCACATATTGTATGATTCCAATTAATTAATATATAAAATATCCAAAATAGGTAAATCCATAGAGAAAAAAATTAGATTGGTGGTTGTCAGGGGTTAGGATTTGGAAGAATGTAGAATCACTGCTAATAGGAACCGGATTTCTTTTGGGGGTGATTAAAATGATCTAAAATTAAACCGTACTAACAGCTGCACAACTCTGCAAACATACCAAACTTTTCAACTGTAAACTTTGAATGGGCAAATTTTATTGTATATAAATATAGCTCCATAAAACTGTCTCAAAAAAATGGGGTCCGAGCTATTATAACTATGTCAGTGTTTTAAGTTTGAGAGCCCATGTGCCAGAAGTTACACAAGGGATTTAAATGCAAGCTTTTAAATGCCTTCCTACCTTTAAATCTATAATCCCTTTAAGATTTTGTTTTTATTTTTTGGTTAAGGGTCTTGCTCTGTCACCCAGGCTGGAGTGCAGTGGTGTGATCACAGTTCACTGAAGCCTCGATCTCCTGGGCTTGAGCAATCCTCTCACCTCAGTCTCCCGAGCAGCTGTGACTTGAGGCACTCACCACCATATCCAGCTAATTTTTTCATGTTTTGTAGAGACGAGGTTTCACCATGTTGCCCAGGCTGATCTCAAACTCCTGGGCTCAAGTGATCCTCCCACCTCAGCCTCCCGAAGTGCTGGGATTATGGGCGTGAGCCACTGCGCCTGGCCTCTTCTAACTTTTTACTTACTTAATTTCAATAGGCACACAGATATGTGTTCCTATCTGTGAAATAGGTTCACTGGATGTGCTAAAGCTGAGGCTTGCTGTGAGCAGAAGTTTGCCTTGGGTTTTGTTTTTTTATAATTTCCTCATAGAGTAATTGAGGGCAGGGACTGTTAGCTTTATCTCTGAATTTTCGTACCCAATACAGAATATGGTACATACTGGGTGCCAATTAAATGTTGAAGAAAAAAAATATACCTGGAAGGCAAAGAGAAAAAAAAAAAGTCTAAGTATGCAAATTTAAGAGGTTTAAAATAATCTATTGCAGGAAAATAAAAGATTTAAACCCCAGGCATACCAAGGAAAACTTCTGAATTAAAATAGTGAAAGAAAATATTCTTTAAAAAGACACAATTAATTTATAAAGCCAAAGAAAAACATGATCTCAAACATCTCCTCTGCAGCATAAAATAGGAAGCAGAAGAGTGCAAGAGTTAAGAATACTGCCTTTGGAATCTTCCATTTAACAAATATTCACAAAGCCTTTACAATGTGCAAGACATGGGCTTAAAAACTAGAGAAACAGTGACAAACAGGGGCCTGCTCTTAGGGACATTTCATTTTAATGCGGGAGAGACATAATAAGCAAGTAAATAATATTAAGAGTGGTGAGTGTCATGAAGCAAATCAAATGAATATAGGAAAAAGAGAATGATTAAAAGGGCAGCTTTAGACAGAATGGTATTTGAAAAATTCACATAATTTTTTTAAAAGATAAATTATCTGGTTTAAAAATAAACCCTGCCAGTATACGTCCAAACCTGGGGATGTATAATACAATTGTAAAATGTAAGATAAAAAGATTTCATTTTTATCCATAAATAAACCATAATTTAAAATAACTTAGTATCTTTACAATCACTCCTTCCTATGTAAATTTTCAAAAATAAAACCTGTTTATCCCTAGAATTTTACCTATTGTATGAATTTTCTTCTAACTGGTACTAAGCTAATGAAGCTTTAGGTCTGAAGTCAGTGAATATCCTAAGACTCTCAAGAACTGAAATACAGGTTAAATCATAAATAGCATGGTTTATAACACCTCATCATTACTTTTTCCACCCACCCCCCACCATCACCACCCCAATCTGGTAGACAAAGGTAACCATCATTACTTTAGGCACAGACATTTCATCCCAGAAAACAAAGAAAGAAAGAATAAAAGAAACAAGCAAGTAAACAAATTACAAAAATGCAATAGGAGGCTCCACATTCAATTGCATATGCATTTTTAGGCTCCTCAGACCTCAACACCCTAATGTGCAAAACCAGATTAAAATCAGATCTGGTGTGAGTTATGTATACAAAACCATTTCACAAAATAGCTCTTTTTAAGTTGACTAAAACAGTGTAAGTTATCCTCTTTTCCTATTGTTTTTTTATCCAAGAATTTTAAAAATGATGTCAAAGAAAAAATCATGATCACTCTAATACAGAAATTTATATGACATTCTACCCATAATTTTCGGAAACTTACCACACATCAGCCAGAAAAAAAACAAATGCAGAACTAAAGAAAAGTTCAAAACACCAAGAGTCCACTCACCTTAACCCATTGAACAGTTGCTTAGATTTATCCAGAAGATAACAAAAATCTGTAACTGTTTTCCTCTCTCCCTGTGGGATATCATCTTCAGCACCTCCAGAGGACATGATTTCTTTAAGAGCAAATTCAGTCCTGTAAGAAAACATATGTTCATTCATGCAGGAGGTAAAAATAAAAATAGAAAAAAACCTTAGTTATATCATCTGATAGTATTTTTTATCCAAGACAGATATAGAATTCTTCTGATTACAATCAAATCACAAAAATATAATTTAAGTGTAAGATACTGTAAGAAAACAGATCATCTCAGTCGGGCGCAGTGGCTTACACCTGTAATCCCAGCACTTTGGGAGGCCGAGGTGGATGGATCACCTGAGGTCAGGAGTTCAAGACCAGCCTGGCCAACATGGAGAAAGCTTGTCTCTACTAAAAATACAAAAATTAGCCGGGCGTGGTGGTGGGCACCTGTAGTCCCAGCTACTCAGGAGGCTGAGGAAGCAGAATTGCTTGACCCAGGGAGGCGGAGGTTGCAGTGAGCCGAGACGTGCCATTGCACTCCAGCCTGGGTGACAGAGCGAGACACCATCTCAAAAAACAAAGAAAAAAAGAAAGAAAATAGATCATCTCCTATCATTGGTATGGATGAAAATTGGAACCATATTAGAAAGCAATTTTTATAATATCCTTTCCTCTAATAAATATTATTTGAATGCCTGTTATGTTCTAGGCATTCCTCTACATGGTTAACAATCTAAAAATATTGATTTATTTGTCCATTTGATCCACTCTATAAATCCTTCTGGAAAATGATCCCACAAATGGGAAAACACTTTATCCGTGTATTTATTTTAGTATCATAACATTTAAAAATTGAAAACAACCTAAAGGCCCCAAAGACTAAAATGGTTAGGAATACTGACCACTGCACTCTACCCAATCACTAACTTACAACTCTGTTTAAGAAGGTGAGGCAATGGTATGAGTACACTTCAGTATAAAAGGGATATAAAATCACACACACACATATACATACACACACACGTACACACACAGACGTATATTAAAACTATATTGAAACTATCTCCACTTGTAATAAATTTCATAAAGCTGCCATGTAAAAACAGAAAACAACAGTAAGTTGTCAGACAGTATGTACAATACAAACCTAAATTTTAAAAACTGATTTGTGTTTACACACAGACAGAAATTCCTGGAACAACAGGAAAATTTGGTCCTGGTGTAGGATGTAAAAATAGGCAGACAAAATATAGTCACTGAAATAATGTGATACAATTGGTGAAATAATGAATTTTAATAGATGGACTGAAGAACAGAAAGGATACAGTTGAACAAATAAATAAGCTAAAATATCAGATTTGGGGTACTCTGCCAAAAGACAGTAGAAAGAGATTAAATATATAAAAGAAAAAGCAAGAGATAAGATAGAGAAATGAGGGAAATCAACTGCCACACAATAGCTTACACAGGAGGAGAGAAAAACACAAATGAGAGTGAAGAAATATTTGCAGAAATAATGACTAAATTTCCCAGAATTAGAGAAAATGTAACACCTAAAATTGAAAGGACTCAAAGAATGTCAAAATAATCCCACAGCTAGAACCATTAAAGTAAAACTTAGGAAATCAGAATTCTCTTCCCTTCCTGAAAAATTCACTCTTATAGCCACCAAGTGGGTATCCACATCACAGGGTACCTGCATGGTTGTCGGAATATAAGCTACGTGAGGAGGCCATTCGCAGGCAGAGCCAGCTTGCACAGGATGTTGAAGGCCGAGTGTGGAGGAGGAGGAGGGCACCCATGAGGGTGGAGGACTGGCAGGGAAAGTAGGAGCCTGAGCACCTCCACATAGAAGGGTTCAAAGCAGCAATGGGAGATTTGCTATATAAAGAGGGAAGGATCAAATAAGATCTATTAAGGGCAGATGCAGTGGCTCACGCCTGTAATCCCAGCACTTTGGGAGGCAGAAGCAGGAGGATCACTTGAGGCTAGGAGTTTGAGACCTGCCTGGGCAATACAGTGAGATCTTGTCTCTACAAAAAATGTAAAAATTAGCCAGATGTGGTGGCAGGTGCCTACTCAGCTACCTCAGATACTCAGGAGGCTGAGGCAGGAGAGTCGACTGAGGCCAGCAGTTCAAGGGTGCAGAGAGCTATGATCCCTCCACTGCACTTCAGCCTGAGTGACAGAATGAGACCCCATTTCTTTAAAAAAAAAAAATTCTTTTTTAAAAAAGATTTATTAAAGGCAATGGGACCCAGAGTTCTCACTTGGCAGAGAAGGGAGATGCAAATATGGAAATGGAAGAAGTTAGAATGAACTCTGTGGATTGAAACTGGGCCAGGTACAGTGGCTCATGCCTGTAATCCCAGCACTCTGGGAGGCCAAGGTGGGTGGATCATTTGAGGTCAGGAGTTTGAGACCAGCCTGGGCAACATGGTGAAACCCATCTCCACCAAAAAATACAAAAATTAGCCCAGCATGGTGGGGTGTGCCTGCAGTCCCCAGCTACTAGGAAGGCTGAGGCAGGAGAATCACGTGAACCCGGGAGGCGGAGGTTGAGGTGAGCTGAGATCATGCCACTGTACTTCAGCCTGGGCGACAGAACGAGACTGCGTTTCAAAAAAAATAAACTGTAAGTATGAGTGAACTCATGGATTTCTGAAGACATGGACATACATGCATGGTGTGTGTGTCTACATAAGCACACACAGATGCATACTCCCTAGCTCTGTAATTCTATCTACTGAGAGCGCCTTGGAGCAGTGATCATCTTCCCTCCCCAGTGGTATGAACGTTTCTAGCACCTAACACTTGGCCCCTAATACCATTCTCCAATAAAAGGAACCAGACATCTCTGGAGAATTGTAATTCACTAATTACAGCACAGGGGTAGAAAAAGTACAGGATCAATCTGGAATATCTTGTGGTAGTAAGCAAGAAAGTGCTCAAGGAATGCTAAAGAATGTCAAAAAGACATAGGATCAAGCTTGAAGGAGATCCCACTGGCCAAACAGGGTAATTTCAGCATCAATACCAATAGTAATAGCAATGGATTATAACCTACTGAACAAAATAAGAAATCATGAATCAATATAGATATAAATAAATGAGTGAATAAATGGAAAGTGTGGTAGTGAATGGGATAGTTTCAGAATACTTCCCCCATAAACTACACATTACTTCCAAGGGAAAAAGTAATTTCACAGCAGTAAAATCCAGCAGACACTGCCTTGATCAAATGATCAAAGTGAACATCATTAGTAATCAGACAAATCAAAGTCCCATGCGATGAGAAGTACTGTTCCTGTCAAAGTTCTGTAGCCTGAGTCTAATCATGAGGAAACAGACAAAACCAAGTTGGGGGACATTCTACAAAATAACCAACCTGTAATCTTCAAAAATGTCAAGTACTTTCCTTCAAAGACAAGGGAAAACTGAGGTATAATGCCTGATTCTCCCCTGGATCCTTCTGCTGTAAAGGATGTTATTGAGACAACTGGTAAGGCCTGAATGGGGTCTAAGGACTAGACAGGAGTAAATTTCAATGTTAATAAGAAAAATGTTCAACCACCAATGATGAATTGGTGAACAAAATACAAACACAGTAAAATACAGTAACAAAATACAAACCTAATGCAGCAAAATGAGCACATTAAAACTACACTAATTATAGCAGTTGAACATGCACTGAAACCAGCATAGTTGCTAGAGGCAGTGTAAATTAGTTCAAACCCATAAGTTTCCCTGAATGTATGAGGGGACATTAAATGGTCATTCTATGAGATCTATCAATTACACTGCAGAAAATTTATCCTGAGGTTAACTGTCATTACTGGTAAATTACTCATAACACAAGAACTGGTGAAGAATCACTAGCATCTGACATTCTTCAAAATCTATCTTTCCAGTCTCACCTTCCACTAGCACACACGTACCTATTCTCCGACCACAAGGAAATACTTGAAAGCCTCTGAACAAATCCTACTCTTATACAGCATCATGATTTACACGCTATTCCCCTGGCCTATTTTGTACACCTACCAAATTTATATTCATAGTTGAAGACAGCATTCAAACGACAACTTTTCTGTAAAACTTTCCTTGAAAATCTAAATCTTTCCCTGGCACCTACTTCTGATCAAGTCAGTAGGGGCTTCTTCAGTTACTTCACAAAGAGTTGAACAAATATAACAATTATTTGTTTTTTGAAAAGTCTATCTCACCATCTAGACACACACTGTCCAAAAGTGTAGTCATTAGCCTTTTGTCACTATTTGGCACTTGAAACATGGCTACTCTGAATTGAGATGTGCTATAAATGTGAGGTATAAGTGTAAAATATGCCAGATTTAGAAGGCTTAGTATGAAAAAAAAAAAAAAAAGCCATGGCAGATAGTGAAAGGAAACTGATAAAGACATATGGCCACATAAAGATGGCATTAATATGTAATCCTAGCAACAGCATTGTTTGTGGAGATAATTCTCAGCAGACATCTTCAGAGTGGCATATTTCTTCAAAGTAGTTCCAACTGTCTTGCAAACAGCCAGGTATTCTGAATATATAACCAAAAAGATCATCATATATATTTTTAAATCTTTCAGTATGCTAGTGATATGGTTTGGCCCACCCAAATCTCAACTTGAATTGTAAATCCCAGAATTCCCATGTGTTGTGGGAGGGAACCACGGGGAGGTAATTGAATCATGGGGCCATCTTTCCCATGTTATTCTCATGATAGTGAGTAAGTCTCACAAGATCTGATGGTTTTATCAGGGGTGTCCGCTTTTGCTTCCTCCTCATTTTCTCTTGCCACTGCCATGTAAGAAGCACCTTTCGCCTCCTATCATGATTCTGAGGCCTTCCCAGCCATGTGGACCTATAAGTCCAATTAAACCTCTTTTTCTTCCCAGTCTCAGGTATGTCTTTATGAGTAGCATGAAAATGGACTAATACAGCTAGGTTGCAAAAGACAAATAGTTTGAGTTTCATGACTTTCTCAGTGTTCCTATTCAAGTATTTCATAAATATACCATCCTTCCTTGTAGCTGCTACTTATCACATTCTACTCTAATATTACAGAAACCTGTGCCTCATGTCATACCAGATTATAAAGTCCTTGGCCAGGCACGGTGGCTCACGCCTGTAATCCCAGCACTTTGGGAGGCCAAGGCAGGCAGATCATGAGGTCAGGAGATCGAGACCATCGTGGCTAACACGATGAAACCCTGTCTCTACTAAAAATACAAAAAATTAGCTGGGCGTGGTGGCGGGCACCTGTAGTCCCAGCCACTCTGGAGGCTGAGGCAGGAAAATGGCATGAACCCAGGAGGCGGAGCTTGTAATGAGCAGAGATCGCGCGACTGCACTCCAGCCTGGGCGATACAGCGAGACTCCGTCTCAAAAAAAAAAAAGTCCTTAAGGGCTAAACCCATGTTACATTTATTCTTGCTCTTCAACTAAACCTTCAATAGAACTTCAAATACCTCAAGTATTTATTTCAGTCTTATGAATTGAAATGGATTATGGTAATAGTTTTGGACAAAGTAATATAAAACCTAAACTTAAAAAAATATTGTTCAAGGCTGGGCCCAGTGGCTCACGCCTGTAATCCCAACACTTTGGAGGCTGAGAAGGGCAGATCACTTGAGTCCAGAAGTTAGAGATCAGCCTGGGCAACACAGTGAAACGCTGACTCTACAAAAAAATACAAAAGCTAGCCAGGCATGGTGGCACATACCTGTGGTCCCAGCTACTCAGGAGACTGATGTGGGAGGACTGCTTGAGCACAGGGGTTTGAGGTAGCAGTGAGCTATAACAGTGTCACTGCACACCACTGGAGGCAACAGAGCAAGACCCAGCTCAAAATGAAAGAAATGAAACGAAGAAAAGAAAAGAAAAGAAAAAAATATATATGGAATTCATCACCAGCAGAACAAAAGGAAGAGTGTCCTTTAAGCAAAAGGAAAATAATCAAAAAAAGAAACTTAGAGATATAGGAAAAAAATATAGAGCAAGGGTAAAGGAGATGCATGGGTAAATATAAGCAAATATTGACATTATAAAATGAAGATATGTATGTGTTTTACAGAAGAATGGAAAAAATGTTAGTCTATTAATTGAAAGGGGAATAAATGGAGTTAAAGTTTGCTGAGGTCCTTGCATTATTCTGAAAGTGACAAAAATAATAATTTATACTAAATTTTAAGTCAGGAAAGCATGCCTTAATCTCTAGATTTTTTTTTTTTGGAGACAGGGTCTCGCTATGTTGCCCAGGCTGGTGTGCAGTGGCGTGATCATGGCTCACTGCAACCTCTGCTTCCCAGGCTCAAGCCATCCTCCTATCTCAACCTCTTGAGTAGCTGGGTCTCCAGGCACACCACCATGCTCGGCTAATTTTTTGTATTTTTTTGTAGAGACATGGTCTCCCCATGTTGCCCAGGTTGGTCTCAAACTCATGGACTCAAGTAATCCTCCTGCCTCAGCCTCCCAAAGTGCTAGATTTACAGGCATGGGCCACTGTGCCCAGCCTAGTCTCTATATTAAAATTAAAAAAAAAAAAAAAAGAAAAGCAGGCTGGGCGCAGTGGCTCATGCCTGTAATCTCAGCACTTTGGGAGGCCAAGGTGGGTGGATCACAAGGTCAAAGGAGTTCGAGACCAGCCTGACCAACATGGTGAATGAAACCCCATCTCTACTAAAAATACAAAAATTAGCTGGGTGTGGTGGCACACGCCTGTAATCCCAGCTACTCAGGAGGCTGAGGCAGGAGAATCGCTTGAATCTGGGAGGCGGGGGTTGCAGTGAGCCAAAATTGCAAAACAAACAAACAAACAAACAAACAAAGGCCGGGTGAGGTGGCTCACGCCTGTAATCTCAGCACTTTGGGAGGCTGAGATGGGTGGATCATGAGGTCAGGAGATCAAGAACAGCCTGGCCAACATGGTGAAACCCTGTCTCTACTAAACATACAAAAATTAGCTGGGCATGGTGGCGCGTGCCTGTAATCCCAGCTACTTGGGAGGCTGAGGCAAGAGAATCACTTGAACCAGGGAGTAGGAGGTTGCAGTGAGTCCAGATCGCACCACTGCATTCCAGCCTGGTGTCAGAGTGAGACTCCGTCTCAAAAAAAAAAAAAAAAAAAATGTAAAACACTGTGTAAGTACTAATGAAGTCAAATAATAGAATGGTTTTAATTATAACCCCCCACCCCCCCCAGAAAAGGGCAAGATTAGGCCCAGCGCAGTAGCTCACGCCTGTAATCCCAGCACTTTGGGAGGCTGAGGTGGGCGGATCACTTGGATTGGGTGTTCGAGACCAGCCTGGCCAACATGGCAAAACAGCATCTCTATTAAAAATACAAAAATTAGATAGGCATGGTGGCACACACCTGTAATCCCAGCCACTCAGGAAGTGAAGGTTGCAGTGAGCCAAGATCGCACCACTGCACTCTAGCCTAGGTGACAGAGTGAGAATCAATCTCAAAGGAGGAAAAAAAAAAAAAAAAGAATGAATATAGAAAAGACAGGACAAATGGAAGGCAAAGAGTGTAACAGTAAAATTAAAACACAATATGTCAGTAGCTACAATATATTTTAATGAACTAAGTAATAAAATTTAATGATGAAGTCCATCAGATTGGATTTAAGAAAAAAAACTGATACATGAGTAAAAGATTGAAAAGGTTGTAAGTCAAAGTATGGAAAATACATATCTTGAAACATCAACCAAAAGGGAAGAAGTGTAGCTACGCTATTATCAGGCGACACTGACTTTAAGTCCCCCTCAAAAAAAAAATCAACATAGATGAGAAGAATATTCCCTAGTGACAAAGTGTTCAGGTCAATATATCCCTTTTATCTTTTTTTTTTTTTTTTGAGACAGAGTTTCACTCTTATCACCCAGGCTGAAGTGCAATGGCGGGATCTCGGCTTACTGCAACCTCCATCTCCCAGGTTCAAGTGATTTTCCTGCCTCAGCCTCCCAAGTAGCTGGGATTACAGACATGCACCACCATGCCCAGCTAAGTCTTGTATTTTTAGTAGAGACGGGGTTTCACCATATTGGCCAGGCTGATCTTGAACTCCAGACTCAGGTGATCCCCCTGCCTTGGCCTCCCAAAGTGCTGGGATTACAGGCGTGAGCCACCGCGCCCAGCCAATTCAATATATTTCTAAAAATCATATGCACCTAATAACATAGCCTCAAAATATATAAATAAAAACGGATAAAACTAAATGAAGAAACAGACAAATCCACAATCATAAGGGGAAATTTTAGAACATATCCCTCAGTAACTAACAAAAGAATCATAAAAAAAAGACTAACGATAGTAGGATTTTTAAAATCCCCATTAATAAAGTTGACCTAACTGAAATATAGAGAACCACACATCTACAAACTGCAGAATATGTCTTTTTTATTCACATACCCATGGAGCAATCATAAAGACCAATTCTAGACGGGTGCCGTGGTTCAAATAAATAAATTAATTAATTAATACTAATTCTCATACTCCATCTCAAATAAATAAGTAAATAAATACTAATTCTATGCTAGATATAAACCAAGTCCCTAGATGTCACAAATAATTAAAATTACAGTATACCTTCTGACCACACTGCAAGTAAGTGAGAAATCAATAGCCAAAATATTACTAAAAAAATTCTCAGGTGGGTGCAGTGGCTCATACCTGTAATCTCAGCACTTTGGGAGGCTGAGGTGGGCAGATCACCTGGGGTCAGGAGTTCAAGACCAGACTGGCCAACATAGTGAAATCCCGTCTCTACTAAAAATACAAAAATTAGCTGGGCATGGTGGTGGGTGCCTGTAACCCCAGCTACTTGGGAGGCTGAGGCAGGAAAATCACTTGAACCCAGGAGGCGGAGGTTGCAGTGAGCCAAGATCGTGCCACTGCATTCTAGCCTGGGCGACAGAGTGGAACTCCATCTCAAAAAACAAACAAACAAAAAAATCCCATGTTTGGAAATTAAGAAATATCCATGTAAATAATTCACGGGTCAAAAAACATCATAATGAAAAGTAGAAAACATTCTGAACTGATTCACAATGAAAATTAAAGCTTATAGATACAGATAATTCTATGCTTAGAGAGAAATGGCTGGCCTTTAAACACATACATTTAAAAAGAGGTTAGGAAATGAACAGCCAATAAGAGCAGCCAATTAAACCCAAAGAAAATAGAGGGCAATAAATTTACATAGATGAAATTAATTAAATAAGAAACACAACAAAGTCAACAAAATAAAGTTAGTTCTTTAAAAAGACTAATAAAACCCTGGCAAGAATGACCCACGGGGGAAAAAAAACAACAACAGAGAATAACTAATATCAAGAATGAAAAAAAGGAGTATCACTGCTGAAAACAAAAAGATCACAAAAGGAATATTATAAATAACTTAATGCCATCAACGTGAACATTTAAGTAAAATAGACAAACACTGAGAAAAACACTTTTTGCTAAACCTGATACACAAAGAAATTTTGAAGAGTTCTAGATCTACTAAAACATTGACAGCCTAATTGAAAGCCTACCCACAATGAAAACTCCACACCCAGGTGGTTTCACTGTCAAATTTATAAAAAACATCTAAAGAAGACAAAAGAAAAAGAGGCAATCTTACATAAACTCTTACAGAATAGAGAAGAAGGAACATTCCTCAGCTCATTTTATGATGCCAACATAATTTTGATACCAAACCCTAACAGGGATATTATAAGAAAGCAAAATTACAGGCCATTCTCACTAATGAGTATAGATACAAATATACTAAGCCAAATGTTAGCAAGTCCAATTCGGCAATATATAAAAAGGACATGACAAAATTGGACTTATTTTAGGAATGTAAAGTTGGTTTGATATTTGAAAATCAATCACTGTAATTTATCACACAAGTAGAATGAAGGACAAAAATCATACTACAATTGCTCAACAGATGCACAACTCACATTTGGTAAAATTTAACATTGGCTCACAATTAAGAAAAAGAAACCAACTCAGCAAACTAGGAACAGAAAGGGAGCTTCATTAATTTTATAAAGGATATGTATTTTAAAACTATAGCAAAAATCATACTTTTCAGTGAAATGTTGATATCTTTCCCCTTGAGATTGTGAATGACTGCTATCACCAGAACCTCTGATACTGTATTGAATAAAGAAAAAAAGAAAACAAAGATATAAGCTGTTATTATTTGTACATAACATGAACATTTCCATAGAAATTTCAAAAGAATCTATATGTAATTATCAGAATTAACCAGTGGGTTTAGCAAAGTTTCTGGATAAAAGGTCAACACATATAAAGGTTAAGTATATTTCTATATTCCCAAGAACAAAGAAAAAATTTTTAAATCAATTTAGTGTAGCCTCAGTGTACAGTGTTTCTAAAATCTACAGAAGTGTATGGTCATGTCCTAGGCCTTCACATTCACTCACCACTTGCTCACTGACTCACCCAAAGCAACTTCCAGTCCTGCAGGCTCCATTCATGGTAAGTGCCCTGATAGGTATACCATTTTTTATTTTATTTTATTTTATTTATTTATTTATTTTTTTTTGAGACGGAGTCTCGCTCTATCTCCCAGGCTGGAGTGCAGTGGCATGATCTCAGCTCACTGCAAACTCTGACTCCCGGGTTCACACCATTCTCCTGCCTCAGCCTCATGAGTAGCTGGGACTACAGGTGCCTGCCACCGCGCCCGGCTAATTTTTTGTATTTTTAGTAGATACGGGGTTTCACTGTTAGCCAGGATGGTCTCGATCTCCTGACCTCGTGATCCGCCTGCCTCGGCCTCCCAAAGTGCTGGGATTACAGGCGTGAGCCACTGCGCCTGGCCTATTTATTTTTTTTAAAGATGCAGTTGTGCTTGGAACCATTTTTTAATCTCTTACATTGTGTTTTTACTGCACCATTTCTATGTTTAGATATGTTTGGATATACAAGTACTTAACATTGTATAATTGCTAACAGTATTCAGTACAGTACCATGCTGTACAGGATTGCAGCCCAGGAGCAACAGGCTATACCGTGAAGCCTAGGTATGTAGGAAGCCTATACCATCTAGTTTGTGTAAGTACACTCTATGATATTTGCACAATAAAATTGCCTCATGACACATTTCTCAGAACATATCCCTGTTGTTAAGCAACACGACTGTATATATAAATTATGTGGGCAGACTGGAAATCCATAAACAAGATCAATTCAACAGACACTTGTGGGAAGCACATGGGTAAACATATCACAAGAATAGAAGTAGAGACAAAGGAAAAAGAACATATATTTTAATGGGTTGAATTGTGTCCCCCTTAAAAGATATGTTGAAGTCCTAACTTCTGGTACCTGTGAACGGGACGGGACCTTCTTTGGAAATAGGGGTTTTGCAGATGTAATTAAGGCCTAAGTTAAGATGACGTCATGCTGGAGTAGAGTGGGCCCTGAACACAATGTGACTGCTGTCCTTAAAGAGCAGAGGAGACACAGAGACAGACACACAGGGAAGGGAGAATGCCATGTGAAGACAGACAGGAAGGAAGGCAGCCACGTGAAGACGGAGGCAGAGATCAAAATCACACAGCTTCAAGCCAAGGAACGCCAAGGATTGCTGGCAACCATCAGAAGCCGGGAGAGAGACCTGGAACAGATTTCCCTTCTGAGTCGCTAAGAAGGAACCAATTCTGCAACCACTTAATTTTGGATTCTGGCCTCCTGAACTATGAAAGCATAAATTTCTGTTGTTTTAAGCCACCCAGCTTGTCATTTCTCATTTTTGTCTTAATTTGCATTTCTCTGACAACTAATGAAGTTCAACGCCCTTTCATTTGTTACAGCAGGCCTGGGAAACTAATACATAGATACATAATACATCGATAGAGTCCTTACACAGATTACAAAATGGGCAAACAAGCAAAACAACAACGAGCAGGGACAACTGCTCAAAGATGTGTTTTGCTGAGTAAAGAAAATTTGGCAAATTATTGACCTGCCTTGTTGATAATTACTTTTTATAGGAAGTTTGTGACAAAGCAACAAGAAAAACTGCCTCTCTGGACTGAATTCTGAGTAAGTAGTTGGTAATATGAAAGTCTGAAAGAAATCTTGAGAGAAAATAATGTTAAGTCTGCATTACATTATACCAGTATGCATAAAGTGGAGTCATAATGGCAGTGGAAAGGGCCTTGGTATAGCACAAAAGCCCGAGTATTTCTGTTGCTAACACTTAGTTATGTGATTTTAACCAAAAATAACTTTAGTTAACACTGTGATTGCAAGTTTTTAATCCAGCAAAACAAGAAATTTACAAGCCAGGCATGGTGGCTCACACCTGTAATCCTAGCACTTTGGGAGGCCAAGGCAGGAGGATCGCTTGAGGCTAGATGTTCAAGATCAACCTGGGCAACAAAGCAAGACCCCATCTCTACAAAAATTAAAAAATTAGCCAGGCATGATGGCATGCACCTGTAGTTCCAGCTACTCGGGAAGCTGAGGCAGGAGGATCCCCTGAGCCCAGGAGTTTGAGGTTACAGTGAGCTGACTGAGCCACCACACTCCAACCTGACTGACAGAGTGAGATCCTGTCTGAAAAACAACAACAACAACAAAAAAATACAACAAAAAACAAAGAGGCTGGGCATGGTGGCTTATGCCTCTAATCCCAGCACTTTGGGAGTCCAAGGCAGACAGACTGCTTGAAGCCAGGAGTTCAAGACCAGCCTGAATAACATGGCAAAACCCCATCTCAATTATTCTCTAAAAATTTTTTATAAAAAAATTAAAAATAAATTTACACTTGGCTTGCTTACCTCAGATACCTGTTGTGAAGATAAAAATAAGATTTCAGCTGTAAAATCAGTTTGAAAACACTACATAATATATAATATCACCATCGTTATTATTCTGCAGTTAGTGATGTTTCAAAAACATAAGGAACAACTCTGTGATCAGACTGAAAAGGTAAACAGGCAGAGAAAAGAAAGGAAGTACATAGGAAAGAAAATAAAAATATAACAAAAAATTTGACCAGGCGCGGTGCCTCACGCCTATAATCCCAGCACTTTGAGAGGCCAAGGCGGTTGGAAAACTTGTGGTCAGGAGTTCAAGACCAACCTGGTCAACATGGTGAAACTCCTGTCTCTACTAAAAATACAAAAAATTAGCCAGGCCTGGTGGCATGCACCTGTAACCCTAGCTACTCGGGAGGCTGAGGCAGGAGAATCACTTTAACCCGAGAGGCAGAGGTTGCAGTGAGCCAAGATCATGCCACTGCACTCCAGCCTGGGAGACAGAGTGAGACTCCATCTCAAGAAAAGAAAAATTAAAAAACAAAAAAATTTATTCTGACAAAGAAAGGAGAGCATTTATGGAAATCACATGCTAAGAAAGGGATCATTTTGTTATGAGCTCAGATTTTTTTTTTTTTGAGACGGAGTCTTGCTCTGTCGCCCAGGCTGGAGTCCAGTGGCGTGATCTTGGCTCACTGCAAGCTCCGCCTCTGGGGTTCATGCCATTCTTCTGCCTCAGCCTCCCGAGTAGCTGGGACTACAGGCGCCCACCACCACGCCCGGCTAATATTTTTGTATTTTTAGTAGAGACGGGGTTTCACCATGTTGGCCAGGATGGTCTCGATCTCCTGACCTTGTGATCCGCCCGCCTCAGCCTCCCAAAGTGCTGGGATTACAGGCGTCAGCCATTGCACCCGGTCTTTTTTTTTTTTTTTTTTTTTTTGAGACGTCGTCTTGCTCTTGTCACCAAGGCTGGAGTGCAGTTGCATGATCTTGGCTCACTGCAACCTCCACCTCCCGGGTTCAAGCAATTCTCTGCCTTAGCCTCCTGAGTAGCTGGGATTACAGGCGCCCGCCACCACACCTGGCTGATTTTTGTACTTTAGTAGAGATGTGGTTTCGCCATGTTGGCCAGGCTGGTCTCGAACTCCTGACCTCAGGTGATCTGCCCACCTCGGTCTCCCAAAGTGCTGAGGTTACAGGCGTGAGCCACCGTGCCCGGCCATGAGCTCATATTTTTAAAAAACATACAAAGAGATGGAATGGCTGTATAATTAAGCATGAGCATAAAATACTATCACATGTCTCAGCTGTAAAAATGGAATATTAATAATACCTAGCTCTTAAAGTTGTTGCACAAAATGAACTAACAGATATGAAACTGTGCTATAAATTACACTATACCATGAAATTGTTAGTTGCAAAATTGTTGCAAATACACTCCGAAACAGCATAAATTGAAAAATACCAAGTACAGAAAGTGTTGAATATGTGTGTATATGTGAGGGGTGATGATGATGGTTTTGCCATATTCAGTATAAACAGAATAGCTACCACTTGGTACAGATGGCATTCCTATAATGGGAACAAATGACAGAGCTCTAAAAGCTGGTCCTTACCACAGTGTGAAGCATCTTCATGTATCAAGGATAGCATAAAATTATCATGAATTATACACAAATTATTTTCTAAAAACAATCTTTTTTTTTTTTTTTTTTTTGAGACATAGTCTCGCCCTGTTGCCCAGGCTTGAGTGCAGCAGTGCAATCTCAGCTCATAGCAAGCTCCACCTCCAGGATTCAAGCAATTCTCCTGCCTCAGCCTCCGAGTAGCTGGGATTACAGGCACCTGCCACCAAACCCAACTAGTTTTTGTATTTTTAGTAGAGACAGGTTTTTACCATGTTGGCCAGGCTGGTCTAGCACTCCTGACCTCAAGTCATCCACCTACCTCGACCTCCCAGCGTGCTGGGATTACAAGCATGAGCCACCACACCAGGCCAAAACAATCTTTTTGTCTTATTCCAACATGTTACTGAAGTTAAATTACAAGGCCAGGCATGGTGGCTCACACCTGTAATCTCATGCCTGTAATCCCAAGGTAGGAGGAACACTTGAGGCCAAGAGTTCAAGACTAGCTTGGGCAATATCTGATATGGTTTGGCTGTGTCCCTACCCAAATCGCATCTTGAATTGTAGCTTCCATAATTCCCATGTGTTGTGGGAGGGACCCGGCGAGAGATAATTGGATCATGGGGGCGGTTTCCCCCATACTGTTCTCATGGTAGTGAATAAGTCTCACAAGATCTGATGGTTTTATAAGAGGAAACCCCTTTCGCTTGGTTCTCATTTTCTCTCTTGTCTGCCACCATGTAAGATGTGCTTTTCACCTTCCACCATGATTGTGAGGCCTCCTAGCTACATGGAGGTGTGAGTCCATTAAACTTCTTTTCCTTTATATCACCCAGTCTCAGGTGTGTCTTAATTAGCCGTGTGAAAATGGACTAATGTACTATCACAAGACTCTATCTCTATAAAAATTTTTGTAAAAAATCAGCCTGGCATGGTGTTGTGTGCCTATAGTTCTAGCTATTAGGATGGCTGAGGTGGAAGGATCACTTGAGCCCAGGAGTTCTAGGCTGCAATGAACATGACTGTGCCACTGCACTACAGCCTGGGTGACAAAATGAGACTCTAACTCAAAGAAAAAAAGTTACATGTTATAATAATAATGAAAAGAGAAATGCATAGGTACCAAACTTCTTGTTGATCAATGTATAAAGAAACTGAATAATACCATGAGGACAGAGAGTTTAAGAAAAGGAAGCCAAAGGAGTTTTGGCATGGAGCAGCAGTGATACACAGCCAGAAGGCCATTTGTAAAATATTGCCCACAAGACTATAAAGACATCATTTTGCCTATCAAATACAGAAAAAGAGAGATGTTTATCTAACACACACAATTACACAAATTCCAGTAGTAATTCAACTGAGACATAGCACAACCTAGCAGAAAGTACTGCAGTGAAAGGGAAAAAAGGCAGGAAAAAAAAAGAACACACAATTGCTTGATACACAGAGCAAAAGGAGTGTTGGTTAATCAGAGTAAATGTTGGCTCCGCTTGCTGTATTCTGCATTTTCTCTAGTGCACACTGGTATAATTAGTCCATACTTATTGAGGAAACTAAGTTCTGATTAGCATGACGTGTTCAGGGCAAAAGAACAAATTACTTTCACTGCTTAAGGCATACAGATCTGCATGAATTTGTTTCAATGCCAGTGCCAGAAGGGAAAACTAAAGAGGGCAAGAGACAGGGGATAGTAGATAGTCTTTTTTTTTTTTTTCTGAGACAGTCTTGCTCTGTCACCAGGCTGGAGTGCAGTGGTGCAATCTCGGCTCACTGCAACCTCTGCCTCCCAGGTTCAAGCGGTTCTCCTGCCTCAGCCTCCTGAGTCACTGGGACTACAGGCGGGCACCACCACGCCCAGCTAATTTTTGTATTTATAGTAGAGACGGGGTTTCACCATGTTGGCCAGGATGGTCTCGATCTCCTGACCTCATGATCCGCCCACCTTGGCCTCCCAATGTGCTGGGATTACAGGCGTAAGATAGTAGAGATTCTTATGCTGAGAAAAGATATAGTTACATTAAAAATTTCTTCTCTTACTCAAGTAACTGTAGTAAGAATTATATCATTCCAATATACAAAAATAACAATGAAACAGTGTTTAATAAACTGAGTATAAATGAAGAAATAAAACAGAAAAAATTGAAAAATGTAGAAAATAGCTTTTAAAAATTTATTCCTATGACTTATTTTTTTACTTTTTTATTGTGGTAAAATATACATATTTACCATCTTAACCATTTCTAAGTGTACAGTTCAGTGGTATTGAATACATCCATAGCATTGTATAGCCATCACCACCATCCATCTCCATTTTTACCTTGTAAAACTGAAATTCTATACCCACTACTTAATAACTCCCCCATTTTCCCCTCCTCCTAGCCCCTGGCAGCCACCAATCTACTTTCTGTCGATAGGTTTGACTACTCTAAGAATATCATGTAAGTGGAATCATATAGTATTTGTCTTTTTGTGTCCAGCTTACTTCACTTGGCATTATGTCCTCATGATCCATTCATGGTGTAGCATATATCAGTATTTCCTTCCTTTTTAAGGCTGAATAATACGCCCTTGTTTTTATATACCATATTTTGCTTCTCCATTCATCCACTGATGGACACATGGGTTGCTGCCATGTTATAACTACTGTGAATAATGCTGCTATGAACATGGGTATACAAATATCTCATCAAGAACCTGCTCTCAATTCTTTTGGATATAAACCTAGAAGTAGAATTGCTGGATCATATGAGGATTCTATTTTTAATTTTTTTTTTTTTTTTTTTTTTTTTTTTTTGAGACGGAGTCTCGCTCGGTCGCCCAGGCTGGAGTGCAGTGGCGCGATCTCGGCTCACTGCAAGCTCCGCCTCCCGGGTTCACGCCATTCTCCTGCCTCAGCCTCCCGAGTAGCTGGGACTACAGGCGCCCGCTACCACGCCCGGCTAATTTTTTGTATTTTTAGTAGAGACGGGGTTTCACCGTGTTAGCCAGGATGGTCTCGATCTCCTGACCTCGTGATCCACCCGCCTCGGCCTCCCAAAGTGCTGGGATTACAGGCGTGAGCCACCGCGCCCGGCCCTATTTTTAATTTTTTGAGGAACTGCTATATTGTTTTCCACAGTGGCTGTATCATTTTATAGTCCCACCAACAATGCACAAGAGCTCCAACTTCTCCATGTTTCTCAACACTTGTTATTTTCTATTTATTACTATTATACCTTCTTGATAGCAGCCATATGAATGAGTGTAGTTTTGATTTGCATTTCTCTAATGACAAGTGATGCTGAGCATCTTTTCACCTGCTTATTGGCCATTTGCATATCTTCTTTGGAGCAATGTCTATCCTATGACTCTGTTTATGCAGCAAAAAGACACTTATACAAGGTCAGGAGTTCATGACCAGCCTGGTCAATGTCATGTAAAGATAAAAAAGAAAAACAAAAATAAAAATAAAATAAATGTGTAAATAAAATGAAGAGTACAGGATTTAATCACTCTGAAAGGTTTCTTTTCCCTGTATGGTTAGTCAAATACCCTTACATTTCACTCACAGACTGCAGGCTTCTATTCTTCCTATTCTTCCAAATGCTCTCAATTTCCCTAAGCACTCTCGTTCTCCTTTTTTTTTTTTTTAAACATAGAGTTGCCAGGCGCGGTGGCTCATGCCTTCATGCCTGTAATCCCAGCATTTTGGGAGGCCGAGGTGGGCAGATCATGAGGTCAAGAGATCGAGACCGTCCTGGCTAACACGGTGAAACCCCGTCTCTACTAAAAATACAAAAAATTAGCCAGGTGTGGTGGCACGCGCCTGTAGTCCCAGCTACTCAGGAGGCTGAGGCAGGAAAATTGCTTGAACCCGAGAGGCAGAGGTTGCCGCGAGCCAAGATTGCACCACTGCACTCCAGCCTGGGTGACAGAGCGAGACTCCATATCAAAAAAAAAAAAAAAAAAGATAGAGTCTCGCTCTGTCACTCAGGTTGGAGTGCAGCAGCACAATCTTGGCTCACTACAACCCCCACCTCCCAGGTTCAAGCGATTCTCCTGCCTCAGCCTCCTGAGTAGCTGGGATTACAGGCGTGCACCACCATGCCTGGCTAATTATTGTATTTTTAGTAGAGATGGGGGTCTCACCATGTTGGCCAAGCTGGTCTCGAACTCCTGACCTCAAGTGATCCGCCCACCTCGGCCTCCCAAAGTGTTTGGATTACACGCATGAGCCTGGCCTCATTCTGCCTTATTTTCAGAATAGTCAGTACTTCTCTCAGTGGCAAAGAACAGATAGAATCTCCTAAGGATTTCCAGGCTTGCAGTTATGCTGGTTCCCAAATCCAAACTTGATCTAATTTAAATACAAACCCAATAAAATCTAAACTCTTATATTATTAATATAAAAAACTGGCCAGGGAAGGTGGCTCATGCCTGTAATCCCAACACTTTGGGAGGCCGAGGTGGGCAGATCACCCGAAGTCAGGAGTTCGAGACCAGCCTGAGCAACATGGCGAAACCCCGTTCCTACTAAAAATACAAAATTAGCCAGGCATGGTGGTGCATGCCTGTAATCCCAGCCACTCGGGAGGCTGAGGCAGGAGAATCGCTTGAATCCAGGAGGCGGAGGTTGCAGGATCACACCACTACACTTCAGTCTGGGCAACAAGAGTGAAACTCCATCTCAAAAAAAATAAAAGATGAAAAACTAAGGACCAGTTAGTTGGTTATCTAAAAACAATACATACAAACAAGATGCATGGAATGACTATTTATGAAGCTAATGGGGCAGGAAATACAAAAATACACAAAATGAAAGAAAGCATCCAAAATATGAATCTGGAGACGGATGTAAGGAAGCATGACTCAAAGTCGCCTACTCCTAACAATTCATTCAAACTGTCTCCAGTAGAGAACTCACAGAGGCAGAAAATACAATGTACTTTCATTTAAATCACCATTTATTTATTTATAACACCAAAACTCAAGAGGAAACAAGAAATGTAGGCAAAAGCCTCAATCACCAATCAGCAAGCTATTAGGTCTATATTTCTATTTAGTCTGTAAAGAAGTGCAGGCCACATAGATGTTTCATTCTTTCTTTTTTTTTTTTTCTGAGACAGCTTCTCACTTACTCTGTCAGTGGCATGATCTCCCGGCTCACTGCAACCTCTGCTCCCAGGTTTAAGCAATTCTCCTGCCTCAGGCTCCCAAGTAGCTGGGATTATAGGCATGCACCACCACGTCCAGCTAATTTTTTTTTTTTTTTTTTCGAGATGGAGTTTCGCTCCTGTTGACCAGGCTGGAGTACAGTGGCACGATCTCCGCTCACAACAACCTCCGCCTCCAGGTTCAAGTGATTCTCCTGCCTCAGCCTCCCAAGTAGCTGGGATTACAGGCATGTGCCACCATGCCCGGCTAGTTTTGTATTTTTAGTAGAGACAGGGTTTCACCATGTTGACCAGGCTGGTATTGAACTCCTGACCTCAAGTTTTCCAACCGCCTCGGCCTCCCAAAGTGCTGGGATTATAGGCGTGAGCCACCACGCCTGGCCTTGTTGTATTTTTAGTAGAGATGAGGTTTCACCACGTTGGCCAGGCTGGTCTCGAACTCCTGACCTCAAGCAATCCACTCTCATCGGCCTCCCAAAGTGCTGGGATTGCAGGTGTGAGCTACCACACCCAGCCAACAGACATTTCCTTGTTGATCGATCATATACAAAGATGAGAGCAACAGTGGCCAACAGTCTGTGTATGTAGTATAAATACAAACAACATGAAAATCATGAGGGGACACTCGAGCAACATCTCAGCATACTCTGACAGAAGGCTGTTAGTCATCAAATGTTGGGTTAATCTGTACTAAGCAGAACAACAATAAAAATAACTCATTGAAAGATACTTATGGGCCAGGCGTGGTGGCTCATATCTGTAATCCCAGCACTTTGGGAGGCCGAGGCAGGCAGCTCACTTGAGGTCAGGAGTTCCAGACCAGCTTGGTCAACATGGTGAGACCCCATTGCTACTAAAAATACAATAATTAGCCAGGCGTGGTGGCACGCGCCTGTAATCCCAGCTACTCAGGAGGCTGAGATAGGAGAATCGCTTGAACCCAGGGGGTGGAGGTTGTAGTGAGCCAAGATTGCACCACTGTACTCCAGCCTAGGCCACAGAGGGAGTGAGAAGCCATCTCAAAAAAACAAAACAAAACAAAACTGTGTGGCCTGCACTTCCAAAAAACAAAAAAAGAAAGAAAGAAAAAAGGAAACATGGATGGCTGGGTGGTGGCTCACCTCTGTAATCCCAGCACTTTGGGAGGTCGAGGCAGGCAAATTGTTTGAGTTCAAGAGTTTGAGACCAGTCTGGCCAACATCATGGCGAAACACCATTTTTCCTTTCTTTTTTTTTTGAGACAGAGTCTCACTGTCACCCAGGCTGGAGTGCAGTGGCGTGATCTCAGCTCACTGCAACCCTCTGCCTCCCAGTTTCTAGCAATTCTCCTGCCTCAGCCTCCCTAGTAGCTGGGACTACAGGCAAGTGCCATCACACCTGGCTAATGCAAATTTTTAGTAGAGACGGGGTTTCATTCACCATGTTGGCCAGGTTGGTCTCGAACTCCTGACCTCAGGTGATCCACCTGCCTTGGCCTCCCAAAGTGCTGGGATTACAGGCGTGAGCCACTGCGCCCAGCAGAAACTCCATTTTTCTACAAAAAAATGAAAAAATCAGCCAGGCATGATGGTGTGTGCCTGTAGTCTCACCTACTCGGGAAGGTGAGTTGGAAGCGCCACTGCACTCAGGCTTGGGTGACAGAGCCAGTCCCCACTCATATGGTCATATGATGTATTCCGTCACAATTCTGCTTTCCTACATTTCATGTTTTGTCTACAATAAAGTGGATGCATGATAGGTAAGAAAAGAATAAACTTTTCCTCAAAGGAGAAAGAAAAATTACTTTTTCTTTAAGCAGTAACTGATTGGTTATATTTGTTTTTCCTTGTAATACTCTATTGTATGGATATGCCAAATTTTGTTTCTCCTTTCAACAAGTGATGAACAGACTTTCACTTTTTGGCTACTATGAATAATACTGCTACAAATATTTGCCTACAAGATTTTGTATAGACATGTTTTCATTTCTTCTGGGGGTATACCTCCTAGTAGAATTGCTGGGTCATCTGACAACTCTATATTAACCCTGTTAGGAGCTACCAGACTATTTTCCAAAGTGAATGTACCATTTCACACATGCAGCAATGTATGAAGTATTGTACTTCTCCACATCCTCAACAACACTTGTTATTATCTGTCTAGAGAGATTTGGATTTCCCTGATGGCTTTTCTGTGTTTATTGGGGCTTTGTATATTTCCTTTGAAGAAATGTCTACTCAGATACTTGACATTTATTTATTTATTTATTTATTTTTGAGATGGAGTCTTGCTCTGTCGCCCAGGCCGGAGTTTAGTGGTGCAATCTTGGCTCACTACAACCTCTGCCTCCTAAGTTCAAGCTATTCTCGTGCCTCGGCCTCCCAAGTAGCTGGGATTATAGGCACCTGCCACCACGCCTGGCTAATTTTTGTATTTTTAGTAGAGACAGTGTTTCACCATGTTGGCCAGGTTGGACTCGAACTCCTGACCTCAAGTGATCCACACCCCCCCCGCCTCCCAAAGTGCTGGGATTACAGGCGTAAGCCACCGTACCCAGCCTTTGGTGTATTTTTTTAATGGGTTTTCTTTTTATTATTTCATTTTAAGAGTTCATTACACATTCTAGATAAAAGCACCTTGTCAGATAAATGATTTGCAAATACATTATTCCTTTTTGTGAGTTGTCTTCACTTTTTTGGATTGCTTATATTTCTATTTTTCTTTTCTCATAGTTAACTTTTATTTTTGTCAAAATAATATATAAACAAAAAAAAGTCAACATTAGGCTGGGCGTGTTGGCTCACATCTGTAATCCCAGCACTTTGGAAGGCCGAGGTAAGCGGATCACCTAAGGTCAAGAGTTCAAGACCAGCCTGGCAAATGTGATGAAACCACATCTCTACCAAAAATACAAAAAATTAGCCAGGCATGGTGGCACATGCCTGTAATCCCAGCTACTCGGGAGGCTGAGGCAGGAGAATCGCTTGAACCCAGGAGGTGGAGGTTGCAGTGAGCTGAGATCACGCCACTGCACTCCAGCTTGGGCGATAAGAGTGAAACTCTATCTCAAAAAAAGCCAACATTACCCACAAACACTTAAAGACAGTAGTCTGCTGGTTCACCCTTCCCCCCACCACCCCTATACTGCCAGCATCAACAGCTTCCCACTGTTAGGCTGGCCACAGTGGCTCACACTTATAATCCCAGCGCTTTGAGAGGCCAAGGCAGGAGAGTCACTTGAGCCTGGGAGTTTGAGACCAGCCTGGGAAACATAGTGAGACTCCTATAAAAAATCTAAAAATTAGGTGGATGTGGTGGTGCACACCTGTAGCCCCAGCTACTTAGGAATCTGAGGCAAGAGGATCACTTGAGCCCAGGAGTTCAAGTGAGCCATAATTGTACCACTGTACTCCAGCCTGGGGGATAGACAAAGACCCTGTCTCTAAAATGTAAGAAAAACCAAAAATCAAAAAACTTTCAATTCTTCTGTTTTACCTGGTAGTTTCCTCTATTTTCGTATATAATAAGCTTGTCTTGCAATTGCTTGATTCATCTATTTTTGATATTCATCTATTTTGATAATAGTTTCCTCTATTTTCCTATATAAGCTTTTCTTGCAATTACTTGATTCATCTATTTCTGATATTCATCTATTTTGATAATTGTTTCCTCTATTTTCCTATATAATAAGCTTTTCTTGCAATTGCTTGATTCATCTATTTTTGATATTACAGATTTTCTGCAAATGGCAAATAAGGATTTTGTTCTCTTATAGCTCCCAGAGTGCCTCCCCCCATCATTAGTTATGTTATTGTTAATTATATCATTATTTGGGGTTATGTAAGCTAATAATTATATATCTTTGGTTAAATCAATCATTAATGCTTAAATTGTGAGCCTTTTTATTGCTTCATTATATGGCACATAATAGGATATTAAAAGGGAGAGAAGATCTGCGTATAATTGAAAAGGCTCCTCAGACATCTATAACTGGAAGTTGGTTGTACTTCTTTTAAATCCTGTTCTTTGCTTCTTAGTAAATAATTTTTCACACTTACTAGTTAAATGCTATACTGCCTAATCAAATTTCATACAGAAAGTATCTTCATATAAAAATGCCTGGTTTTTTTTTAACCTACCTTAATTAACAACTCATTAGTTCAAGAATTCCCAGTCTTTGAGTCTGTAAATGACACTACTATCCTGTTGACACAATGACAGTTATAGAAATTACAAGATGGTGCTTAAGAAATCCCTGTTAGCATCCAAATTCATATGTATTGGCAAACACGTTGGTGACTTAAAAAAAAAAACTGGTATTTCACGGAACATGAGGAGAAGGCTGTAAGAAATAAAGACAGTTATTGACCCTCAGTTTTCATTCAGCATTTGATTACGAAAGCAGGAATTAGACCCCAAAGTCTGTGAAGGGAATATGTGCACAACACTTAACAAAGCACATGAATTACTCCTTGAATTACAGCAATAAACAAGATGCCATGTGAATTCTAAAAGGTACCTTGATTGTCTACATACTACCAAAAGCAGCTTAAAATCTGGGATTGTTTAACTAGAGGGAAGTTATCAAAAAAAAAGAAAACGGCCCTCAGTTCCTTGGATCCTTAGTCACTTGTAGCTGGAAGGAGGAAGAAAAAGGCAGGGGGCAGGGTACAGAAGAAATCAAGCTCCCACGCTCCAGAAACTATGCCAGGCATTTTATATACATATCATCTGCACACACCTATAAGGTAGGCACTGTCACCAGAATTTAGAGATGAAAAAACAGGCTTAAGTAAGTTATTTCTCCAGAATTACACAGTTAGAAAAAAAACCCCAAAGTCATGTTCTTCTTCCCAAAGGACCCTCATAGTATGCATCCTAAGATAAAAACACAAATATTGTGAAATAGGGTTGTCTGATCCCGAGTTATCCCAGTATTTCAAATCCCATAGATCCTACCTTTCCTTTTCCTTAAAACATAAGTAAACGTATTTTCAGGCTTTCCCCTACCCAGTGATTAAAAATCACTCTTTGAAAAAAATATTATGAGACCCAAAAGAATCACTAAAACAATTTTTAGAAATTGATTTTGGTTATCAGATCTACCTCTCAAGGAATGACTTGAATTACTAGCTATTTTACTTTGGGCATGTTTTTAACTTTTCTCAGCTTTGGGATTTCTTCAACTCCAAAACAGAGTTTATATTATTTACCCCTCATAAAGGTATTATGAAGATTCCATTAGACAATATTCATAACATTATGTCACAGAAAGTGCCCATAAACAGTCAATAAAAGGTAGTAAATACTAAAGCTGATAATTTATACCATCAATCACAATCCACTGTGATATGGTTTGACTGTGTCCCCACCCAAATCTCATCTTGAATTCCCACGTGTTGTGGGAGGGACCCAGTGGAAGGTAAATGAATCACGGGGACAAGTCATTCTCATGCTGTTCTCCTGATAGTGAATAAGTCTCATGAGACCCAATGGTTTTAAAAAGGGGAGTTCCCCTGTACAAGTTATCTCTTTGCCTGCTGCCATCCATGTAAGATGTGACTTGCTCCTCCTTGCCTTCTGTCATGATTGTGAGGCCTCCCCAGCCACATGGAACTGTAAGTCCAATTAAACCTCTTTCTTTTGTAATTGTCAAGTCTCAGGTATGTCTTTGTGAGCAGAGTGAAAATGGAATAATACAGTAAATTGGTAACAGTGGAGTGGGGCTTGCTGAAATGTAGAAGTGACTTTGGAACTGGATAACAGGCAGAGGTTGGAACAGTTTGGAGGGCTCAGAAGAAGACAGGAAAATGTGGGAAAGTTTGGAACTCCATAGAGACTTGTTGAATGGCTTTGCCCAAAATGCTGATAGTGATATGGACAATAAAATCCAGGCTGAGGTGCTCTCAGATGGAGATAAGGAACTTGTTAGGAACTGGAGCAAAGGCAACTCTTGTTATGTCTTAGCAAAGAGACTGGTGGCATTTTGCCCCTACCCTGGAGATCTGTGGAACTTTGACCTTGACAGAGATGATTTAGGGTACTGGTGGAAGAAATTTCTAAGCAGCAAAGCATTCAAGAGGTGACCTGGGTGCTGTTAAAGGCACTCAGTTTTGTTTTGTTTTGTTTGGAGATGTAGTTTTGCTCTGTTGCCCAGGCTGGAGTGCAATGGCACCATCTCAGCTCACTGCAACCTCTGCCTCCCAAGTTCAAGCAATTTTCCTGCCTCAACCTCCTGAGTAGCTGGGACCACAGGCGCATGCTGCCAGGCCCAGCTAATTTTTTATATTTTTTATTAGAGAGGGAGGTTCACCATGTTGCCCAGGCTGATCTTAAAGGCTCAGGCAATCCGCCCACCCCGGCTTCCCAAAGTGCTAGGATTACAGACATGAGCCACCATGCCTGGTCCTAGGCACTCAGTTTTATAAGGGAAGAAGAACATAAAAGTTTGGAAAATTCACAGCCTGACAATGTGACAGAGAGGAGAAACCCATTTTCCGGGGAGACATTCAAGCCGGCTGCAGAAATTTGCATAAGTAACGAGGAGCCCAAAATTAATCCCCAAGACTATGGAAAAAATGTCCAGGGAATGTCAGAGATCTTCACGGCAGCCCCTCCCATCACAGGCCTGGAGGTCTAGGAGAATATGGTTTTGTGGGCCAGGCCCAGGGTCGCCATGCCATGTGTGGTCTAGAGACTTGGTGCCCTGCATCCCAGACACCCCAGCCATGACTAAAAGGGGCCGAGGTACAGCTTGGGCTGTTGCTTCAGAGGGTACAAGCCCCAAGCCTTGGGTGCTTCCACATGGTGTTGAGACTGCAGGTGCACAGAAGTCAAGACCTGAAGTTTGGGAACCTCTGCCTAGATTTCAGAAGATGTATGGAAACGCCTGGATGCCCAGGCAGAAGTTTGCTGCAGGGGCGGGGCCCTCATGGAGAACCTCTGCTAAGGCAGTTCAGAAAGGAAATGTGGGGTTGGAATCCCCACACAGAGTCCCTACTTGGGCACTGCCTAGTGGAGCTATGAGAAGAGGGCCACCGTCTTCCAGACCCCAGAATGGTAGATACACTGACAGCTTGCACCATGCGCCTGGAAAATCTGTAGAAACTCAATGCCAGCCCATGAAAGCAGCCGGGAGGGACACTATACCCTGCAAAGTCACAGGGGCAGAGCTGCACAAGACCATGGGAGCCTACCTCTTGCATCAGCATGACCTGGGTGTGAGACATGGCATCAAAGGAGTTCATTTTGGAGCTTTAAGATTTGACTGCCCTGCTGGATTTTGGACTTGCATGGGGCTTGCAGCCCCTTTGTTTTGGCCAATTTCTCCCATTTTGAATGGCTGTATTTATCCAATGCTTGTACCCCCACTGTACCTAAGAAGTCACTAACTTGTTTTTGATTTTACAGGCTCATAGGCAGAAGGGACTTGCCTTGTCTTGAATGAAACTTTGGACTTTTGAGTTAATGCTGAAATGAGTTAAGACTTTGGGGGACTGTTGGGAAGGCATGATTGGTTTTGAAATGTGAAGACATGAGATTTGGGAAGGGCCAGGGGCAGAATAAGGTTTGGCTTCCCCACCCAAATCTCATCTTGAATTCCCATGTGTTGTGGGAGGGACCCGGATGTAACTGAATGAATGGGGGCAAGTCTTTCCTGTCCTGTTCTCATGACAGACAATAAGTCTCAAGAGATCTGATGGTTTTAAAAAGAGGAGTTCCCCTGCACAAGCTCACTCTTTGCCTGCTGCTATCCATGTAAGATGTGACTTGCAGGCCGGGCATGGTGGCTCATGCCTGTAATCCCAGCACTTTAGGAGGCTGGGGCAGGTGGATCACCTGAGGTCAGGAGTTCATGACCAGCCTGGTCAACATGGTGAAACCTCGTCTTTGCTAAAAATACAAAAATTAGCTGGGTGTGGTGGTGTGCGCCTGTAATCCCAGCTGCTCCAGAGGCTGAGGCAAGAGAATTGCTTGAACCCAGGAGGCGGAGGCTGCAGTGACCTGACATCGCACCAATGCACTCCAGCCTATGCGACACAGTGAGACTCCATCTCAAAAAAAAAAAAAAAAAAAAAAGATGTGACTTGCTCCTCCTTGCCTTCTGCCATGATTTTGAGGCTTCCTCAGCCACATGGAACTGTAAGTCCAATTAAACCTCTTTCTTTTGTAAATTGCCCAGTCTCAGGTAGCCTTCATCAGCTGCATGAAAATGGAGTAATCACATGGTTAGTTCAATCATTCAACAAATATTGAGAGTCTTCTATGTGCCAGGTATTTTTCCAGGTGCTAGAACATGGCAGTGAAAAAGCAGTGAAAGAAATATCTGCTTTCACAGAGTGTACTTTCTACACTCTGTGAAAGACAAAAATAAAATGAGGATAAATATAATATTCCAAGTGGTAAGAAGTACTATGAAAAAAGTACAGCAGGAAGGGAGAATGACGGAGGGTGATACTTTCACTGGAGTAGGCGAGGTGAAGCTTGCAGAGTTCCACTGGAGTGGAGACCTGGATGAAATGAAGGCTGGGAGATCCAGGTTCCAGGTAGAGGAACAAGTACAAAGATGCTGAGGCAGGTATGTACTTGGTGTACGGAGGAACGAGAGGGTCTGTCTAAAAATACAATAGTAAAAAAAATTTTTTTTAACCCAGCCCCTCACAAATTAGTTAATATGAACAGGACTCTTGGCTGCTGCTTTTTTTTTTTTTTTTTTTTTTTTTTTTTTGAGATGGAGTCTCGCTCTTTTGCCCAGGCCGGAGTGCAGTGGCGCTATCTCGGCTCACTGCAAGCTCCGCCTCCCAGGTTCACGCCGTTCTCCTGCCTCAGCCTCCCGAGTAGCTGGGACTACAGGTGCCCACCACCACGCCCGGCTAACTTTTTGTATTTTTAGTAGAGACGGGGTTTCACCGTGTTAGCCAGGATGGTCTCGATCTCTTGACCTCATGATCTGCCCGCCTGGGCCTCCCAAAGTGCTGGGATTACAGGCGCCAGCCACCGCGCCCGGCCGGCTGCTGCTTTTTAAGCACTACGTAAAAGAGGCCAAGCAGAGACAACAATCCAGATGCCCATGCTCCAAGCTCATCATCCTGCCTGGGGCCAAAGCTGCTTCTTCTGACTGACCACAGAAAGGGAGCACTCTGGTTCCCCTAGAGGGGCGGCCTTTTTCTAATTTGCACAAAGGAACCATATAGGCCACCTGCAACCCCTTCAGGATTTCCCTTTCCGTAGAATGCATTGTGTCTACAATCATCAAAGCAGTGCTAATGGGCCTGTCAACTGAGAAATGAAAACAGACTCATCATGTTAAGGTAGATTCTATAATGACATTTATTAAAAAGGGGTTATAACATGAGATCACCACAACTTTTATTGTTCTTTATCTTGATAAAATTTTTTAAAAATCTAATAAGCTAAATAAGGCTATGTGATATACATACACTGGATGTGAATTCTGAAGACCCAAGTCCAGGTCCCAATTGTTCCATTTTCCCCAAAGTCACGCAGCTTACAGTTTTATCAAATTTCAGTTTCTTCATTTGTATGGAGGATAATGAGCACTAACTATCCTATCTTACTGACTACTGTGACAAATCCTATTAAAAAGTAACCACTTTTTATTACTACCAATTAAAAAGGCAAATGTAATTACATTGTAATAAAAGTAGACTGTGTTTTTTATTAAGGAAAAATATGTTGGGAACATCAATAGACTTTAAAAGGTTAAAAATAAAATCAAATAACAGACGGGTGCGGTGGCTTATGCCTGTAATCCCAGCGCTTCGGGAGGTTGAGGTGGGCGGATCACCTGAGGTCAGGGGTTCGAGACCGGCCTTGCCAACATGGTGAAACCCCATCTCAACTAAAAATACAAAAATTAGCCTTGCGTGGTGGCGTGCACCTGTAGTCACAGCTACTCAGGAAGCTGAGGCAGGAGAATCACTTGAACCCAAAGGGCGGGGACTGCAGTGAGCCGAGAGTGCACCACTGCACTCCAGCTCTGGGTGACACAGCAAGGCTCTGTCTCAAAAAAGAAAAAAAATCAAATAACATATCAGGCTTCTACATTAAAAAAATATTGACTGGGTGCAGTGGTTCATGCCTGTAATCCCAGCACTTTGGGAAGCCAATGCAGGAGGATTACTTAAGCCCAAGAGTCCCCATCAAAAACTTAGCCAGGTGTTGTGGTGCACACCTATAGTCTCAGCTACTCAGGAGGCTGAGGTAGGAGGATCACTTGAGCTCAGGAGGCTGAGAATGCAGTGAGCCGTGATCGCACCTGGGCAACAAAGCGAGACCTTGTCTCAAAATATATATGATAATTCTTTGCTGCTGAGAAAAAGTTCCATCTGAGCCACCTAGAGGGTTAAAATGTGCCATGATGATAATGATGATACCATAAAAACCGAGCAAGACTGCTGACTGAGGATTCCTCCCAAGAGGACCAAGTGTCAAGCTGACACATCCTCTTCTCCTGGAGGTTCATCAAGTCTTATTCTTCTGTCAAGCCTCTACCCTTAGCAAACATAAGTAGACAGTAATTTTTTAGCCAATTTAAAAGTTATTAAACTGACTTAGTACCACCATCTCTATCAAACTTTTCTGGATCACTCCTGTCAGAAACAATTTGTTTTTTTCTGAACTCTTAAAATACTTTGCTTATATAGTTCAATTGCCGTATATCATAGTTATTTGTGTACACTCGTCATCCCCTTCCTAAATTGTAAGCTACTTGAAAGCAGTAGCTTACAATAACCTCTTACTTAAAGCACCTTATGTAAGTGCCTTGAACACTGTTTCCAGGCAACTCCAAAATATGCACTAATCAAAGGCAGTGAAACAGTTTATGTGTGCCTGCTCTATGGCTGCCACTGTTCCAGGTGCTGGAAAGAGAACTTCAGCTACCACAGGTGGTCAGAGATAAGGAAAAGTGACTGAGGCAGGGACTTGATACTCTCCAAATGCTGGGAAACCTCATCACTGGAGGGTCTCAGAGGGAATGCTGAATAGCTGGCATTACAAAGATGAAAAAAGGTCACCATTCAATCTTCTGAGAAAGAAGACTATAATCGGATTGGCCTAGTGGTACATGTAGAATCTATAAGGATTTTGTGAAAACAAAGGAAACCCTTCAAATTCCAAAGCCTTAGCCAGACTGCTGATCTAAAAATATGCAGATTAATTATCAGGAGATTCTTAATAGATCAAAATGTAGTCTACAGAGGCAGACAGATATATTTGGGACCAGCATAGGGGCAAGAGTGGCGTGGGTAAGAGCACTGGTGTCAAACAGCCTGCACTCAATCCTGGTGCTGCCACTTACTATTCAAATACAGCTGCATGATTTTAGCCAAGTCACTTGACCTCTTTGTGCTTCAACTTTCCCATATGTAAGATGGGTAGAATAATAGAAACTGTTTCCCAGGGTTATCATGAAGATTAAGTGAGAATGTATGTAAAGTGTTTAGAAGAGAGTCTGGCATACATTAAATGTTATGTAAGTAATACTGCCATTTAATTTACCACCTAGACTAGGACAATTCTGTGAATGAAAAGGGGCACTATTAGACTTTGGAAAACCAGACTGTATCAGGCAAACTAGGACATATGGTCACCCTATAAATAAGTGTAAGAAGAAACAAAGGAATGTAACTAGAGAAAACAGCATTCTCTACTTCACCTCCCATAGATGCAGGTATCAAATGTTAACATCTGACTTATCTCTTCTGCTAAAGACATGTTATAGCTAAATGAGCACACTTAGTTTTTTGCTGTAAATACCACATGCCAGTAGCATTGATTGATACATCAGTCAATATTGGCATGATGCCCTCAAGATTAGTAGCAGCCATCCAACAAATATTGAGGACATGCTAATGGTTATCAGGCAGAAAGTTGGTAAGACTTGGTCCTTGCCCTCAAGAAGCTCACCACCAGTTAAGAAAATGATTCCTGCAGGTACTAGCTAGTAAGTAGTAACTAGTCCCCAGAGGCCATTGCTATAGCAAATATAACAAAGCCTGAAGATAACTCAGAAAATACTGGGGAAGATGAAAAAGGCGATTTGTAAAACAGACACAGTAGAAAAGAGAAAGTATTGCATTATTTTACACGGCACTTTCAAACAAATAAAGACATTCTAGAAAAATAATTAGAAAAAAGTACTTGCGGCAGATAGCTTTTGTTTGGCCCATGTAGCATCAATTTCCATTGCTTTGTAAAATTAGTGCTCTTTCATTATGTGAAATCTCATTAAAAGCAAAAAAATCCATTTGGAAGAAAACAAGAGAGAAGAGATAATGAATCAGGGAAACTGGTAATTTTATGTGTGTGATAATGGCTCAAAAAGAGTCCTCATGTTTTAAATACGCATACTGAAATATTTACAGATTAAATGATGTGATACCTAGAATTTGCTTCAAAAACTCAGGGTTAGGTGAGTGTGGATATACACAAATATATCAAATTTATAGATATAATATACGTAAAGTATATAACTGGCCATCAATTCATGATTGTTGAAGTTAGGTGATGAGAATGTGGGGATTAATTATTCTATTTAATTTTCTGTAAATTTAAAATGTTTCATTTAAAAAGTTTTTGTTGATACGTCAATAGAATGGTCTCAACTGTTTTGTTTTGTTTTGTTTTTTTTGAGACAGGGTCTCACTGTCACCCAGGCTGGAGTGCAGTGGCACAATCACAGTTCATGACAGCCTCAAACTCCTGGGCTCAACCAATCCTTCCACCTCACCACCCCATGTAGCTGGAACTACAGATGCACACCACCATGCTGATATGGTTTGGATTTGTGTCACCACCCAAATCTCATGTCGAATTGTAATCCCCAATGTTGGAGGAGGGGCCTGATAGGAGGTGACTGGATCATGGGGGCAGATTTCCCCCTTGCTATTCTCCTGATAGTAAGTTCTCAGAAGATTTGGTTGTTTAGAAGTGTGTAGCACCTCCCCACTGTTCTCTCTTCCTCCTTCTCCAGCCATGTAAGATGTTCCTGCTTCCCCTCTGCCTTTCTCCAGGATTGTTTCCTGAGGCCTACTCAGCCATGATTCCTGTACAGGCTATAGTACTATGAGTCAACTTAACCTCTTTGCTTTATAAATTATCCAGTCTCAGGTAGTTCTTTATAGCAATGTGAAAACAAACTAATGCACACACCCACCTAATATCTTAATTTTTTGTAGAGATGGGGTCTCGCTATTTTGCCCATGCTGGTCTTGAACTCATGGGCTCAAGCAATCCTCATACCTTGGCCTCGCAAAGTTCTAGGATTACAGGCATGAACCACCATGCCTGGATGTATTATTTTTAATTTTAAAAATAAAGTGCTTTTGAAAACTCCCTAACATAGAGTTTCTTAACCTTCTCACTCCTGCCATTTTGGGCCAAATAAGTCTTTGTTGTGGGGGTTGTCTGGTACACTGTAGAGTGTTTAGCGGCATCCCTCGCCTCTACGCACTAGATGCCAGTTGCATCACCCCCCTACTTGTTTTGACGGCTAAAAATATCTCCAGATATTGCCAAATGTGTCTTGGGAGGCAGATCGCCCCAGCTAAGAAGCCCAGTGCTGATATACCATATACCTTATCCAAAACATTCCCAACCCTACAAAACAGAAACTCCCCAAGTCTTAACTGTATTCTACATATCTAATAATGATTTTCAGCATTGTATCTTTTCTTATTCTTAATTCAGTTACTAATACTCTACTTGTAGTTCAGACTACCTCAAGTAGATAAACCAATTGTGCTGCTGCAAATTTAATGATTCAATAAAAATTATACTGCTTCTGAGACTTCTCTTCATCTATTTCCAAAGCTGAAACTAAAAATCTTAAGCTATTTATAGTATTATAACCTTCAAGAATATGGCCCAAAAAAGCAGGAAAAGGTTATACAATTCAATCTTCTTAAAATGTACTACTTAACCTGTGGTCAAATTAAACAGCTCCAAAACATGCCCCAAAGCAGAATAACCCATACAAAGATGAAAGTGCAAAGGATATTATCTAGTTTCTTGTTACTCAAAATGAGATCTATAGACCAGCAGCATCAGCATCACCACAGAGCTTAACAGAAAGGCAGAATCTTAGGCCCCACTTCAGACCTACAAAATCAGAATTTGCATTTCAACAAGCTTTCAAGATGGCTTGTGTGCACATTAAGTTTGAGGCAGTAATCTAGCTGGGTTTTTTTTTGGTTTGGGGTTGGGGGGGGCAGTGTTTGTTTGTTTTGTTTTAAGAGAAAGACAGGGTCTCACTCTGTCACCCAGGCTGGAATGTAGTGGCACAATCACAGCTCACTGCAACCTTGAACTCCTGGGCTCAAGTGATCCTCCCATGGCAGTCTCTGAGTAGCTAGCCTTCACCGTCTTAGGAAGATAAAAAAAAAGATACCTGTTTTCTTATTATTTTTAAAATAATGGATAAACATTTGGCCCATTTCCAATAACAGATATGTAAATGACTACAATAAGGAACTAATGAGTGCTGGGAAATAAAGTTGAGGTGAAACCTAGATCATGTATTCTCAATTACCCACACCTAGAAAAAAGGTTAGCCTAGACAGCAAGCATGTAGTGCCCTAGAAGAAATAAACCATTTCTGTGTGTCTAGACTTGAACTCAATTCTGAAATGACTACAACAACCCCCTTCAGCACAATAGTATACATACTAGGAGCTAGGCATATTTTCTTAATTAACAAATGATGAATACTACAAGATTTTATAAAATATCTGCTAGATAAGTTACTCTGCCTTATGCAAGATAGGAGTATGTAAAAGGCCTCTAGAAAGGTCTAGATTTCAAGAAAGGAGGAGGTAGATAAGAAGAAGAGGAAGGAGAGGAAAACGAGGGAGGATGTGGAGGAGAGAGGAGGAGGAAGAAAGAGTAAGGAGCCATGGAGAGATGAGGAAGAGGAAGGAGGATGATGAGGAAGGAGGAGGAAGAAAGAGTAAGGAGCGATGGAGAGATGAGGAAGAGGAAGGAGGATGATGAAGAAGGAGAAGGAAGGGGCAGGGGAGAAGGAAGGAATTTTTCCCTAAACAAGAATTTTAACAACAGCCTAATGGGCTAGTTCATGAATCTATCCACTTCTTTTCATCTCCACTGTCACTATCCTAATCTAAGTCAATATCATCTATTTTGGAGCCTCATGACTTATTCTCCCCACATCTACTCTTACACTCCTATACTCCATTCTTGACATAGCAGCGACCTCCTGGACTCAAGAGATCTTCCCACCTCAGCCTCCCAAACTGCTGGGATTACAGGGGTGTGCCACCATGCTTGGCCTCAGAGTAATCTTTTTAGAGGTTTTTGAGATGCAGCCAGTGGCTCAAATGAGAAAGGATAGGTTAGCTGGGCACGGTGGCTCATGCCTGTAATCCCAGCACTTTGGGAGGCCGAGGCAGGTGGATCATGAGGTCAAGAGATCGAGACCATCCTGGCCAACATGGTGAAACCCCGTCTCTACTAAAAATACAAAAAAATAGCTGGGCATGGTGGCAGGCGCCTGTAGTTCCAGCTACTCCGGAGGCTGAGGCAGGAGAATAGGTGAACCCGGGAGGCGGAGCTTGCAGTGAGCTGAGATCGCGCCACTGCACTCCAGCCTGGGTGACAAAGCGAGACTCTGTCTCAAAAAAAAGAAAGGACAGGTTCATAACTCACTCCAACAGATGCAATACCAGGGTTCAAAAATGGTGGCAACAGCATCCGGAACCAGACTCCCCTAGGGGCATGACTTCAGCCATGATTACAGATATTTGGATTCCCTTGGTTCTTGCCTATTTTCTGAACCAGATTCTCCAGTCTTTCCATCCATGCTGTGAGGTACTTGACAACTTTCCAATAAATTCATTTTCTGCTTAAGTTGGCTGGAATTAAGGTCTGTAATTTTCAACCAAGAACCTTTCCTGGAACAATGCCGTTTCTTTTTTGCTTTTTTAATGACCTGTCATTCACTAAGTTTAGCCTTCCAAAATGGGTATAATTAAAAAGCTAAAATTCTAAATACCATTCACATCACCGACCTCCTAAAAACAGCTTTCAAAGTGAATATTTAGTTTTATTTATCACTCAGTTAAATCCAACATTCTACCTACTCCATGCTTGCACCTGGGCTACTAAATAGGGCTGAAGAAATACACATAATCATGCTGACTGATCTCACTTTCAAAGCATGACCACAGAATGGGCATTTCCACTACATTCCTAGTCCACTCACTCTTCACTTTCCAGAGCCCTATCTCACACTTTCTCTTCTCTCCTCAAACATCCAACATCTCATCCGCCATCCCCACTTTTCAGCTGATGGCAATTGTTTTATATTTCACTAAAAAACAGAGGCTTGGGCCGGGCACAGTGGCTCACGCCTGTAATCCCAGCACTGCGGGAGGCCGAGGCGAGCAGATCACGAGGTCAGGAGATCGAGACCATCCTGGCTAACACGATGAAACCCCGTCTCTACCAAAAATAAAAAAATAAAAATAAAAATAAAAAAATTAGCCAGGCGTGGTGGTGGGCGCCTGTAGTCCCAGCTACTTGGGAGGCTGAGGCAGGAGAATGGCGTGAACCCAGGAGGCGGAGCTTGCAGTGAGCTGAGATCACGCCACTGCACTCCAGCCTGGGCGACAGAGCAAGACTCCGTCTCTTAAAAAAAAAAAAAAAAAAAAAAAAAAAAAAAAAAAAATCAGGCTTGGCTGCACATGGTGGCTCATGCCTGTAATCCCAGAACTTTGGGAAGCCGAGGGAGGTGGATCACTTGAGGTCAGGAGTTCAAGACCACCTGGCCAACATGGTGAAACACCGTCTCTACTAAAAAATAAATAAATAAATAAATATTAGCCAGGCATGGTGCCAGTTACTTGGGAGGCTGAGACAGGAGAATAGCTTGAATCCAGGAGTCGGAGGCTACAGTGAGCCAAGATCACGCCACTACACTCTAGCCTGGGCAACAGAGCAAGACTCTGTCAAACAACAACAACAACAAAAAACCACCAGAGAAAATCAGTAAAGATCCTCCACACATGCCCAGCCACAATGTACCATCTACTTGCTATTGTAGCCACACATATTATTCTGTCTTCCTTCTATTATCTTGATTGAACTATGTTACTATCTAAGGCCAAGCCCTCCATTCATGCCTTAACCTTCACATCCCTCACTGTTATTCAAGGACATCAGCCCATCAACTGTTCTCTTCTTGCAGCATCACCAATGGGCCTCTGTGCTGGATAACTATCATCAGCATTCAAACAGGGTGCATTAGCTTCCAATTTAAAACTCTTCTTTCTAGCTCACATGCTCCTCTAGCCTTCATGCTGTTTCTCTACTCTCCTTCACAGCATTAACTCTTTAGAAGACTTGTCTATAGAGCTGTCTCCCATTCATCCCCCATTCTCTGTCGAACACACACCAATTCACTTTGTTCCCATCATTCCACTGAATCACTGCTTGTCACTACCAATGAGTTCCATACTGGTAAATCCAAAGGGTAATTATCAGTCTTCATCTTATGTTACTTATCGACAGCACTGGACACTGTTGATCATTTTCCTCTTCTTGAAACACTCCTGGTTGCCTTCTAAAACATCATTTCCGGCTGGGCACGATGGCTCATGCCTATAATCCCAACACTTTGGGAGGCCAAGGTGGGTGGATCACTTGAGGTCAGGAGTTCAAGACCAGCCTGGCTAACATGGTGAAACACTGTCTCTACTAAAAATACAAAAATTAGCTGGGCATGGTGGTGCACGCCTGTAATCCCAGCTACTCGGGAGGCTGAGGCAGGAGAATTGCTTGAACCCAGGAGGGGAAGGCTGCAGTGAGCCAAGATCATGCCACTGCACTCCAGCCTGGGCAACAGAACAAAACTCCATCTCAAAAATAAAAAAATCATTTCCTCCTCTTACTTCACAGGCTGCTCCTTCTCAAAGTTTCCACTGATGGTTCACCTCATGATCCAACGTGGAAATGTTGGAGTGTTCCTGAGCTCAAATCTCTGAGATGTTCTCTTCTCCACTCATTCCATAGGTGACAGTGTGAATTTTCATGGCTTTACACACCAACTGGACACTGATGACACCTCCTTTTTTTTTTTTTTTTGAGACAGGGTCTCGCTCTGTCACCCAGGTTGGAGTGCAGCAGTGTGATCTTGGCTCACTGCAGCCTTCGCCTCCCGGGTTCAAGCAATTCTCCTGCCTCAGCCTCCCGAGTAGCTGGGACTACAGGCACACACTGACACGCCTGGCTAATTTTTGTATTTTTACTAGAGACAGGGTTTCACCATGTTGGCCAGGATGGTCTTGATCTCCTGACCTCATGATCTGCCCTCCTCGGCCTCCCAAAGTGCTGGGATTACAGGCGTGAGCCACCGTGCCCGGCCGACACCTACGTTTTTTTAATCTACACACTGGACTTCTCCCCTGAATTCCAGTCTCCACTTTCTAACTTTCTATTTGTCATCTCTATCTGAATGTCTCATTGGTACTCCAAACTTATCAGATACAAAACTTAATTGCAACTATTCACCCCAAAAACCTACTCTATTCACAGTCTTCCCCTTCTCGGTTGGAGCAACTCCATTTTTCCAGTTGTTCGGGTACAGTTCATTCCAAACACAGCAGACAAGATGATCTTTTAAAATATGTCAAATTCTATCACTTAGCTCAGAATCTTCACATGGTTTCCCATCTCATTCTGAGAAGATCCCCAAGTCTTTACAATGGCTTACAAGGTCTCATATGATCTGATCACCACTATTATATCCAAGACTTTATCTCCTATTATTCTTCATCCTACTATTCTCATTCATTCTAGCCACACTGCTCTCCTTGCTGTTTCATGTACACACCAATACTCTACACATTCCTGCCACAGGGTTGTCTTGGAATTCACTGTAATCTCAGCTTGGACCGCTCTTCCCAAAATATCTGCAGAGCTAGTTCCATCATTTCACTCAAATCATCTTATTGCATTTCTGGTCTTCCCTGACCACCCCATATAAAACAGCAACACCCTTCCTTATACTTATTTATCTTTGAGACAAACTCTGGCTCTGCCACCCAGGCTGATGTGCAGGGGCTCCAACACGGCTCACTGAAGCCTCGACCTCCTGGGCTCAAGTGACCCTTCCGCCTCAGCTCCCCAAGTAGCTGGGACTACAGGCTCACACCACCACGCCCAGCTACTTTTTGTGTTTTCTATAGAGACAGGGTCTCCCCATGTTGCCCAGGCTGGTCTCGAACTTCTGAGGTCAGTTGATCCGCCTGTCTCAGCCTCCCTAAGTACTAAGATTACAGGTGTAAGCCGCCACGCCCAGCCAAAATTTATTTATTATCTATCTCCAAATATAATGCAAACTTCATGAGGGGAGGGACATTTCCCTATCTCCAATGTCTATAATAAAGCCCAGTACTAATAGTTACACAAGAAACTACTGATAAAGGAATAAAAGAAACTTTAAATTATAAATTTTTAAGTTATAAAATAGATACATAAAATGTATTAATTACTTTCACACACGAAGTTGTGACAGACAAACAGATGTGTCACCCAGCTCTCCCTTCAAGAAAGAACTTGCTGGGAGTACTGTCAGCTCCTGTAGACATTACCTCTGCAGAGCTACCTTGCCCAAGGTCATGTGCTTCCCAAGACAATCCCTCATCCAGTAACCAACGGAGACAAAGGTATAAATGGTCCAGCCATTTCTGCTCAAAGCAGGGCAACTCTAAAAGTCCACGTTAGCTCCAGAGCTCCCTGTGGAGTCAGCTCCTGTTGTTCACAGTGTACCACAGCTCAACTTCTCCCTGCCAAATCTTGCTTCTTCCCTTCCACAGGAGTTGAACAGAAGAGCACTACTTAACATTCTGCACATTAAGTTGTGTCTCAAATTCTGCTTTCTGGAGCCCCTAACCTGTGATAGTTAAGACAAAAAATACATGCTTATTAAACTAAAAAACAAAGCATATCCCTATAAAACAGAAAATGAACATCCCTATAATAGATAGTCCTACAATACGTGTTCTCTCCTTCTACAGAAATGATTACATAATAACAGAGTCTCCTATTTTTA